>NC_000015.10:52026874-52651874 GCF_000001405.40 Homo sapiens | reverse complement strand
AGAAGGTGTGTAGTGAAGTGTTTTTTAACGGCTTTATTTTTAAGCTTCCAATTTTCTGTAGCTGTTTACCAGTTGGCTGTGGTGCTTGCTTTGCATGGATTTTTAATAAATAGGTCTAGGAAAATTATCTCACTTTGAAAACCATTGAACTTAGAGAATTTTCTTTAGCTTCATATAGCCTGTTTTCTTTGAACAGCAGTACTGAAAAGATTATTAAAATGCTGAACTGAACAATGAGTAGGAAGAAAAGAAACCAAGTACAATGTGCTCACTTTAATGGGGAAAAAATGTGATAGAAATGAGAATACAGGGAAGAGAATGTGCATTAGCCAGAAGCATTAACTGTATGTGGGGGCAGGAGGTATTTTTTAAATTAAAGCTGTTAAGACAAATGTATTTTAAATAAGCTGCATATTTTTAATTGAATTCATGTTTCTGAATTTGACAAAGATTGTCAGAATTTAACTAAGTGAGATTTTTGACATAGTTTAAGGAATTGGTGTGCCAAAATCTTTTTATAAAGCATTTCTGAAAATCCTACCTCAAATTGTGCAATCTCTTAATTATTTAATCCATTGACTAGTTCTGTGCAGTTCAGATAAAGCATCATAATTCAACCGCAAAGTCAGTGTAGTGTTCTATTAAACATCCATATAGAAAACTGAAGGATAAGGGATTTTGAAGACAACATACAAGGTTAAACTAGTATTTTAAAATTGAAGTAGGCCTCCTAAATGTAATAATTGCATATCTGACTTAGTTAATACTTCAAATATAGTCAAATCTTATTAAACTGTACTAATATAATATATGTGATAATTGAACAGAGTGTAGGTTACCATTTGTTTATATAGGATCTGGAAAAATTGGTCTGTTCAACAGATTATAGGAAAGTTTTAAAGTGTTTTAATAAACAAAAGGTCTTTTTGTATCTTTCTCAAATACTGTGAAATTAAAGTTTACATATGTGATTTAGCTAATGGTTCTTTTAATTAAAGCAGAGCAGACTAATTAGCATATTGCCCATTTTACGAAGGATCCGTATTGAGCTAATAACCGGCTTTTCCTTTGCTTTTTCGTTTTACATGGCTAAGTGGCCTTTAGTTCACTCAGTGATGTATGTCTGATGAGTAAAGTCAGTATAAGCTCAGAGTTAATATTAGGGCTTTGTTATCTCTACAAACTATATAGTTTGGAATAGGATGGGTTTTGTTGTTGTTCTTTTCAAAAAATACCTGTCATTAGAAAGTCTTAACAGTGTTAGCATTTCTGGTAAGGAGAGATATTTCTTTTCTTTAAAGAGAACTCAAAATATTATCCCATGCTTTTGTGCCCTTTGCTGATCTTTGTAACAATACTATGTATATAACATTTGTATTAAAAAGATGTCTAATAATTGGTGAAAATTTACAAAATAGTCCTTAAAGATTAAAAAAATGTTTTACGTAGACCTACATGTGGCTGAAGTTTAAAAGACTGGCATTTCTTAGATTTTCAAGTTTGTAAGGTGCAGCCAAAAACTTGAATTTGATAGAAGTTATAAAAATTATAGCAAAATAAAGTTATATTATTTGGACTTGGTGGCCTCCACAATATAAAGCACTCACTTCAAGAAGAGCAGCTGTGTGTAGAAGGGGTAGGGGTATGAAAGGGAGTTTGGAGTGAGAGGCAGACACAGGCAGAGAGGACTCAAGTTTGTTAAATATGACTAACCACATGAAAGTCAATCTAGCAATTTTCATTTTTTAGCTGTAACTCTTATGAATTACTAATTTTATTTTCTAATTATAGAACCATAAAAACCAAAGTTTTGTTTAAATTGATTTGCTACCCATTTTATGTTGGTTTATTTCATAAAAATTAATAGAGCCTCCAAGAGAAAGGCTATTTCTCATTCATATGCTGCAAAAGATGGGGGAACATGAAATTGTAAGAAAGTTGAGTGTACTGCTGTGTCACACAGAGGCTTTGCCATTGTGTTCAGGAGGAATATTATTGGCAGAATTCCAGACATTATTGCTGGGCTTAGCACCTAAAAATGTTTTATATACTGGAGCATCTGAAAGTTCCTATTCAGTAGCAGAACTTCAGGGTAGTTGAGGTTTATAATCTAGTCAGTTATAATAACATTGCTAGCATATTTCAGTTTTTTGGATTTGTCTATTATTTGACAATATAATTTTTATTGTCTTTGTCTATGTCATATCTTTAAATTGGCTATTGTTTTGTGCTTATGGAAAAATACTTTAATTCTCAAAAACAGTGATTTCTTTTTTGTTTTTGCCTCTTTATAAGGAATAGCAAATAGAAGTGCTAGTATTTACTAGATGCAGTGATTGCTACAGTTGGTTTTAAGTAAAACAGATTGTTTTTGATTATTTTGAAATCAGGCAATAATATATAATGCTGTTTACAGTTCTTTAAAAAATATGTAACTTAAAAACTCAGATTGGGAAGGGGTAACAATCTGAGTTTTTCTTTTTCTCTAAGTGTTCTGTGAAAATCTTTTTTTAAGTCGTTCCTACTTCAGGTATTATCACAAATGTTTGATTTCTATATGTATGCCTTAAGTGATATATGACACATTTTTTTCCTTGACTCTTCCTTGCGGAAATTTCATTACTTGTTCATAGTTTGAATCTAAGAAATATTTGCTTTTCATAGTCAGCAGGGCCAAAACTTTGGTCTTGACAACTTTTTGTCAGGCATTTTCACATATCGACAGTGTTTTTGCATAAACTGTATTGCTTTTGCAAGTATATAGTAAATTTTTTTCTTAATCTTCAGATGTTATAGTATCAAAAATTCAAAGACCTAAGTTTTAAAAATGTAATTGTTTGCAGTATTACTTGAATCTATTATATAATCCTTTGTGATGAGGCTCAGTTATAAAAGTGACAGCATGAGGACTATTGAGAAACTGGAAATATCTTTCTGTTCTTTCTTCACTGGATTCCTCAGTTTTACTCACTGAAAGACTTCTGGACATCATAGGACTTGAAGAGAAGGTTTATAATAAGCCCAGGAACAGTAAAATTATAAATTTGAGGAAGTAGTCAAGATAGAGTATAAAAAGTAATCAGCCCCTAAGGCTCATACATGGATGGGCCTCAGATTTTGCTATAAGCTTCCTGTCATCTGTCATATGAGAGGGATGCTGTGTGAATCAGTTATGTATATTCCTGTTCTTTAACATTGCTAAATTTTTACCATTAAAATTTATGTTGGTTTCTGTTTTCTTAATATTTTGAAGGTGTTTTGTTTTTTGAGGTTCAAATTTTGGGTGGTGGGTACAAACATACAGTTAGAAGAAATCGTTCTGTCATTCAATAATATGATAGGAAATTATAGTTAATAATTATTGTATATTTCAAAATACCTAGAAGAGAAGAATTGTAATGTTCCCAGCACAAAGAAAATATAAATGTTTGTGGTGATGGATATTCCAGTTACCCTGATTTGATCATTACACATCATATACATGTGTTAAAATATCACATGTACCCCCAAAAATACATACAACTGTGGTATATCAATAAATAAAAAGGAAAAACAATTTTGGGTGGATTGCCTGTATAATTTATTATTTAGCTGTGTAATATTGGGCATAGTTTCACCTTCTGGGCCTTAGTATCCCCCTCGGTATCATGAGATTTTAGGATGATTGTGGGATTTAAATGAAAGAATGTGCGAAACTACTTAGATTCATTACTACTTATTAATTAGCTATTATAATAAAATGTGAGATTGTATTATAACTTTCCTTTAAAGTTATTCTACGTTAAAAACGTGAATATGTTGAGTTTTCTCAGTATTTTGAGAATTTTAAGCATAGTTTTTTAGACCTTTCCCTAAGATACACTTCTAGGTTTCTCAGTTTCCTAAGGTACTTCATTAACTGGAAAGCCATGGAGATATGGGGATTGGGGCAGAAAAAGAAGACAGGGTTCATGGGTAAGTGCATGGCTAAATATCTGAAGAAAGATAATAGTCAATAGTGGTAAGGAAAGAATGAGTAAAATGAGAAGAGACATAGAAGGCAAAAGAAACATTTGTTCTGTTTGTAGTGTTTTGATAACATATTCATACAGTTTGATTCTTGTAGTGTTATTGTTTCTGTTGTGTGTGTATGTACACTCGTGTGTACTGACACCCCCAGATTTCCCCCACCCCTTTGACCCCTGCAAATGCTGAGCTGATTGACTAGAGTTGCTAAATCCCTTGGTGATTTATTTACTGGGAAGTAACTTTATTCTGACTTTTCTTTTGAATTCCTCAGCTAGAACTGAGCTAAAGGTGACATTGTAATTGCCTTCCATATTAATGACAAGGGACAAGCCAGCTGCCTGGAAGGCAGAAATTAAATATCATCACAGATACGAGTGTAATTGTCTTGAAATATTAAAATTTAAGACTAAAAATCTAATGGTTTTGTGAAAACTCAAACTTCAAAGCCAAAATGCTCTTTTGTCATTTTCATAAGTACACAAAACTTCAGCTTCTTTCAACTGACCACAGTATTTTCATTGCTTTGAGCTGACATATGTTATTTTGGGAGAGAGGTTTAATCTGGTTTCCATTCTATTTTTCATATTTTGATCAAGGGTAAAATTTTTGTGATTTTTTTTTTTTTACATAAACTAATTTAGCCCTCCAATTTGCTGGAAGGTGCAGGTTAGCTTAATGAAAGAGAACACACAAATGTAAAACAAAACAAAAGTATTTTCCAAGTATACTCCATTTTATCACTGTCATTGAGTCCAGTAATATTAACCAATTAGCTTCTGCATTGGGCCCAGAGACTACTTACAGTTGACAAAAGGGGAGGAGAACCCTTTTAAAAATAGGTATCCTAATTTTAAATGACTACATTGCATTGGTGTATATGTTTTTGGGTAATGCATACTTACCTTAAATCGCTTCTCTCAAAAATATCCATGTAGAAACAGAATGATTGCTGTACGTCAGCATCTTCTACTGACCCTTTTGAGAATGTGCTGAATGCTATCAACCCCCTTGCTAGGGGGAAAAACACATCTATATTTATGTACACATAATTTTGTGGAAAATACCAAAGAGGATCATAAATTACCTTAGGTTAAGAACTTTTTTTAACATAATTTGTTTATAGTCAGAGTATGAAAGCATTAATATTTAAAAATTGAGGCTTAAAACAGACTGGATGCAACTTTCAGAATATGTATGCAAGCAAAGTGTCACATGGTTTTTTTCCCCCACTTCAAGGGATATGGTAAAATGTTCCCATATGTGCTCCATACATTAGTACCCTTGTAGATGGGTTTGCCCTGGACAGTACCCAGTATCCCTTTGTGGACTCCTACGTTCTAGATGGGCTTCAAATAGAAAACCTAGCACAAAAGGACCAGCCTGGAATGCGGTGTTCAGGTCTTCAGAACCTACAGGCCACATCTCTGAGTTGTAGACTGAGATTAGAGAAGACCTAATGACACCTCCTTTGGCCTTAGACTGCCACCCGGAATCTCTTCCAGAAATCATTCTGCACAAGAAATGACAGGTCCACTGCTATGAATGTCACCCAGTTCTATCTTTGTTCAAGAGAATCAAGCAGAACTGATCTGTGTGTGCCCAAGTTTCTCACCTCTTAATTAAAAAGACCTGTCTTCCGTCCACTTTTTATTTCTCCAGGAGTTTTAGATTTCACACATAGACGCATTCAGTGGGAAATAGGATGTTGAGAGTACTAGAAGTAGGGGTCATTCATATGGTTGGGAGAAGGATGTTGAAAGGACAGAATGTATTTTGGGAAACCAGCCTATGTTGTAACCATTTTCCCATGAGGTAAAAATGTAAGACTAAACTAGGTTAAGTTTAAGGATAATTTTGGAAAGTCATGTGCCATTTGTGTAGGATTAATGAAGCTGGGGGAAAAAAACAGCACTGGGATAGTGGATTGTTGCCTTTTTAACACAGAATATTCTTATGAGAGTACAGGTAAATCTAGAATTTGGTTTTGAGAGGCAGGAGTTTGTTTCCTTTTGTTACAATGTTTTCTCAGATCTTTGTCTCAGAGTTCTTTCTGTATGAGGTGTGGAGTGATAACACCATATAATCAGGAATATTCCCACAAAGAATAGTGAAAAGGACAATATTTTCTACTTGAGAGTCTTCAGGCCCTGAGACTATGATGAATTGTGTCTGATGGTTTACACAGAGCACAGAGAAATGAAATTGAATAGGATTAGTGCAGGTAAGACAGAAATGAATTGAGGAAACCAGTAAGTTTTCTCGATAACACTGACTAGTTCTAAGTCATACATTTTAGATATCATACCCACTGGGAGCTTTCTCTGATGTCCAAGATTGAGTTCCCTCCTAAATATTCCCATAGCACCTTGATCTACTCCTATTTTATTTATCTTTTAAAAAATTATTTATTTATTTATTTATTTGAGATGGAGTCTTGCTTTGTCGCCCAGGCTGGAGCGCAGTGGCATAGCGTGATCTTGGCTCACTTCAGCCTCCGCCTCCCAGGTTCAAGCAATCCTACCGCCTCAGCCTCCCAAGTAGCTGGGATTACAAGCATGTGCCTCCATGCCCAGCTAATTTTTGTATTTTTGGTAGAGATGGGGTTTCACCATGTTCGCCAGGCTGGCCTCGAACTCTTGACATCAAGTGATGTGCCTGCCTCGGCCTCCCAGAGTTCTGGGATTACAGGCATGAGCCACTGCGCCTGACCTCATTTATCACATTACCATGAATTAGGCTTATCTGTGTTCTCTCCATACGACTGCCCCCTACTAGAAGTTAGCAACAGTAGCTTATTCTCCCATTGCCTCTGGAGAAGAGCTGAATCTCAGACAGTTTTTAACACATAAATATCAAATACTTCTTTTTTCTACTCTTCTAGCCTTTCAAATTACTTAGAATTTAGTTTTCTTTGTATAGTTTGAGTTGCCCTCAGCTGCTCACATAAGCATTCAATAGGTTGCTGTGATCAATCTATAATCCTTTAAATGACTGTTGAGGCCTAGAAATTCTAGTAATCAATACAGAAATTAGAACTCAAAGTGTTCTCCCCTTTTATTTTTTATTTTTGACAATTTTTGCCCTTGATGTAGAGATTTAGTGATTGCCTAATCATTTTAAACAAATGTTTCCTTATCTCATTGAAGAGAATTACATTGATAATATAGAAAAACAATTGGCAATTAAAATATGAAATCCAAGAGAAGAATAAAGTAATAGTTATCTGGGAAGGGTAACAATTAGCTTTCATCACTTTAACCAGAAATAAGCTGAAACTAAGAAAACAAAATACAGTGAAACATTAAACATCCATTTGAGTGCCTACCTGTTCATGTCGAGCACTGTGCTAAGCAATAGTAGTTGGTCTTAATTCTCATAAAGCTCAAATAATGACTTAATTTTATTTGTGCTAAATTCTAAGAAGGAAAAGTATAAGATGTCATAGGCTCTTCTAACAATGATAAAAAGACATGAAAGAGGGTAATAGGATCAGATGAGATGGATGTAATGAAGAATTATGTATGTAAGCTGAAACAGAGATCATCTGATTGTTTCTTACCCTAATTTTTTAATCTGAAGAATCTGATGAAGAGGTAAAGTTAAATTTTTCCTCCATAAGAATAGAAATTAAGTTAGAAAATGTAGGCCAGGCGCAGTGACTCATGACTGAAATCCTAGCACTTTGGGAGGCCGAGGTTGGAGGATTGCTTGAGGCCAGGAGTTCAAAACCAGCCTGGCAACATAGAAAGACCATCTTTCCAAAAATTAAAAAAAAAAAAGCCTTTCACAAAAGCAACAAACATCTAATTTTTGAATAAACTTAACAGATATATTCAGGAACTTTATAAAGATTTTAAAACTCTACCAAATAATATTTTTAAAGACTTTCATATATGGTGAGATTTAAACCTTTAAAATACAGGGTTTTTTTGTTTTTTTTTGTTTGTTTGTTTTGAGACTGAATCTCCCTCTGTCGCCCAGGCTGGAGTGCAGTGGCGTGATCTCGGCTCACTGCAACCTCCGCCTCCCGGGTTCAAGTGATTCTCCCGCCTCAGCCTCCTGAGAAGCTGGGATTACAGGCACACGCCACCACACCCAGCTAATTTTTGTATTTTCAGTAGAGACGGGTTTTGCCATGTTGGTCAAGCTGGTCTCAAATTCCTGACCTTGTGATCCGCCTGCCTCGGCCTCTCAAAGTGTTGGGATTACAGGCGTGAGCCACTGCGCCCGGCTAAAATACAGTTTTTAAAAAGTTAGTTCCAAAAAAAAAAAAAAAGAGTTCAAGGCCAGGTACTGTGGCTCACACCTGTAAGTCCAGCACTTTGTGAGGCAGGAGGATCACTTGAGCCCAGGAGTTCAAGACCAGTCTGGGCAACATAGTGAGATGCTGTCGCTACAAAAAAAAAAAAAAGCCAGGTGAGGTGGTGCATGCCTGTGGTCCCAGCTACTCAGGAGGCTGAGGCGGGAGGATCCCTTGAGTACAGGAGTTCAGGGCTGCAGTGAGGTATGATTGTGCCACTGTACTCCAGCCTGGGCTACAGAGCAAGATGCTGGGTCAGTTTTTTTAAAAAGTTCAAGTGTTTTTTGAGTCACTAGCTATAATTTTTGGGAACCACCGTTAAATCTGAAGATTGGAAAAGCAGAAAGCATGTTAAGAGAATTGGAATATTCTCCTAATGCATGAAGTATGAATCACTTTCTGACCACAAAATTTTTTCATGGTACGTCTTTATAAGGCCTGCTATGAGGGGAGTTCTGGAAACAGGAGGAATTCTAGTGATTTAGTGGAATACAGAGGGTGGGGCATCTTGTGGTGGCCCTGGGAGAGAATGAGTTTGGCAGGTGTGATGGGAGCATAAAAGGGAGTGATGGAAGGTGAGGTTAAAAAAGGTAGATAGGGGCTGTGTGTGGAGGCTCACACCAGTAATCCCAGCAGTTTGGGAGGCCAAGGCGGGAAGATGATTTGAGCCCAGTAGTTTGTGGTTATGGTGAGCTATGATCAAACTAAACTGTAGCCTGGGTGACAGAGTGAGACTTTGTCTCAAAAAAATAAATAGGATCTTTTTTTCACCCATCTCTCATTACTCCCCTTTATGCATCCAGCGTTCTGGCCTGTCTGGGAATGGTGAGGAGTCAGATATGGGAGATTGCTGAAATAGCAGTCAGACTTTAACATTGATGGCTTATTGGAAATAAGTGAGAGAGAGGAGGCGTAAGTGATTCTAAGATTTCAAGTCACAAAAAGCAAAACAGCTACAGTTGGAACAAGTTTTGTACTCTGGCCAACACCCTCATGATTATTTTTAGTTTGTGGCAGGCTAGATGTAAGAGTTAGTCTGTGCTTGTGGCCAAACTGATACTAACAATAAATGGGATTCTAGTATTTTGTAATTTCAAAATTTGGCTTAAGTAGAATTAGATAATTGGAATTGGAAGGGGCCATCTAGTTTCACATACCTTCATTTTACATGTGAGTTTGCTGAGGCTCACAGAGTTTGACTTTTCCCAAGGTCTCAGGGCTAGTTTATTACAAAAATGAAATTACAATCCAGGTCTTCTGGCTTCTAGTGCAGCAATTTTCATACTTTTTGCAAGTTGCTTAGCATTATTTTCATTTGATTTTTGTTTTATTGAGAGATCTGTGAATTTCAGGATATATTATAGCTATAAATGCTGATCTTTAAGATCTGCTATTTAGCTATCAAAATCTAGGGGAAAGATCCAACTTAAATACAGAATTTAAACAGATTGGCAAATTTATCTTCTAAAGAGAGGATTTCATAATAACACAAAATAAATAATTGCTTGATCATAATAGTTGTGCTTAGTTGACTACAGTTCTCATTGTGTGAGAATCAGCTGAACTAAAACCAGTTTAGTTTAGAATATTTAGAAATATTCTATACTTGGCTGCCTGAAGTTAATGATAATGACCACAGAGTCATCCAATAAAACATTAATTAAAATGTTACTTTAGCATTAAATCCCACTACTTGATTGTTATCTTTATCAAAGGATACTGCCTTTGGCAGAGTTACTATTTCAAAGAGGAAACAGAGCAATATGAAACTACTTTGTGGGGAAAAAATCAGAAAATGTGTTGTTTCTGTTCTTACCAACCTTATAGCAAGGTGATATATTTACAACTGCCATTTACAATTATAATTTTCCATCTCAAATAATTGATCTTCCTATATTTGCACAGAGAGTAATGAATGAATCCGCTCATACAGTTACAAGGGTGGCATTGCCTGCCTCCTTCAACTGGCTGAATGACTGAAGGAACTGGTGGATATTCTTTCTTGATGTGATTACATCATCTCATTTTCTTTTTGGCAAGCTATCATTCTCATACACTTCTGGTCCATCACCCCCTTTTTTAGAATTGACAGTTTTCTGCTTTCGTGGAACATGGTCTACCCTCCCCATCATTGCTCCTTCAGATGATAAGCTTCTCTTGGGCTGATCAAGATGGGAGCAGTGGAAAGGAAGAGAAAGACCCCATAGCACTGTAGGGGGGCTCTTGGTTACTATTCACACAGAGAGTGAAGTCAACTTTCAGCTCAGTGCCTTTTGGCAGCCTTTCTCGTAAAATATCCAGTGTTAATTCATACCATTTTTTACAATACAGGTTTACTTTAACCAGTGTTTATTAAACATACATTTTGATGGAAGTATTTTTACTTTGATTAACGTACAAACCGATTGACTAGAAATATGTAAGCATAAGTTACGAATGCAGTTCTTATAAACGCCTGTACCTGTAGCTGTTTTATTTTTTCTTCAGATAAGAGGTTTGTGGTAAATGGTTTCATTCTCCAAGACTGCATGTCTTTTCAAAAGACGCTTAAAAGAACTGCAATAAACGTGGGAGTACAGGTATCTCTTCGACATACTGATTTCATTTCCTTTGAATATATATTCAATAATGGGATGCTGGATCATATGGTAGTCCTTTTTTTAATTTTTTGATGAACCTTCATAGTGTTTTCCATAATAGATATACTATTTGATCATTATATAATGTATAAATACATTGAAACATCACACTGTTACCCCATAAGTATGTATAATTATGTCAGTTATAAATAAAAATTTAAAAGAAGCTGAAAATCATTCAAATAGTTTGCTCACTTTGTTTTCAGATCTAGTAGTATATATTGCATTTAAATCAATCTGATAAAACTGATAATTTTAGGATAATCATATTTAGTTTATTTTAAATGTACGTAGTCTACATTTTAAATCTCTGATATAAGATTGCTGCCTTTTTTTTTTTTTTTTTTTTTTTTTTTGAGACTTGAGTCTTGCTCTGTTGCTCAGGCTGGAGTTCAGTGGCAAGATCTCAACTCACTGCAACCTCTGCCTCCCAAGTTCAACCGATTGTCATGCTTCAGCCTCCCAAGTAGCTGGGGTTACATTACAGGTGCCCACCACCACACCCAGCTCATTTTTGTATTTTTAGTAGAGTCGGGTTTTCACCATGTTGGCCAGGCTGTTCTTGAACTCCTAACCTCAGCCTACCAAAGTGCTGGGATTACAGGTGTGAGCCACCTCACCTGGCCCACACTATAGTTTAATTGGAAGCTTTTTTGTTAGTAAAAGATAAAAGAGTAATATGTCTTAAAATTGACACTTTAGATTTGATTAGTTAACAGTAGTAATTGTACATGAATGACTATTACATGTACAATGGGCCTATTCTTGGAAGTACAGTGTGATGGTTAATATGTGGGCTTTGCGCAAGTATCTTAACTTTTACTGTATTCTTAGTATTTTATGAAGATTAAATAGGAAAAAATATTCATCGGCCAGGCACGGTGGCTCACACCTGTAATCCTAGCACTTTGGGAAGCTGAGGCCGGCGGATCACGAGATCAGGAGTTCAAGACCAGCCTGGCCAACATGGTGAAACCCCGTCTCTACTAAAAATACCAAAAAAAAAAAAATTAGCTGGGTATGGTGGCGGGTGCCTGTAATCCTAGCTACTTGGGAGGCTGAGGCAGGAGAACCACTTGAACCCAGAAGTTGGAGGTTGCAGTGAGCCGATATTGTGCCATTGCACTCCAGCCTGGGCCACAAGACCAAGACTTTGTCTAAAAAAAATAAATATTCACCACAGAATCTGGCATATAGTGAGAGCCTAAGAAGTATTAGCTATTATTATAGCATTATAACAGTGTTAAAACTGCATGATTGATCCACAAGCACAAACCAGAAAGCAGTTACCAGCAGTCTTCAATGTAAATGAAATAATTCAACTGTTTTTTCAGCTATTTTCTATAGATAAGACCTTTTATAAACAGAAACCTGACTGGCACTAAATTGCTATTTCCCAGACTGTTGTATTTATAGAATGCTAAAAGCCGTCATTATACAATATATTTTACTACTCACTAGATACTCTTATTCTGGCATATCTGTAAAATATAGAAACCTGATATAAATATTCAGTAGTCTAGTCCAGGGGAATTTTGTTCAAGAAACTCAGCACCAGAGGTTATATGAGAAACAAGGTTATTGTCAGTAGACTTTGAGAATGTCAGTTACTATGAGAACTGTGCTTGCCTTAACCACTTAACAGTTTTTTTTGCTTGTAATACAAGTTCAGGAACAGATGATATTATAGAATTAGCACTTATCCCTTCTAGTAACTAATCTAGTCTGATTTTCAGGCCCAAAGACTTGTAAGTATATTCATACTTATCAGATAGTAAAATACTTAATATAAAAGGTAAACTTTTAATTTAAGCCTATTCGGGTGGACTTTTTTTTTTTTTTTTGCTCTTGGGACAGCAAAGACTCATCTGAGCTTTGATACTTTCTTTTTTTTGCTTGAAGTCAATTTCAAGTCACTTTCTCCAGTAATTTTTTTTCTTCATAATCAGTGCTTCCCAAGGGAGGCTTCTTAAATATGATTTTAGAATAAGTGAATAGATTATTTTCATTTTTTACTTTTTAAAACTGCACAAAATAAGTATATGTTTTTCTGGCCTTTGTAGGAAGTAATTTTTAAAAATTAGTAATAAGGTTTGTTTTTAGAGCAGTTTTATGTTCTCAGCAAAACCCTGCAGAACTTTCCCATATATCCGCTGTTTCCACACGCATACAACCTTCCTGTTAGTGATACCACCCACCCCAGTGGTACTTTTTTTTTTTTTTTTTTTTGGCAGAGTCTCACTATGTCGCCCAGGCTGGAGTGCAGTGGTGCGATCTTAACTCACTGCAACCTCCGCCTCCCGGGTTCAAGTGATTCTCCTTCCTCTGCCTCCCAAGTAGCTGGGATTACAGGTGCTCACCACCATGCCTCATGCCCAGCTAATTTTTGTATTTTTAGTCGAGACAGGGTTTCACTCTGTTGGCCAGGCTGGTCTCAAATTCTTGACCTCAGGTATCTGCCCGCCTCAGCCTCCCAAAGTGCTGGGAGCCACTGTGCCCGGCCCACAGTGGTACTCTTTTTTAACACCATCACCCATAGTCCGTAGTTTACGTTAGGGTTCACTCTTGGTGAATAGGATATGTATTTTTTCTGGCATGTTATAGAAGGTAAGCGTTTTTAAATATATAGATGTTTCTTAAATAAGAAATAATTTGAAAAGTGGCAAACTCTTCAGCAATTCTTGTCTACAAGTTTGTTGCTTTAAAATTTCTTCAGCACTCGATTCATTCTAAATTAAGTGAAAAATATTTCCTTGAGAGATTTCTTTCACATGCTATTCATCAAACCAAGATAACATTGTAAACCTTCTCAACCTGTTAAAGAACATCTATGAAAATCTATACCTAATATACTTAGTGGTGAAATGTTGAATATTTTCTTACTGAGATCAGAAAGAAGACACTCAAGCTGCTTTTATACCACATTGTATAGCTAGGCATTACAAAAAGACAAGAAAAAGAAGTAGAAACATAAAGACTGGAAAGAAGTAACATTATATTACAGTGATATGATTGTTTATTTAGAAAATCCTAATATTCAGGTATTCAGGATATAGGAGTGAATGGGAGAGCTTCCATCTTATAGGAAGTCACTGGTTATTAGCTTTAATAGCAATACTATAATAATAAATGTCTGCCTGAGAGAGTAAGGGAGGCTTCACCTCTGTTTCTACTAAGTGACTTTTAAACTGCTTTAAAAAATGTAAGAGTTTGGGCTCTTATTAGTATATAGTGGGGTCCATTATGGAGATTTAATCCAATATAATTATATTTACATTTTATAGAATTCTAACAAGAGAGGTAAAGATGGATGGGAACGGTAAGAGATGAGATGCAGAGAGACCAGTGAAAGAGATGATGGCCTTAGTAGTATTGGCAGTGAGGACTAAACTTGGTTAGAGCTATTAGGAGGTACAATTTATAAGACTCAATTACTACGTTTTTGGCTTGGGTGATTGAGCATGGATAATGGTAAATAGGAAACTTAAGAGGACGAGCAAATTTGGGGTTGGGAGAGCAGAGCTAGGAGTACGAAATGATGTTGGACTTCATGAATGCTACATGTATGTATCATTTTTCTTTTCCTTTTATTCCTCATTCTTTTGTCTTAATTTTCTCCCTTTTTCTCCTGCCCCCCAACTTGACTTCACCGTGCCATAGAACAGAAGATTTCTTTTTTCTCTTTTGGGGTAAGACTGATAATTCAGTCTTTGATGTACTTCACTTCTAATCATCATAACAATTAAAGCCCATAGGACTTTGATGTTTAACAGCAAACAAAAATGATAAATACATGTAGCATTCACGAAGTCCTACATTTCCTACTCCTACCCCTGCTCTCCCAATCCCAAATTTATTCTTCCTCTTAAGTTTCCCTTAGTAAGGTGGTTGGATAGTTACTGTAATTGCTAGGAATTCAAGGTACCATTTCTCCAACTGAGTGCCAACCAGAAGTACATACACACAATAATTGGTAGTGGAATACAGTACCACACTATTAATCTGAGCATGCATCCCCAAATTCCCCAAGTGTAAAACTTCTGGAAACCCCAGTTTATTCCTGTTACTCCCTCTTTATTAACTGAGAACACCTAGCTCTACATGCAGGCCCCACCATGCCTGCAGGAATCTAGAGCTAAGGGCAAGACCACTTCCCCTGAGTTTCAGGAAAGAATAGCAAAGATGGACTCAAATTCCTGGTTTTTGTTTATCCTTGAATATTAATCAGCTCAGCCTGCCATAACAAAATACGATAGACTGGGTGACTTAAACCACAGAAATTTATTTTATCATAGTTCTGGAGTTTGGGAAGCCCAAGATCAAGATGCCAGCTGATTTTATTTCTAGTGAGGCACTCTTCCTGGCTTGCTTGCATGGCCTCTATGTGAGCCTTCATCTTTTAAGATAATATAAAGAATATAACATTTCTTTATATTCCCAGTTGTACGGGATTAGGACCCTGTTGGTGTAACCCCATTTGATCTTAATTACCTCCTAAAAGCCCTGTCTCCAACTACAGTCCCCTTTGAGGGTTAGGACTTCAACATATGAGTTTTGGAAGGGACACAATTTAGCCCATAGCACTTGGTAACCTCATTTCAGAGTAAAGGGTGGTGCAATGACTGTTAAAATCACCAGTCATTTACTTTCCAAATATTTTGAGGTTTTCCAGATATCTCTTACTGATTTCTAATTTAATTCCATTGTATTTGGAAAACATACTTTATGATTTAAATCCTTATTTTTATTTTATTTATTTATTTATTTTTATTATTTATACATTTATTATTTTAATATATATTTATTAAATTTATTATTTTAATTTAATATTTAATTTTATTATTTTAATTTAATATTTTAATTTAATTTAATAAATTTATTAATAATATATATTTATTATTTATATATTTATTTATTATTTGACAGAGTGAGATAGATTCTCACTCTGTCACCCAGGCTGGGGTGCAGTGGTGCAATCTTGGCTCAATGCAACCTCCCCTGCCCCCGGGGTTCAAGCAATTCTCCTGCCTCAGCCTCCCAAGTAGCTGGGATTACAGGCGCCTGCCACCGCACCCAGCTAATTTTTGTATTTTTAGTAGAGATGGGGTTTCACCGTGTTGGCCAGGCTGATCTTGAACTCCTGACCTCGTGATCCACCCACCTTGGCCTGTGAAAGTGCTGGGATTACAGGCGTGAGCCACTGTGCCTGGCCGATTTTGATTTATTTTTTTTGAGATAGGATCTCACTGTGTTGCCCAGGCTGAAGTGCAGAGGCACAATCCTAGCTCACTGCAGCCTCAAACTCTCAGGCTCAAGCTATCCTCCCACCTCAGCCTCCCAAGTAGCTGGGACTGCAGGCTCACATCACTGAGCCTGGCTAATTTTGTGTGTGTGTGTGTAGAGGCAGGGATCTTATTTTGTTGTCCAGGTTGTTCTTGAACTCCTGAGCTCAAGTGGTCCTCCCACTTCAGCCTCCCAAAGTGCTGGCATTACAGGTGTGAGCCACTGCACCTTGTGTAAATTCTTTTGAATTTATTGAGACTTGTTTCATGGCTCAGAATATGATCTATCATGGTAAATGTTTTGTGTGCATCTGGTAAGGATCTACATTCTGCTTTTGATGGTGGAGTGTTTTATAAATGTCAAGTCAAGTTTTCTATATTTTTAGTGATCCTTTGTTAATTGTTCTATTGATTACTATTGAAAAAGGGTATGTTGAAACCTCCAGATAAAATTGTGGGTGTTTCTATTTCTCCTTAAAATTCCATTGGTCTTTGCTTCGTACATTTTGAAGCTATGTTGTTAGGTGCATAAATGTTTAGGGCTGTTATACGCCCTTGGTGATTGGCTTTTTTATCATTATAAAGTAGACCTCATCACTAGCAATATCACTTTTTTCTGAAATCTATTTAATGTGGTATTAATATAACCATTCCAGCTTTCTTTTGATTAGTGTTAGCATGGTATATCTTTTTTTAACCTTTAACTTTTAACCTATTATTTCTTTATATTCAAAATTGACATCTGGCCAGGCACCATGGCTCACACCTGTAATCCCAGCACTTTGGGAGGCCAAGATGAGCGGATCACCTGATGTCAGGAATTTGAGAGCAGCCTGACCAACATGGTGAAACCCCGTCTCTACCAAAAATACAAAAATTAGCTGGGCATGGTGGCATGTGCCTGTAATCCCAGGTGCTCGGGAGGCTGAGGCAGGAGAATTGCTTGAACCCATAAGGCAGAAGTTGCAGTGAGCCGAGATCGCGCCACTGCACTCCAGCCTGGGCGACAGAGCAAGACTCTGTCTCAAAAAAAAAAAAAAAGAAAAGAAAAATGGACATCTTTTAAGTCATATATAGTTGTGTCTTGCTTTTTAAAAAAAAAAAATCTAATCTCACAACGTCTGCCTTTTAATAAGATGCTTATACCATTCACATTTAAGGTTATTGTTGATATAGATGGGCTTAAATCCGCTATTTACAATTTTATTTGTCCCATCTTTCTTGGTGCCTTTTTCACTCTTTTTCTTTTTTCCTCGCTTTGTCACCCAGGCTGGAGTGCAGTGGTGCAATTTTGGCAAGCGAGTCTTCTGTCTCAGCCTCCCAAGTAGCTAGGATTACAGGCTTACACCACCATACCTGACTAATTTTTGTATTTTTAGTAGAGACAATTTCAACATGTTGGCCAGGCTGGTCTTGAACTCCTGACCTCAGGTGATCCGCCCAGCCTGGCCTCCCAAAGTGCTGGGATTACAGGCATGAGCCACCATGCCTGGCCCCTTTTTCATGCTTTTTCTGACCTCTTTAGATTTTTTTTAAATTCTATTTTATCTCATTTGTTAACTTCTTAGTTATACCTCTTGGGTTTTGTTTTGTTTTTTACTACTAGTTACTTTAGGGTGCACATTATTTTTAACTTGTTATAGGCTACCTCCAAGCAATATTATGCCACTTTGTGTATAGTATAAGAACCTTCCATTTCACCTTCTTTGGGCCTTTATGCTATTGTTATGCATTTTATATCCAGACTGTTATAAATCCCACAATGCATTGTGATTATTTTTCCTTTAATTATATTTAAGAGTGATTTTAAAACTGAGAAAAAATTATATTTACCTATATGATTTTGTGATTTCCAGTGTTTTTGTATAGATATAGATTCTCAGATGTTATTTTCCTTCTGTCAGAAGAACTTCCTTTAACATTTTTGGTAGGGAAGGTCTGCTAATAGTGATTTTTTTTCAGTGTTTTGATGTCTAAAAAAGCATTCTGCTTTGGTTTTTTAAATCTAATTGATGGGATTTTTTTTTCTTTCACTGCTCTCCATTTCTCTGGCGCTTGCTTTCTGTGTGCTACTGTCTCCTCTTCAATGCTTTAACTGTTTAGAACCTCCCCTTCTCTTTCTTTTGCCACTAATTTAGGGAGACTGCTGGCCTCTATGTGGCTTTCCCAGTGCTTCAGCCTGGAAACTTGCTCCAGACAGTAAGGTGGGGCAGTTGTTGGGCTCACCTGTTTATTTCCCCACCTGGGATAACAGTCCTGTCCTGTCTGCTGGCCAGTGTCTGAAAACAGTTCTTTTATATATTTTGAGTGGTTTAAAGTATAAGAATAAATTAGATCTGTTACTCTGTCCTGGCTGAAAACAGCCCAGTGATTTTCAAAGTCAATTAGCCACCCCACCAGCCTTGTGGAAAAATTCATAAAAGGAGTGAATATAGAAATCAGGTTTTCCCTCCAGCCTATCACCTAGTAGGAAGATAAGGCTTATGGTAAAGTCCTGTCCTCTCTATGTATACAGGCCCAACCTGAGTAAAGAGAAAAGCTTCCCTTCTCCCCTAATACATATCATTCCCATTTCATAAATGAAGAAATGAAGTAACATGCCTGTACTTGCTCTGATTGGACTTACTAGATCTTACTCCCTTCTTTGTAAAATTGAATTCTACAGTGAATGTTTTACTTACTGCAGTTACAAAACAGTTATTAAAGGACAATTTTATTTTCAAATCTTTGCATGAATTTTAGTTATCACTTTTCCTTGGCCATCAGTTATGTTATATATAATCCCATTTCATTTCTTAAAGGGGGAAGATTTTATGCTTCATGGCATTCCTTGAATAAAATACATTATGAATGAAATACTTCATGAAATCAATAATTTCATAATTTATATTCTGGTCCTTTGTATAAAATCTTTGCTAAGAATGTCTTCTGACCATATGGAGAAGTATGTTTATAGTCATTTTTAAAATATACTTGTCAACTACACTGGGCTTGCTATTTAAAGGTCAAATACTAACCGAAAACTAATTAATAATTCCTATCATAGCAAAGTGTGCCAAAAATCAAAGGGCAGAGTCCTTTTTCCTCATACATTTCTTAGGGGTAAGAATTATTATTTCACCTTTCCCAGAGTTACTCAGTATTTGGATTTATGCCTACTTGATCAAAAAGCCTATTCTTTTCTCCTAATTATGCTACACTGTTTCACCATCACAGTTCCATAGAAAAGTATCAGATTTCAGTATTTCAGGTTTAAAATTAGTTATAATTTTGGAATCTTATTTAACCCTTAATAAAATTAACTTTTATGGTATTATTTATTTAAACCAACAGAAGAAATTATTATAAGCAACATGGTTCTCAAGCAATAGATCATCTCTTACTAGAGAAATAAGGATTAAGAGAACTACTTGCTTAAGTTGTAGTCAATATTTTATGTTCACTAAATTGAGGCACTGTAACTTTTGAACAGTATCATGAACTAAAATTCAGATGAAATTAGTCTTTTCCACTTTAAGATGTTTTTAGTTAATGGGTATACAGCTACCTTCCTATAATGAAGGAAAACTTATTTAAGAAATACTGTCTGGTCAGGTGCAATGTAATCCCAGCACTGTCAGCCTACACCTGTAATCCCAGCACTTTGGGAGGCTGAAGCTGGAGGATCGCTTGAGGCCAGGAGTTTGAGACCAACTTGGGTAACATAGCAAGGCTCCTGTCTCTACAGAAAAGTTTAAAAAAATAGCTGGGCATGATGGCGCATTCCTGTAGTCCTAGCTACTTGGGAGCCTGAGGTAGAAGGATCACTTGAGTCCAGGAGTTTGAGGTTACAATGGGACTGCCTATTCAATTTCAAAACACACTTTGAACCATGCAATTTCTTGGGTTAGCATTGTGTTTTAGAACACTTTAGTTATTTGTCCAGCCAACGAGGAAATCTAACTTTTCGTCAGTAGCTTTCAGTTTGAGTGTTAAATTCGAGATATGTTGCTTGCTTTAAAACTTGTTTCTTACATTAAAAAATGTAAAATGCATTCTAGAAATTATATATATATGGCAAACTAATTTGCCATAACACATAGGCGTAGGTGTTTGTCCTATTACTTGGATTTATCAGCTCTGTATCCTTTGGAAAGTTGAACAATATTGTAAGTTGAATATTGTCTTTTTTCCCTTTATACCATAATTCTTCACCTTAATATTTTCATCAACTCATAAAATCTTAAAGTTGGAAGACTTTTTTTAAGAAGTGGTGTACTTTGATAGTTAAAGTAACCTAGAACAAAAGAGGTTAATATGGGAGAATGTGGACCTCATGAAATCCAGCACAGTGCTTATTTTTCACTAACTAGTACCACCTTACAAACAGTGAGACCTAGGCAAGAGTGAGATGTGCAGAATTCCCAGACTTCAGTTTTCCACATACATGCTGAAATTTTAAAAACAGGTTTATTTTGTCATACATGAGACAATGTGAATTTTTTAAAATTATGAAGCATATCATAGCTACAAAGAGCATATACATTAAAGATGGTTTAGAGAACAGCAAAATGACCTCCCATGCAGTTGCTACTCAGCTTGAGAAGCAGAACCTTGTGTGCTGACTCCTGTGTTCCTCTCCTCAGGTACATCCCCAAAATATCCACTGTTCTGAATTCTGTGTTGTCTCTTTTAAAATATTTTATCACATATATAACCATAAACTATGTTGTTTAGCTTGTTTTTTAAACTTTTATGCAAATAGAATCATCCTATAGTGTTCTACAACCTGTATGTAGCTGTAGGTTATTATTCTTGTACTTACGTTTACTCCTGTATCCCATTATATGAGTGTATCACAGCATTCATTCTATGGACGATAAACACTTGTTTTTTCCAAAATTTTGTTGTTATAGACAGTGCTTCTTTGAACATTCTTATATTAGTCTCCTAGCATACATGTACAAGATTTTCTCTAGGTTATTTACCTAGGAGAGTAATTGAGTTGTAGAGTATGTACTTCTTAACTAGGTAATGCCAGGTTATTTTTGAAAGTGTTTGCACCAGTGTGTACCTTTACTAGCAGTGTATGACCACTTCTGTTGCTCTATACCTTTAGCAATATTTAGTCAATTTTCCTGCACAATCCTTTGAATGTGAAATCATATGTAATTGTAGTTTTAATTTGTATTTTGCAATGATTAAGGAGTTCTACATCTTATATTCATTAACCTTTCAGGATTCTTAGGTGAAATATTCTAGATATTCATCTTTTGTCAGCATTTGCATTGCAAATATTTTCTTTGTTTTTGGCATGTCTTCTCAGTCTCTGTGGTGCCTTTGGTGTAGCACTTCATCTTCCTTAGTCCATAGGAACCTTCGTAATGCCTGTGGTTTAATAAAGACAAGTAACTCTGAACTTTCAACAACCAACTTGGGAAACAAAGTTGTAGAACATTAGTTTTTAGAAATTTGGGGCTACTTTTAAGCTATATTTATAGGAGTGCTAGTAGAACACATGTGAGGAATACAGGGAGGCCTACTTTGGGATGTTTGAAAGATGGGAGTCTGGGAAAAGAACTTGTTCAGAACACACAGGAAACAAAAGTACAGTAATGACTTTCCTTAGGTACCCCACCACCACCAACGTCCTGCCCTAACCTGTTGAACTTCCTCTAGCTCTAATTTTACTCTATTGTATACAAATATTTTTTGTTTTTTGTCTTATTTTCCTGCTGTATATTGTTTCTACTTCATTTGTTTTGTTTCTCCCTGCTGCTTCCCCAATTCTGTCTTCATTTTGATTTCAATTCTTAATTACTTATCCTTCTAGTCTTTTCTTTTTTTTTATTTTTTAATTTTTTTTAGATGGAGTCTTGCTCTGTTGCCCAGGCTGGAGTGCAGTGGCACAATCTCAGCTCACTGCAACCTCTGCCTCCCGGGTTCAAGCGATTCTGCTGCCTCAGCCTCTCGAGTAGCAGAGATTACAGGTGCCCGCCATCAGGCCCAGATAATTTTTGTATTTTTAGTAGAGACAGGATTTCACCATGTTGGCCAGGCTAGTCTCGAACTCCTGAGCTCATGATGTGCCCTCCTCAGCCTGCCAAAGTGCTGGGATTACAGGCATGAGCCACGATGCCTGGCCTTTTTTTTTTTTTTTAACTACCCTTACCTCCACTGAGGATTTTTAGGGCATGAAAGGATTCCGTATGATACTCTCATGGTGGATACATGTCATTAACATTTTTCCAAACCCAGAAAATGTATGACATCCTGAGTGAACCCCAAGATAAACTATGGACTTTGAGTGATTATGATGTGTCAGTGTAGGTTCATCAAGTGTAACAAATATACCA
Source organism: Homo sapiens (assembly GCF_000001405.40). NCBI lineage: Eukaryota > Metazoa > Chordata > Mammalia > Primates > Hominidae > Homo > Homo sapiens. The sequence goes on along the minus strand of NC_000015.10, from coordinate 52,629,310 downwards.
CTCTTTTGAGGTTGTTCATAATCGAGGAGGCCACACAGGTATTGGGGAGGGGGTATAATCTCTACTTGCCACTCAGTTTTGCTGTAAACTTAAAACTGCTCTTAAAACGTCTTTATATGACCTCTAACGTGATATTGAATTTTTTAAAAAACCTTTAGTTAAAAGCAATCCAAAAAAACTCTTAACTCCACAAAAAATGACTATGTTTGGATTATTAAGCAGCCAGGAAGGGAATATGGACACTTATAGATTGAAGGCTTTCTGTAATTAAGAATTTGAATTGGCGAGGGCAAGATGTTTGTTATGACAGCTAATTTTAGTCTTCTGGGAAGAGAATGGCCCTTCAGGATTGTATAAAGGAGAAGATTTACCTTCCTTAGCTTCAGATTTTTGTGGTCTAGAAAATATATTTGTTAACAATTGAGTGAAAAATTAAGTAGTTGCATAAAATAGATGGAAATTTCTTTAATGAAGTCATCAATTGTACTATTATTAAAATAGAGTTTTTGTTTTGTGTTATACTTTCATGGCACTTCAGTTAAAATTATTTTAATGGAAGATACATAAAAACTAATCACATGACATATTCATTTCTTTGTCATGTAAGCTTTTAATCTATTCATAATATCATTTGAGGAGTTTAAATAACATTAAAAATATGCCTTTTTAAAAGTTTTGCTGTATCTAGGATAGTGTTTTTAAAAAACTATATCACATTGTAGTTTTTACATTACTGTAGTAAATAGTTATGGTAACAAATTCAGATTGACAGGTAATTACTGTTTTACATTTTGCAGTATTTACAAAAGTGAGAAAGGTATTAGTACCCATTTTATTACTTAGCTGTAATTGACTTAGAGAACGTCACAGAAAATCAGTGTGGCCTGAGTTCTGAGTACACAGCCCTGGCATGGCTCATATCAGAGGAGCATCTTCTGTGTTTCCAGAATTCTCTTAGGTTCTTTTTAAGTCTTTTATCTAGAAATACTTGGATTCTAACATTACTTAGATTTGTTGTTCCAAGAAGCTCAAAGGGCTTTATAAAATACTATTAGTCTTAAAATATCTAAAATCATTGACTGAATATTTTATATTGATTCTGTTCATAATCGTCTTAAGAGTGTGTGTGGGCCTGATACAATGTCTGCAGACATGAAGAACAGCATTAGATATATCTAAGAGACATTTTAGAGCACTGGAGAGAATTAAATTCCAAATTCCCACATGTCTCATCAGTCACTAAGCCTGCCTTTCTTTCCTTCATTTCCATTGGTGATTCTAGTTGTCCTAATCATTCACAATCGAGAATTAGCGATTAGAGAATTAGCCAAAGCTTTTCCTTTGGCTTCTGTGAGATTTAGTGTGATGAAATCTGCCTCTCAAAATTACATTAGATTGAGAGGGACCTACTTTTAGCATTTTGTTGAAGACACAATCAGATGGCAGAATTGGCTATTAAGTGGCATTATAAATTCTCTTAAGATACTGGTGGCTGAGGCCCAGGAACATACACGAATGTAATCATTTCAGTCCTGTGTGTGTTAACAACTCTTAATTAAAATCATTGTGAATAAGTTAAATTGTTTTTAAAAATCATAGTAAAATAAAAGCAAAAGCAAAAAAAAAAATGCATAAGCATTGCCTGATGTTCTGACCACCTTCAGTCTGACATTTTTTCTCCCTTAATGTAGGGCTGATAATCTGAGTTTTCCTGTCTTGTAATATGTGAATTCTTCAGTTGGTCATACTTCAACATAGATCAAAGTTGATCTACAAGTGCTAGTGCCTTTCAATAAGCTAAATCACTACACTTTTATGCCTGCTTTCATTTTGCTTATATATTTATTGAGTACTTGCTATGTGTCAAGCAGCGTCCTAGGCACTGGTAATAAAATGATGAATATTTAGACCTGGCCCCTGTACTAATAGAGTTTATAGTTGAGTTAGAGGCAAACAGGGCATTATAATAAGGTATTAATTGGAATTTAACTGAAATCAACGATTAGAAGTTGGCAGATTTTCAGTTTCTTCATTGAAAAATGTGCAGTTTGTGACAGGGTACTCTTAAATTGTCTACCCTTCTCCTTCCCTTCCCTCTTAGGTATTTTCTGACTCATTCACAGCCCTTCTTTTGCAACTTTGAAAGTATCAGGTTTAGAATTTGGGTGGCTCTGGCAGAGAGGAGTCTATCAAATATGGCTGACATTGAGAAAACACAACTAATGTTATGTCTCATTGACAAAAATAGGGGTCAGAGGGGTTGCATGGGCAGAGAAACAAAGAGCATTCCGGCAGGAAAGCAGAAAAGTGAACTGGAAAACCTAGTTAGAATTCATAGGAAAACTGGGATTGGGAATTAGATACCAACATGTTTTACAGTAAGGACATGAATCAAACCTCAAGAGGCTGAATAACTGTTACAGAATAGGCAACAAGAATGACCTTGACAGTAAACTGACAAATATCTAAGGCTTCATGTTCTCTCTGAACTCTGTCCATAATTCTTCCCTGAGCCACAATTGGAATTGAACTAATAACAGGGGTAGAGTTTGGCACACTGGATGAGATTTGGAAATAAATCCCCAAATTTCTGACATTTTCCCTACACAAGAGACGTAGGTTTAAGGCCCCCCTTTACCATTATGTTGCTGTGTATGCCTGAGCAAGTCACTTTACCTCTCTGAAGTCCAATTTCCTCACCTGTAAATTAATGAAAATATATCCTGAATTCCACAAAAAAACCAACTCTTGGCCATTCTCTCGCTCTCTTTTTTTTTTTTTCAGCTTTCCCTTATCTTTTCTCCCACAGAAGCTGCTTATTTCTCTTTGATGATAAAGGGATCAAGTTTAGTTTTAATTAACTCTAGGTGTTTTTTAATGCACAAAGGAGAACATTGAAACACTTTATTTATAACCAGATGTAACTGTACAGTTTTGCCATGCATTATAAGGATAATGTTTCCAAGTTGGATATCCTCTTGTTGTTTCTGGAACCACATGATCTAGACTTTTCCCGTAGTACTTAAATTGAGAGCTTTAAAAAGGAGAGACATGTGGAACAAAAGGAGTAACTGTCCGAATTCATGTAGTACCAATGGGTTTCAAGATGATCCTCCACTTACTGATAAAGTGTGTGGCCTTGGGCAAATGATTTTACAAATTTAGGATTCTGTGGGGAAAGAGAATCCTAATGGGGAAAGATGTATATCATAGCATTTAGTTTTATTTTAAATTTAACACTTATATGGCATACACTATGAGCCATGCAGCATTCTAAAAGTTACATAGATAATAACTCAGTCCCTGTAACTGCCCTCTGAAAGTTGATACTATTATCCCCATTTAATTAGGTGAAATACTGAGGAAAGAGATGTTGTGTAACTTGTACAAATCCAAACAACTAGCAAGTAGCAGAGCTGGTTGACAGACTTCAGAGTTGAGCCCTTTACTACTGCTCTATGCTGCTTCATGAGGACTAACTTGATAAAACAATTCACAACTCAGGTTGATGGGGATCATCTTTGTTTAATTGAATGTTTGGGTTTTACATGACAATTTAATAGCCAGTTTTCAAAGAGCTAGATGACTATAAAAACGTAACTTTTTTTTAAGATGGCACCTTATGATATTACAGTGTTTTAGTCATAATTTTGAACTTTGGTGTTTATTGTGTAGATGCAGAGCAGAGATACTTGGTTGAATTTAAACAAACCACACTCAAGTTCAGAAAATTGCTTTTAAAAGTCAGTCTGTGATAGATTTTTTACTTATAGTTGATAAGTTGATCACTTGTCTTTTTTCATAATAGAGTGTTGAGGAATAAAATAGTTTAAGTTTTGTTGTGGATTAACAAGACCAAGAATAAAGAGTATTTTCATATTAGAAAATACTGTTCTGTAGATGAGAATATTTATGTATAACTAATAATAAAATAATAGTGTACACATAAAATTGCTTTCACTTATAGCCGTGGTCACTCTTTTTCACACTTGTCACTAATGTCAACTTTGCCTCTTATTCTCTGCTTGAAGACTTTTCATGGTATATAAAATGACTTGTACTAGGTATTGAGAAACTTGAATTCTAGTTTGCTATTGCCTGGTTTCTAGTATATTATTTAAGCAAGGAAGTTGATGTCTTTGTACCTTATTTTCCTTATCTGGAAGTAAAGTAGGTTAGGTTAGGATGATTTCTAAGATTCTTTACAATTCTCACTTAAAACAGGTACACATGGCCAGGCACAGTGGCTCATACCTGTAATTCGAGCACTTTGGGAGGCCAAGACGGGTGGATCACTTGAAGTTAGGAGTTTGAGACCAGCCTGACCAACATGGTAAAACCCCATCTCTACTAAAAATACAAAAAATTAGCTGGGCGTGGTGGCAAGTGCCTGTAATCCCAGCTACTCTGGAGGCTGAGGCAGGAAAATCACTTGAACCCAGGAGGCAGAGGTTTCAGTGAGCCGGGATCGCACCACCACACTCCAGCCTGGGTGACAGAACAAGACTCCGTCTCAAAAAAAAAAAAAAATAAGCAGGTACACATATTCCTTTGAGACTGGAACACATAAATGAGAAGCCAAAAATATTTCAGTGATTGTGGAATTTAACCCATTAGTAGATGTACATCCATAGCATGTTAAGAATATTCTAAAGAAATGAATAGGTTGATATAACTATAGAGCTGTCAAATCGTGCTGAATTTTTCCTGAGGTGGTTCATTTGCATTGATCTGTCCTTTCCTTTTTCATGGTCACATTTGTGATTAATGCCCTAAGTTTTGGAGAAGTTTGGCTGAAGTTAACAGTACAGTCTGTCCATGGAACAGAGTGAAATTTACCCATGAGGAGGTGAAATTCATGACCTTTGGTTGGTACACTAACACCCTACAGTAACCATTTATAGCCTAGATGGCTTCTGTAAATTCTGGGGAAGAGAACAAAGTAAGTCAAAGATCAGTGTGGAAAGGAGTTAGGAATGGGCTTTCTCATGGAAAAGATTGGCAGTCCAGAAAGCTTTGGGTTGGTGGAAAGGAGAGGAGGAAGTCATGCTTGATAGGTTAAAAACAAAAACAAAAACAAAAACGTTTAAGCTCAAGAGGATTGTAATGGAATGGCTTTTTGGGAAGATTAATCTGTATTAGGATTCAAGATGGATAAGGAGATGCCTAGAGTCCTAGACAATAGCTAGGAAACTTGTAGTAATTCAGGTATAAAATAATAAGAACCTAACTAGGTAACTGTTTTGGGGATAAAAAGCAAGAGTTTAATTCCAAGGAAAATTTAAAACAAATTAAAATTTAGTAATTTCAGGATTATACAGGAGAATCTCCTACCATTTGTGCCATAGACTTAGAAGAGAAGCAGTTAAAACTTCTTTTAGTCTCATTTTGAGATTTGGAAATAATTCTCTGTGAGTGATGATATTGCATATTTAATACTTTTCTAGAAAGGGCTGTTGTATTACATGAATGCCCATTGTGTTAAGACAAGACTAAGTAAGTAGACTTTTGCATTTATCGTTTATACTCTTCAGAATAATTGACAGTATATGTCACATTTGTCTTATCTTCCATCATCACCATCTACTGAGCTCACTATTTTCAAGGTCACCAATGACTTCCTTATTGTCAAATTCAATGGTCACTTCTTTGTTTATATTTTATTAAACCTTACCAGTGTTTGAGACCATTGACCATGCACTCCTGGAAACTTCCTATTCTCTCAAGGCTTCCATTATACCAGCCTGTAATCCAGCTCCTTTTGCTGTTCGTCGTCTTCTAATTGTTGGAGTCCCCCAGGGCTCTGTCATGAGTTCCCTGCTCTCCTCTATCTACATATTCCTCTAGGTAACTCTTGATTCTAAATACTATCCAAATGCGTGCGATCCCCAAAACTATACCTACAACCCTGGACAACTATAATAACCTCCTAATTAGTATAGCTACTTTCATTCTTTCCCCCTATTCTTTTATCCACATAGCAGCCAGGGTGATCATTTTTAAATGTACATTTTAAAATGTAAATGCATTTCTCTAGTTAAAACCCTCTAATGGCTCCCCATTCCATTTAGAATAAAATCTAAACTTTCTGTCCTATTTTCGAAATCCTATATGATCTGGTCCCTGACCACCTTTCTAAACCTTTTTTTTTTGACACGGAGTCTCACTCTGTTGCCCAGGTGGGAGTACAGTCGTGCAATCATAGTTCACTGCAACCTTGAACTCCTGGGCTCAAGCAGTCCTGCTGCCTCAGCCTCCCAAGTAGCTGTAACCACAGGCACATGTTACACACCTGGCTTTATTTATTTATTTATTTATTTATTTATTTATTTATTTATTTATTTATTTATAATAGGGACAGTGTCTCACTGTGTTGCCCAGGCTGGTCTCAAACTCCTGGGCTTAAGCAATCCACCCATCTTGGTTTCCCAAAGTGTTGGGATTACGGGTGTGAGCCACCATGCCTGACTAAACGTCCATCTCTTGCTGCTTTCCCTCTCTCCCCACTGCAATTTCAGCCTCATTCACCTTCTAGTTCCTGGGATTTGACCCATTCGTTCCTACCTTTGACACTGCTCAGAATGCTCTTTCCCCTAATTTTTGAATGGCTAGCTCCTTGTCATTCAGATCTCAGCTGAAATGTTACCTGCTTCAAAAAGCCCTCCTTAACCACCTGATATAAAGCATTGCCATAATCATTCTCATATCACATCATCCTTTTTATAATTATGGCATAGTACTTAGCATCTGATAGTTTATTAATTTGTTTTTGTTTTTCTGTGTCATCACAACAATATAAGCTCCAAGCCCCAGTGTCTACGAAAGTGCCTGGAACCTGGTAGTTGTATGGTATTTGTTAAATAAATGAAGTCTACATAGTGGTTATGTTAACTGAGAGTCCCATTCTTTGAGCATAACCTCTTGCACTAATTCTTAATATCCATTCTCAGATGCCTCAACTCATTACCATGTGTTTCTCATATGGAATCTCACTGAGATTCCAGTTCTTACCTAATTTTTTAAACATTTGTTTTTAAAAAGAAAAAGTGTTTCAGATACTAAGTTCCAATTTCTCAATACCAGAACCAGTATACTGTTACCTGTGTGTGTCTTCACAAATGCCAGTATAAAGTAACCAAACTATGACCTACTTTAAGAAATAGTAGGCCAGGCGCAGTGGCTCATGCCTGTAATCCAGCACTTTGGGAGGCCGAGGTTGGTAAATCACTTGAGGTCAGGAGTTCGAGACCACCCTGGCCAATATAGTGAAACCCCATCTCTACTAAAAATACAAAAATTAGCTGGACATGGTGGAGCGCACCTGTGATCCCTACTCAGGACGCTGAAGCAAGAGAATTGCTTGAACCCCATAGGCAGAGGTTGCAGTGAGTCGAGATCATGTCATTGCACTGCAGCCTGAGCGATAGAACAAGACTGTGTCTCAAAAAAAAAAAAAGAAAAAGTAAGTATGTTAGTGTATTCTCATGCTGCTAGTAAAGACATACCCAAGACTGGGTAATTTATAAAGAAAAAGAGGTTTGATGGACTCACAGTTCCACATGGCTAGAGAGGCCTCACAATCATGGCAGAAGGTGAAAGGCACATCTTAAGTGGCAGCAAGCAAGAGAGAGTGTATGCAGGGGAACTCCGCTTTATAAAACCATCAGATCTCATGAGACTTAATGAGACTTACTCACTCTCACAAGAACAGAATGGAAAAACCCACCCCCATGGTTCAATTACCTCCCACTGGGACCCTCCCATGACACGTGGGGATTATTACAATTCAAAGTGGGATTTGGGTGGGGACACAGCCAAACCATATTAGTAGAGGTTACAAAAAGTAATAACTCTGATTAATTAAAAATATATGACACTGGGACTGCTTTTATTACATATTATTTTTCAGTTAATAGGAGTTACTTATGCTAGTCAGAGAATAGTGGTTTATTTACAATTTAGTATGTGGGATTATGTGTTTGCTTTATGGGACTGATAATATTTTGTTGTATGTATGTCTGTGCTTATATATGCTTGTGATTCCACAGATACATAATCATAACATTGTTATTAAACATTAGGGTTTTACTTATATTGTAGATATGTTTCCTTGTCAAAAGTAGGTATGTCATTATTTTAGATCTAACTGGACCACAGTATATTTAACCAGTCTCATATTGTTGAATATTTAGGTTGATGCCAATTTTTTTAAGTTGGTATAAATGTTTTCATAAACATCCTTGAACATTTGGCCAGGTGTACTTGTCCTGTTATTTCCTGGGGATAAATTCATAGAAGGAGAATTTTTATTCACAATACTCGATTGCGCATCATGAAGTAAAAAGGACACTTTTTATTTTTATTTTATTTTTTTGAGACAAAGTCTCACTCTGTTGCCCAGGTTGGAGTGCGGTGTCACAATCCCAGCTCACCGCAGCCTCAACCTCCAGGCTCAAGTGATCCTCCTTCCTCTGCCTTCCAAGTAGCTGGGACTGCAGGCACATGCCACCACACCGGCTAATTTTTGTAGAGATGAGGTTTTGCCACGTTGCCCAGGCTGGTTTGAATTCCAGAGCTCAAGCAATCAGCCTGCCTCAGCCTCCCAATATGCTGGGATTACAGGCATAAGCCACTGCACCTGGCTGGACATTATTTTTAGATAAACTTTCTTAGTAGCAATTCCCCAAGTTGTTCCCACGCCTCTTCCATGTTAATCCATGGCATAAGAGGCCTAGACTCCTTCTCCTTCTCTGGCAGGCTTTAGAAATAAACAGCATATATAACAGCCTAGCAATGGGAAAGACACTCTTCTTCCACTCCCATTGAAGTAGATTTGAGCCATCCTGCTTTGTTTGCTTTTTTCCTAAATCAAGAAATGTGTGTGTATAATGAGTAGTGCTTCAGCTGGGCTCCTGGTTAGAGTCTCTCAAGGAGTTAGTGGTTCTGGTCTCTCTCCTGTGGTTTTTCTGGAGAACAAAGAATAAATTCTCAGAGTTGGAAAAAACCTGAGAACAAGCCTAATTGAACCTCTCGCTTACATAAATCTCTTCAGCCACACCCTGGCAAGTGTTTATCAAACTTTGCTTGAACACCTCTAGCAATGAAGAATTTACTTCTTAGTCTATTTTGTCTACGGATCACCCCAGTTGTTCAAAGTTTTCCCAATGGCTAAGTTGTTCACTTTTCTCGATGGACAGAACAGGTGGGGAATTTTAAGAAGCTGCTACACTCCAGAACCAGAAGAGCATGCAAAAGCAGTCAGTCTGATCATAGCTCCTAGACAACCTGGTGCAAGCACAATCCTCATTGAGGTCTTAGGTAGGGACCCCCAGAACTGTGTTTTCATTGGTTAATCACCGGTGTCCAGTGATCTGTCCTTCATAGCCTGTGAAAATTTATAACATCCTTTCTGTTCTCTTCAATATTATATTTTATGTCAAATAATTTATTTTTCTTTTCTTTTCTTTTCTTTTCTTTTTTTTTTAAGACAGTCTCTCTGTCACCCAGGCTGGAGTGCAGTGGTGCAATCTCAGTTCACTGCAACCTACACCTCCTGGGTTCAAGTGATCTCCCATCTCAGCCTCCCAAGTAGCTGGGATTACAAGCATGCACCACCATCCTGGCTGATTTTTGTATTTTTAGTAGAGACAGGGTTTCACCATATTGGTCAGGCTGGTCTCGAACCCCTGACCTCAAGTTGATCCACCTACAGGAGTGAGCTACAGGAGTGAGCCACCACACCTGGCCAAATAATTTATTTATTCTAACATGTAACTGGTAAGAAGGCCTAGCAGTTCATATTTGTCTAGATTTGAAACATTTTTTGTGTTTTTTTTCTTGTAAAAGTAGACTTTTTCAGATGCTCTAAAATCAAACTTTATTTCTAGTGTGAGCTACGTCCTCAAAATATCAAGTTAGATCTATTGAATTCTCTTTAGCCTGACATATTTCCCAAAAATTAGTCATATTCTTCAGTAAACTTTGCTGTTGTGTTTAGAGGTTGACATTATAAAAATTTTAATGATGTAACTTTTCTTTAAAAAAATTTTTTACTGCCAATTTTCAAGTACAATCTATAACAATGTAACTGTTCTGAGGACTACTATGATTTAGTATTCTCGTTTATTAAAATTAGACATTCTTGACAAATTTCTAAAAGTTGTCACCACATATCACTTGTACTTAGGTAATATTTTATGTGTTTCAAAATACCATTGTATAATCCATAGTATTCCTTTCAATACTTATGTAATAGTTACATTGGTAATTAACAGATAACTAGTATCATCTCTAATCTTTTGTTTCAAATTTTTCATTTAAACATTTAACACACTAAGTTCAGTAAGTCATCTGAGGGATTGCAAACTCCAGTCATGGTTTTGAAGTTTGTTTAGTTTACCTCCCACAGAGACAATGACCAAAGCAACCAAATTTTAGTCCAATGTTACATTATTTAAAAGTGGCTTGGGGCAGTGGCTCACACCTGTAATCCCAGCACTCTGGGAGGCCAAGGTGGGAGAACTGCTTGAGGCCAGGAGTTTGAGGTTAAAGTGAGCTATGATCACGCCACTGCACTCCAACCTGGGCAACAAAGCAAGACCCTGTCTCTAAAAAAGAAGAAGAAGAAGAAGAAAATACTTTTTTTAACAGTTCAGTTTTTATCACTTTAAACTTGATAATTCCTACTGCAAGAGTTAGCCACTCCCTGCTAGGAGCTTTGTAGATGTATTACAGTTTTGCAGGCATAAGGATAACAAGTCATAGAGTCCTGGTAATACCTCTTTCTTTCACTCTCTCATTGCACTTTCCCCACCCTCTTCCCCACTTTGTATGTCCTTTCCTAATCTAACCTGTTAGTTTTGCATAATTTTGTCAGCTGCAGAAATGATCAGGTGCTCTTTAGGATATGTACAGTGGTAGTGTTTAAAAAGTAGTTTTAAGAGACATCCTTGTTAAGAGTGAAGAAAAATTGGGCCAGGCGCAGTGGCACACACCTGTAATCCCAGCCCTTTGGGAGGCCGAGGCAGGTGGATCACGAAGTAAGGAGATCGAGACCATGCTGGCTAACACGGTGAAACCCCGTCTCTACTAAAAATACAAAAAAATTAGCCAGACGTGGTGGTAGGTGCCTGTAGCCCCAGCTACTCAGGAGGCTGAGGCAGGAGAATGGCGTGAACCTGGGAGGCAGAGCTTGCAGTGAGCTGAGATTGTGTCACTGCGCTCCAGCCTGGGCGACAGAGTGAGACTCCATCTCAAAAAAAAAGGAAAAATTGATGAGGGGAATGATGAGTTTTTAGCCAGGCTTTGGTACACGGTATTTGGGGAGATCATATACATTAATGCTCTGGTTAGAGGCCTGCAGATGGGTCATGGTTGATTCCAAGGTGATAATGCAGAGGTAGTCAGTCAATTATGTGTTACAATTATGTGGATTTGGATTTAAAAGAATTATGGGCTCTCTTACAAGTTAATTTTACATCTTTTATTATTATATATAAATTAGTAATAAATTATATAAATTATTTGTATATAATAAATTATTAATAAATAAATATTTAAATAAAATTTATTTATTCAAAAGTAGAGACTATATAATGTGAAAAATAAGAGTAAAAGCTACATTGTATGAAGCTAAGTTTGTTTTAAAAGTTATATACATGCTTAAAATAAGGCTATAAAATTAACAATAGGTATCTCTGAAAAATGAGTTATTTTTGTCTTACTCTCTGAATTTTATAAATTTCTCACTAAATGTGTTACTTTTTAATTTCAAAATCATTATTTAAATTTTGAAATAGTCACATTTTTGGAAAGTTTTATTTTCCCCGATGTTTTAGTGTGCTCAGGCTGCCATAAAATACCATAGATTTGGGTGGCTTAAACAATGGAAATTTATTTTCTCACAGTTCTGAAGGCTGGAAGTCCAAGATCAAGGGGCCAGCATGTTCAGGTCCTGGTGAGAGCTCTCTTCCTGGCTCACAGACAGCTGCCTTCTCCCTGTGTGCTCATGTGGCCTTTCCTTGAAGAGAAAAAAAGCAAGAAGGAGACACATGTGGCCTGGGGGAGGTGGGGGAAAGCAGGGAGAGAGGAGATCACTTTCTCTTCTTTTAAAGCTACATGCGTTACCACCCTTATGACCTCATTTAACTATAATTACCTCCTAAAAGCCTTATTTCCAAATAGAGTCACAGTGCCAGTTAAGGCTTCAACATATGAATTTCAATTCAGCCCATCACTCAATAATTCTCATTTATAGACTAGCAATTTTTTTTATTTTTGATGATTGTCTTCTCTAATTTCATAACAATATACTTTAGTTACTAGTCAAGGTGCTTTTGATTACAAACAATTCACTCAACAAGCTTAAAGGAATTGATTGCTAGGGATACAGAGTTCTGTCTCAGTAGGTTTATGAGGGACTGGAACATTGTCAGGAATCAGGCAACTACTTTTTCTGGCTTTCTATGTCTACAAAGTCTCTTGTTTCTCTCATTCACTATATAGCTTATTTCATTCTCTTTGCTGTTCCATGCCCATGGCAGTCTATGGTCATTGCATAGCTCCTGGGTGTACATTGCCTCAGTTTAAGTCATAGCAGACGGGGACAAACCAACATCTCTGAATCCTAACTCCAGTGTCCTGGGAAATAGACTGACCCAGGATGGGTCAGGTCCCCACTTTGAATCAATTGGCTTTGTTGGGGTTGGGGAACAGGGTCACACTTTTATATATACATGTAAATAAAGACAGGGTCTCCCTATATTGCCCAGGCTGGTCTTGAACTCCTGGGCTCAATGGATTCTCTTGCCTCAGCCTCCCAAAATGCTAGGATTACAGGCATGAACCACCACTTCCAACCAGGGGTCACACAACTTAAAGAAGGCTGCCGGTGTTCACTCTTGGCAATGGCCACTGTTAAAATCTTGCTCTATGTGATCTTCCTAAAGTTCTTTCAGACAACTGGGTAGATGTTACTTTCATTTAACAGAAGAAAACATTCAGTGACTTGTCTCAAGCAACACGTCACTACCGTAGAACCCTTCCTCACCACTGTCTTCACCACATACCCCTTAGAACCTTTCATCACCACTGTCTTCCACCACATACCCCTACTCAACTACTGGCCACCTGTCTGTGCTCTTATAACATAGACTGCTAACGTCTGTACGAGTGGTTATCACAGTACGTTATAATATGTATTTGGTTGTTGTGTCTACTACTCTGAGAATGTTTAAAGTGTATGATCCATGTATTTTTTAACCTGGGGATGTATGATAAACTGGATGAATTGACTGGGAATAGTACTAGAGTCCAGGTTCTGGAGCTAAACTGTCCAGCTTCAAAATTCAACTTTGCTACTTCCTAGCTGGATGATCTTGGGCAAATTACTTAACCTCTCCATGCTTCATTTATCTGAAAAATAGAAGTAATAGTCCTCACCTTCTAGAGCTGTTCTGAGGATTAAATCAGTTGACGTGTAGAAGGTACTTAGAACTGACAGTGATAAGTTACCAAATGTCAGCTGTCATTTTATATGTTCCAAATGGTCACTTTAGAGAAACTTTTCTGAATGGTCTTAAAATACCAGTTTAATAAAGTTTACTCCCAAGGCTTCTTCCTTTCCTGATAAGCCTTCCTGAAGCTGGAAAAGAGCATTCTTCATCATACCCTTCAAAGCTATTCATAAGCTGGCTCCAGTCTTTCTTTTTGCATACTTTTCTCTACATGAGATCTCTGCTCAAATTGCACCTTCTCTCTTCCCATTCCATGCTGCATGGTTCTGTTTGTTTTTAAAATTCTTTGAATTGTAAAGGTTTCAAAACTAGGAACTATGTGCATACGACTCTGTGTCCTCCTATTACCTGAGGTATAATAGGCACTTGAAATATTTGTTGCTTGATTGGCCGAGATAAGAGCAACTTTTTGTACAACAAATTGTACAACAAATTGAATAGTGTGTGCACTTTTGTGTATGAATGTTCAACTTGTATAGCAAGTTAACAGTTTTTAAAATTAGCTGTTAAAAAACTAAGAGCACTCATGAGAAATATTTAAATTACCATAACTACGTGAAAAAAATCCACAGATTAGATTGTTTGAAACTGTAATAACCAGAATACCACACTCCACATATTGCAAATCAGGCTTTGTGCCGCTGCTGGATAATAGCATTTCTTCCTTAGAAATTGTTATTACTATATAGTAAAAGCACAGAGGACCCCATGACTATGAATTTTCATGTCACGGAATTAGTGCTGTGAGACTAAGGAACTAGTAAAGGGAGGGGGAGAGAAAGAGAAACATGCAGTTGGATCTGTATCTTTTTCTAATATGTAAATAATAGCAATAGAACATCTTAGCTAAAAATATGACATAAGACATTTTAACCTTTTAGCTATTAGTGATGATTTGTGTGCAAAAACTATTGTACCTGACATCCAAAAATATTAATTTTTTTTTTTTGAGACAAAGTCTTGCTCTGTCGCCCAGGCTGGAGTGCAATGGGGTGATCTTGGCTCACCGCAACCTCCATCTCCCGTGTTCAAGAGATTCTCCTGCCTCAGCCTCCTGAGTAGCTGAGATTACAGACATGCGCCACCACACCCAGCTGATTTTTGTATTTTTAGTAGAGACTGGGTTTCACCATGTTGGTAAGGCTTGTCTCAAATTCCCGACCTCAGGTGATCTGCCCACCTCGGCCTCCCAAAGTGCTGGGATTACAGGCATGAGCCACCACGCCCGGCCCGAAAATATAATTATTATAGGCTATAAAGTTAACAATAGATATCTCTGAATAATGAGTTGTTTTTGTCTTACTCTCTGAATTTTATAAATTTCTCAGAAAATGTGTCACTTTTTAATTAGAAAAGTAAGCTACCACACCTGACCCAAAAATGTAATTATAGGCCAGGCTCAGTGGCTCATGCCTGTAATCCCAGCACATTGGGAGGCCGAGGCGGGTGGATCACCGGAGGTCAGGAGTTCGAGACCAGCCTGACCAACATGGCAAAACCCCTTCTCTACTAAAAATACAAAAAATAGCCATGCGTGGTGGCACATGCCTGTAATCCCAGCTACTTGGGAGGCTGAGGCAGGAGAATCGCTTGAACCCAGGAGGCGGAGGTTGCAGTGAGCCGAGATTGCGCCATTGCACTCCAGCCTGGACAAAAAGAATGAAACTCTGTTTCAAAAATAATAGTAATTATTATTATTAATTATATTACAATTATAATTAATATACCAGTTCAACTAGAATTTGGAATTATCCATCATCTCCTCACTTCTGTAGTTTGTGAATCAAAAGTTTAGTATATTTTGATTCTCATTTTTATTATTTTCACTCTATGTTAAATGAATAATGTGTAATGTGACATTAGTTATTTTAGGCAGACCAGATGAGTTCTTACTAAGAGTACATTAAATTGAGGACCCTTTGCCCCTTTTTTATATCAGATACTCTGGATGAATATTTTGAATATGATGCAGAGGAGTTCTTGGTCTCTTTGGCCTTGCTGATAACAGAAGGACGAACACCTGAATGTTCTGTAAAAGGTCGAACAGAAAGCTTTCATTGCCCTCCAGCACAGTCTTGTTACCCAGTAACTACCAAACATGAATGTAGTGACAAGCTGGCCCAGGTGAGAATCTTGTGTTGAATGCTTTGTATCTTTTATATAAACTAGTTTATGTTCATCATCACCTTTATTTTATTACAGTTATAATTGTCATATTTCAATGTAAAATTGATCATAATCATAAAGGGAAAAAATCCAAATCCTGGACCATAGCTAATAACCTTGGCTCTCAAATGAGGCTCTTGAAGGCATTGCAGGTAACTCTGCTGATCAGTGGGGAAGTGGGCACCCAATTTCATACCTGCTGTCTCATAAGCTAGATTTAAGACTATCTCTGCTGTTGGATTTTACTTTATTTATTTATATATTTGAGACGGAGTCTCGCTCTGTTGCCCAGGCTGGAGTGCAGTGGCGCGATCTTGGCTCACTGCAACCTCCACCTCCCGGGTTCAAGCAATTCTTCTGTCTCAGCCTCCTGAGTAGCTAGGACTACAGGTGCGTGCCACCACACCAGGCTAATTTTTGTATTTTTAGTAGAGGCGGTGTTTTGTCATATTGGCCAGACTGGTCTTGAACTCCTGACCTCATGATCCGCCCTCCTCAGCCTCCCAAAGTGCTGGGATTACAGGCATGAGCCAGGACGCCCCGTCTGCTTTATTTTGAGAATCTCAGCCCTGGCTCATCCACTTTGTGTTGTTATTCATTTGGTAAATTGATGTTGTTATGATTATTTTCCCTGCATTAACCAATTTCCCTTTTGTATTCCTTTTTTTTTTTAAATGGGAAGATATTTTTTGTTAATGTTTTTGTGTAACATTGTTCAAAATATTTTGGTGTAGTAGCATATAATTTGCTTTAAGAATTTTTCTCCCACTTATTAGTTTCTCAAATGTGATCCAAAATTGTAAACTCTAAAAATCGTGTCTATTTTGAGGCTGGGCGCAGTGGTTCACGCCTGTAATCCCAGCATTTTGGGAAGCTGAGGAGGGTGCATCACGAGGTCAGGAGTTCAAGACCAGCCTGGCCAACACAGTGAAACCTCATCTCTACTAAAAATACAAAACTTCGCTGGGTGTGGTGGTGGGTGCCTGTAATCTCAGCTACTCGGGAGGCTGAGGCAGGAGATTCGCTTGAACCCAGGAGGCAGAGGTTGCAGTGAGCCAAGATGGTGCCATTACACTCCAGCCTGGGAGACAAGAGTGAGACTCCATCTCAAAAAAAAAAAAAAAAAAGATCTTGTTTATTTTGAGCGTTTAATGAAAATGAGTTTTTAATATTTTGGTGTTCGGATTTAAGAAGTAATCTTTCCTGTGAAATGATGAAATTAATAAAGTAGGCAAGGCTGGGCCAACTCAGAGGCCTGTCAGACATTGGATGTAGCAGTTCTTTTTCCACAAGGTAGAGCAAAGATACACTCCTCAAGAAAATTTGCATTATAAATGTTCAATACAGCAGGGGCACTGTGGCTCATTCCTGTAATCCCAGCACTTTGTGAGGCCAAGGTGGGCAGATCACCTGAGGTTAGGAGTTTGAGATCAGCCTGGCCAACATGGAGAAGCCCTGTCTCTACTAAAAGTATAAAAATTAGTCTGGCGTGCTGGCGGGCACCTGTAATCCCAGCTACTTGAGAGGCTGAGGCAGGAGAATCGCTTGAACCTAGGAGGCAGAGGTTGCAGTGAGCCGAGACTGCACCACTGCCCTCCAGCCTGGGCGACAGAGCAAGTCTCAGTCGCAAAAAAAATAAAATAAATGTTCATTACTAATCCTTGCACTCTAGAGCTCACTAAGCATAGATCCGTTATTAAATGAGGAAACCTAGATAGCCAATTCTGAGCAAAGCTCTGCAATAGCTGACTCATTTCTCACACAGATGTCTACTTTACAATGATAATTTTCTATTTTAAACACAAAATTAGGTGGGTTTTTGAGACATTTTGCTTATATTCATTTTCTCTAAGTGCCGCCAAGCCAGACGAACTAGGTCTGAGGTCACATTGTTGTGGAAGAATAACCTTCCAATCATGGTGGAAATGATGCTACTACCAGACTGCTGCTACAGCGATGATGGGCCCACCACAGAGGGAATTGATCTAAATGATCCTGCGATTAAGCAAGATGCATTATTATTAGAAAGATGGATCTTGGAGCCAGTTCCTCGACAGTAAGTTGTTGAACGTAGTTCAAAGTTGTTCTTGGTAAATCAAGTTTTCCATTACTTCTTAT
Source organism: Homo sapiens (assembly GCF_000001405.40). Lineage (NCBI taxonomy): Eukaryota > Metazoa > Chordata > Mammalia > Primates > Hominidae > Homo > Homo sapiens. Next base: position 52,611,512 of record NC_000015.10, on the reverse strand, counting down.
AAATTATTTTAATGTATCATGTCTTTGAATTCCTCTATGTAATAAAATTGAGATAGTATTTATATTTGGCACTAAAATGAGTAAATATAGTACTTGCATTTAGTAATTGTGACTTCAAGTGACATCGTAAGTGTATTCCTATGCTCTTCAAAGCACAAATCCTGAGTGATAAGTTTATGGATCTCAGCTTCTGCCATTCTAAAATTCAGTCATTTTGTACTTGCCTACATTTAAATTATGCTTTGTTACTTCCTTAGGAATGGTGACCGATTTATTGAAGAGAAGACGCTTCTGTTGGCTGTCCGCTCATTTGTGTTTTTTTCTCAGTTAAGTGCATGGCTGAGTGTTTCTCATGGTGCTATTCCACGAAATATTCTCTACAGGTATGTCTAGGGCCAAAAAAAAAGGACAGTGCGTATTCAGCCACCTTGGTTAGCAACCGAATGGCATTTTACCTTTTAAATAGATTATTTCCTGCAATTCTAAATGTAAGTGGATAAAATTTACTGAGGTTTTTCAAAACAAGTTAGAGAGATTTGGATTGACTCAATATGAATTTTGTTTGTTGTATTAAATTTGGTATGAATAATATCAAGAGAACTTTTAAGCTTACTTTAGAGAACCAATGGACTTAATGCTGCTATTATAAAGTAGAAAAGTTTTCTGAGCTGCTGAATTTTTATGTTTGACTTAATTTTTGGCATCTTGGATAATGTAAACATATAGGCTGCTAAACAGCTAACTGGCTTTTTAGGCAGATGGCCATGAGATAGGGTGTCTCTTAATCACCTTGCACAATGGAATTAGCTGAATCCATTTATGTGCTAGCAATTACAAAGTCCTTTTTTCTGTTTTAACAAATATTTTTAAGTTATAATATTCTTGAGCTTTAATGCTTAAGTGATCTGGTGTTCTTAAAAAGATCATCTCTTCCAAGCATAAGCTATTATATCACTTACATTGGTTTTATCAGAATTATATGCATGGTAAAGTGGCTAAAAGTAAACCTCAGTGGTAATTAACGCAAACAAAAATAAGTGTATGACTGCTTTACATTTAAAATAATATACAATAATAAGGATCTAACCTTTATAATCCAATAATACAGTATTTTTCTGTGTGATTCTAGAATCAGTGCTGCTGATGTAGACCTACAGTGGAATTTTTCACAGACTCCAATTGAGCATGTGTTTCCTGTTCCCAATGTTTCTCACAATGTTGCCTTGAAAGTCAGTGTTCAGTCCTTGCCCAGACAATCTAATTATCCAGTTTTGACGTGCAGTATTCACACTAATATTGGCCTTTATGAGAAAAGAATTCAACAACATAAACTTAAAACTCATCAGCACCATAACCCAAATGAAGCAGAACAATGTGGTACAAACAGTTCACAGCGTCTGTGTAGCAAACAAACTTGGACCATGGCACCTGAAAGTGTGTTACATGCAAAAAGTGGCCCAAGTCCAGAATATACTGCAGCTGTCAAAAATATCAAACTATATCCAGGCACTGGCAGTAAATCTGACCATGGGACATCTCAAGCCAATATTCTAGGCTTTAGTGGTATAGGTGATATAAAATCACAAGAAACATCAGTGAGAACTTTAAAATCATTTTCAATGGTTGATTCCAGTATCTCTAACCGCCAGAGTTTCTGGCAGTCAGCTGGTGAGACTAACCCTTTAATAGGCTCTTTAATTCAGGAGCGGCAAGAAATCATTGCAAGAATTGCCCAACATTTGATTCATTGTGATCCAAGCACTTCACATGTTTCTGGACGTCCATTTAATACTCAAGAGTCTAGTTCACTCCATTCAAAACTTTTCCGGGTTTCACAAGAAAATGAGAACGTGGGAAAAGGTAAAGAAGCTTTCTCCATGACTTTTGGTAGTCCAGAGTTTAGTTCCCCAGAAGACACCAATGAGGGGAAAATTCGACTAAAACCAGAAACTCCTCGAAGTGAAACTTGTATTTCTAATGACTTTTATTCTCATATGCCTGTTGGAGAGACTAATCCTTTGATAGGCTCTTTACTCCAGGAGCGGCAAGATGTTATTGCAAGGATTGCTCAACACTTGGAGCACATTGATCCAACAGCATCACATATCCCCCGGCAGTCATTCAACATGCATGACTCCAGTTCGGTTGCATCTAAAGTGTTTAGGAGTTCATATGAAGACAAAAATTTGTTGAAGAAAAATAAGGATGAGTCCTCAGTTTCCATTTCTCACACAAAATGTTCCTTGTTAGGAGACATCAGTGATGGGAAAAACTTAGTACCTAATAAATGTTTTACTTCTTTTAAAAATAATAGTAAAGAAAAGTGTTCTTTGAAACATCAAACAAGAAATCAGTGTCAGAACAATCCTAGTGAAATCATCCAAAGTACGTATCAGGAGACACAGAACAAAAGTTCTAGTTTATCAACTTCCTCAATTTTGTCTCAGCACAAAGAAAATAACTTAGATTTGACAAGCAGATTCAAGGAGCAAGAAATGAGCAATGGAATTGATAAACAGTATTCAAATTGCACCACTATTGACAAACAGATTTGTACAAATAAGTATAAGGAAAAAATAATAAATGAGAACTATAATCCAAAATTCTTTGGCAATCTTCAGTCTGATGATTCCAAAAAAAATGACTCAAAAATAAAAGTTACTGTGTTGGAAATGTCTGAATATTTGAACAAATATGAAAGCATGTCCTCAAATAAAGACTCAAAAAGGCCTAAGACATGTGAGCAAAATACTCAACTTAATAGCATAGAGAATTATCTCAATAAAGATAATGAAGGTTTCAAATGTAAAAAGTCAGACCAATTAAAAAATGAACAAGATAAGCAAGAAGATCCAACTAATGAAAAATCCCAAAACTATTCTCAGAGAAGAAGTATAAAAGACTGTTTGTCTACATGTGAGCAACCAAAAAATACAGAGGTATTGGTAAGTAACATCTAATATGTCAAATGTAAGTCTCAAATATTTGTTATGGTTTAAATTTTGTTCACAGGAGATCTGGTTATAAAGGCCCAAGGTTCCATTATCTATAGGACACACAGTCTGATAGAATAATAAACCTACAGAACTAGTATTAACATCCTTGCAAATAACCCACTCTCCTAAGAACAAATGCTAAGTAAATGGAGGAAATAAAGATCATGCTGTTTAAAAAATAGGAAGTGGTACCTTTTTAAAAAACTGTTAATAGGACAGTAATTGTTTTCATGACATGTTAGGTCTATTATTTAGGTCTTTTAGCTCTGTTCTCCCCCTGCTCCCCCATCTTAAAGGCCTCTTTTTCTTCTAGTCAGAAGCACCCAGGCCAGGCACAATGGCTCACAGCCTATAATTGCAACACTTTGGGAGGCCAAGGCAGAAGGATCACTTGAGCTCAGGAGTTGGAGACTAGCCTGGGCAACATAGTGAGACTCTGTCTCTACAAAAAAAAATAAATAAATAAAAATTGGCCAGGCATGGTGGTACATGCCTGTAGGCCCAACTGTTTGGGAGGCTGAGGTGGGGGAATCACTTGAGCCCAGGAGTTGAAGGTTGCAGTGAACTATGATTGTGCCACTGCATTCCAGTGTGGGCAACAGAGTGAGACCCTGTTTCAAAAAAACAGAAACAGAAAAAAACCAACCAACCAAAACAGAAGCACTCAGCTTTTTAATATTTGATTTGTAATTTCAAGAGAATGAATACTATATAATATTTATAAAATACTACTTGGATTTTGTATATTGCTTGTATATAACGTTCAGTTATATTACATATTAGGTTTCTGCAAAAGTAGTTGAAGTTTTTGCCATTGAAAGTAATGGCAAACCTCAGTTACTTTTGCACCAACCTAATAGGGTACTTGGTTCTTTTTGATACTTCACCATATGGGACAGGTAGGACAGTTATGAGGAAACTAGGACTCAAAGAGAATGACATACCAGTAGCTGTACAAAGTCCTTAGTGATTCAACTGGCGCCCCCACCCCAGTCTCTTGACTCCTAATCCAGGCTCCTTTCTACTACCTCACAATAATCAAGGACAAATTTGTGGACTGTACAAGTCCTTGGTTCATTCCTCTTGTTTAGAAAATGAATTAATTCCTCCTGTTGCCCTTTTTTGTTTATTTCAGTACTTATAAACAATTCTTAGAGCAAAAACAGTCAGAAATCAAATTTGTATTAGCTTAATGTATTATTTGTTAGCAGGTCAGACCCAATATTAGCGGTGTGCCCATTGTGCTATGCCATTGGTCAGTTAATGACTTTCAAAGTGTCTATAGGGAAACCACCAAGTTACTGGTCAAAACACCTGAGTTCTAGTCCTGGCTTCATAGTTTAGGCCTTAAGTGACCGTAAATAAGTCGTATTACTTATAAAAACCTGTTTCCTCAATTTTACAAGACTCATGATTAATCTCTTTTGCCTATCTTAGAGTGGTGATAATCAAACAATTTATAAATATTTTGTAGACCTTAATGTACTATATACATAAAAGATATTTTAAGTTATTTTCATTTCATTTGATTTCCTACCAAACCACCTTTTAATTTCTAAAAATCATTAGGCTTCACTTTCCTTTACTTTTCCAAGCAGTATCTCAATTATATGGAAAATTTCTTCTGAAGTACCTTGATCCAAGTCTAAATGACCTAAGTTTGTCTTCTTTATCACTCAAATTAGCTTTCCTGGACAGAGTTTTAAAATTTTGCCATGTTTCCAGTTTATATTTTTCTTCAGAAGATCTCGCTCTAACATGGGGTTTAATCAAATGGTAGTTTCCAATTTTCTAAAAGTATAATTGTCACAAAAACCTACACTGGCCTTAAGAATGTTCGGTTCTTATGATCTTTTCTGTTATCTAATAGGGAGGCTTAAATCTGGCCGTGATATTTTTCAAGCCCACTAAGGTTCATTTTTTTCATGTACCTGTTTTAAATGTAATAAACAATTTACTGTGTGCCCCTTCTGAATATTTTACACATGTTGGCTTACTTAATCCCTCTCACTTTGATATGAAGGTAGGTGCTTTTACTAACTCCAGTTTACAAATGAGGACCTTGAGCTAGGGAAACTATAAAACTTGCCAGGGTCACAAAGCTAATAAATGGTAGAGCCAAGACCCAGAATAGTCTTTTATAATTTTTATTCATGTAATTTTTATGAATTTCTGATCTTTGGGTATAAACTTCTCCAGTCCTTAAGAATTAGCCTGTTTCTTGTATCACGTCAAAAACATAGTGCTGTGACTGCATTATATATAATTTTTAATTTACAGTGTTTCTTATATTTCTGTATCATGTTCCACCAAATTATATCATCTGAAAATGGTTCTTAATATTGACATAGTTTTATATTTTACAATATTATATGAATTTTTCCTGTGAGTACAGTAGTCGCCCCTTATCCACGGTTTCCTTTCCATGGTTTCAGTTACTCATGGTCAACCAGGTCACAAAATAGGTGAGTACAGTACAATAAGATACTTTGAAAGAGAGAAAGACTACATTCACATAACTTTTATTATGGCATATTATTATAATTGTATTTTATTATTATCATTAATCTCTTATTGTACCTAATTTATAAATTAAACTTTAGGATAGGTATGTATAGGAAAAAATATATATATTGTTTTGTACTACACGTGGTTTCAGGCATCCACTGGGGTTCATGGAATATATCCCCTGAGAATAAGAGGGGACTACCATAGTAGTTTTTTCACAAATTGAAATAATCAGGTATTAGTTTGCTAGATGATAAATTCTGAACAAATATGACCATATAAAGCATTTACATTTGGACATGTTTTCTTTAGAACTTAATTTATTCAGCATATTACAGTAACCATTTTAGACATTGTTTTCCAATTGGTATATATATATTGTGTGTAAACATAAGATGTAGATACACAGTTTGAGCATCCCAAATTTGAAATGTTCGAAAATCCCAAACTTTTTGATTGCTGACAAGGTGCTCAAAGGAAATTTTCATCGGAATGTTTCAGATTTGGGATTTTTGCATTTGGGGTGATTAACCAGTAAAGTATATATGATGCAAATACTCCAAAATCAGAAAAAAAATCCAAACTTCTAAACACTTCTAGTCCCCAAGTATTTTGGATAAGGGATATCCCACCTGTATATCACCAGCTTCACCAGCAATACCTCAGAATGTATTAGGAATGAGTCTAAAAACAAAAACACTGTCCAAGTTCTTTAAATGGTATTTAAATATTACAATTAACATCTAATTATTTTCCTAACAGAGGACTACACTGAAACATTCAAATGTGTGGCGAAAACATAATTTTCATTCCTTGGATGGAACTTCAACCAGAGCCTTTCATCCTCAAACTGGATTGCCTCTTCTTTCAAGCCCTGTAAGCATTTTTTTTCTTATCTCATGCTTAGAACTTACATACATCTGAAAGGTTTACAAATAATTTCATTCAAATTTTAATTGAAAAAAATTTAAATATCTTTAAATTTCCAGTAAGGAAACATTTTATTTTTTGATAACACATTTTACAGCTATGTGATAATACAGGAAAAGACAAAAATGTGAATAAAAATGAAATTTATTAGTTATAAAATTTATCTGAAATTCTTTTGCCTCAAATTGTAACTGTTACTAGATGTGAAAAAAACAAAAACCATCAAGTGGATTTGTGTCTTACTGATACCACTAACTGGGTCATCTGCAAGTTAAAACTATTGCTGTTTTTGATTTGGAATCCCTTCACTTAATCATCTTGAGACATATAAATCTCTCCACTCCTCAATTACTAATAGATTTAGAGATCTGAGTGCAGTGGTTAAAAGCATCACTTTGGAGTCACACTGAATTCCCCCTAGTTATGCAACACAATCTCTTGGAGTCTCAGTTTCCTCATATGTAAATCAGGATGATAATGTCTACCTTAGTGTTGTGAGGATGGTTAGTATCATCCCTCTTGCATGTAAGCAGTCAGTAGTTAGTTGGTATGGCTACCATTTCAGTTAAACTTGAGGCAAGCAGTAAATTGTATAGCAGAACTAAAAATCCGTGTAATTTGCCACAAACGTATTTTTAGTTGTATGTGTTTTTTAGTAACTAAAAGAATACAGTATCTCGCGTATGTTCAAAAAATAATTATTGAACAATAGATGTAGAATTTAAATGTATAACTTGGAGCTCAGTCTTCTATTTTAGAAAAGTTGAAGTCCAAACAACTTTAAAAAATTCCAAATGGATTTTGTTGTTTTTTGTATTTTTAGTAGAGACGGGGTTTCACCGTGTTAGCCAGGATGTTCTCGATCTCTTGACCTCGTGATCCGCCCGCCTCCGCCTCCCAAAGTGCTGGGATTACAGGCGTGGGCCACGGCGCCCGGCCATGTTTTTTCAAATTCTTATGGGTACATAATAGTTGTATATATTTACAGGGTACGTGTGATGTTTTGATACAGGCATACAATGTGTAATAATCAAATCGGAGTAAATGGATTATCTATCACTTCAAGGCTTTATCATTTCTTTGTGTTAGGAACCTTCCTATTTCACTCTTACTTTTAAATATACGATAAATTATTGTTAACTTTAGTCACCCTGTTTTGCTACCAAATACTAGATCTTATTCATTGTGTCCAACAGTGTTTTTGAACCCATTAACCATTCCCACTTTATCCCTCCCTCCTCACAACTCTTCCAAGCCTCTGGCAACCATCCTTATACCCTTTATCTTCATTAGTTCAAATGTGTTTGTTAAGCTCCCCCATATGAGTGAGAACATGGAATATTTGTCTTTCTTGCCTGGCCTATTTCACTTAGCATAATGTCCTTCAGTTTCATTCATATTGTTGCAAATGACAGGATTTCATTCCTCTTATGGCTGAATAATATTCCATTGTGTATATACTACATTTTCTTCATTCATCTATTGATGGACACTTAGGTTGCTTCCATATCTTGGCTGTTGCAAATGGTGCTGCACTAAACATTGGAGTGCAGCTATCTCTTTAATATACTAATTTCCCTTTTTTTTCCTTAAGATATATGCCCAGCAGTGGGATTGCTGGGTCATATAGTAGTTCTATTTTTAGTTTTTTGAGGAACTTCCATAGTCTTCTCCACAGTAGCTGTACTAATTTACATTCCCACTAACAGTGTATGAGGGTTTCCCTTTTGTTCCATCGTTGCCAGCATCCGTTATTGCCTGTCTTTTGGATAGAAGTCATTGTAACTGGAGTGAGACAACATCTCATTATGGTTTTAATTTGCATTTCTCTGATTAGTGGTGTTGAGCATTTTTTCATATATCTGTTGGCCATTTGCATATTGTCTTTTGAGAAACGTCTGTTCAGATTTTTTTTGTCCATTTTAAAATAAAAACTCCAAATGTTTGACCTACCTAAGAGGTGATTTAAAATGCCCAAGTGATCAGGGAAGAAATTTTCAGCGTCTTGCTGGTGTAAAAAGCACCACAGACTTCTGGTCAATATGGTAGACTAAGTCAATACAGGAAGACATTTGCCCCTTCCCCCACACAGAGATTCTGGAAGAAGTATAACTTCCAAATGCATAATGTTATGTAAGAGCAAGAAAGAAAAATTCCCAAGGTGTAACCTGGGGCAAATTTTGGTCCGCTAGGATATTTGAACCTAAAATAGCACTAGGGTTCAGTTCCCCTGCTGAGAACAGGAATCAAGGCTGCAAGTCTGTAACAATCTTATCTGAGACCAGATTCTTCATAAAGCCAGGCACAGGGAAGACTGGCCTTCTATAAATGAGAGAGGGGGAAAATGTATCCATCTATTTACTCGGGTGGAGTAGTACATGGGAGAAAAAGAAGCACCTGAAAGAAATTGTACCTAAATCTAAGCCACACATGGTAGGGGTTCTGAATTTATACTACCTATGAGATTCAGAGATGTCTAGCTAAGAAATAGCCATAAAAACTAAATTGGAACCCATGAAATCCATCTAGTATTAGTAGGGGAAACATGAAACTATCCCACATCTATAACCCAGGGCAGTGAGGATTTATTTTTATAGCAAATACGTCTTACTGAAGATGACCTTAGAGGAAAAAAAATTACAAAGCACCTTAAAAGAATCAGCAGGAGCAAGAAATGGGAGGATGCACATATAGGAACTCTGTTATCAGAGCAATTTGAGAGTTAAAAATAACTGTTTAAAGTATTCTGGGAGATAGATGAAGGCAAAGATAGGGAATTTAGATGAAAGAATGTGGATTTGAACTAAATAGAAATTCTAGATATGAAAAATGCATGAAGTGTATACACACACATGCATACACATACAGATGAATTAAACAGCAAACTAGGATCGGCTCAATAGAGATTTTGTGAGTGAGTAGACAAATATTTAGGAAGCACCTAGAATGAAGCACAAAAGGGAAGAGAAATAGTAAAATACGAAAAAGCCATAAAGAGAATGAGATGTTCAATGTAAGTCTGGTAGAAGTTTAAAAAGAAGGACTAAATAGAATAAGAAAATGCAATATTAGAAATGAAGGCAGAGAACTTTCCAGAATTGAAGACATGAGGGTTTAGATTGAAAATTTCACAATAAGTTCTTACTACAGTAAATAACATGGTACACTTGTACAACTCTCCAAAATGTCGAGGTGGTTTAAATTTTCAGTGTCATCTGTTTCTTCAGTCACTAATTAGACCAGAGAGTCAGGTACACATATTTAATATTCTAGAAACAAAACTGTCTAACTTGTATATGATTTTACCTTTAATTAACATTTAGGTCTTTGATTTTAGGATATTTTGAGCTAGGTGGTGTTTTGCTTTAAATGTAATCTGGTATACAGTGATGGTTGAAAACCTAGGAGCATAGTACTTTTCAAATCTATTCTCTGTAAAGCATTAGGATGCTTGGAAATGTTGCAGTAGGTGGAATGGGCAAAGCGTGGGCAGTGCTGGTGGGGCCTCAGGCTCCTATCTCTATTCGGTTTTCTTTTTTTTTTTTTTTTCCTTTTTAAGTTGGAAGTGTTTCCCACCTCCCAAAAAAATAGAGAAGTATACAAAAAAGCAAAATGTTCCTTATATTATATATTGGAATTCCATGCAGGGTTTGGTTTTGGAAAAAAATGTTTCTGCTTCTTAAAAAATCAAAACCTAGTAAAAGTGCTTTTATTTGTCATCTGTTTTTTCAACACTAATAAAATAACATAAGAACAATATGTAATGAACAGCATGATTTTAAATAAGCTATTATAGGAGAAGTTGTAATATTTCAAAGATATGCTTAAATTTCATTTAAAAAGTGTTTTATCAATTCAAGAAAAAAATTAACAGTTTTTTTTTTAATATCACAAATGATCGTTTTGACCTTAGGTTCCTCAAAGAAAAACACAATCAGGTTGCTTTGATCTGGATTCTTCATTACTACATCTGAAAAGCTTCTCATCTAGAAGGTATTTATCTCAAAATTCATTTGTGTGTTTCAAACAGAATTTCACAAAATTCTGGTCTTTAACAATAAATAATGTTGATTCTAAACATCAGAATTGTAACAGGAATCTTATTTAGAGTATGATACCATGTACACACGCAGTTATTAAGGATGAGTGTGGAAGAAATTAAGGCAATGAGTAGCAACTATATAGTGGTCATCATAATAAACTCTTACATTGGTTTTAAGTGGTTTTATATATTTCTAGTTATTAACCTCTACTACCTTTTACTCTTTGACGGAAAAAAAAAAAACAACCTTGGCCATTTTTTTCCGTGTTGGCAAATAATACTCTGATTATAATCTTTAGTCACACAATTTTGCCCTTGTATTCTCATTCTTAACTGAAAATAAGATTGATATAGAAGTCTGCATTATTATTTATTTCCAGTAGATGCCACTATGTGATATGTTCTAAATTCCACCTCGAAACCTTTTAGGATGTGTGTATGTGTGTTTATAAAATATAAAATATAAAGAAAGATAAAATCTGGGAATTTAAAACTTGAAATTTTATATTTTAAAATTTGATAACATTAATTTATTATGGTAGTTTGAGTAGAGTTCAGATTTTCTTAATTTTGTACAAAAGTAAATAATATTGTGCCTTGGCTTGGTGACTCACACCTGTAGTCTCCAGCACTTTGGGAGGCTGAGGCAGGAGGATTGCCTGAAGCCAGGAGTTTGAGCTGTATGAGCTATGATGGTGCCACTGTACTCCCGCCTGGGTGACAGAGTGAGACCCTGTCTCAAGATTAAAAAAAAAAGTATTGTGGCTAATGTGTTCTTTTGCTGATTTGTTTTTCTAATAGTCCTCGACCATGTTTAAACATTGAAGATGATCCAGATATTCATGAAAAACCATTTTTGAGTTCTAGTGCTCCACCTATAACAAGTCTTAGTCTCCTAGGAAATTTTGAGGTAATGTGCTTTGAAACTGTTCTTTAAATGAAAATTTTATACCCTAGGTTCTAGGGTGTCATTTTATATGTCTTTAACTTTGGTTGTGAAAAGGAAAGAAATAATTGTCTTTTTTCAAGCCTTGAAATTACCTTTTTATTTTATTTTCACAAGAAGGGAAATCAGAATTGTTGGCAGTGATGTCTTAGAATTGGATAGCTGGTAGTGGAGAAGAGAAGACCTGATGAAATCAGGTTGGATTGAGGAATCTGTTACTTAAGCCGGGAGCATAGATTTGACCACATCTTCTTACTTGGTAAAATTGGGTCTAGGACCCAGAGAAAATAGTGGTGGGCTAATAGCAGCCCCCTCATAATCAGGGAAGTTGATTTGCAAAACCAAAAGGTTTTCTGTACTTTATTTGCAACTTTTTTGTAAATCTGCAGCTATTCTAAAGTAACAAGGTTATTTTTTAAAAATTCAAATAAAGATTTCTGATATGTTTACTCACAATATTTCTACTTGGGGTCAAGTAGAAATCATGGGTTTCAATTGTCTGTAATTAGAAATCAGCTTAACCTTAAACACGAACTTGTAAATGACATTTTTAAAGTGATTTTAACTGGTGAGTTTTTTAGGAGAAAATAATTAAAATTTTATATTTTTAAGATAAATAGTTTTACAGGAGTTGTGTTTTGATATATTAACCATTTGCTTTATAACTATTTTAATAGTGAAGCTATCTTTCACAGTCTTAGTGGAAATGAAAAGATATTTCATGGTAAGTCTTTTCCATGTCAATTCCAAGGTATCAGTTCAGAGATGTCAAGCTCTCTATTCCTCTTTGTCATCAAATTAAAATTGCATAGGCCATTGTTAGGGTCGGGTGGCTCAGCAACCTTTGTACTACAAGAAATTATTTTTCTTGCTCCTTTTGAGACATGTACTACAAAAAATGTATAAGTGAAAAAGAGAGCAGTCTGATATGTCAAAACTTTGGAAAAGGGAATGTATTAGACTGTTTTTGCATTGCTATAAAGAAAGGCCAGAGGCTGGATAATTTATAAAGAAAAGAGGTTTAATTGGCTCACAGTTCTGCAGGCTTTACATGAAGCATGGTGCTGGCATCTGCTTCTGATGAGGCCTCAGGGAGCTTTTACTTATAGTGGTAGGCAAAGTGGGAGCAGGCACATCATATGGTGAGAGCAGGAACAAGAGAGCAAGGAGGGAGGTGCCATATGCTTTTAAACAACCGGATCTCGTAAGAACCTACTGTTGCAAGGACAGAACCAAGCTATTTGTGAAAGATCCACCTCCATGACCGAAATACCTCCTACCAGGCCCCACCTTCAATTTTGGGGATTACATTTCAACATGAGATTTGAAGGGGACAATATGCAAACCATGTCAGGGAAGATAGTTAAAGATCAGTACACAGTTTTTTTCAGACGATTCTATTTGTGCAGATATACATACATTTTCCAAGTGACTTAAGAAATAGAGATGTTCTGAGACTATCCAACCCATAGGTCTTATTTATAATGAATTTGATGTTTTCTTCAGTAAATTACAGAAGATATTTCCTCTGCTTAGTGAATTTGACATTCTGTGCAATAAAAGATGGGGTTAGACTTGAGTCACTAAAATGACACATTAGACTTGTTTAATGAAAACAGGGCAAAGTCTTATCCCTGTAATGTTGTTGGGGGAAATCATGATCCTTAGACATTATTTGTGGGGCATTAGGTGGAGTCTGGAAACACATGGACACAGAATAACACCCAAATAGTCTAATAGCTAATAGTCACCTTTTCTTGCCACCATTTAGAGCAAGCTTGTCCAGCCTGCGGCCCAGGACAGCTTTGAATGCAGCCCAACACAAATTCGTAAACTTTCTTAAAATGTTGTTAGATTTTTTTTGTGATTTTTTTAAGCTCATCAGCTATTGTTAATGAGTGTGTATATGTAAGTATCTATATATATCTACATATATATTTTTGTTTGTTTGTTTGTTTGTTTGTTTTGAGACAGAGTCTCACTCTGTTCCCCAGGTCTGAGTGCAATGGTGCAACCTTGGCTCACTGCAACCTCCGCCTCCTGGGTTCAAGCAGTTCTCCTGCCTCAGCCTCCCAAGTAACTGGGATTACAGGAGCGCGCCACCATGCCCAGCTAATTTTTGTATTTTCAGTAGAGACGAGTTTCACCATGCTGGTCAGGCTGGTCTCAAACTCTTGAACTCAGGTGATCCACCTGCCTCGGCCTCCCAAAGTGCTGGGATTACAGGCATAAGCCACCACGCCTAGCCAATATTAGTATATTTTACATGTGGCCCAAGACAATTCACATTTTACATATGCCCCAAGACAATTCTTCTTCCAGTGTGGCCCAGGGAAGCCAAAAGATTGGACACCCCTGATTTAGAGTTTTCTACTGCAAAACCTTGTCATCATCCATTCAATTCATCTGTCCTGTGATTTTCTTCATTCAGTTCAGTCCAGCATAATACAACCATTGGAAATGAGTTATTTTTCCTATATGAGGGAATCTTAGTGCTTTCTGTCACTGTAAAATAGCTTGTATATTCTATAATTTTATATAAATGTAGTCACACAGTATTTACTCTTAGGGGGTGGCTTGGGGATTTATTTAAGTGAGTGTCATTGTTTTTAAGATAATCCATGTTGTCCTGCATATCAAGAGTTCATTCGTTTTTATTACTGTTGTATGGATAGACCACAGTTTGTTTATTCATTCACCTGATTTTAGACATTTGGGTTGTCACCACTTCGGGGTTATTAAAAATAAAGCTGCTATAAACATTTGTGTATGAATTTTTATGTGGACATAAATTTTCATTTCACTTGGGTAACTACATTAGAATAGAACAGAATAGAATAGAGAATAGAATAGAATAGAATAGAATAGAATAGAATAGAATAGAATAGAATAGAATAGAATAGAATAGAATAGAATAGAATAGAACAGAACAGAACAGAATAAAATAGAATAGTTTAACTGTTAAGAAACTGCCAAGCTATTTTCCAAAGTGATTATACCATTTTAATTTGCATCAGCATCGTATGAGAGTTCTAGTTCTTCCACATCCTTGCCATTGTTTGCACTGATCAGTCATTTTCATCTTAATTATTGTGGTTTTAATTTGTATTTCCCTGATGACTATTGATGTTGATCCTCTTTTCCTGCACTTACTTGCCAAATAAGCATATATGTTTTCCAAATATTTTTTCCAAGTCTGAAGTTTGGCTGTACATTTTTGTGATAGTGTCTTTACAAGAGTAAAAGATTTTAAGTTTTTTGATGTCGAATTTTCTTTATGAATCTTACTTTTGATGTTGAATCTAAAAAAACATTGCCTAGCCCAAGGCTTCTTTACACTAATACTGTTGATATTTGAGTTAGATAATTCTTCTGAAGGGCTGTTTGTGCATTGTGGGATGTTTAGCAGAATCTCTGGCCTCTACCCACTTGATTCCAATAGTACCCCCATGCCTAGTTCTAGCAACCAAAAATGTCTTCATATATTACCATATATCCCCTGGGTGAGAACCACTGGCCCAACCCAAGGTCACAAAGCTTTTTTTCTGTTTTCTTCTGAAAGTTTGTATTAGCTCATACGTTTAGATCTGTGATCTATTTTGAGTTAATTTTTACATGATAGGAGGTGTGCGATCAAGGTTCCCTTTTACGCATATGGATGTTCAATTTTCTAGTCTTGAAATCAGGTAATGTGAGTCCTAACTTTATTGTTCTTTCTCAGAATTGCTTAAACTATTCTAGCTCCTTTATCTTTTCATATAAATTTTAGAATCATCTTGTCTATTTCCACAAAATAGCCTGCTGAGATTTTGTTTGGCCTACATTAATACAGGTCGATTGGAGGAAAATTGACATCTTAAAAATATAAAGTCTTTCAATCCCTGAAATTCATTTATTTATATATTCTTTTATTTGTTTCATCAGTGTTTTATAGTTTTTAGCATGCATATCTTGGACATCTTTTTTATTTTTAATAGGGGTAGGGACTTTTCTCTGTCACCCAGGCTGGAGTGTAGCTGCGTGATCATACCTCACTGCAGCCTGGATCTCCTGGGTTGAAGCATTCATCCCACCTCAGCCTCCCAAGTAGCTAGGACTCTACGCTTGTACCACCACACCCAGCTAATTTTTTAAAAAATTTTTGTAGAAATAGGGCCCTGCTGTGTTTGCACAGGCTTTTCGTAAACTCCTGGCCTCAAGCAGTCTACTCACCTCAGTCTCCCAAACTGCTGGGATTACAAGTGTAAGCCACCACGCCTAGCCCAGATTTTTGATATCTTTTTGTAGATGTATACCTAAGTATTTCATGTTTTCTGGGATATTGTAACTTAAAAATTAATTGTCAATTGTTCATTGCTAGTATTTTTAAATGAATGTATGTGTGTGTGTGTTATCTACAAAAAATCGCCAGTGATCTTGCTCAACTCACTCACTAATTTCAGTAGATTTTAAAAAATAATCCTTGGGATTTTTCTACATAGACAGTCTTGTCATCTATAAATAGGGATAGTTTTGGCTTTTTTATTTTCGTGCCTTTTTTTTTTTTCTTGTCATACTGCACTGAGTGGGGCCTAGCATATATGCTTGTATATTAAATTTACAAAAATCTAAAATATCTCAGATAAAGTCAGCAACTAATATTGGTCATTTGCCTTAATCCATAAACATTTTTGTATGTACCTCTCCTATGAAAATTTTTTGCACCTTCAGAATAGACTTTTTATTTGGGAAATATTTGTTGAGTACTTACTATGTGCTAGGAATACAAAGTTTAAATGATAAAGTTCCTGCCTTAGAGACGTTTATTGTCTACTGGAGAAGGTGGGCATATAATTTACCCAGGTGAGTAAATAATTTATAAACTCAAGTAATTAGCATTGTAATAGAAGTTGCCTAGTACTTGTGTATCTACTATCTCTGCTAAAAGGATTGAGGAAAGCTTTACTGAGGAGCTGTCATTTGAGCTTGGTCACAAAAGATGAGAAGGAATTTGCCAGGTAAATTTGTTCAGGAATCAGAGATTCTAGACAAAGGGAACTTCATGTGCAAACGTAAAAGAGCATGGCAATGTTGGAAAGGATCAACTGGAGCTAGAGCATGGGACTCTGTATATGTTGGGAGAGATGAAATGAGAGGCATGGTGGAGCTTAAGTGCTGTGCTATGAATGTTGACCTCATCCTATAGACAGCAGGAAACAAAGTTTTTAAGTGGTAGGTGATACTATAAGGCTTTTTTCAAAAAAAGAAAAAGAACTCTGGCAGTAGTACAGAGGATACACTACAGATGGAAAGACTAATTAGAAGATGTAGCATTTATTCAGAGGAGAGGTTATGAGGATCACCTAGGTCACTAGGATAGTGGTAGTAGTGGGGATGGAAATGAGGCCCTGAGACTGAGAGGTAAAATCAACAGGATATGGATTGGATTGATTAGAGGGCAAAAAGGAGATATAGAAGGTTGATTGTGACCCAGGTCTTTTGGCTTTATCTTTTTGATCAGGAGATTAGAATTGCTGATATGTCACTGTTTCACATTTAGACTACACAAACTTTTAGAATCATGAGGCTTTGTAGCATTTCTTTTCAAAGAATTAATCAAAGGAATGCTACTCACATTTCATGATGTATACATATATGTGTTGATATATTTATATAAAATAAAGCTTGTGAAAAGTTTTAAATGTTTCTCATAAGTGGGAAAATAACCACTAAATTTTAAAAGTAGTTATCTCAGTGAGTGACCTTGGGGGAGGGATGGATAAGGAGCTTCTGTACTATTTCTGTACTTCTAAACTTTTTATAAATGCACATTTTTATGTTTTAAACTAAAACATATCACATACTACAGTATTTATAAGAGAAGCAATTATTTCTCGGTTAGAATTATAAGTGCTTGACTTCATCTTTTGATGGAACTTCCATATATAACCTGTTAGGTTTTCAGGTGTTTCTCTGTGTCTAGCACCATGAATAGGCACTGTGAGGGATAAATACCTGCTCTGATAGAGCATATTTTTAAATTTACAGATATAAAAACAACATAGTAAACAATTAGGCCTAACTAATGCTGAAGTTGCAGGAGAGTTCAGTGTGAGTTGGAATAGTGAGAGAAGACCAAACTGTTGTAGGATGGTAGAAGACTGATGGGAGATGCAGTTGACTTCAAGTCAGATGAAAAGCAGAAATAAGGACATGGCAATGGTAACAACCACTGTTCTAGTGCTAGAAAGCATAGTAATATATTTCTTTTAATCACTTCTCTGCCTTTAGACTAAGTGTATATTTCTTTAAATAGAAAAAAAATGAATGTGTTAGCTTTTTTAATTGAGTTTTTAAAATTATTTTGTCTTCCAGGAATCTGTCTTGAACTATCGTTTCGATCCTCTCGGCATTGTTGATGGTTTTACTGCCGAGGTAGGGGCAAGTGGTGCTTTCTGCCCCACACATTTGACTCTTCCAGTTGAAGTGTCATTCTACAGTGTTTCAGATGACAATGCTCCCTCTCCTTATATGGCAAGTATTTTTTATATTGTATGTTTTCCTGCCAAATCAACCAACTTAATGACAAATTTAAGTGCTTTGATGCAGTACTTGAAAATATAAATCATTTCCTAACAGCTGAATACAAACTAATATGCCAAAATATTACCTCACAACTTCTTTCTAAGCTAGTTCAAACAACAGATAACCTCTTTTGCATTTAAGGATGGTACTAAAAATGTACTTATTTCTCTTTGTCTTGAAAAAATGATAAAAATTGATTAGTGACACTGTAATTCCATCTTGCTGAGTTCACACACATTCTCAAATGCTTAGTGTGCACTGTGTCCTCTAGTCCTACAAGGCTTTGGTGACATAAGGCTTCTGTATGGCCCTTTTACTCCCTTTTCGGTTTGGTTTGTCTTTGGGCCTATTTTTTTCTAATCCTAGGGTTCTTTTTTTTTTTTGACAGCATCTCACTCTCTTGCCTAGGCTGGAATGCAGTGGTGCAGTCATAGCCCACTGTAGCCTCAAACTTCTGGCCTCAAACCATCCTCTTGCCTTGGAGCTCCTAAATAGCTGGGTCTACAGATATGCGCCACCATGCCTAGCTAATTTTTATGTTTTGTAGAGGCAGGGCCTCCCTATATTGCCCAGGCTGGTCTTGAACTCCTGGCCTCAAGCAGACCTCCCACTTTGGCCTTCCAAGTGTTGGGATTACAGGCATGAGCCACCACAACTGGCCTAATCCTAGAGTTCTTTAGGATACTAGCTACTTCAGACTCACGCTAATGTCTTAATGGAGAGTGAAATAACTAAGAGGAGTTACAGCAAGCTTGTCCGGCCTACAGCCCACATGCAACCCAGGAAGGCTTTGAATGTAACCCAACACAAATTTGTAAACATTCTTAAAACATTATGAGATTTTTTTGTGTGATTTTTGTTTTTTAGCTCATCAGCTATTGTTAGTGTTAGTATATTTTATGTGTGGCCCAAGACAATTCTTCTACCAGTGTGGCCCAGGGAAGCCAAAAGATTGGACACCTCTGAGTTATAGTGTTGAGCCTTAAGATCAATCTTATGATTTCACCTTTCCAATTTTTTTATTCCAATGGCTTGTGGATAATATAAGCATTCATTTGCAAAAACAATACTGAGTACTAGTATATGATTAGTATCAGCCCTCTTCCAAAAGACAAAGAGAGACAAGTAGCTAGCCATGCAGGTCTGTAAAAAGTTGACAGTGATGGTATCAAATATGGAGTCAAATCTGGGTTTTCATTTTAGGTGTTACTTTTGAGAAATGCAGATTACTGTAGGCATTGAACATTATAGCCTAGTCTTGCTGCTTGAATTTCCTAACTTACTATCTGGCCCAACTGCTTCCTCTCCTAACACCCCTCTCCACAACCTTCTAGGTTTTCAAGGACATTAGTAACAATGACTTTTGTCATTAATAAAAGCTGTAAAAAGGGACATCTATACAATTGAGAAACAACAGAGAGGAAAGGAAGCTACTTTTAGGAACCTATATGTGGCCTACTCATTACTGGCCCAGTTTCTTCAAGGAAAGCTTACTCCATTCTAAGGGTGAAGATTTTAGTCAAGAGCTTGATTAGTGTTTGACACTTTGATAGAAAAAGCAGAGTGGTGACTGCTTATTTATTCAAAGTTTTCTTTTCCCAACAACGTTCACATCTGTGGGTCATAAGCATGAAGATGCCCAGCATAGGTTATTATCGAAAGAAGAGGCCCCCTTCACAAACCTGCCCAGTTATTACATATGCTACCTGTTCATTTACCATAGAAAGATGTACCCACTTTTCCAGAATTATTTTGAAAAAATAACTGCTAATTTTGGACACTTAATAAAATGGAAAGTACCACTGAGATAAGTTTAATACCAGAATAAATGCATATTATACTCGAATGCTTACAATATGAGAATATAGCAACAGCCTGTTTTGCCTTACCAGGACATCAAGAATCTGATCAGTTTCACACCTTTTACTGGCATATAGTAATAGAGGATGGAAAGATAAGGTCTCAAATACTGTGATCTGGCCAGGCACAGTGGCTCATATCTGAATCCCAGCACTTTGGGAGGCTGGGGCGGACAGATCACCTGAAGCTGGCAGATCGCCTGAGGCCAAGAGTTCAAGACCAGCCTAGCCAACATGATGAAACCCTGTCTCTACTAATAATACAAAAAATTAGCCGAGCATGGTGGCACACGCCTGTAATCCCAGCTACTCAAGAGGCTAAGGCAGGAGAATCGCTTGAACCCGGGAGGCAGAGGTTGCAGTGAGCCGAGATCGCGTCATTGCACTGCAGCCTGGGCGACAAGAGCAAAACTCCATCTCAAAATAAATAAAATAAAATACTGTGATCTATCATTAGTGAACAGAGTCCCTGTTGGCCATTAGGATGGCTTGGAAACAAGATAAAAGAGTAAACTGGCTGAAAATCAGCTCAAATAAATATCTTTGATGGAAATTAATGAGCAAGAGGTAACTTGAACTATGCTTTTAAAAAGCAAGACAGCATTAATCTTTCACCTTAGTTGATATCTCAAAAATGAAGGATTGGGAGATAAAAGATTTTGTCACTCCAGAAAGTACTAGAGATGTACACGCAGATGATTGCAGATTGTTAAATAGGTATTGGCAAGGGTATAAATCAGGTTACTGAATTTAATCTATGCTTTTGAGAAACTCTGACTTTCTTTTCTCTGATAACATTCTTGAGTCAACTATCCCATTTATATTTTTCCTATGAAAAAATTAGAACATTTTCAAAAAATAGTCTGTATTTTTCTATTAAAAGTTTACTTACCAGGAATGCATTCTTTTTGCAAGTGACCCAGTTCCAGTCTTTCCTGCTATGAATTAATTTTGTTCCTCAGGGAATATTCTCTTTATTTTTGTAGTTGAATCTGTTTTCAAAGAATGTGATTATGTTTTGGTAAGACTATACATATCACAGACCAGCAGAGCGAAGACATAAAACACTTGTTACTCTTATAATAACCTTGTTACTCTAATAATAATTTTGGGACCTCTTATCACAGATTATACAAATGACTCACAAGGGTAAAATTTTAGCACAGAAAATCCTATCTTTGTGGTATAGAGGTGGTATAGGACTTCTCATTAAATAATTCCCTTAAAGATTAACTCAAAGCCATATAATATTATTCTCCGGTTGGGAGTCAGTGGTAAAAATGTTCTCCAAGTGTTATATGACAACACTTAGCTGTTTAGAAACGGTTGCAGTGTGAAACCAGGCAGAAATATCTAAGGCAGGTGTGCCAGTGGCAAATTTCTAATAAGACTTTCATTATAATATTAGGGCCACGTATGATTTCCTTTCTTTGTAATTAACCAGATCAAGATATAGTTCTTTCAGTTTTCCACTTACTTGTGCATATTCCCTATTCCATAATAATCTGAGCAATTTTTGTATAAGATTTTGAGCATATTTATTTTAACCCTACTATTCCATTTTAAAATCCCAGAAGAAGGGCCGGGCATGGTGGCTCACACCTGTAATCCCAGCACTTTGGGAGGCTGGGGCAGGCGGATAACTTGAGGTCAGGAGTTCAAGACCAGCCTGGCCAACATGGTAAAACCCCGTCTCTACTAAAAGCACAAAAATTAGCTGGGCGTGATGGTGGGCGCCTATAATCCCAGCTACTCGGGAGGCTGAGGCATGAGAATGGCTTGAACCCAGGAGGCAGAGGTTGCACTGAGCCAAGATCGTGTCACTGCACTCCAGTCTGGATGACAGAACAAGGCTCCATCTCAAAAAAAAAAAATGCCAGAAGAAAATGTGTTTTTCTCTTTTGTGTTAAATATGGTAACTTTTTCTAGGTATAAATATTAATATGCTGATCAATTAAAATGATGAAATTATTACAATAATGATGAATAATAAAATTCCAAATAATTTCCCAGTCCCTTTCTAAAATTCCTAACTTGCCAATGCTACTAGTCTTAACATTGCTTACAAATTGTTTTAAATTGTTGCCTTCAACTTTATGGTTTTTTTCAAAAAGCTGTTTTTTTAAATAAATTGATTTAGTTACTGTGTTCTAAAAACTATTGGAATTGAATGTATTAAAGGAAACAAGTATAAACTTGGTAGTAGTTGCCTTACCAGTTTTACTGTATGTATTTGGTGGGGAGGCAGATGGCTGGCAAGGAAGAACGGTAATATATTACGTGTAGTTATGTGATTTTAAAGATAGCTATTATTTAGGTATATTTTACTTTTTCTTTCTGAAACTAGGAAGAAAACATGTATAATATACCATATCTTTTTCATGTAGAGTAAATAGCCACACTCTGCTCATTTAAAAAAAAGTGGTATACAGAGTACCTCATTAGGCACGTAGGGCAGATTGTAAGAGATAAATTGTTAAAGTTTCATTGCTGTTTTGGTTAGGGTTGCAGTTTGTTGATGTGCTTTTTTCATGCTTTAAATAACCATATGACAAATCTGATTTGTCAAGAACCACGTATGTGTTAACCTTAATGTGTTAATTTAATAATCTGATGTCAAGTGTTGTTCACTTGGAGTAAATTCATATGTCAGAATGTGGCTTTCCCTTTTACCTTTATCCACTCCTTTTTACTTCCTAACCCTGGTCCAACTTCCGAACCCAACAGAGAGACGTCACCTGATAGAACAGTGCTGTTTTATATTTGCTTTTACATAAGTTTGGCATGTACAATGTATAATAATGAAATCATGAAATGTAGAACATACAGTTCTCCTTAACTACTTGAAAGAAAAGTATTAGCCCAGTTAACGTAAATGCATCAGCATTCATTTTTTAAAGCTCTTTAAGTATCACAGCCTGGGCACGATGGCTCACGCCTGTCATCCCAGCACTTTGGGTGGCAGAGGCGGGTGGATCACCTGAGGTCAGGAGGTCGAAGCCTGGACAACATGGTAGAACCACCGCCCCTGCCCCCAACCATCTCTACTAAAAATACAAAAATTAGCTGGGCGTGGTGGTGAGTTCCTGTAGTCCCAGCTACTTGGGAGGCTGAGACAGAAGAATCGCTTGAACCCGGGAGGCAAGGGTTGCAGTGAGCCAAGATTGTGCCACTGCACTCCAGCCCTGGTGACAGAGTGAGAAAGCATCTCAAAATAATAATAATAATAATAATTAAGTATCACAATTACCACTGATAGTCATTTGGTTATCCTGGTTATTGATCATCCTGGTTATTGAGAAACTTTTACACATTCAATTTGAACTTACCTTGTTTTAACATACACTTTTTCCCCATTGATTGCATTTTTGCAGTAAGGAGAACATCCTGAGAAAAACTACTTCATATAGTAGAGCAGGGCTCCCAAACCTTAATGTAAATTGATATAATCTGGAGAATCTTGTTAAAATGTATATTTGACTTTGTAAGGTCTGGGAAGAGGCCAGACATTTCACATTCCTAACGAGTTCACAAGTGATGCTGATGATGCTCATCTGAGGATCATTCTTTGAGTACCAAACTAACTGGAGGACTCCTGATATCCTCTTTTAGACTTCTCTAGTGACATGACCCTAATTTAGCTTTAACCTTGACTCAAATCAGCTCTCAATCCATTGTGTTCTGATTTAGAATCAATTTGGATTCTTAGATTCCTTAATAAGTAAATGACCAAACAAAATCAAAATACCTTAATAATATCCAGATTAAGACACAACATGATATAAAGTTGTTTCTGAAGAAATATTTAATTTTAGGAAAGTGAGATTTTATAGCTTTACTATAGAACATTCCACAGCCTTAAAGTTACTGATTTAACTTTCATTTTTCACTTTTTGTCTTAAACATCTCTTATCCCATAAAGTAGTACCAGGCAGGAACTACAGACTTCCAAATTGCTTTTCTATTTTTTTTCCTGTCTTTATTCAGAAATCCAGATATGTAACTTAACTCCCAGACTGAAGAATTGACTTTATTTTTGGCCAAGGCTTACTTTCCTACACTTGTGACTTTTTACATGCCCGAAGACCAATAAATTACTTGCTTCTTCATTTCCCCTCTCCCTCAAGATACATGGGAAGGGTCCTATTACCTTCCTTTATTTCCTTTTTAGTTAGGAACTTCTTTCTTTTATTCCTATATCTTAATAGTAATTTTGAGTGCTGTGGCCATTGATGTTATATATTCTTTATAGCGACATCACCAGGAGGAACAGTAAAATGTTTCCTTAGGGGTAGAAACATAGAATGTATCTCTATTAATTCAATATGAATGTTTTTCCATAGAAATAGAATTCTGAAATTTTAATAAATTACATGAGTTATTCTTATTTTAGTCTTTTATGTACATATGCATCAGTTTGTACTCAATTTGTCTTCTTTTATTTCAAGGGTGTGATTACTTTAGAGTCCCTTGGTAAAAGGGGTTATCGAGTACCTCCTTCAGGAACAATACAAGTGGTATGTGTTTTATAGCCTACAATTGCAATAATCATTCTCTCACATACATATAGAACTTAGCCCTTTCTCCTGCTACTGCTGCTGCAACAACTTTGGTAAGTAACAGTGGGGCTGCAGCTTTGTTTGGAGTTCCCCTGCTCTGCCCCAGGAATGACCATTTGGGGACCTCCATAAAAGGAAAGCATTAATAAGCTAATCAAGGTGAATACTTAAGAAAAATAGCATATGACAGTTTGCATAACTTCAATAGGACTCTTCAATACATATTTAGAACCTAATATTACTGGTGCCTTCTTTTTAATAAACCAAATTGAGACGAACCTGTTTAAAAGGAGACCCCAAATATTAGAATTGCTTTCACAGGAAAACTTGGGAAACAAAATTATTTTATTTCTAATAATTTCTAAAATTGATTTAATGAGATGACCACACAAAGCAGAAATATAGTCTGACAGATGTCAGGGCAGAGAAGGCATCATTCCTTTTGGTCTAGGCATTGATCTCTTTTGGCTCAGGAGAGTCCTGCTGTCTCAGAACAGTCCTTCATCATCCCTGGTCTAGGGTTCTCAGAAGAATAATCTGATATTAAGGCCAGCTTGAAATTGAGTTAACTCTAGATCTGACCCAGCGTAATCCTGCAAGCCCTCAAATCTATTACAGAGTTTGCAGACTGAAAGAGAGTCTAGCTAAGGCTTGCTCCTCATACCCAGGATTTGATCTAATCCAACAAGCCTTTGTATGACCTTTGACCTCAGTGTGTTCAGTACTTTGTCAGATCACTTTTACTCATCATCATTGTTCCAATACTGCAAGGAATCTGTATATTTGTTTATTTCATATCACACAGGAATGAAACAGAAGTATGTAACATGTGTACGTGTGTGTATATATATATATACACACATATATAGTAATATTTATATAAGTTTGAGGAGGAATTACCACAAGAATACCACAAGTAAACCGATTTCTTGAAGTAAAGGAGTGACAGTGTTCTCTTGCCTTCGGCTATGCAGCTCATGAGAAAGTGTGGGTCAGTGGAAAGCTAGCTGTCAGTTGTGATAATAATGAATCATAAACTCGGAGGTAACACATTCACCTCTTGTTTGGAGACTGCCAGCTTTAGTGGTTAATTATATGTCTTCTATTCTGTATACAGTTTAACTGTGTATAAACATGATTTGAACTCCTGGCTTATGAGGTGTGGTTGTTGAATGTATTAGCCTTAATCTTAAGACTCACTAGATTTCAAAAACTGGATTATGATATTGATATATTTCTCATTTTGATTCAGTGAGTGATGTCCAGTGCCACGGATGAGCTTCTGAAAGCATGGGTACCAAGTTACCTATTGATGTGTTGGTAATTTGGTTAAAGTCAGATCAGCAGCTTGGGGTTTTGTTTCAAAACGAGTACTTTAAAAATAATATTCCTTCAATTATTCATAACCAAGCAACAATTGAATTTAATTCAGTCTTTACCAGGATACATATTTTGGTCTATAATAATATTGAGAATTTTTTAAGGGCTAGTGTTGCTACAAATTTTGAAATGATTCCATGTATGAGTAAATGAAGTATTAGCCTACTTTAGATCTAATTAATTAATAATAGTGAGCTTTGTTTTCTAAACTTGGGGAAATGTTCAGATAGGAAAAAGTCTCTTCTTTGAGCACCTATTTTAAATTTTATAATAATCATATGTACCTAAGACATCAAACATGCTAATTTTACAGAGCTTGTATTTTTATTTGAAATATTCTGTTTGCTATTAAAATGTGAGAAAAATTAAAACTCAATTTTGAGAAGTTTGAACTTGATACTCTTTAGCAAAGCTATTATGTTTGAAATAATTGAACTGGAATATTTTAACCCAATAAGGATGTATTTTGCTTAAGCTACTGGAACTATTCCTTAAAGTTGCTCCTCTGAACAAGGAGTAAAATTTATATATATGAAATTTGTGACTAAAGATTTTGATTTGTTATTGGACCTTATATTATTGTAAAACAAAAAATTGAACCTTTTAAAAAATAATATTATTTCTTAAACTTTTGAAATTGTGTTAATTTTAGTCCTTGAAACTGAATTATATTCAGTGGTATTACCTTGTTGTTTAAAATCTTGTTTGATTATTGGCACAATCATTCTGAATCACATCAACAAATCACTATTTTTAAAGAATAATTTCTATATTGTTTCTTCAGACCTTATTTAATCCTAATAAGACTGTGGTGAAGATGTTTGTTGTGATATATGATTTACGAGATATGCCAGCCAATCATCAGACATTCCTACGACAAAGAACTTTTTCTGTACCTGTTAAACAAGAAGTGAAGAGAAGTGTTAATAAAGAGAACATCCGACACACAGAAGAACGGTTATTACGCTACCTCATACATCTGAGGTAATGCTTCAAATTAATATGAAAATGTTACTTTAGAACAACTCTAAAATTTTTAGTTTTTTTTTTTAAACTGTGACTCTAACTAGACCAGTGTCCCTTGGGACTTTGCTTAGCTTGGGAACTCTTGATGATGTGCCAAGATGCCGAAAGTACATGGCATACCTTCCTGTGGTGGTCATTACTTGTTGAATTAGGGAAGTTTTCATTTATAGCTGTTTAATATAAAATATTTTATGCCAAAACACATGCATCTGGGGCAGTGAAACACATTTTCTAAACGAATACTATTTAAAAATGTAATACGAGGGCCGGGCACAGTGGCTCACACCTTGTAATTCCAGCACTTTGGGAGGCCAAGGTGGGCCAATCACCTTCAGGAGTTTGAGACCAACCTGGCCAACATAGTGAAACCCTGTCTCTACTAAAAATACAAAAATTACCTGGGCATGGTGGTGGGAGCCTGTAATCCCAGCTACTCAAGCTGAGGCAGGAGAATTGCTTGAACCCGGGAGGTGGAGGTTGCAGTGAGCTGAGATCACACCATTGGACTCCAGCCTGGGTGACAAGAATGAGACTCCATCTCAAAAAAAAAAAAAAAAGTAATATGAGCCATATAAATCATTTTATATTTTTCTTTTTTTTTTTTTTTTTTTTCTTCTTGAGACGGAGTCTCACTCTGTTCATCAGGAGGAGTCACCTTTCATCTCGGGTCCAGGCAGAAGACTTCTTCAATCTGTTATTGCTGATGGGGACCACCTGCTATCTTTCTTTATATATGCCTTGCAGTGGTGTTCTGGAGTGAATAAGCAGTGAGCTGTACACTCAAGTCCCATACATGAAAGTCCGTTAATTATTCTCCCCAAAGCTCTATTTAATTAGTTCTTTCATCTCAGTCTTCTGCCTGTTCTGTATGCAAAAGACGTGTTCAGCCAGCACAATGTATTTCAACCAAATCTGACACTACCTGATGTAAGCCACATGGGAAATGTTACACAGATTGTGGGAATGAAAAATCTATGAAAAACAGACTTGGAAAACTTTTTTTAAAAGACATGGTATAGCCGGGCACGGTGGCTCACACCTATAATCCCAGCACTCTGGGAGGCCGAGGTGGGTGGATCACCTGAGGTCAGGAGCTCAAGACCAGCCTGGCCAACATGGTGAAACCCCATCTCTACTAAAAATACAAAAATTAGCCAGGCGTGGTGGTGGACACCTGTAATCCCAGCTCCTCAGGAAGCTGAGGCAGGAGAATCACTTGAACCTGGGAGCTGAGATTGTACCACTGCACTCCAGCCTGGGCAAAGGAGCAAGACTCTCACATGAATGAATGAATGAATGAATGAATGAATGACATGGTATGAAATAGCAGACTATAAGAATACCTACCAAACTAGAAAAAGATTCAACCCTCTCTGGTTAAACTTGCATTTGACAGCATTCCTCTTGAAGTTTAACAACCATAGCTATTTGTAACCAAAACCAATACTGGCCAGAGTAAAAATCAGCCACCTTAGCTTTTATAATCTCCACATAATGACAGGATACTTTAAAGAAACCTTTTTGGGGAAAACTGTACACTTCCCAAAGAATGTTCTCCTTCAGTTTGGGAAGGTGAAAAACTTCAGAAAGGAGGGAAGAGTGAGCCAGTCAGAGCCAGTCTGTTTTAACATACAGAGCTGTAACCACCACATCTTTCAGCTAGTTCAGGAGTAAAATCCACAAACCCAGAGAGTATTTATGCTATGCCAAGGGAAAAACAAAGAGAAATTAGCACTACAGGGTATGTTTGTCTGTTTGGTAGGTAAGTTAATGTGAGTGAAGATTCCAAATCCCTGCACTGTATTACAGATATTAGCAGTGGATAGAAACAGTTTCATATACAGTTTTGATAGCCATTTTCATTTTACTGCTAACTTTTCTCTTGACTTTTGATGGTGGCTGGGTTTTACTTAGCCTAGCCACTGCTGATTATAGCAGTTTTTTATCATCTACCCCAAATCATGGGAGGCTAAGCTGTGTGAAATGGGTCAGTCTATGGAGCTAGAAGATGCCAGGGCTACAGAGCCCAAATGTAATGTTATTGAGTAATGTGAGTGAACTGCCACGTGAACCTGCAGATGAGGAAAGGTGCATGTACTGTGGAGTCAGGGAGGAAAAGTAAGATTTATTTGACACTCAGATTTACAGGAAGAAGCATCTCAGGCACTGAGGGAAGGAAAAGGAGTATGAGTTATTTAGGGAATGGTAAGAGAGCAGCATTTAAATAAAAGCATATGCTTTGGTCTTTAGAAAGATCTTAAATATCATGTTAAAGAGTTAGTGTTGACCTAATATTGTAGCAAGATTTGTTCTTCCTACTTTCAAATTTTAATTATTCTAGTTTCTTTTAAAGACTCGTTCTCTGAAATGTTTTATATTTTGTTTATTTGTTTAGGTTCCAGAGTTCTAAATCTGGAAAGATCTACCTCCATAGAGACGTACGGCTCCTGTTCTCTAGAAAGTCAATGGAGGTTGATAGCGGTGCTGCATATGAACTCAAATCTTACACTGAATCACCAACAAACCCTCAGTTTTCACCAAGATGTTGATAAGGAGTGATGATTTAAAGTATTTACTCAGTACCCAAGTTTGCAAGTAAAAATTAGCATAGAATGGAGTGTACCAAATTAACAATCAGGAGAGTGGATTCTCTCCTGTTATCCTGGACCAGTTTTTATGAAAGGATTCCTGAAATGAAATCCATATATTCCATGTAGACTGGAAAAACTCATGTCCTAATCCTTTTTGTACTGTTGAAACCACTTCATTGGACATGTTGCAATAGCAAAACCCCCAGTTAGATTAGTGTTTACACATTTTCTCAGTTATTTAATATTTAATGTTTTCCTTAATACTCAAGTGATGTTTGTCTCTAGTGTTCTAATGTAGCACAAATCCTATGTAAAATCATACTATGTATTTTTGACATTAATGTTGAAATCAAATATATGCACAAGTCTTTAATTTTGTGTAATGTGTTAAGTGCTGTTCATTTAAGTTATTGAAAATGAGAATAAAATGTTGAGCTTCTTTAAAAGTAACACACTATGCAAGCATGTGTACTTTTTATATCTCTCATGTTTAGTTTTTATAACACCATATCCAGGTTGCTATCTCACATAGTAGTCCTTTAACATATTGTATTAGCAGTGCAATGTGGACTAAGCTGCTTCACTTTCCCTTTGCAAGTTCAGATCATCATGCCCATTCATAGCCAGGATTCCTTATCCCCAAAACAGTTCTATTTTTCCTTAATCACTACTATAGAGTCTTTACATTAAATTACTGTCGTATGCTAGATAATTTTCTCAAATTGTTAAAAGAATATGTACTTTGGAAACAAATTAGTATTTATATTGTAAATATATTCAAAAAAAACTAAGAAACGTGTACTTGGCTTTTATTTGTAGATGAGACATTTATGTGATTGAGTGAATTAGCCATTAGACATTTTCATTCTAGCTCTACAGCTGCAAAGAGGGAGGGGGAAGATGTCTTGAGTCTTGTTCCCAATTTATCACTAAGTGCATCAGAAATCTGTCTTCCAACACCCTTGGAAAGAACAGGGTGGTTTTTAGATGTTTGTGCTCAGACAGCGGGCAACAGCAGATTAAATAACAAGGCAAAAATACTAGGAATGCTGGTAGAAATCTATGACCGCAGGTTAAAAAAAAAGACCACTCAAGTAGGCCAGACCCAGGAGACCTGGGAATCTAGAACCTGGTAAGCAGTCTGGAATTGGGAAAGGAGAAAATCTACTTTTGGACCCAGGCATTAGACCGCTTAAGAGAATCTATCAGTCCAGGTGATGAGTGTGTGGCTGCAGGCCAGCAGGCTGTGGAATGGCAAGCAGATACCTTTTATATATTTCTTTTAAAATATCAGTTAAAAAAAGGCTATTTATATTCCATAAAACTAAAAAAAAAAATTTCAGTGGTACAAATTTATGAAGATTGTTTTCAATCTTTAGACTGTGTGGAAAACAGATGGGACAAGGACCCAAAGGTTTGGATTGTAGTCCCAGCTCTAATGGTATCTGATGGAACTGACTCTAGGAGTCCCCTAATGTTTCCAGGTCTGTGTGATTGAGAAAATGTGGTGAGAGTATATGATTAATGTGCCTTCTCTTCTTAAATTCTGTTATCTAATCCTTGAAATAAGCATTTCGATACATAAATCTAGATATGCATTTGGCAAAAGTCAATATTGATAATTTTATATAAAACTTGAAAAACATCAAAAACATTTTTAAATTTCTTTTTTGACCTCTCCAGTAAAGTTTACCCAAAAAATAGTCACATACTTGTGTGCAGGTGTCTTTTTGCATGGATACCACACCGGAATTCTTTCTAGTAAACAGTCTTCCAACCTTTCTGAGCACTTTTTAGAAACTTTGAAGTTGAATGGAACACCTGGGTGCATCCTGTGCTTTCTTCCTGGAAAGTTTGTGCAGAGCAAGCACGTGCTGACCTTTTGCTCCTCTACTTCTTAGGGCCTTTTTCACTTATGTTTTTCCTCTGTGAGGTATAATTACCCAGCGTCTGTCTGTTCTCACTTGCCCTGGCATTGTCTCTATCACGCTGGTTCTTTCTCTACCCTTGTGTAGTTATAGGCCAAGGCATTACCACATCTCTATTATCTGTATTCAAAGATTATGTCACTGGATTATATAACAGTTGAGTGTTGGCATGCACAGAAAGATACCAGCAGACAACCAACATGGTTACCTGTGATAGATACGAGAGATCTTACTGCAGGCCCACCTGGCAGTGTTGCAGATCAGTAAAATGAGTCATAACTGATAACTCCCTTTAAAAAGGAACTACGGTTGGGAGGCCGAGGCGGGCGGATCACAAGGTCAGGAGATCGAGACCATCCTGGCTAACATGGTGAAACCCAGTCTCTACTAAAAAAAAATACAAAAAATTAGCCGGGCCCGGTGGCGGGCGCCTGTAGTCCCACCTGCTCAGGAGGCTGAGGCAGGAGAATGGCGTGAACCCTGGAGGCGGAGCTTGCAGTGAGCCGAAAATGCGCCATTGCACTCCAGCTTGGGTGACAGAGCGAGACTCCGTCTCAAAAAAAAAAAAAAGGAACTATGGGATCACAAATAACCTTTGGAGATTTTCTTCGATGAGAATGCTAAAATCTGTCAGAATTAAAAAAATCAAAGTGATGAAGTCTAGCTGGAAAATACCCAACGGAAGTTTCTCCCCTCTTGCCATTTGCCCTCACCAGATCTGTCATTCCCTGAGGGCTAAGGAAGGGGAAAATTTCTCCTTCAAAGCCTTCATCTTTGAAATCCTCACTCTTTCCTAATTAACTTTATGAATAAAGTGGTGATTCTTTTCTAACTTAATTTATAAACATAAAATACATGTTTATTATAAAAAATGTTCACACCATATAAGTATATAAAGTAAATGTAAAAGTCCCCTCCCTCAAGTTGACCTTTGCAGCTACTGCTTTAACAGGGCTGGTGACTGCTGAAAATTTGGTATGTGATACACCATATGGTTTGCTAGACCTAGGAAAACAGGATCAATCTAAACGGAAGTAGGCTTTTCATATTGGTGAGCATTAACTCTAAATCCCTAGACTATCCGTATATAGCACTGGAATCAGCCCATTCTACTCCATCATGGGCTGTCTGTGGGAGATATGGCAAAAATGTGGACATGGGGAGAAGGAAGAGAATATCTGAATGCTTGCAATGTGCTAGGCATTGTACAGTCAGTTTATATGTCACTGAGTCCTTAAAAACCATACTTCAGAAAAAGAGTGGAAATTCTAGTTATTCTCCAGTTAAAAGGGGGTTTGAAGCTTGCCCAAGGTCATACTGGCAATAAGTAGAAGAACCAGAATTCCAATCTGGGTTAAAGATTGTCTTTTTCACTCTACTACAGTGATATTTTGCCTTTTTTCCTCATTTCCATTATATTTTTCCACCAGAAATATACTTTCCATCAATATTCTTGGAAGTGAAGATAATAACTTTCCATGTGGTAAGTGAGATATAGTAAGGAAATGCCTACCTCAAGTGTCCAGTTTTTTTAAAACCTACAACTTTGGGAATGAATATCCTAATGCAACTCAGAAGCTATTCGACGTAATATACTGTCAGGAGGCATGAGGTAAAGATTCAGTTTTTCAAGTCTCTTCCAGGTCCCCTTTTACCCTATTGTTCACTGGTTTTTTGTTTTGTTTTGGCTTTTGTTTTTGTTTTTTGAGATGAGTCTTTCTCTGTCACCCAGGCTGGAGTACAGTGGCGTGATCTTGGCTCACTGCAATCTCCGCCTTGCAGGTTCAGTTGATTCTCCTGCCTCAGCCTCTTGAGTAGCTGGGTGCCTGCCACCATGCCCAGCTAATTTTTGTATTTTTAGTAGAGACAGGATTTCACCATGCTGGCCAGGCTGGTCTCGAACTCCTGACCTCAGGTGATCCGCCCACCTCTGCCTCCCAAAATGCTGGGATTACAGGCGTGAGCCACCGCACCCAGCCCTTTCTTTTTAATTTATTCAAAATTTTCCTGTTCCAACCACTAAGTCTCTAGAGAAGTGGGATCATCCACTTTCTAAGTTCCACTTTCAACACGCAAGTTGTTGAAACTGCTGTTTACAGTTATCTGACCTGTTTATTCAGTTAACAATCTCTGGGCTTTGCTCATAGAAATCACCATTCATCCCAGGATTTTTGGTGTTCAGTATCTCACTTGTTTTCCCTGAGTTGATTTTCCAGTCTCTTCCTCTCATTCAAAATGTATTCTGTTCTTGGTGTTTGCTACACTCAGATGATAAAGGTGAATTTCCTCTCTCAATTGTTTGAGGATTGAATGGAGGGAGACACTACTTCATCTCCTTATTCCTATAAACTCTTGAACTAGGCCAACTAAACCTCAAAAAGAACCCTGTTCTTTTTAAAGCTTTTATACACCTATCAAGTTCCAAATCAAAAAACTATTTTGTGCATGTATGCATCAGAATCACCAGGGGAACTTTGGTTAAACATCACTTCTTGGACCTTGCCCCAAACTTAGTGAGAATCTCTGTCTAAAGGGTCATTCCATGATTCTATTCCCTATGGCTAATAGAATTAATTAAAAATTCCGTTCCTTGGTTGCCCTAGTTACATTTCAAATGCTCAATAGTCATATGTAGCTAGTGGCTACTGTATTGGAGAGCACATATATAGAATAGTTCCATCACACAAGTTGCTATAAGACAGCACTAATCTAGAATACACACATACCTTGGAGATGTTGCAGGTTTGGTTCCAGACCACAACAATGAAGTAAGTCATACACATTTTTTTTTATTTCCAGCGCATATAAAAGTTACATTTGGCCGAGCACCCTGTAATCCCAGCATTTTAGGAGGCTGAAGCAGGTGGATCACCTGAGGTTAGGGGTTCAAGACCAGCCTGACTAACATGGTGAAACCCCGTCTCTACTAAATACAAAAAATTAGGCATGGTGGCACATGCCTGTAATCCCAGGTACTTGGGAGGCTGAGGCAGGAGAATCAACTGAACCCAGCAGGTGGAGGTTGCAGTGAGCTGAGATCATGCCATTGCACTCCAGCCTGGGCAACAAGAGCGAAACTCCCCTCAAAATAATAATTTAAAAAGTTACGTTTATACTATATTATAGCTTAGAAGTGTGTAATAGCATTATGTCTAAAAAGATGTAGACACCCTAAATAAAAAACAGATTATAGGGCTGGGCATGGTGATTCACACCTGTAATCCAAGCACTTTGGGAAGCTGAGACAGGTAAATTACTTGAGGCCAAGATTTCAAGGTTAGTGAGCCAAGCTCACTCCAGCCTCAGTAACAAGTGAGACCCTGTCTCTAAAATAAATAAAAGTAAAAAATAGTTTATTGTCACTTGAGCCCGGGAGTTCAAGGTTACAGTGGGCTATGATGGCACCTCTGAACTCCAGCCTGAGTGACAATGTGACACCTTATCTCTAAAAAAAAAAAATTAATAATCTATTGCTAAAAAATACTAACAATCATCTGAACCCTCAAGGAGTCATAATCTTTTTGCTGGTGGAGGATCTTGCCTGGATGTTGATGGCTGCTGACTGGTCAGGATAGTGGTTGCTGAAGGTTGGAGTGGCTGTGAGAATTTCTTAAAATAAAACATCAATGAAGTTTCTCATCAATTGACTCTTCCTTTCACGCAAGATTTCTCTGTAGCATGCAATGCTGTTTGATAGCATTTTACATACCCACAATAGAACTGGTTTCAAAACTGGAGTCAGTCCTCTCAAATCTTTCCACTGCTTTATGAGCTAAGTTTATGTAATATTTTAAAATATTTTATTGTAGCAATCAATCTGAAAACGAAAGCAATTACATTTACAATAGCTACAAAAAAAGTAAAATACCTAGGAATAAATTTAAGTGAAGAAGTGAAAGACCTCTATGAGGAAATTTATAAAACACTGATGAAAGAAATTGAAGAGAACACACACAAAAATGTAAAGCTATCCCTTGCTCATGGATTGGAACAGTTAATATTGTTAAAATTTCTATACTACACAAATTGTACTACAAAACTATAGTAACCAAAACAGAATAGTACTGGCACAAAAACAGACACATAGACCAAAGGAACAGAATAAAGAACCCAGAAACAAATATACAGCCAACCCATTTTTGACAAAGGTGCCCAGAACATACACTGCAGAAAGGACAGTTTCTCTGGTAAACAGTTCTGGGAAAATGATATCCATATGCAGAAGAATGAAATTAGATCCTTATCTTTCACCATATACAAAAATCAAGTCAAAATGGATTAGAGATTTAAATGTAAGACCTGAAACTACTAAAAAAATACACTGAGTAAATGCTCCAGGACATTGGTCCGGGCAAAGACTTTTTAGGTAACACCTCAACAGGTGTTGCACAGGCAACAGGCCGGGCGCGATGGTTCACGCCTATAATCCCAGCACTTTGGGAGGCCAAGGTGGGTGGATTACCTGAGGTCAGGGGTTCAAGACCAATCTGACCAACATGGTGAAACCCCATCTCTACTGAAAACACAAAAATGAGCCAGGTGTGGTGGTGCCTGCCTGTAATCCCAGCTACCCGGGAGGCTGAGGCAGGAGAATTGCTTGAACTCGGGAGGCGGAGATAGCAGTGAGCCGAGATCGCACCATTGCACTCCAGCCTGGGTGACAGAGCAAGGCTCCATCTCAAAAAGAAAAAAAAAAAAAAAAAAGCACAGGCAACAAAAGCAAAAATAGACAAGTGGGATTACATCAAGCTAAAAATCTTCTGCATAGCAGAGTAAACAAGTGAAGAGAAGAGAAGCTACAAAGAACATTTGCAAACTTCCATCAAACAAGAGATTGAATATATAAGCAACCCAAACAATAGCAAAAAAAAAAAACCCAAATAATCCAATTTTAAAATGCACAAAAGACCTGACTAGACATTTCTCAAAAGAAGACATATGGCTGTGTACAGTGGCTCAGGCCTGTAATCCCAGCACTTTGGGAGGCCGAGGTGGGCAGATCACTTGAGCTCAGAGTTCAAAACCAGCCTGGACACCACAGTGAGACTCTCTCTACAAAAAACTACAAAAATTATCTATGCGTGGTGGCACACACTTGTAATCCCAGCTACTTGGGAGGCTGAGGAGGACTGTTTGAACCTGGGAGGCAGAGGTTGTAGTGAGCCAAGATCACACCACTACACTCCAGCCTGGACAACCAAGTGAGACTCTGTCTCAAAAAAAAAATGTTAATTAAAAAAAAGAAAAGAATTCAGATCCTTGGCCAGGTGCAGTGACTCATGCCTGTAATCTTGGCACTTTGGGAGGACAAGGTAGATGGATCACTTGAGGTCATCAGGAGTTGGAGACCAGCCTGGCCAACATGGTGAAACCCTGTCTAAAAATTAGCCAGGTGTGGTGATGCATCCTGTAATCCCAGCTACTCGGGAGGCTGAGGCACGAGAATCGCTTGAACCCAGGAGGCAGAGGTTGCAGTGAGCCACTGCATTCCAGCCTGGGTTGGCAGAGTGAGACTCTCTCTCAAAAAAAAAGAAAGAAAGGAAATCAGTGTGTCAAAGAGATATCTGCATTCCCATGTTTACTGAAGCACTATTCACAATAGCCAAGATATGGAGTCAACCTAGGTGTCCATCAATGGATGAATAGGTATAGAAAATGTAGTATACATACATAATGGAATATTATTCAGCCATAAAAAAGAATGAAATTCTGTCATTTGCAGCAACTGGATGGAATTTGGGGTCATTATGTTCAGTGAAATAAAAGTCAGAGGAAGTCAAATGTAGCATGTTCTCACTCATATGGGAGCTAAAAAAAGTGGATCTCATGGAGATAGAGAGAGGAATGGTGATTACCAGAAGCTGCGAAGGAAGAGGGGAGAGGAGGATGAAGAGAGGTTGGTAATGAATACAAATGAAGTTTCTGTTGTCATTTCAACAACATTCACAGCATCTTCATCAGGAGTAAATTCCATCTCAAGAAACCAGTTACTTTGCTCATCCATAAGAAGCAACTCTTCATCCATTCAAATTTTATCATGATATTGCAGTAATTCAGTCACATTGTCAGACTCCACTTGTAGTTCTCTTGCTCTTCTTGTCACATCTGCAGTTATTTCCTCCACTGAAGTCTTGAATCCCTCAAAGTCATCCATGAGGGTTGGAATTAACTTCTTCCAAACTTCTGTTAATGTTAATACAATGACCTTCTCCCTTGAATCACAAATGTTCTTAATAGCATCTAGAATGGTGAATCCTTTCCAGAAGGTTTTCAATTTAGTTTTCCCACATCTATAAGACAAATCACTGTATATGACAGCTATAGCTTTACAAAATGTATTTCCCATTAAGACTTGAAGCACTCTGGGAGGTCAAGATAGGCGGATCACCTGAAGTCAGGAGTTCGAAACCAGCCCGGCCAACATGGCAAAACCCCATCTCTACTAAAAATAAAAAAATTAGCCAGCTGTGGTGGTGTGTGCCTGTAAATCCCAGCTACCCAACAGGCTGAGGCAGGAGAATCGCTGGAACCCGAGAGGCAGAGGCTGCAGTGAGCTGAGATTGCACCCACTGCACTCTAGCCTGGGCAACAGAGCAAGACTCCAACTCAAAAAAAAAAAAAGACTTGAAAGTTGAAATTATTCCTTGATCTATGGACTACAAGATGGATGTTGCGTTAGAAAGCATGAAAACAACATTAATCTCCTTGTACACCTCCATCAGGGCTCTTAGGAGACCAAGTGCATTGTCAATGAGCTACAATATTTTGAAAGGATTTTTTTTTTCTGAGCAGTAGGTCTCAATAGTGAGCTTAAAATATTAACTAAACCATGTTGTAAACAGATGTGCTGTCATCCAGGCTTTGTAGTTCCATTTGCAGAGTACAGGTAGAGCAGATTTAGAACCCTAGGATTTTCAGAATAGTAAATGAGCATTGGCTTCAGCTTAAAGACACCAGCCACAATAGCCCCTAAGAAGAGAGTCAGCCTGTCTTTTGAAGCTTCGAAGCCGGGCATTGACTTCCTCTAGTATGAAACTCCTGGATGACATTTTCCAACAGAAGGTCGTTTTGTCCACATTGAAAATCTGTTGCTCATTGTAGCCCCCTTAGTCAATTAGCTTAGCTAGATCTTCTGGATAACTTGCTGCAGCTTCTCCATCAGCACTTTCTACTTTGCCTTATACTTTTATGTTATGAAGATGGCTTCTTTCTTTAAACTTCATGAACTCACCTCTGCTAGCTTCAAACTTTTCTTCTTTAGCTTCCTCACCTCTCTGAGACTTCACAGAATTGAAGACAGCTAAGCCCTTGTTCTGGATTAGGCTTTGGCTTAAAGGAGTGTTGTGGCTGGTTTGCTCTCCTATACAGATCACTAAAACTTGGACCATATCAGCGATAAGACTGTCTCGTTTTCATATCATTCATGTGTTCACAGGAGTAGCACTTTTAATTTCCTTCAATAACTTTCCTTTGCATTCATAACTTGGCTAACTCTTCGTCACAAAAGGCCTAGTTTTTGGCTGTCTCAGCTTTTGACATGCCTTCCTCACGAAGCTTAATCATTTCCAGCTTTTTAAAAATGTTTAATCTATTTATTTGTTTATTTAGAGACCGGGTTATGAGACTGGCTAATTTTTGTATTTTTGGTAGAGACGAAGTTTACCATATTGCCAAGGCTGGTTTCAAACTCCTGGGCTCAAGCAATCCACCAGCCCCAGCCTCTCAAAATGCTGGGATTACAGGCATGAGCCACCGCACCTGGCCATTTCTAGCTTTTGATTTAAAGGAAGAGATATGCAACTCTTCCTTTCACTTGAACACTTAGAGGCCATTGTAGGGTTATAATTTGGCCTAATTTCAATATCGTTGTGTCTCAGGGTATAGGGAAGCCCAAGGAGAGAGAGACAGGGGAATGCTGGTTGGTACAGCAGTCAGAGCATACACATTTATTGGTTAAGTTCACTGTCTTATGTGGGAGTGGTTTGTGGTACTCCCCCAAAATTACAATAGTAATGTCAAAGATAACTGATTACAGATCACTATAATAGATATAATAATAATGAAAACGTTTGAAATATTGCAAGAATTACCCAAATGTTACACACGATCACAAAGTAAGCACATGGTGTTGGAGAAATGGCGCCTATAGAGGCTGGATGCAGGATTGCCACAAACCTTCAATTTGTGAAAAATGCAGTATCTAGAAGTACAATAAAATGAAGCCCCAAAAAACAAGGTATCCCTAGATGGCAGTTTAGACTATGAATGTCCACCGGGCGCAGTGGCTCAAGTCTGTAATCCTAGCACTTTGGGAGGCCGAGGCAGGCCGAGCACTTGAGGCCAGGAGTTTGAGACCAGCCTGGCCAACATAGCAACACCCCGTCTTTACAAATTATTATTATTATTATTTGAAACAGTTTTGCTCTTGTTGCCCAGGCTGGAGTGCAGTGATATGATCTCAGCTCACTACAACCTCCATCTCCTAGGTTTGAGCAATTCTCCTGCCTC
Source organism: Homo sapiens (assembly GCF_000001405.40). Lineage (NCBI taxonomy): Eukaryota > Metazoa > Chordata > Mammalia > Primates > Hominidae > Homo > Homo sapiens. Next base: position 52,571,675 of record NC_000015.10, on the reverse strand, counting down.
AGCCTCCCAAGTAGCTGGGATTACAGGTGCCCACCACCATGCCCAGCTGATTTTTGTATTTTTAGTAGAGATGGTTTTACCACGTTGGCCAGGCTGGTCTCGAACTCCTGACCTCAAGTGATCCACCCGCCTCGGCCTCCCAAAGTGCTGGGATTACAGGTGTGAGCCACCGTGCCAGGCCTACAATTATTAAAAATACAAAAATTAGCCGGGCATGGTGGCATGTGCCTGTGGTCCCAGCTACTTGGGAAGCTGAGGCAGGAGAATCACTTGAACCTAGAAGGCAGATTGCAGTGAGCTGAGATGGTGCCACTGCACCCCAGCCTGGGTGGCAGAGTGACACTTTGTTTCAAAAAAGAAAAAAAACTATGAAGGTGGAAGTTATTTCCTGGAGGCTGTGTAAACATAGAAGAGAAGGAGATCCAAGGACAGAACTGTTAGAATCCTCCCATTAAGAGGCAGGTTAAGATTCAACAGGGAGGTTAAGTAGGAGGAAATCCATGAGACAATAGTATCCTGGAGATCAAGAGAAGGAAGTTTTGACAAACAGGGTGCTGGGGACCAGTGTGCAGTTTTACACATTAAGGTTCATAATGATGCAGAGTGGTGTTAGTTGGGAAAGAATGGCTTTCCAGACAGGTCCTCATTGTGGAGCATTGCCCATGGTGAATTCTCCATTTGACCAAAGTCTGCCCCCAGAAATTCAAACTTCCCCTTCTGCGAGTGTCACTATCAGAAACAGATTCTTTTTATCCAAGGTCACATAGCCAATTTTAAAAAAAAGGCCAGATGTGGTGGCTCGCTCCTATAATCCCAGCACTTTGGGAGGCCGAGGCGGGTGGATCACTTGAGGCCGGGAGTTCGAGACCAGCCTGGACAACACGGCAAAACCCTGTCTCTACTAAAAATACAAAAAATTATCAGGGTGTGGTGGTGGGCAACTGTAATCCCAGCTACTTGGGAGGCAGAGGCAGGAGAATTGCTTGAACCCAGGAAGTGGAGGTTGCAGTGAGCCGAGATTGTGCCATTGCACTCCAGCCTGGGTGACAGAGTTGAGACTCTGTCTCAAAAAGAAAAAGAAAAAAAAGTTTTTTTTCTTTTTGTAGAGACAGAGATTTGCCATGTTGGCCAGGCTGGTCTTGAACTCCTGAGCTCGAGCGATTTGCCCGCCTTGGCCTCCCAAAGTGCTGGGATTACGAGTGAGCCACTGTGCCCAGCCACAGCCAATTTTCTTGAGGCTGAGTTTCATCATTAAGTGTATGTCTATCAGATTTTAACTCAAGTTCACAAATACATTGATATAGGACATATACTAGAACGTCAGTCAATTTATTAATAAAAATACAACTGTTAAATGCTTCAGTGGCCTAACTACTGCACTCTTCTTTCTCTCTGCAGTTCTGCTTAAGGGAAAGGCAAATTTTCAGTATGTTACTTTGTGAGTATAGAAGGAGAACAAATATGTCGTGGATCTTACAGTTTCTCAGCTAGCCCAGCGTGAGACATTCTTAAGGGATATCTTTGTCAAACAGTTGGCCTGTTGAACCCTTTTATTTTCAATACTTCCTTGGCTGACAAATGCCTTCCTTCGTTTCTCCAAAAGGAGTGCAATATTAACTCTTTTTGTTTTTCTAGTTGCAATTCCAGTGCAATTCTTCCTGTCTGAGATTCTACATCCTGGTTGAGTTTCGATGGTTTCCAAATTCCTTATCCAGGCATTTAGGGTCTTTCAATTGTTCCCCTGCCCCCAGAAATGCATTCATTTTCTGTGGCTTTTTACTAGTTTAACTTTTAGAGGGCAATCTTATTTCCAAGTTTCTGAGGGACACTTTGTTGGAACCAACAAACATTGCGAGTAACTATTCAGATATCAAGTAGAATGAGGATTCAGTAAGAAGCCGCAGGACTTGGCAAATAAAAAGGTCATTGGGGGAGCTCAATGCTAGCAGTTTCGGTAAGCTTGTGGGAGTGGACCCCCTGGGAGTGGACAAATGAATCTGAATTCCTTCGTTAGATATCTAGGAAGTGCTGGACCCTCAGAGTAAAATATAAGTAATTACAGACGAGATCCCTGCCCTGGTGCGGCTTATCTGAGAAGGAAAGGTGACCTAAAGTCACGACAATTGTGTAATGATACAGTTCATGTTGTTGAGGAACTGTACAGGGCTGTGACAGCCTTTAAGAGGTGGCTCTGGCCTAGTGTAGAGGTTTAGGAAGGAAAGGTTCTGAGGCAGAGACGTAGGACTGGAGATGTGAAGGCGTGGCAGAGTGGAGCAAGACTTTTGGCGTGCCCAAAAGACAGCCTGTGTGGCTACAGAGCGGAGAGCGAGGAGAACAGAACTAGGCGAGGATGGGTAAGTGGAAAGAGTAAAATAAAGCTCCTAGAACGAGGGGACCAGAGTGGACAGGAAAGGGCGGGGAGGGGCGGTTCCACTTAGAAACTACAATTCCCAGGAAGCACTCGGCAGCCACAAACGGATGTGAGGTGAGGCAGGAGCGGCGACCTTTGAAGGAAAAAAGGAAGTGTTTGGACGACAGCGAGCGGGAGAAGCGGGGTCAAGTAGGTAGGGGTGCGGTGCGGGAGGGGCAGGCGGGCTCCGGCGTGCGAGGGCCTTGGCCAGCGGAGCGTTTCGCGGCTCCGTGTCGTCATAAGGCGGCGGCCATTTTCGCGGGCGGAGGCGGCCCGGCGGGCCCTGGGAGAGCTGGGACGGGCGGCGGCCGGGTGGCCTCGGCCACCCGCTAATTGCATCTTTTCCCGGCGTCTCGTCTGCAGAGGGAGCACTATGTCTGCGGAAGTCCCCGAGGCAGCCTCCGCGGAGGAGCAGAAGGTGAGCGCGCGGGGCGTGAGCCCTGGGCCCTGCCCAAGGCCGGGTCTGGCGGGCGGCCTGCTCCCGCCAGGCGGAGGGCCGCGCCCGAGATGCGGGGCCGAGGCGCATGAGGCCGAGGCTCCTGCGCCCCACCTTTGGCTTCCCGCCGTCGCTGGCTGGTGCGCCGACGAATTGGGAGTTCCAACGTGCCCCGCGTTTACTCCGAATCGTGCCTTTTGTAACACCTCCGTGGGTCGCGGTGTTCCTCAGTCACTTATATTTACGCGAGAGCCCAGGACGCAGGCTTTGGGCGTAGAGCCTAAGTTTTTCTGTAAGCCTCAATTTGGTTAGGAAGTTTTATTTTTTCCTTTGAAGAACTCTCCAACTACTTGTATTGTGAGCGTGCGGTTCACTCCAAAAGCAGTGCCTCGTGTGCGGGCCGCGATGTGGGCCAGGATTGGCATTTCAGGGCCAACCCTTGTAACCATGGTCAGTGAGTAAAGTCCGGCCTTCAGTGTCTTCACCTGTAAAGGCCGAATACTGGTGCTTGCCTCCCACGGCGGGGTGAGGCCTAGAGGAGGTGAGTCAGGTGTAGTGTGCAGCGCAGTCTGTGCTCAAAAAGGTTTCAGTCGATGGGACTCAAATATGGTACTTGACTAAAAATCGAAAGGGTGGAATTTTAAAATTTTACTCACGAAATTAATCAGGGTTTTATTGGAAACAGGAATATTTTGTAAACGCCCTTGTGTCTTCCTGATGTAGGGGAATAGGCCGGGAGTGTCACTGTGGTTCAAATTATGAATATCAAGCCTTTGTATTTATCTAGGCTGGTGTTTGTCTCTCCCACTGTAATTATTTCCACCGCCCTGCCCTCCTAGGCAGGTGTGACTGGCCGAGAAGTGAGAAAGGGCCGAGGTATCTTGTCTCCTAAATTGTTTATCAACAATTTTTCTTACAAATCAGGTTGTGTTGCCGTTAAATACGATTTTGGTCTACTGCTTGACCTTCGTGCGGGTTTCTGCTTAATGTTGCACTTATGTCCTAATTAAGTTGGGAATTGGATTAGTGTTCTAAGCCCATTCCATATGTTCTTAAAACCGTGTTAACTTTTCTTAAGTTGGGTGCTTCTGTTAGGATGTTAAAGTAATTGAAAAACAAGAAAACATATAGCATAGGTAAAAGTCCAAGTTACCACATTATTTGAGAATATCCCGTGAAAATAGATATATTTACGCATTACCAAAAAAATGGATTTTGGGGGCAAAAATACAAATATTAAAGTTTGCAATCTTAACAGTATTATTAAGTATCACCTGCTTATTGTAAAATGCGTATTGTGTTCATTATTGCTTGAAATTTAGGAGCCCCCAAAAATAACAAGTCCCTGTCTGTGGTGGTTTGCCTTAAACACTTACATCAAACTTAGCATTAACTTCTGGTGCACAGTAGTGTGCTATGTAATTTTCTTTGATAAGTTCTGTTAGTATGTTGCCAAAGTATGCAGTATTGACTTCTAGAGTGTAAATACTTTTACTTGGAAAAGCCTAATGTATCTTTTAACAATATTAAGGATAGCTTGAACGTTTTCTCTTATTGATTGTCTACATTAAACATTTAAGGTGCTTTGGTTTTAGCTGCTGTCATTAAAATCAACCAAAGTGTGTTAGGAATATAATGTTCCTTCTTAAATTGAGGATTGGCTGTAAATGCTAAGTGCCTGTGGCGTGGATGGTGTCCCTAACCATGAAGAAAATGTGCACAGTCACTTCTGTGTTCCTGTGGGCCAAATCACCTGTTTCTTCTATTTGGAAGATCAGTTCGATGACCTAAAAAATTAAGTTATTGTCTGTGTACCCAATTGACCTTCCACTTAAAGCCAAAGTATTCAGCTAAAAATACCTTTATAGTTTACTGGTAGGTTGCCTGTTGCCGCTAAAGAATTAAGGTAGATAGCTGGGCCTTGCATGGAGTAAAAGCTAAGTCACTTTCTCTATCTTGAGTGGTGTGTGCACCCTTGGTAAGAGAAGAAAACCAGATAGATTCCTGTCTTGTATTAGGAAACAATATGTACAAACATAAAAAATAAGTATAAACTCTTATCTCTTAACTTGTATACCACTCTAAGACTAAAACAGCCAGGCGTGGTGGCTCTTGCCTATAATTCTGGCACTTTGGGAGGCTGAGGCAGGAGGATTGCTTGAGGCCAGGAGTTTGAGACCAGCCTGGTCAACATAGTAAGATTCTGTCTCTACAAAATAAAATAAAATAAAATAAAAATTAGCCAGGTGTGGTGGCATGTCTGTAGGCCTGTAGTCCCAGCTACTTGGGAGGCTGAGGTGGGAGGATCACTTGAGACCAGGAGTTCGAGGCTACAGTGAGCTACTTTTAAAATATTTTTTAAAAATTTAAAAGGCCTGTGCTGTGGCTCACAGCTGTAATCCCAGCACTTTGGGAGGTCATGGCGAGTGGATCACTTGAAGCCAGGAGTTGAAGACCAGCCTGGCCAACACGGTGAAACCCTGTCTTTACTAAAAGTACAAAAACTAGCCAGGCATGGTGGCCCACACCTATAATCCCAGCTACTCGGGAGACTGAGGCATAAGAATTGCTTGAACCCAGGAGGCAGAGGTTGCAGTGAGCTGAGATCATACCACTGTACTCCTGCCTGGGCAACAGAACAAGATTCTGTGTCAGAAAATAAATAAAATAAAATTTGGCCGGGCACGGTGGCTCACACCTGTAATCCCAGCGCTTTGGGAGGCCGAGGCTGGCGGATCATGAGGTCAGGAGTTCGATACCAGCCTGGCCAATATGGGGAAACCCCCTCTCTACTAAAAAATACAAAAATTATCCGGGTGTGGTGGCACGCACCTGTAGTTCCAGCTACTCAGGAGGCTGAGGCAGGAGAATTGCTTGAACCTGGGAGGCGGAGGGTGCAGTTAGCCGAGATCGTGCCACTGCACTCTAGCCTGGGCAACAGAGTGAGACTGCATCTCAAAAAAATAAAATAAAATTTAAACTAAAACAGATTAAATACAACAAAGCCAGTCTAAATTTTTGATTGTGTGCTTGGTATTTTGCTGAAACTAAATTTCCAATGTATTTGGAATATGGCAGCAATTGTTAAAAGTTGAGGGAGTTTTTGAGTTTGTCAAGTAAACACTCCCCTAGGCCATGTGGTGGCTCAGTTCCCCTTTTAAGAGTAAACTATGAGGTCACTAAGTTTCCAGAGTCATAGATACAATCACATTTTAAGTTCAGCTCCATTCTTTTCTCATTTTCTTGGACAGTTGGAGTAACCTGCTGAGTCTTTGTCAAAGAAAGCTCAGATGCAGAACCCACATAGCACTACTTAGATGCAACGTGGTGATTCAGATTCCCCAGAATATGCTTATATTTGCCTTTGAGATAACCACTGAAGTGAAAACAAAACATTTAAAAGTTTTGAGTACAGATCTCATGAATCTATCAGCAGTAAGCTAAGGCATGTGTACTAGTCCTGGAGGGGAGAAGAGGCAAGTGGAAACTTAAAACAGATAATTCTGGCCCTACAGGGTGGCTCTTGCCTGTAATCCCAGCACTTTGGGAAGCCAAGGTGGGAAGATCGCTTGAGGCCAGGAGTTTGAGACCGGCCTGGGCAACATAGCAAAACCCCGTCTCTAAAATAATAAATCTACACCTGTAGTCCCACCTACTCCAGAGGCTGAGGGGAGGATCACTTGACCTCCAGGAGGTCAAAACCACAGGGACCTTTGATGGCACCACAGTGAGCTTTGATGGCGCCACTGGGTGACTGAGGGAGACCCTGTCTCAAAAAAAAAAAAAAAAAAGATGGTAATTTTAATTGCACTGTGAGCAGCTTATGCTCAGGGACCCTGGTTTATATATCTGTTCTCTCACAGCACTCAACATTGTGCTTGACATTATTTACAAAATGGTTGAATGGATTTTCCTCAGAACTTTTCTGTTAAAACCTTTGCCAAAGTACTATTTCAAAACAAATGACAATGCTAGTACCACAGAGAAGAATAGACCATGGTAAGATGAAAACCTTAGCTTAGACCCACTTAAGAACTCTTGAACGAAACTACAGTGATGTGTGTATATATTTTTTCGTTTGTGTTGTGGCCTTAATTTTTTTTTTAAGATCTCAATAGCAAGTTTTCTAGAGGTTATAAGACTCACCAAACTAATATGTCTTGGAAAGGATACCCACAGGAAAGCTGTCAATGAAATTATTTGTCAGGTAAGAGATACAGGTTGGTGCCTTTATGAGTGGTAGAAGAGGAAAAGAACCTTTATCTGCATTATTTTAATATATCAACCATAAAGAGATATAAATTGTTTTCCCATGCTTCCAGTATTTTAAAAATAGGAGTTCATATTGGTATTTTCAGGAGCTCTTTTGACAACTACTTTTGGTTACCTAAAGGCTGAAGAATGTTTTTGTTATGTTTGAGACAGGGTCTTACTCTGTCGCCCAGGCTGGGGTGCAATGGCACAATGATAGCATATTGCCGCCTTGAACTCCTGGGTTCACCTAGCCTCCCACCTCAGCCTCCAAGTAGCTGGGACTGCAGGTGTGAGCAACCGCCTCATCCATGTTTTCTATTTCTATTCAGAGTGAACACAACATGCTCCCTTGGTCTCTGCAACCATCGATTCCTAACAGCCTAGAGGTAAACCTCAGAAAAGTTTTTAAATGTTTCTCTTAGCCGTCTTAGCAGTTTGCGATACAACAGTTTGTTAGGGTTGCTTCTTTTGTTTGTGCAAGACTTGAATACTTAACTTCTAATCCAGAAGCTGTGTTTACTATAACATAAAATATTAAAGATGAGCTGATGGTGAAATCCTCAAGTGTGAAGAAAGTTTCTTAGCTTTATAGCTTTATGGAAACAAGTACATTGTATTTTTTCATTCAGATGAATGAACTTTTATTGAACATTCATTAAATGCTAGGCACTAGGCAAACAAAGACTTAATAGAATGACAACAGTAATTTTCCATAGAGCTTGATACAGTATTGGTACCTTCCTGGCAGTATCCCAAAGGATTTGTTGGCTTTCATTAATCCTTTCTAGTTATTCGTCAATCAGTGCATCAGTCAACATGTTGCTGAGCAGATAGAGGAGAATTTGCTTAGAGTGGTCAGATTTTTATTGCTGACGTTGCTGTATAACCCTCCTCTGCCGAAGGCTGAAAAGTGGTATCAGTCATTGAGACATAATTCTGCTCAGTGTATAATAGACTACAAAATAATCCTTAGTTATTTGAGTGTCCTTTTTACGTGTATATATTTATAACTTATACCCCACCTATTCACAGAAAGGATTTCTGATGTATTTCAGTGGTACAATTCACAAAAATGCACATGCCGAGACAATAACTATTATTAAAAATACTGTTCTTAAGATTTTTGTTTTTGTTTTTTGGATACATACATCGTATACATGTATCTGTGTGTAAACATGTATCTGTGTTACCATATCCTGGGGTTCCTTTCCCAGCTTGTAGCCAATAGCCAAAAGTTCAGAATTCTGCCTTCTGCGGACCCTATTATCAATTTAGAAGCTACTTACCTAAGTAAATCCATTTACATTACAGCATCTATTTTTAAAATGTAGTAAAATTGCTGTGTAACACAAAGGCTTCTTGGAGAATGAAACTTCAAAACCAGATTTGAATCATAAAAAATACTTCTTCACGGTGGCTCACACCTGTAATCCCAGCACTTTGGGAGGCAGAGGCAGATGGATCACGAGGTCAGGAGTTCAAGACCAGCGTGGGCAAGATGGTGAAACCCTGTCTGTACTAAAAATACAAAAATCAGCCAGGTGCGGTGATGGGCACCTGTAATCCCAGCTACTCGGGAGGCTGAGGCAGGAGAATCACTTGAACCCAGCGTGGGGAGGGGTGGAGGTTGCAGTGAGCCGAGATCGTGCCACCACACTCCAGCCTGGGCGACAGAGTGAGACTCTGTCTCAAAAAAAAAAAAAAAAAAAACTTCTTAAGCTTGCCATATCCACCCCCTTTGTTGGCCCTTTCTATTGTATCTTTTTCATTAATTTCTGCTTTTTATTTCTCCATTTTCTTTGGGCTCCTTTCTTTGTCTAACTTCTTAAATTGGATGCATCGCTCATTGAGATTTAGCTTTCTTCTCTGATATAAGCCCTTGAGAGATACTTGCTATACCTGACAAGTTTTGGTATGTGTAGGGTTTTGTTTGTTTGTTTTTAAAGAAACAGGGTCTCACTCTGTCTCCCAGGGTAGGCTTAAGTGACCCTCCCACCTCAGCCTCCCAAGCAGCCAGGACTATAGGCATATAAGCATCTACCACGACACCTATCTAATTTTTAAATTTTTTTTGTAAAGGCCAAGGTCTTACTGTGTTGCCCGGGTAGGTCTAGAACTCCTATTTTTTTTAAATACTCGTGCTTTCTTTTTTAACCAGGAATTATTTAGAAGTATGTTTTTAATTTCTAAATATTAGAGATTTATAATTTTTTTGTTGTTACTGACTTTAATGAATTGCAGTCATAGATGGTGGTCTGGAAGAAAATAGTTAAGATTTGCTTTATGGCCTAGTATTAGTCAGTTTTTCCATTTGTGCTGTGGAAGACTATGCATTCCCTAATTGTTAGATGTAAAATTAAAATCAAGTATCTTAACTACTTTATCTTTTATAGCTATCAATAATTGAGGAAGCTGTGTTGAATTCCATAGTAGTGGACTTGTCAGTTGCTCCCTATAGTTCTGTCAGTTTTTGCTTTGTATATTTTCATGCCATTTTATTAGTGGCACAGTGGCTCACGCCTGCAGTCCCAGCACTTTGGGAGGCCAAGGCAGGAGGATTGCTTGAGGCCAGGAGTTCTAGACCAGCCTGGGCAACATAGGAAGACCATGTATCTTAATAAAAAAAAAAAAAAAAAAAAAAGTAGGTGCACTGCACTAGCTCTGTTTTGGTAAGGATTTTTTGCCTGGTATGTTACCACCACCACCCACCCTCAGTCTTTTTACTTTCAACCTATGTCCTTGTTTTTAGATTTTTTTAAATGTGTACTCCACAAGTGGCTAGGTTTTTTTTTTTTCCTTAATCCAGCCACTGGATTTAAATGGACAGTCTGTTGCTTCAGTATGGTTATTGTGGTTATTAACATATTGGGATTTGTTTCTCCTTATGTTTGGTTTCTTTTTGGTATTTAAAATTTTTTTTATTTTTCTTCCTTTCTTGCTCTCCCCAACACTCCTTTTTATTTCTGCTATTTAATTGGTTCCCCTTGAAATTTTTCATGCATTCTTAACTAAACAAGATGTAAAAATTAAGATTATAAACCCTTTTCTAAATTATACAGGACCATAGAACACTTAAACTAAAAATATGGTACTGTTATAGTATTCTTTTCTTTTTTAACTCCACATGATAAAGATATTAAAATTACAATATTGACTTGTTATCAGTATATGTGTATGTATATACCAATTTTCTTTGTTTAGTAATAGTCATTCCTGTCCTTTATCCCTTACATCCTAACCTATTTAACCCAAAGCTTGATTAGTTTATGATTTAATCTTTCTGTGATTCTTTTTGGAAAAAATAAACAAATAAATAACTATTGGCTTATCTCCCCTTTGTTTTCATTCTAGCTTAAGTAAATGTTTAGGAATTCCCTTGAGGTCCAGAAACGTGGAGTCACATCAAATTGTGTTCTATTTTGCATTTTTGAACATGACTGTGGATAAATCGCTTATTTTACCTGCTTTTATCAGTGTCCTGTTGGGAGACAGGAGCAGAAACCACTTTGCATGTTTTTAAAAAGGAAGGAATATGATTTTTAGGGAATAAGGTTACAAATTATTAGAAGGAATAGAGGAACAAAAGGGAGGAAGATGGTGTTTCCAGAGGTAAGGATTACAGAAAGCCTTTGACCCTGCAAGGATGAGTACTGTTCAGAGTCCACCATCGTCTGCCTCCCTTGTCGTGTAGCTGCTACTAGAGCCCCTGTTTATCTGCCATATGTCCCTCTGTAGGAGCTCACAGGGGCGACTGCTGTCTGCTGTTGGTGGTGGCATCACCAGGAGCAGAATGGATTCTTTCTCTCATGCCTTTTAATCTGGCATAGATGCCGTTGACAGAACCTAATAAGAACTCAGTAACTGTCAGAATATTAATGCATGTCCAAGCACTTGAACTAACTTATCATTAAGGTCCTAGAACTGCCTAGCTCTGTAGAATGTTTCTGTAGGATTCATGAAAACTTTTGTGGAAGTCTTAATGGTGTTTACCACATTTAAAAATCTAGATTAGGTCATCTTTTCCCCCCTGTTAAATCCAACTGAAATTCTGAATCCAGTTAGGAAGTTGCAGCTAGCAGGGGCTTTCAGTTGTGCTATGTATTTGGCAAGAAAGTTCAAGAATCGGCTTGTTTTTTTCTAAGACATGTTATAAATTCATTCTAAATATAAATGACATTTGCAGCTCATAGATGCTGTTTTACCCAAACATTTTTTAATTTAATTAAGCATGCTTAATATGATATATCAATGTATTCCTTATTAAGAAAACAAGGGAATGCGGCTGGGCCCAGTGGCTCATGCCTGTGATCCAGCACTTTGGGAGGCCGAGGCGGGCAGATGACCTGGGGTCAGGAGTTCGAGACCAGCCTGGCCAACATGGCAAAAAAAAAAGAAAAAGAAAATAAGGGAATGCCCGGATTGTGTACAAGGTATTTTCCTTTATATATCAAATGGAGGAAACCTGCAGAAACACTGGAAACCAGAGTAAGTTGCTACCTACATACAATTTTCCTTTAAAAATTTTTAAGGAATTCGGGGAACTATTAGACTTGGAGAACTATTTCAAATCAAAGGAAGAAGTGGAGAGCTCTCACTTCCTAGGCTCAAGAAAGCTGAATTTTTATTGGAAATGTAGGACTCCAGTAACACCCTTAATTTGAAGGTGCAGGGACTAAAGGGTGACAATTAGCTTGGGATCCTTTTCAGCCAAAATTATTTGAAGCCAGCTGTGCAGGGAAACCCAAGAGTAGGCCTCTCCTCCCACATCCACTTCTAAACTGCAGCACTGAGAACACCCTTGGGCTGCAGTAGATATCTGCAGTGAGGGCTGAGCCACATCGAAGCTGTGCAGTGACTCAGCCCGCCTTCCTACATTAAACTTGGTAATCTTACATTTATGTTTATTTCTCTGGCTTTGGTGATGAATATGGTATAGTCATATCTTACATGGGGTTAGGTTCTAATGTTAGTAAGGGAAAAAAATCACATATAGCTAAAATCACCCTTGACAAAATTCTAGAGAAGGCATAATCATATTGGAGACTGCCCCATCAATTCTCAGTAGAGCAGGTAGTCACTTTTATGTCCAGCGTTTGAACAGATGGCTAGATGGCTAGGGTGATTCTTAAGTTGAGTGCTAGCTAAGGTAATAGGCTTGTATTGTACGGGCTGAGATTTTAAACACTGCAATGATAAACAGCATGTTGATGTACTTATGCTCTGCAAGATACCCAACGAGAGACTAACGTGGGAATGGCAGGTTTGCATCACATACCTCACACTTACCTCTCTGGAGCATACCCTTCTTGAATGGAATGACTGGTAGACTCACCACTATTTAAATTCTCTATTTCTGGCTAAGTGCACATAATTGAATGTCGTGCATGTCAAGTGAGTGAATGACGTGGCCACTGTAAAGAGATAACATAAATGGATGAATCTGCAACATAAAAAGAGGCTCCACAGAAAACAGTATTTGACAGAAGCAGCTTTTTTCTCAAAATTCTCCGAGACTGAAAATGAGAAGATCTAACAACAAATGAAGAAGCAGTTCAGGATGAAATACTGATAATATATAAAGTGAATGAAGCTGATTATAAAACATGTATGAGAGCTGGATGTGGTGGTGCATGCCTATAATCCCAGCACATTGGGAGGCTGAGGTGAGAGGATAGCTTTGAGGCCAGGAGTTCAAGACCAGTTTGGGCAATATGGCCTGACCTGTAATTTTTTCCCCCCCGTGGGTACAAAGGGAAGGGAAACAGGATCTTCATCTTTTTTTTTTTTTTTTAATGTATGAATATAATTTTGAGTGAAATATATGCCAAAATTTTATGAAGTTTTTTTTTCTTTCAGTGCTTAGATAGATAAATGGTTTGCTTGCTATATAAGAACATAGGTTTGACATTTATGGATTTAACATTCCTGCTTTGACTATTCCTAAGTAACCTGGAAGGCTCAAGATAGGCAGAGGTATGTGATTTTGCTGATTTAATGTGCAGAAATGAGTCCATTACTTAGAAAATGTGCCTTGCCAGCTGCCCGGTTTATCTATCTCAGTACAGCTTTTTCTCTTTCTCTTTTTCTTTCTTTTTTTTTTTTTTTCTGTTTTGTTTTGAGACAAGTTCTCGCTAGACCTGGGTATGCACCCAGGCTAGAGTGCAGTGGTGTGATCATGACTCACTGCAGCCTCAACCTTCCATGCTTAAGCAGTCATTTTGCCTCAGCCTTTTGAGTAGCTGGAACCACAGACATGTACCATCATGCCCGGCTAATTTTTAAACTTTTTTACAAAGGTTGGGTTTTGTCCATATTGCCCAGGCTGGTCTCGAACTACTAGCTTCAAGCAATCCGCCCACAGCTCCCAAAGTGTTGGGATTACAGGAGTGAGCCACCGTGCCCAGTCTGTTTTTCTTGATTAATTCTTCTGCAGTACTTGCCATGAAGTAATAAACACTCCTTCCCTATTAAATATAGCACTTTGAAAGAAAGCAGACTAAATCAAGACTGTTGTTCAAAGTGAATAGATGGAAGAATTGATAGTTCTGTCAGGAAACAGGTTTTTGATATATTAAAGAATAGGATGTTTGACATGAACAGAGTTTGTCATTTTAAACATGGGGGAGAGTTAGGCAATGATATACATAGATGTGAGGATTGACAAAAATGATGTTTCTCTTCTTTAAAAATAACAGGATGGGCCAGGCATGGTGGGTCATGCCTGTAATCCTATGACTTTGGGAGGTCGAGGCAGGATTGTTTGAGCCCAGGAGTTCAAGACCAGCCTAGGCAATATAGCAAGACCCCATCTCTATTATTTAAAATAATAAAAATATTAAAAATTTATTATAAAAAAACAAATATCAGGATCATCTGTATTCAAGAAAAATGTACTGATAAGTAGGCTGCTGTTAATTTCTAGTAAAGAATCTAACTTCAAATCATACATAATTTTAGATAAATAGAAAAAATTCTGTATATTTTAACAGTATTAGGATGATTCTCTAAATATAGGCAAAGAACTGAAGAGTTCCATAGAAGGTGACTAACTATAAATGTATTATACATGACTGGAAAAGTAATGGCAAGCAAGACTTCAGAGCTGAGCTATCTTGATATTTTTATCCAGTGTGTGGGGTGTTACACATGCATCACAGCTATAATAGAGCTATCACATGGATCTTTTGAAAAACAAGATAGAGATGTTTTAAAGGCTTCTGGGTTTGATTTCTTAGTCAGATGCTGTGGTACTTGGCATTTAACAACTAGAATTCAGAATCCAGATTTTTAAAGGTGAATTATTTTAAATAACTGAGTTGTAATAGAGAAGTAATTTATTTGAAATTATTTTAGGAAATGGAAGATAAAGTGACTAGTCCAGAGAAAGCAGAAGAAGCAAAATTAAAAGCAAGATATCCTCATCTGGGACAAAAGCCTGGAGGTTCAGATTTCTTAAGGAAACGGTTGCAGAAAGGGGTAAGTTCTCATGGGTAATTTCCAAATACTTAAGCCCTACAAACTCAGTATGCTGACAGATTGTGAAACGGATATCTGTGCGTATAGCATTGTACTTTATCAGGTATGTACATATGTGTATATGTATCTGTAATGGGTTTTTCCAATATTTTGCAGTTTATAAATAAGCATTGTGAGAATCTACAACTCTTCAGCATTTTTAATAATAAACTATTTAAAGCATGTAGAAATAGTGCAGATATAACAGAACCCATATACCCCTTCCCAGATTTAATGTTTATATTTTGCCATGTTGGTTTCAGTTTTATCTTTCTTAAGAAAGAAAATGTTGTAGATACTGTTGAAACCCACCCTATATGTAAATATGAGCCCTTTCCCTTATCTCTCCAAAAGCAGCCACTATCCAGAAGCTGGTGTTTATCCTTCTGCCCATATTTTGAAACTTCCATATTTTTTGCAGGTGATTCCCACACAACATTCAAAAGCTTAAAATACTTATTTGGATGAAATGATCACTTAATAAATGCACAGCTATCTCCTTTATGTAATATGTTTCACAGTCAGATTTACTCTAATACAATTTAAACATTTTCATTTTCATAGTTCAAATTACTGAAGATATTATTTTCAAATTCTTGCCATGTTTTGCGAGGTAGATACCATTATTTCTCAATAATGAGATTGAGATAATGCTGGCCTGTTTGTTCCCTAAGTATTGTCCTGTGACCCCTTCCTTTGCTGTAAAAAATTAGAGAGTTCCATCTTCAGCTTAAGCATATTCAAATTACTTACTATACAGGGAAGGATGAAATACTACTTACGGAAGAGAATTGTTGAATGAGATGCTAAATCATGTTTCTCCTTAAATACATTCATATACTGATATCGGCTCCTTGCTTAAAACACGTCTGTGTGTGTATTAGCTCTAGGTACATATGGATTGTTTTAAAGTGGCAAAAAATAGAATGGTATTTTTAATCTTACATGAAAGAATAATATTCACAGCTTTGAAATACTAGGATGATGGAATAATGACACCAAATTTATGAAGATGTAAAACTCCCGTACCATGAAATATATAATCAAGTAGGGAAGTTATTACAAAAATGTTAGTTAATGTCTAAAATACATACAGAAACTTTTAAATATATGAAAGGGAACTTTTAAGTGTACAAGAAAAACACTTAAGGTGCTCCTGGATAAAGGATTTTAACAGGAAATATAAAAAACAGAGAAATGTTTATATATTATAGACATCAGTGAAATGCAAATTACATCATAGTATTTATATAACTAAATTGCAAAAATGTTTAAAATAATACCTATTGCTAAGGTTGAAGTTGAATGAAACTAATATGCTCTTTGTTGTGTTTAAACATTAAAAATTATTACTCGTTTCAGAACAGGGTATGGATTAAGGTTTATAAAAATGTTCTTCAAATCAATAATCTCTTATTTATTAATCTAAGAGTATAATTCAGTACAAGGAAAGTCTTCCAAGTTGGAAGGTCCTCCTTATAGCTTATAACTATAATTAGTAGCAGCACCACTATTCAACAGCAGAGAAATGATTAAATAAATTGAAGTAAGTCAATAAAATAGTATTATGTGGTTATTTTAGAACATAAAGATCATAATATAGGGGATAAATAGAAGAAGTAGAATGACAACTGTGTTTTTAGTTATGAGATAAATTATTTAATCTTTGGCTATTAAATTATTTTGATTTGATTATTGTTTAGGAAATATTTTCTTTGCTAATCTCCAGCATAACCTTGGCTAATAGGCTTTCTTCCAACATTGGGCCAATTGTCACTGTAATTTTTCTCTAGCTTGAACTATTTATTTTTAAGTATCTTCAAGTCAGATTTCATATACATTGTATCTTGGAGTTGGTGTTGTAGATATAAATAGTTGAGAATGAAGAAAATGCTACTGAATCAAGAAATAAGTAGATAGAATTTGAGAAGTGAGCTCTTTAATGATTCTGTATTATAACAGAATGTCAGTGAATAAGTTATTTTATATGAAGTTTTGATTTTTTTTAAAACTCTGGATCACAGGTTCTGGGTTTTAATTTTCCTCTATCACTAGTTAGCAAACTTGACAAATTACCTTAGCATCTTTAAGTAGCTTCTTAATTTGAGAAGGTTTGATTAGATATTATGATTATTATAATAGGTCTCTTCTTGTGTTGTACTCATTAATGTTATTATGAGGTTAATGTTATTATTAGGCTTTTAACAATATGACTGTGTACACATGACTACATAGATTATCAGAGCTGGGAGGGATATCAAGAAGCTGTGTGGCCTGTTTTTACATTTTTTATTTCTTTTTGCTTTTTGTTTTGTTTTTTCATATTTGTAGGGGTTGTGAAGTCCCTAGAAAACAGAGAATCCAGTTGTAAGAAACATGGCTTTAAAGTTGAACATTACCACTTTAGGTGATCACTTAGTGTCAGTGTAGTTGTAAATGCTGATGTAAGTATGGCCCATAAATTTGTGTGAGAGGAGGCTTTTATAAGATTGTCATCTAGATCATAATTAATTTTTAAATATTTTCATTACAAACTCATGAAATTTAGAGATTGTTAAAGACATATCATCATCGTTGTTATCTGTGGATCCCAATTTGATAAACATTAGTTCACTTCTCTATCTTAAAGCATTAGCTTCTTTCTCTGACATCTTTGTTGTTTTATTGTCTTTGCTGAATCTCTGCCTTTTGCAGTAACCTTTTCCTTTTTAGGGCAATTCTAATTGTCAGGCATTGATTTTAGTTTTATCTCTAGTCACACTAAATTTAATTCCTTTCCCCCAAGCAGAGTAGCCTAATCTACAGTTAATTGAGACCCCCTTGTGATGAACTTTTGCTTACTATAAAATTACTTACATTAGAAACTGCGTTTATTACATAGGGGGAAAATCTGCCTAAAATTTACATGTGTGTTAAATTTCTCAGTATGTGCTTCTGACAAAATAAGAAATTTGGCAGGCTGCTTTGTTCTCCTCTAGAGGCTACAAAATTCAGAAATAGCTTTTTAATATATTACAGTGCATCACAATTCTGAGGTTTTTCTGTCTGCTCATTTTAAAACATACAGAAGTGAAGCTGCAGAAAGCTTTAGATGGGCCTGTTCCAGGGTTCCTTGTTACTGTTCCGTATGGTACATATACAGTAATACATTAAAGCAGTTTCTGTCTTTAGGCCTTTGGGCCATAGACCAGGTCTGGCTTATCAAAAAGTGGTGGAGGAAAGCAGCCAATGAGACTTTTTCCTCAGGCCACTCAATAGTCTTATACTAAGCTGTGAGTTCCTAGCTATTTTGTTTTATCACATGAAGTATCCCTGAAGATATTAGCTTAAGATTCCATAAATATTATCTGTTTTCTTCCCCTTCACCCTTTGTCCAAGCCCTTGTTTCATACCTGGATTATTTCCTTTGCCAACCCAAGACTGAGATTAGAGCCCCCTTCTTTGAGCACCATATAGCACTGTGTGTGCTTAAGGC
Source organism: Homo sapiens (assembly GCF_000001405.40). Taxonomy (NCBI): domain Eukaryota; kingdom Metazoa; phylum Chordata; class Mammalia; order Primates; family Hominidae; genus Homo; species Homo sapiens. The sequence continues at coordinate 52,553,585 of NC_000015.10, read as the reverse complement.
AGTATTGTAATTGTTGATTTACTTGACTATTGTCCCATCTTTGTATCTGACTCCAGCTCTCACATAGTGCCTCACATATAGCAGGCACTCAGTAAAGATGGGCTCAGCATGATAGGTGTAAGTTAGAACCCAGGCAAATTTATGTTTTTGCTCTGGAAGTCAAGTAGGTTAGTTGTATTAAGGTTGATGTTTAGCTCTCATCACAATTTGCATGTTAGTGGTAAAGGGCAGCTAAAAAAAAAGCAGTAGTCATACTTCATGTCTCTCTGTGAAAAATGGAGGAGGTGTGGAGTAGGGATATGCATTTTAAGTAATAATTTCTAGTGAGTTTATTTCTTTCATTACTCTAATATTTATATTTTTACCTTAATTTTTGGTAAACTGCTCTAGTTCAAATAAGTATGATTTAAATTCTTGCAGAAACACTTGTTCTAAATAACAGAATACCAGGAACTGTAAATAATAGTTTTAATAACTATAATTATGGGGGGGTTGGTTTTTTTGTTTTTGAGACAGAGTCTTGCTCTGTCGCCCAGGCTGGAGTGCAGTGGCACAATCTCAGCTCTCTGCAACCTCCACACCCCGGGTTCAAGCGATTCTCTTGTCTCAGCCTCCAGGGTAGCTGGGATTCCAGACACCTGCCACCACAACCGACTAATTTTTGTATTTTTAGTAGAGACGGGGTTTCACCATATTGGCCGTTCTGGTTTCAAACTCCTGACCTCTGACCTCAAGTGATCCACCCAACTCGGCCTCCCAAAGTGCTGGGATTACAGGCATGAGCCACCATGCCCAGCCAAATTATGTGTTTTATTTATAAAATAATTTAAGCAAGTGTTTCACCTGGTTGTTCCATTAGTAAATGAAAGATTTTATTTCACTGAGTCTGGGACTTCCCAAATAGCTTAATATTATATTAGTCTTGATGGTTCTTTATTAGAACCAGAATGGTTCAAGAAAGCCTGAAGGCAGGTTCTTTTTTTTTTTTTTTTTTTTTTTTTTGTGAGACAGTCTCTGTTGCCCAGGCTGGAGTGCAGTGGGGCAATCTTGGCTCACTGCAGCCTCCACCTCCCAGGTTCACATGACTCTTAAGCCTCAACCTCTGGAGTAGCTGGAGTTACAGATGTGCACCACCACACCCAGCTAATGTTTGTTTTTTGTTTTTTTTGTTTTTTTTTAGTAGAGACAGGGTTTCGCCATATTGGCCAGGCTGGCCTGGAACTCCTGACCTTAAGTGTTTCGCCTGCCTTGGCCTCCCAAAGTGTTGGGATTTCAAGAGTGAGCCACTGTGCCCAGTCTGAAGGGGGGCTTCTCGGCTGTTGACTTATGCTGGAACTCAGTACAGAGACTATTTCATCTAATTAATATTCCTGTTTAAATTCTTTTAGACCAACCTTATACGGACAGTATGGGGTTGCATCGACATCTTAAATCAGTAATTGCTAAGCTCTAATCTGAATTTTTTTTGTTTTTACTTATAGCAAAAATATTTTGATTCTGGGGATTACAACATGGCTAAAGCAAAAATGAAGAACAAGCAACTTCCTACTGCAGCTCCGGATAAGACGGAGGTCACTGGTGACCACATTCCCACTCCGCAAGACCTTCCTCAACGGAAGCCGTCCCTTGTTGCTAGCAAGCTGGCTGGCTGATTAAGAGGCTGAACTGCATGAATCTGCTAAATCTCATTATTTCTCCTTAATATGTTACTTATCTACTTTTTATTTCCTTTCATTCACTAGTCATTTGAGACTGACAGCTTTGCAGGTAGCAGTAGTGTGTGCTGCTATTGTGGAATATACGTGTGTAGAGTTTTTGATTAGTTTAACAGTGCACTGGTGAAGAGGACATGTTAGAGCAACATAAGTAAACTACTTGAAAATAGTTGTATATATTACCTAACTTCTAGTGTAGTACTGGTTCTAACAAGTAACAAGCAAGTTTTAAAATTTTAATGTTTTGGCTTTCATTACTTCATCTTAATTATAGCTTTGTATGTTACTCTTATTTAATATAATCTCTATTGTATTGATTTCTTCTGTATTTACCTTTTGGATTTTGTAAAACAGAAGTTTAAGACCACAAGTTAGAAGAAAGGTCACATATTTCAAACACAACTAGATGGGGCTCTGAAAGATTTGTATCTCTGTGCTTGAACTTGAATGGCCTTAAACCTGTTTCAGCTTTAACAGTAGAATTTTACTTGGGCAATATTTGCCCATTCTGGTGTAACTTATGTGACTCTAGTGCTTAACAGCTGCCGTTGAAGCTAATATTCAGTTCTGTAGAGTTAGAATACCTTTTGTTGTTGAAGATGTGAATGAAGTATGCATGTGCATTAACTGTTGAATTCACTTTTGTGCCATTTTTGTAAATACAGTAGTTTTGCACAACCTCTCACAAATGTCTGTATTAATTTCACATACTTAAAAAGTAGATAATGTGCCAACCAGAAGCACAAGAGTTCCTACACAAAACTCTGTAAATCATTATAGCTTTTGTATAATAAGAGTAGTTTACAATCTCGGGCTTATAGAATACCAAACTGAAATCTTAGTTCAATCTGCCATAGACTTAAGCTTTTCATTTGTTACTAATATCCATGACATTCAGTGGCCTTGTGCAAATACGATATGTTGCTTAGGCATATCTTTTGTCCTATGCAGAACCTTTCATTTTGATTTTTATGAAAGTTGCAATTCATGTAATTTATATAAACTTTTTAAATGTAGAAACTTTTTACTTCCACACTCAGTTTTGGAGACCCTAGAATAAAAGGCTTCAATACTCTGCATTCCATGCCCTCTGCCACCTGCTTTTTTTTCCCCTTTGTTCTTTGACTCAAATGGTATTGAGCTGTTTGTTGTATATGGAAGCATAGGTGTCTATATCCTTACTCTTTTATATAACACAATAATGGCGTTTTCCTTCTAATTTCTCAGTTGTTAACTTCTTTCTCTTTTTTTTTTAGGATAGGGCCTTGCTCTGTCACCTGAGCTCTAGTGCAGTAGTGCAATCACAGCTCACTGCAACCTTACTCCTAGGCTCAAGTTAACTATTCTTGATCCTTTATTATTACTAATATTCTACAATTGTTTAAATAAAAGGAACTTTATAATGAAACGGTTCGGAATACTGGCTCAAGAACCTATGTCAAGATGAGCTGAATTTTGGTAAATTATTTTAGGAATTATGACAAGCTAATTGAATTAGGCTTGTGACAATTAGAGTAATTTACATGACAGGTAAAACTCCTATTAAAAATGTTTAGATGTTTGCTTCTGTAGATGTCACTTTAGTAAAATACCAATTTAGTTTTACTTGTGGCTTATCTAGTTAGAACTTAGCAGACTTTACTGGGACAAGTTTACTGCTCTTGTAGGAGCTCCTCTCACAAGTAGTTGTAATGCTGTAGCATGATACTCAGGATCAGTAGCTTGAGATGCTACTATTTTTCTCTTCATCTTTGACTTGCAGAGAGCCTCCCGTTTTTGGATCCAGGCATCTTTTCTGAATCCTGGTTCCATCAGTATACCTGCTCTCCTATGACCCCAAATCATAGTCAATGGTGCCTCAAACATAGCACCTTAAGTTAAAGGCTGCCTAGTGCTCTGAGGAAAGCTTGCTGATTATCTTCCTGATCTACTCACCCCAAAAGGCAGAAAAGCAACACAGTCACTGCTGTGGTCATTTGTAATGTAAAGATCAGTTATATATATATATTTGTAATGAGAGCAAGTATATACTCATTATAGAATCAATTTAAGAAGTTTAAAATAACCCAGAGTAGAATTTCTATATCTAGTCTTGGTTTTTTTCATGAATATTTGCAAGTAATTACCATTAAATTCACACATGAAAGATTAATCTGAAAGATCAGAGACCATGTTATTCCTGACCACGATAGAACTGCTCCTGTGGTTTGGGACAAGTAATAAAACAACTGCTTGAGTTTTGTTTGTAAAATACATAATTAATATTTGACCTACCTCAAAATGTATTGAGGATCTGTGAAATGCTAAGTGCCCAAAATAAAATATTGCTGATTGTCTTTTTATTAAAAGTAAATTTCCTCATTAAGCCAACCTGCCTTCTGTAAGTCACAGTGCTTAAATCTCAGGATTTTTCATTAGGAGAGACCTGTCGTTAAGGATTTGTAGGTATAATTGCTTAGCCTCCATTATTGGTGCTTGGGATAGAGAGGTTTTAGATTTTTGTTTTTTTTTTGTTCTGCCTCAAAGCTCAGTTTATTGAAGACATTTGTAAGCTATTGGATCATCACTTGAATCAAGATTTTGACTAGTGAGCTTAATTGTCCATTTCTTACAATTTCAAAGTTACAGTCTCAGAAATGGTTAATTTTAATAACTGTCCTATCATAAATTAATGTTGGAATAAATTGAAGTTGTTGATAAATACTTCATGAAAACTAAAGTCTGAAATAAATTACTTGTTTTATGTCCAATAGCTACTACATTTGATAGAACAGTTTTGAGGAACATTTCATTCTTGAACGCAGCATCTGACATGGTTCTCAGCAAGTTGGAATAGTAAGGATTATTGGCTTGTTTCGATGAGTGGAAGCGGCATGTTTGTAGCATACAAGTTATTCAATAATCTTGTGCTGATGACCTAAAAATATGTCTTAACTATTCATCAAGGAAAGCCTGGTGAAGCCTTTACTTGTTACTACTTCAACAGTTGGAATTAGTTGCTCTTTTTACTTGATGAAACAAAACTATACCTCTGAATATTTATGGATACTTTTTACTAAATCAGGCTTGTGTTCTTAATCCAAATTAGTAAAGTTTTATGGAAGCTGAAATGTAATACAGTAGTCTCCCCTTATCTGTAAGAGATACATTCCAAGACCCCTAGTGGATGCCTGAAACCTCAGATAGTACTGAACCCTTTATCAACTATGTTTTTTCAGTCTGACAACCAAGGCGGCTACTAAGTGACTAAGGGGCAGGTAGTATACAGTGTGGATAAGCAGGACAAAGGGGTGATTCACATCCCAGGCAGGACAGAGCAGGAGATCATGAGATTTCATCACTCAGGATGGCTTGTGATTTATTTTATTTTATTCTTTTTTTTTTTTGAGATGGAGTCTCACTCTTGCCCAGGCTGGAGTGCAGTGGTGCGATCTTGGCTCACTGCAACCTCTGCCTCCTGGGTTCAAGCAGTTCTCCTGCCTCAGCCTCCCAAGTAGCTGGGATTACAGGCGTCCGCCACCATGCCCAGCCAATTTTTGTACTTTTAGTAGAGATGGGGTTTCACCATGTTGGCCAGGCTGGTCTCGAACTCCTGACCTCAGGTGATCCACTCGCCTCGGCCTCCCAAAGTGCTGGGATTATAGGCATGTGCCACCATGCCCGGCCGGCTTATGATTTAAAACATGAATTGTTTATTTCTGGAATTTTCCACATAATATTTTTGGACCAAGGTTGCCTCAGGTAACAAACTACAGAAAGTGAAATTGCAGATAAAGGGGATTACTGCTCCTCTGCTCTAAAATTGGTGTTTGGGTGATCAGAAGCAGGTAGCCAATGGGAAGAGCACTTCTGAGTGATAACTAAAGCAGTTTGGTGGCCTTTTCACATTCTCCAATGTTCAAACATATTTTCCACTTTCCATTTTCTCTTTCACCTCATTTTGCCTCTCTATCCCCCATCCCTGCTTATTTCTTAAGCCCATTGATGGCACTCATTAAATTGTATTTAGGGCTAATGAGTCATTGTTCCTTAATATCGTTTTCAATATGCCACAATTTAGGACACATTTAAAATTTTCTAAAACAATATCCTAATCAATATTGACTAATTTGAGCCACATTCCCAACTCTAACTCAGCACACACTGCCAGTCTTCCCCAATATCTGTCTCCTCTCAATTCCCCACCACACCTTATAAAATTGTAATCAAAGATATCTCACTCTGTCATTGTTAATCTAAGAATAAAAACACTGACTTTAATACGGTTTTACTAAGTTTCAACCTTCTAATTAGGTAGGCCTCTAGGTATTCTGCAGATCACTGCTGGTCTTGATAGCCATTAATATATGTTTGTATTATGTTATTTTTCAACTAAATCGCAGTTGGAAAAAAACATATTTAATATTATGCCCTTGGATCTGTTACTGCATCACTAGCACTTGTGATGCAATAGAACACTTCGCCTGTACTGAAAGGGCCAAGAGTAAATGCCTTGTTTTGTTTTTTTGTTTTGTTTTGTTTTGCTTTTTGTTAAAACATGTCTATAGAGTTGGCAGTTAATGCTGAATTTGTCAAATACCCCTTCCAAAATTATACTTGTATTTAAAAAATAAATGGATCTACCTAATTTCTATTGATTTAATTTGCAGTTTTGTCTTATTAAAGTGGTATGTTTTTCAGTGTATTTTTTCTGAAGTTGATCTCTTTACATTTCAGCTATTACTGTATGCAGGAAGAAACTGACTTGTAATCTTTGATTTTTTTTTTTTTTTTGCATTTGTAAAGGCTTTGTACTTAAGGTAGGATTAAATGTTTGCAGATTGTGAGTCTTTTTCATCTTATTTGTGAAACATTACAGAGGAGGGGCTTCAACATGGCTGACTAGAGACATCTGGTACTCAGCTTCTCTACAAAGAGCCACAATAGTGAGGAGATAACACCTCAACTAGATCATTCAAGAGAGAACTCAGGAATTAAACAGAAAAAGGACAGGAAACAGTTAAGGTAGGAGAGGGAAGCAAGGCAGCCTACTTGGCCAGGATCTTCTGGGGGCCTGGAAAGATTAAATGAGTGATTGCCAGAAGTCCACATTCTCACCACAGACTCCTGCATCCCAGCCACAGGACAGCCTTTAGACCCTCGCAGACCCCAAGACTAACATAGGGAGCTGCCTGGAGACCACAAAAGATACTGCTCCAGAGACGGAGCTTATGCCGTCCCCCCACCCAAAGCCCTAAGCAGCTGCAGCAAGGCACCATATTGAGAGCTTAGCCCTGCAAACTGCATCCTGCCCAGAGGCCCTACAGCCCTTGCATCTCCACATCTCTAGAACCTCATTGATGTTCACCACCAATAGCCACCATCACAGCTGGCTGCTACCTACAGGGCTGAAGTGCCCAGCCATTGGCAAAGACCTTGCTGCCCCAGTAGTAAAGCTGCCATGCATTTTCATGTGCCCCAAGGACAAACTCCCCTACCTGTGGTGGTCTGACTGCAGGCTGCTGTAACCAGGGCCAATGGACGAGTGAAGCACAGGCTCACAGCCTCCTGGGTGTGGCTGCTGCAACTGAAAACAACCTTGCCCTCCACAGTGTCAGAGCTGCAGTGTAGCCACTGCCCTGCCACCGCCACCACAAGCATCCTGCTATAAGCCTGAGGATCACCCTTCCCCTGCCTGCCACAGTCAGCACCTGCACACACCACTAGAAGGCTTGAGAACAGGTCCACTCAGTCTGGCTCCACATCCTGTGTCCAAGCATGCCATCCAGGGGCCTGGGGATTACCCAGCTCAGTCCACCATTGTTGACTTCTGAGGACTCCTGGGGGCCTGATGTCAGTCCTGTTGAACCTGCTGCTACCACCACAGTGGGCACCCACCTAATATGCCACCACTAGGCCTGGGGACTGGCCCAACCCAGCCCCTTGCAGCAACTGCCAACACCAGCTCGTGATATACAGAACAACCAGAAATAATAAAATCACAGAAATAAGCCCTCACATATCAATAATAATCTTGTAAATGGATTACAGCTTTCCAGTTAAAAGAGGTAAAGTGGCTGAATGGATTCAAAATCATGACCCAACTGTATGCTGCCTACAAGGAACTAATCTCACTTGTAACGACACATATAAGACTGAAAGTAAAGGGATGGGAAAAGATTTTTCCATGCAAACGGAGACCAAAAGCATGCAGGAATAGCTATACTTAGATTAAACAGATTTTAAGTCAAAAACGGTAAGGAGAGAAGCATATTATTTAATGATAAAAGGATCAATTTTATCAGGATATAACAGTTCTAAACATACTCAGCATTGGAGCACCAATTAATAAAGCAAGTATTATTAGATCTAAAGAGAGACACTAATGCAATCATAGTTGGAGACTGCAACACTGCATTTTCAGCATTAGACAGAAAATTTAAAAACTGCATTTAAATTACACATTAGGTTTGGTGGCTCACTCCTGTAATCCCAGCACTTCAGGAGGCCAAGGTGGATGGATCACTTGAGGTCACCAGTTTGAGACCAGACTGGCCAACATGGTGAAACCGTATTTCTGCTAAGAATACAAAAATTAGCCAGACGTGGTGGCATGCACCTGTAATCCCAGCTACTCAGGTGGCAGAGGCAGGGGAATCTTGAACCTGGGAGGCAGAGGTTGCAGTGAGCTGAGATCACACCAACGCACTCTAGCCTGGGTGACAGAGTGAGACTCCATCTCAAAAAAACAAAACAAAAACAAAAAAACTGCACATTAGACCAAATGGACCTAACAGACATTTACAGAACAGTTATCCAACAGTTACAAAATATACATTCTCATTAGCACATGGAACATTCTGCAGGATAGATCATATGTTTGTTATGACACAAAACAAGTCACAACAAGTTCTTAAAAATCAAGTATCTTTTCAGACCACAATGGAATAAAACTAGAAATCAGTAATAAGAGGAACCTGGGAAATTATAAAAATACAGTGGAAATTAAACAACATGCTTCTGAATGACCATTGATTGAGTCAAGGAAGAAATTAAGGAGGAAATCAAAATCTTTCTCGAAACAAATGAAAATTGAAACACAACATATCAGCCAGGCAAGGTGGCTCATTCCTGTAATCACAGCACATTGGGAGGCCAAGACAGGAGGATCACTTGAGCCCAGGATTTTGAGACCAGCCTGGGCAACATGGTGAAGACTCCATCTCTACAAAAAATTTTAAAAACTATCCAGGTGTAGTGATGCACACCTGTAGTCTCAGCTACTTGGGAGGCTAAGTTGAGAGGATGTCTTGAGTCCAGGAGGTTGAGGCTGGAGTGTTGCCATGATCAAGCCACTGTACCTCCAGCCTGGGTGACGAAGACAAACCCTGTCTCAAAAAAAAAATGTGGTTCATGCCTGTAATCCCAGCACTTTGGGAGGCTGAGACGGGCGGACCACCTGAGGTCAGGAGTTCGAGACCAGCCTGGCCAACATGGTGAAACCCCGTCTCTACTGCAAATACAAAAATTAGCCGGGCATGGTGGCAGGCACCTGTAATCCCAGCTACTCAGGAGGCTGAGGCAGGAGAATCACTTGAACCCGGGAGGCAGAGGTTGCAGTGAGCCGAGATCGTGCCATTGCACTCCAATTGCACTCCAGCCTAGGGGGCAAGAGCAAGACTTTGTCAAAAAAAGAAAGAAAGAAAAGAAAAGAAAGAGAGAGAGAGAGAAAGAAAGAAAAGAAAGAAAGAAAGAAAGAGAAAGAAAGAAAGAGAAAGAAAGACACAACATAGCAAACCTATGAGATATAGCAAAAGCAGTGCTGAGAGAGAAGTTTATAGCAATAAACACCTACAACAAAAAAGTAGAAAGCTTCCAAATAAACAATCTAATAATACACCTCAAAGAACTAGAAAAGCATGAACAAACCAAGCTCAAAGTTAGTGAAAGGGGCTGGGTGATGTGGCTCATATCTGTAATCTGAACACTTTGGGAGGCTGAGGTGGGAGGATCACTTGAGCCCAGAAGTTTGAGACCAGCCTGGGCAACACATTGAGACTCTGTCTCTAGAAATCACTTTAAAAATTAGCCAAGGGCCAGTCATCACCGCATCCCACCTCATGCCTGTAATCCCAGCACTTTGGGAGGCCATGGCAGGTGAATCACTTAAGGTCAGGAGTTCGAGAGCAGCCTGGCCAACATGGTAAAACCCCGTTTCTACAAAAAATACAAAAAAATAGCTGGGCATGGTGGTGTGCACCTGTAATCCCAGCTACTCGGGAGGCTGAGGCAGGAGAATTGCTTGAACCCGGGAGGTGGAGGTTGCAGTGAGCCGAGATTGTGCCACTGCACTGCACCCTGGGCAACAAAGTGAGACTCTGTCTCAAAAAATAAAAATAAAAATAATAAAAATTAGCCAGGCATGGTAGCATACCTCTGTGGTCCCAGCTACTCAGGAGGCTGAGGTGGGAGAATCCCTTGAGCCCAGGAGGTCAAGGATGCAGTGAGCCATGATCACACCACTGCACTCCAGCTTGGGTGACAGAGTGAGATGCTGTCTCAAGAAGAAAAAAACAGTTTTTGGTTTTACTTTTAAATGTAAGAAAGATTTGATTATGGTTATAGGCAAAACAAAAAGTATGAAAGGCAAACCAAAGATAGAGAGGAGGCAAGAGGGCAAGTGCTGGGATGATCAGCCTTAGCATGTCTTTCAGTCAGTGGTGAGTGACTAGAGGTCAGGTGGGGACAAAGGACAGTAGAGGACAGTGCCTGCTAAATGACCTGAGTCCCATCCATAGGAGAAAGGTTGGTAAGGTCATTTTCCAGGGTGGGGTATGAAGGGAAGAGGGTAGAGGTTTGAGAAGTGTGCTGAGGGTTCAGAAGGGTCTTTACAACTTTGTAAAAGCGTGTAAGTACATTAAAAGATCCAGAAAGGATCTCAAAATGTAAAAGTGGTTTCTTTGGGATCATTGTTTAAATTCCTAACTACCATAACTATTTTTTTAAGAGAACCAAATGCAGCAAATGCCATCAAGCAGGGGCTCAACCATAGGGTAAAAAATATGAAATAGAATGATAGAACGGAAACTTGGTTCCAAGTTAAATTCCCATTAGACTTCATTTTCTGCTCCTCTCATCTTTTTCATCAAAAATTGTTATTGCATGTGATTCTGAAGTGAATAGTATAGAAGGACATTGTGAAAACCCAAGAATTACAAAATGTACCTCTCTGCCACCAAGTTTAGCTCTTTAGAGGAAGAACTACTTGGAAGACTCAAACTATTTTGTGTTTTTGGTTTTTTTTCTGGCAGTTGCCTCCATATCTCTCAATAGTATTTTATACCACTGTTTCTTGTTTTCTTAATTTAACTTTAGACATAAATTAATGGGGGCCAGGTGCAGTGGCTCACGCCTGGAATCGGGGACTTTGGGAGGTTGAGGTAGGAGGATTGCTTGAGGCCAAGAGTTCAGACCAACCCGGGCAACGTAGTGAGAATCCATCTCGAAAAAAAAAAAAAAATTTTTTTTTCCAATTAGCTGGGCATGGTGGTGTGGTGGTGTGTAGTCCTAGCTACTCAGAAGGCTGAGGCAGGAGAATTGTTTGAGCCTGGGAGTGTAGGCAGAAGTGAGGTATGATTATGCCACTGCACTCCAACCTGGGTGACAGAGCAAGATCCTGTCTCTAAAAAATACATCATAATAATATTAATAATTAATTAATTAATGGCTTTCCAGACAGATAGATGATGATTTTGCTCACAACACTTCCCACCTCCATTTTTCCCCATCCTTCTTTTAGTATCATAATATCACTATTTTTGATTCCTTTATAGGCTTCCTTTATAATATTTAATAATACAGTTTTATCTTTCTTATTTCATTAGCTGTAGACAGTATTTCTTGGCTCTCTATTGTATAAGATGGCAATATTAAGGCCCTTATTATTTCTCTTTGACTCTCAACCCTTAAGTTTTGTCATGTGTGTTTTTACAATTTCATTATCAAGTTTGATAACATTTGCATTCTATCTTATAACCGTTATTAGTAGTTCTTCTATCTTTAGGTTGATATAAGTCACTGCAGATCAGTTTATGCTGTCTGGCATTTCCCCTGCTTGCACTCATTGTCTCTCCTGCAGCCCTGTGAAGAGGTGCCTTCTGCCATGATTATAAGTTTCCTGAGGCCTCCCTAGCCACGCAAAACTGAGTCAATTAAACGTCTTTTCTTTATAAATTACCCCGCCTTTGGTATCTTTTCATAGCAGCATGAGAATGGACTAATACAGTAAATTGGTACTGAGGTAGTGGGGCACTGCTATAAGAATACCGAAAATGGCCGGGTGCGGTGGCTCACGCCTGTAATCCCAGCACTCTGGGAGGCCAAGGCGGGCAAATCATGAGGTCAGGAGATTGAGACCATCCTAGCTAACATGGTGAAACCCTGTCTCTACTAAAAAAAATCACAAAAAATAATTAGCCGGGCGTGGGGGTGGGCACCTGTAGTCCCAGCTACTCAGGAGGCTGAGGCAGGAGAATGGCGTGAACCTGGGAGGCGGAGCTTGCAGTGAGCAGAGATCGCGCCACTGCACTCCAGCCTGGGCGACAGAGCGAGACTCCTCAAAAAAAAAAAAGAATACCGAAAATGTGGAAGTGACTTTGGAACTGGTAACAGGCAGACGTTGGAACAGTTTGGAGGGCTCAGAAGAAGACAGGAAAATGTGGGAAAGTTTGGCACTTCCTGGAGCCTTGGAGGGCTCAGAAGACAGAAAGAATGTGGGAAAATTTGGAACTTTTTAGAGACTTGTTGAATGGCTTTGACCAAAATGCTGATAGTGATATAGGCAATAAAGTCCAGGCTGAGGTGGTCTCAGATGGAGATAAGGAACTTGTTGGGAACTGGAGTAAAGGTCACTCTTGCCATGCAAAGAGACTGGTGGCATTTTGCCCCTGCCCAAGAAATCTGTGGAACTTTAAACTTGAGAGAGATGATTAAGGGTATCTGGTAGAAGAAATTTCTAAGTGGCAAAGCACTCAAGAGGAAGCAGAGCATAAAAGTTTGGAAAATTTGCTGCCTGATGATGCAATAGACAAGAAAAACCCATTTTCTGGGGAGAAACTCAAGCTGGCAGCATAAATTTGCGTAAGTAACAAGGACCTGAATGTTAATTACCAAGACAATGGGGAAAATGTCTCCAGGTCATGTCAGAGACCTTCATAGCAGCCCCTCCCATCACAGACCTGGAGGCCTAGGAGGAAAATGTGGTTTCTTGGGCCGGGTCCAGGCCCCCCTGCTGTGTGCAGCCTCTGGACTGCATCCCAGCTGCTCCAGCCATGGCTAAAACAGGTCAAGGTACAGCTCAGGCTGTTGCTTTAGAGAGTGCAAGCCCCAAGCTTTGGCAATTTCCTGTGGGTGCACAGAAGTCAAGAATCGAGGTTTGGGAATCTCCATCTAGATTTCAGAGGATGTATGGAAATGCCTGGATGTCCAGGCAGAAGTCTGCTGCAGGAGCAGGGCCCTCATGGAGAACCTCTGCTAGGGCAGTGCAGAAGGGAAATGTGAGGTCAGAGCCCCCACTCTGGGTCCCCACTGGGGCTCTGCCTACTGGGGTTGTGAGAAGAGGGCCACTGTCCTCCAGACCCCAGCATGGTAGATTCACCAGCAGCTTGTACCCTGTGCCTGGAAGAGCCATAGGCACTTAACACCAGCCTGTGAAAGCAGCTGAGAAAAGGGCTGTACCCTGCAAAACCACAGGGGTGGAGCTGCCCAAGGCCATGGGAACCCACCTCTTGCATCAGTGTGACTTGGATATGAGACATGGAGTCAAAAGAGATCATTTTGGAACTTTAAGGTTTAGTGACTGCCGAATTGGATTTCAGACTTGCATGGGGCCTGTAGCCCCTTTGTTTTGGCCAATTTCTCCCATTTGGAATGGGTGTATTTACCCATTGCAGGTATCCCCATTGTATCTAGGAACTAACTAACTTGCTTTTGATTTTGTAGACTCATAGGCAGAAGGGATTTGCCTTGTCTCAGATGAGACTTTGGACTTGGACTTTTGGGTTAAAGCTAGAATGAGTTAAGCATTTGTGGGACTGTTGTAAGGGCATGATTGTGTTTTGAAATGTGAGGACATGAGATTTGGGAGGGGCCAGGAGTGGAATGATATGGTTAGGCTTTGTGTCCCCACCCAAATCTCATCTTGAATTGTAGTCCTATAATCCCCACATCATGAGAGGGACCCCATGGGAGGTAATTGAATCATGGGGGTCATTTCCCCCATGCTGTTCTTGCAACAGCGAGTGAGTTCTCACGAGATCTGATGGTTTTATAAGCATCTGGCATTTCCCCTGCTTGCACTTATTCTCTCTCCTGCTGCCATGTGAAGAGGTGCCTTCCACCATAATAGTATCTTTCCTTAGGCCTCCTCAGCCATGTGAAACTGTGAGTCAATTAAATCTTTTTTCTTTATTAATTATCCAACCTTGGGTATTTCTTCATAGCACCATGAGAATGGAGTAACACACCTGGCGTTTCTAATTATTTTTTTCCCTTGTACTTTTGGCCTCCATCATAGCCACAATTTTTTTTTTTTTTTTTTTTTTGAGACAAAGTTTTGCTCTTGTTGCTCAGGCTGGAGTACAATGGTGCAATCTCGGCTCATCACAACCTCTACCTCCTGGGTTCAAGCGATTCTCTTGTCTCAGCCTCCCAAGTAGCTGGGATTACAGGCATGTGCCACATGCCTGGCTAATTTTGTATTTTTAGTAAAGATGGGGTTTCTCTGTGTTGGTCAGGCTGGTCTCGAACTCCTGACCTCAGGTGATCCACCTGCCTCGGCCTCCCAAAGTGCTGGGATTACAGGTGTGAGCCACCGTGCCCAGCCAGCCACAATATTTTAATGCCTTCTATCATATCAAGTATCTTTAGAGTTTTTTTGTGGGGTTTTGTTTGTTTGTTTTTGCTACAGAAAACTCTGAACTGAATTCATTATTTTCTGGATTACATGAATGGCAGCTATTGCTTTCTGTCCATGTCTTAGGTCAGTGTATCAGTCTGTTTTCACACTGCTATAGATACTACCTGAGACTGGATAATTTATAAAGGAAAGAGGTTTAATTGACTCACAGTTCCACATGGCTGGGGACACCTCAGGAAACTTATAATCATGGCAGAAGGCAAAGGGGAGGCAAGTACCTTCTTCACAAGGAAGCAGGAGAGAGAGAGCAAGAAGGGAGAAGTGCCAGACACTTATCAAACAACCATCTCTCGTGAGAACTCACTCACTATCACAAGAATAGCATGGGGGAAACTACCCCTGTGATTCAATCAGCTCCCACCAGGTCCCTCCCTCACATGTGGGGATTACAATTTGGATTACAATTTGAGATGAGATTTGGGTGGGGACACAGCCAAACCATATCAGTCAGGTTGCCTATAAGTGGTGGAAGTTCTTTATTTTAAAAAATTATTTGATAGTTATATGCATCATAAATATCTTTCTCCAATCCATGGCTTGTCTTAGTTGGTGATATCTGTTTATACATTACTACTTATATTTTAGAACTTAAACATCACCTCCGTGAAAGCTGAATATTTCCTTTCCCCATAGCAAGTTAATTGTTCCATCCTCTGAAACAATAACTATTTCCAACTGTTTTAGCACTGAATTACAATGTATTTTAAGTACCTTCATTCCGTTACTATCCTTTATAGTGTCGTACTATTTTGCTATAGCCCTCAGTCCAGTGCCAAGTCACAGTGGGTACCCAATAAATACTTTCTGGACAAAATTGTATTCTTGAGATTATAGTCATTTCCATTGACCCCTAGTATACCACTCTATAATAGTCAGGGCTATTAATCACAAATATGTAATTCTGGCTCATTTAATCAGATAAAGGATTTATCAAAAGTTACCAGATCATGACCAGAAACGGTGGCTTATGACGGTAATCCCAGCGCTTTGGGAGGTTGAGGTGGGTGGACTGCTTGAGTTCAGGAGTTTGAGGCCAGCCTGATCAACATGATAAAACCTCCATCTCCACAAAAAATACAAAAATTAGCTGGGTGTGGTGGCGCATGCCTGTAGTCCCAGCTACTTGGGAGGCTGAGGCGGGAGAATCACCTGAGCCCAGCGAGGTCGAGGCTGCAGTGAGCCATGATCACACCACTGCACTCCAGCTGGGCGACAGAGTGAGACAGGGCCTTTTAAATAAATAAGAGCGGGACCTTGTCTCAATAAACAAACTAAGTAACTAAAAGTTACTGGATGACTTACAAAATTATTGGAAAGGCTAGAGAAACAGCTTTATGTAAATATTCCAGGAGCAACCCCAGAAACACGTTACAGCAACGGTCTGATCATGGAAACTGCTGCTGCTACTGCTTTTGCCACCACAAAACACTGAAAGCCAGGAGCCCAACCTTGCTGTAACCACTGTTATCCCCCAGATTTGTTCATCTCTGCTGCTATGCTCATTGGAAGTTCTGGGAAGAGCCACTTTCCTCACATTTCTCACTTTTGAATCCTGTCTTGTACAGAGGAATCAAGGTTGTTAGAATCTAGGTTGTTAGAGCCTAGGTTATATGACTGCATCGAGCTACAAAAGAGATGAAAATTTGAGTCTGATATTTCTATCAGGAGGCAGGACTAATATAGAAATTTCCCCTAATTATAGAAAAGATGACAGACAAACATAAATATGACAGCTGTCACACCTTCTGATATGACTCTTCACTACAACACTGCAATGTTGTCAGTCACCCACTTCAGTGTGTGAGAACTTCAGAGAGTTATAAGAATCCAATATCTCCTAGGCCGGGCGCGGTGGCTCACGCCTGTAATCCCAGCACTTTGGGAGGCTGAGACGGGCGGATCACGAGGTCAGGAGATCGAGACCATCCTGGCTAACACGGTGAAACCCCGTCTCTACTAAAAATACAAAAAAATTAGCCGGCATGGTGGCGGGCGCCTGTAGTCCCAGCTACTCAGGAGGCTGAGGCAGGAGAATAGCGTGAACCCGGGAGGCGGAGCTTGCAGTGAGCCGAGATTGTGCCACTTCACTCCAGCCTGGGTGACAGAGCGAGACTCCATCTCAAAAAAAAAAAAAAAAAAATCCAATATCTCCTTATTCATTTGAATTTGCTATGCCTTAAGTTATTAAAAGAGGTCCTTACAGCCAGGTAGTACTGTATACCCAAATATATCAATACATTCTTATGGTCCTAATATTTGAGTTACTCATTCTTTCTGGCTGACCCTAACTTCATTTTGTTCCCTATCAAAAGTGCTCTTTCAGAAGCCACTCAATTATTGATTCAGCTTCCACCGGATCCTGCAGCATGACAGAATCGGGCAGTTCAGGGCATGGAGAGAATATGCAGGAGGAGGTGGGATTAAAAACATGATTAATGGCTGGGCATGGTGGCTCACACCTGTAATCCCAGCACTTTGTGAGGCCGAGGCGGGCAGATCACAAGGTCAGGAGTTCGAGACCAGCCTGGTCAATATGGTGAAACATCGTCTCTACTAAAAATAGAAAAAAAAAAAAATTAGCTGGGCGTGGTGGCTGGCGCCTGTTGTCCCAGGTACTCAGGAGGCTAAGGCAGGAGAATAATTTGAACCCGGGAGGTGGAGGTTGCAGTGAGCTGAGATTGGGCCACTGCACTCCAGCCTGGGTGACAGAGTGAGACTCTGTCTCAAAAACAAACAAACAAACAAAACACCCAAAAGACCTGTGATTAATAATATATTAAAATTGTATAGCACAATCTGGTTTCCAACATACTTTCTCATTATCTCATCTGAACTCCTTAATAATAATACACATAAAAGTTATCCTGGTTTCTTTTTTTTCTTTTCTTTTTCTTTTTTTTTTTATTTTGAGATGGAGTCTCGCTCTGTAGCCCAGGCTGGAATGCAGTGGTGTGATCTCGGCTCACTGCAACCTCCACCTCCTGGGTCCTGGTTCAAGCAATTCTCCTGCTTCAGCCTCCCGAGTAGCTGGGATTACAGGCATGCACCACCATGCCCAGCTAATTTTTTTGTATTTTTAGTAGAGATGGAGTTTCGCCGTGTTGGCCAGGCTGGTCTTGAACTCCTGACCTTGTGATTCACCGGCCTCAGCCTCCCAAAGTGCTGGGATTACAGGCGTGAGCCACTGTGCCTGGCCATGTAGGTTTCTCTGACTAAAAAAGATAGGCTCAGGTTTTTCACTGAGTGAGAGTTTATAGAAAGCAAGGGGAAGAGGCTAGAATGATTCATATGGTAATGAACTAAAGTTGGAAACATCAGTGTGAACTCACATTTACCTTAATATAGACACAGGGCCACATACAGAAATACTTATAGATATGTGTACATGCATGAATTAGTAAACATACATACAGTATTTTCTCACTCTGTAGCTAAGAGGACCTAGAAGCAACAATACCCCAGTAGCAACAAGACCCAAATCTTGGTTTCTAATACCATTCTCCAGTGAAAGTCTCCTTGGAGAAATGGTTGATTATAGAACTGGCTGAGAAAATATATAGGATGAGCCTGGAGCATCTTATAGTTCTAGAAAGTAAGGAAGTACTCTGAGAAAAACAAACGAAACTAAAACCAAATAACATGCAATGATGAGGGTATCAAAGGGACATAGGAGCCAACTGAAAGAGCTCCCCATGGCCATAGCATCAACAACCCGAGCAACAAGATTGAGTAGTACTGAATTATACCCCAGAGTATAACATAAATGCCCATACGTCTATACTGATATCAATAAATGATTGAATGAATGAATACGGGAGGAGATGAGACAAAGCTCCCATGCAGAAGAATTCTAAATAATTTAGGTACTCCATCCTCACGGAGGTGGAGCATATGCCCCAATCTTTAGGTGGGGGCTGCATATAGTGACTTCTTTCGAGACCACAGTATGAAAAAGAGGACTGTGGTACTAGTTTGCTAGAGCTGTGGCTTAAACAACAGAAATTTATTTTCTTACAATTCTGACTAGAAGCTCAAGATCAAGGGGTTGGCAGAGTTGGTTTCTTCCGGTTTCTTCTCTCCTTGGCTTACAGATGGTTGTGTTTTCTCTGTGTCTTTGCATGGTCTTCCCTCTGTACCTGTCTGTGTCTTAATCTTTTCTTCTTATAAGGACATCAGTCATATTGAATTAAATCCAATTGACCTCATTGTAACTTAATTTCTTCTTTAAAGACACTGTCTCCAAATATAGTCACATTCTGAGGTACTGGGAATTAAGATTTCAGCATATGAATTTTGGATGGGGACACAATTCAGCCCATAACAGCAGGAGAAGACACCTTCACAGTGAAGAAACCTGATAAACACAACCTGAGCCAGGCGATCAAGGTCAATATCAACAATGGAAAGTCATGTTGGTAGTGTGACCATGGTGATGTGATGAAAATGACATTTTACTCTGTGGTCTTAGTAGCTCACACCTGTAATCCCAGCACTTGAGGAGGCTGAGGTGAGAGGATCATTTGAGCTCACAGATTCAAGATCAGCTTGTGCAACATTGTAGGACTTTGTCTTGATAAAAATTTTTTTAAATTAGCCAGGCGTGGTGGCACATACCTGTGGTCCCAGCTACTTGGGAGGCTAAGGAAGGAGGATCACTTGAGCCTGGGAGATTGAGGCTGTAGTGAGCCTAGATTGCTCCACTGCACTGCAGCTTGGGTGACAGAGTGAGACCCTGTCTCAAAAAAAAAACAAAAAAAGGCAAAACAAATTTATAATCCCAGTCTAATCAAGACATAGCCCAATTGAGACACATTCTACAAAATATCTGACCTATACTCCTCAAAATTGTCATCAAAAACAAAGAAAGCCTGAGAAACTGTCAGCTAGGAAGATCTTTTGTTCTTTTTTAATTTTTTTTAAATTTAAATAAGGCTTCAGGTCATAAAGAAGATCCTAATGAGACATGACGACTAAATGTAATGTGGCATCCTGGACAGGATCCTGAAACAGAAAAAGGACATTAGGTAAAACTAAGGAAACCTGAGTCAAGTATGTATTTCAGTTAATTATAACAAGTCACTATTGGCTGATTAATTGTAACAAGTGTATCATAAAAATGTAAGACATTTATAATAGGGGAAACTGGTTGCAGGATATATGGGAATTCCATACTATCTTTGCAATTTTTCTGTAATCTAAAACTGTTCTAAAATAAAAAGTTTATTATTATTATTATTATTATTATTATTATTTTAAAAAGCTCCCCTGACTTGCTCTAGGTTGGAACTGGGACTAGAATCTAGGCCATTTGGATCTAAGTCATTTTCACTATTCAAGAGGTTCCATCACCACGACATGTAAGGCAAGTGTGTGTCTGTGGGTGTTGGAGGTACAGGATGAGAGGGGGTCCACAAGTACTATAACATGATGTCATTCAGGAAGATCAAGGCAATATGAAGTCTATGGAATTGGGCTGGAAGTATTTAAAGATCCAAGAAAAAAAATCAACTGTTTGAAGCAATCAGGTGCCATGGAGCTAAGCATAGAGATACACAAGCTGGTCAAATAGCAGGTGGTCAGGACACAGGCTAGAAGACTGGGGTACAAAAGACCAGAGATCAGACAGATACATTAGGACACACAAGATTAGAATCCAGAATTATAGTAATAGGTATCGGGAATAAAAATAATAGTAATAGGCCAGGTGCAGTGAGTCACACCTATAATTCCAGCAGTTTGGGAAGCCAAGGCAGGTGGATCACTTGAGTTCAGGAATTCAAGACCAGCCTAGCCAACACAGTGAAACTCTGCTTCTACTGTAAAATACAAAAATTAGCTGGGTGTGGTGGCACGTGCCTGTAATCCCAGCTACTCATGAGGCTGAGGCAGGAGAATCGCTTGAACCCGAGAGGGAGGTGTAGATTGTAGCAAGCTGAGATCATGCCACTGCACTCCAGCCTGGGCGACAGAGTGAGACTCTGTCTCAAAAAATAAAAAATAAAATAATTTACATTTACAATATACTTTGCACATAAAATTTTCACATATATTATTTATTTGATATTGAATTAAGTATTGTACCTTTTGAGTTAAGTACAGCACTTTTTTATCCTCCTTTCCTAGGGTTGCCTAAGCTCACAGGTGAGGGGCAGCTAGAATAACTAGCTGGAGTTGGGGAAGGGAAGAGGTGGGAAGCCAAGCAGTTCCTGATACTTGCCTCCCATCTTTCAAAAGTGTTTTCAGTTAGCCTTACTGTATTCTTGACTTTTTTCTGTTCCATAGCTTCATTTCCTCATGCTGTTCCCCCACATGTCCTTCAACCACAAACGACTTCCCATCCATATCACCACTTAGATCTCTCAATGAACTATTTGGAGTTCTTTCTCGCTGACTTAAATGTCACCTATGCCCAGTACCTAGTCCTCTGAAGCATTAAATATTAGGATATGCCAATCTCAACTGATGTACTATATATAACCAGTAACACAGCATTGGGCTTCTACTTCTAGAATTGGGCCAATCTTACAGAATTAGTTACTATTTTGTATGACCGTGCAGCAAGGACTGCCTCTTCTGCTACCCCTCCAGCCACCCCTTGCAGTGAGCTCCTCCAGGCCAGTGATCATGTTTCACTCATCTCTATATCTTTATTATCTTAAGTGCTGACATATAATAAGCCCTCAATTAAAAATAATTCAATTGGAATTTGATGACTACCCTAATTCAAATTGCTTCTTCCCCCAAATTCTTTCTTCTCTGTATGTTTTTTCTCATTGCATACTGTTCTGGTTTGAGTTGTGTCCCTCAAAAAATGTTGAAGTTCTGACCTCTCCCCACCCCACCATCCCTGTGAGTGTGACCTTATTTGGAAACACCATCTTTGCAGATGATCAACTTAGGATGAGGGCAGTGGGTTGGGCCCTAATTCAATTATGACTGTGTCCTTATAAGAAGGAACAATTTGGATATAGAGACATGCGCACACACAGGGAGCCTGCCACATGAAGATGAGGGCAGAGATTGGGGGATGTAGCAAAAGCTAAAAAATGTCAAATGCCAAAGATTGTCCACAAACTATCAGAAGGCAGGAGAGAGGCAAGGAACAGATTCTGCTTCACAGTCCTCAGAAGGAACCAACCCTCCCAATCCTTTGATCTCAGACTTCTAGACCCCAGAACTGTGAGATAATACCTCTCCGTTGGTTAAGCACAGTTTGTATTACTTTATCATGGCAGCCCTAGGAAACTAATACACCACTTACCAACTTTACCTTCTAACTCTATCATTGTCTTTCTCCCTGACTAGAATGGAAGCTCCATGGGGTCAGGGCTCTTCATCTGTTTTGCTCATGCCTGAATTCTCAACATGTAGAACAATGTCTGGCATATGATAGCTTCCAATATTTGTTGAAAATAAGGAATGGAATTTTTCATATAAACCTAGACATTGTTTTCATTTGAAAACACCCTACATAAAAATGCTCCCAATAATAAAGCAATAACGGAAAACTTTAACAACTTAAGAATACACTACCCTCTGGCTACTCTGAGAGGGGGATCCTAAACCCTTAGAAGCTGTAACTATTGCTGATTTCTACACCTCACTAGTGACAGGGTGCTTGGGACTATGAACGCATACATGGAAGTGAGCGGAGGCCACCCCTCGGGGCTTCCCTTTGCTGCTTCTGGCTTTTTACTCTGCTTTTTTTCTGAACAAAGTAAAGTAAGGTCAAGAATACAGAACCCGGCCAGGCGTGGTGGCTCATTCTTGTAATCTCAGAACTTTGGGAGGCTGAGGCGGGCGGATAGCCTGAGGTCAGGAGTTTGAGGCCAGCCTGGACAACATGGTGAAACCCCGTCTCTACTAAAAATACAAAAATTAGCTGAGCGTGGTGGTGGACACCTGTAATCCTAGCTACTCAGGAGGCTGAGGCATGAGAATTGCTTGAACCTGGGAGGCAGAGGTTGCAATGGGCCGAGATTGTGCCACTGGACTCCAGCCTAGGCAAGAGAACAAGACTCAGTATCAATCAATCAATAAATAAAAATACAAAACTCTTCTCCTCCTCATCTCCATTACCTTCCTCTTAGTATGGCCCCAAATATTTGAGTGGTTGAATGCATGCGTTCTGGACTTATAAGAGGATAATTCCCCTTTCTGTTTTCTCCTCATCACTTGAAAAAAATAGAAAACGAAGAAAGCATTCACACCTACAAGAACTCGTCCAGTTTTTTAGTTTTTTTTTTTTTCTCAGTATACTCAGCATTTCTCGACAGTCCTGAGAGGTAGGTATTATTTGAAGGTGAGAAAACAGGCAGAGTGGTTACCACCTTGCACACGACATGAAGAAACTGCAAGGCGTAGGAGCCAGGCCTCCTAAATCTCAGTCCAGTGCTCCTTCCGTTCCGCTGGTCGTCACTGCACACGTTTTCTCTTTTTATGTCTGGGTGAAGAAAGAGTGGGTCCCAGAAACATGAAAGCGATTTGGTTTTGCAATGGGAAGGAACAGAGACAAATCTGTAGGACTTTCGACTCAGTAGACATTCCCTCTAGCATTTCTGAGGGGATTGTGGGCGAAGAGGAGAGGTCTGAGTTCCACGGAGTAAGGACTGGCCCCGTTCCTTTCAGTGAATGGTCTTTCTCCAAATACACACGCACACAACACACACAACCGGGGGCCTCAGCCATGAGAGTTGTTCGTGATAGAAATGGTCTACCAGATTACCATGACAGGCACTGGGGACCAGTTGTAGTTCAAAGAAACGAGAGATGAGGGCACTACAAAGAGGCAGGGATTAAACAAACAAAAACAGCAACAACAACAACGACAACAATAAAGAATGAAGATTATTCAACCAGAAACGACAATGAGGGTGGGGAGAAGATAGAGGATGAAGACAGCGCAGGGTTGGGAGTAGAAAGACCACATTCTTGTGCTGGATGTTCAAGGATCACCGTGAGGAGAGTGAGGGCGGCTTTGCCCTTTTGATGTTGAGTTAAACTGTAATACAGATTTTCCATGTAAGTACTCCGTCATTTTCAGGTGGCAACCGGATAAACTTCAGGTGCCACCATGGAGCCGACAATCACCAGCAGCGAACAGGACGGGAAGAAGGCTGGGACAGAAGGGTAGTTGCATCTCCGCAAACGCACAGGTCTAGGAAAGAGGCACCTGGGCTGTCCCCGGGCTATCTCGTTTCAAAGTCACTTAAGTTTCTGTAGCTTAGAAGCGGCCCTTGCCCTCTGGTATCGGGAGACGACTTTGCTGCAGACATCGAGGTGCTCGGAATGACCTTGGTGATCAACCTTAACCTGAAATTCCCGGTCCTGCATTGCCCATCTCCCGGGTCACTGCTGCTGACAAGGCTCTTCTACAGTCCTGGGTTATTCTACAGTCTTTCAAGAGGGCTTCCCCTAAATCCTCTCCCTAGGAATGCTTGGAAGGACGGGAGGAGCAGCCTGGAGGCTCCCATCGTTTATTCGGACACAGTAACAGCCCGTGCCATGGCTGCGCTACCGCGGGAGCTAGGCTCCGCAGCAGAGGGCCCCGGGCTCGCTTCGGGGTGGGGGCGCCCGGGGTGTGCCGCGCCCTCGGGGCTCACGTCCCGGGCGGGTTTCCGGGCCTCGGCAGGGCGCGAGGCGGCGGCGGGGCCGGCTGGCAGGCTGATGATGATGATGCTCTGTGCTCGTAGCCGATGGGAGGCAGCGTGAGCCCGAGAGAGCCCAGAGCAGCCGCGGTGGCAGCGCTGGAGCGCAGCCTCCTCCCGCTCCCATAATGCACAGGGCGGCGGCGGTGGCGGCGGCGGCAGCGGAGGCAGCATCGCGGGCCGCCGAAGTGGCTGCGGCGGCGGCGGCGACCCCTAGGACCCCGGGCAGGTGGAGCGCTCGCGGCTGCTCGCGGCGAGCCCGGGAGTGATGGCGAGGCCCCTGCGGGCGGCCAGCGCCTGAGGCGCCCCGCCCCGCCCCGCCCCGCGCGGCCCTCCCCGCCCGGCCCTGCCCTGCCCTGCTCCCTGCCGGCGGCTGCGGGCGCTTCCTAGTCCGCTCGGGCGGCCGCCCAGGCGAGGTGCGGCCTCCGCACAGGCGGGGGGCGTAGGCGCGCGGGGCCCGCCATGGCTGCGTCGGAGCTCTACACAAAGGTAAGGCACCCCGCGGCCGGCGTCGAGGACTGGGGCTGTGCGGCCCTCGCCGCCAGCTGTCAGGCTGGGGAGGGGGCGGGAGCGCCGGGCCCAGGCGAGCCCCACCAGCGCCATCCCCTTCAGCGCCTCAGAACCCTCGGCCCTACCAGCCGGTCGCCCGCTGCGGCACCTTCCTCTTTCGGGCGAGATGGTGAAGGCGGCGGAAGGTGGCCCGCCTCGGGGGTCTCCCAGGCCCCTGCCGCGCTGCTCGAGCTGGGGGCAGAGCGGGCTTCGGAGTGGAAAGGGGGCCCATGTGGATTTAGCAGGGCGGGCGTGCCTCCCCTCCTGCTTGGCTTTGGAAAATTCCCGGCGGGTGGGAGATGCTTGCTCCAGTAGATCGGATGGGTTCTCTCGTGGGGACACGCGCTTAAAATAACGTCTTGTGTTGGTATGCAGTGCCGCTTCTACCGCCAGCTAGCCTTTCTGTGAGGTTATTTTGAATCCTGCAAACGGTGGCCGTATCACCTTTAGCTCCCCAGTTTAGCTGCGCTGGGGGTGGCGAGCCCCGGGGAAAGATGCTGCCGGATGAACGCGAGCTGATTCACCGGCTGGGAGGGTCGGTACTCATTTATCGCTGGGAGTTTGCAACCTGCGTGTAATCCCGCAGAGCCTTGTTAGGCTCCATGTCTTTACCATCCTCTGGGGCAAGCCTTTCCCTTCTGGGTTTGGTTTAAGGGAAGTGGCAGTCTTTTCTTAGACTGACATCAATATACTCAGGGTCTGGCGATCTCTGAATGACATATTATGGAGAACTGTCACTTGAGTGCTGCGCAGATTTGTGATGACCTTTGTGAATATATGTAATCATGGCATTTTATACTGTACACTCATGTGTAGGTAGATATTTTGCCAGATATTGATTACTTCTACATGCAGTTAATAGAGTTGCCTTTTCACATTAGCTTTTGCAACAGAACTTTCATTTAGGGTCCTGTAATCACTGGAATCATTGTTTCCAAATGTCACTGAAGTCCAGGGCCCAAGTTGCAGTGTGTTTTGTAGAGGAAAGAAGACTGGGCATCAAGAGACCTGGATTCAAGCCGGGACTTACTAACTGTGACCTTGGACAAGTCACTTAACATCTCTGGTTCGATTTCCTAATGAGTAAATGCAGTTAATTATACTTGCCTTGCATCCCTTACAAGCTGTTGTGAGAATCAAACTTAATAATCGTTGTGAAAGCTTTTTGTAACCTATGAATTTCTCTGCAAATATGAGATATATGATTAATTTCTTCAACCATGAAATGAGCTTGCATGAAACATTGTCTGAGACCTCTTTCTTTCTAGTTTTAGATTTAACGACTGTACAGTTGGAACTTCTCTCTCAACCTGGTAATTTCTTTAGGCATTGTAGATCTCTAACATATGAACGAATGCAATTGGAAACTGATTAAAAGTAACTTAAACACTTAATATGGTGCTTGCTATGTGCCAGGTACTGTTTTAAGCGTTTTAAAAATATGAACTCATAATCCTCATAAGGAACTTATGAGGTCGATATTAAGAAATATCAAAATCATTTTCACATGAAGAGATAATCAGTCTGTAAACATTCCTTGGTTACTTTGTGTAGCCCATCCCCTCCACTTCTACATCAAGTTTGTCCAACCCGCAGCCCATGGGCCGCATGTGGGCCCAGGACGGCTTTGAATGTGCCCCAACACAAATTCATAAACTTTCTTAAAACATGGGTTGTTGTGTTTTTTTTGCAATTTTTTTTTTAGCTCATCATTTATCATTAGTGTATTTTATGTGTGGCCAAAGAAAATTCTTCTTCCAGTGTGGCCCAGGGAAGCCAAAAGATTGGACACCCTCCGTTCTATATGGTGAGCAGTCATCTTTGAGTCACCTAATAGTAGGCTGCTTAACTAGAGACTGAGTGGATAATAAATTGTTGTTGGATTTCGAATGCTTTTTTCCCCCAGGATAATTTGGGAGAAAAAATTGAAAAGATGTTGTGATTTGTAAATGGTAAAGTTTTGGGCTTCTGTCACAGCTTTATCACAATCTATTTTAAAATTTACCTTTTAACAGCCTGAGGAACATAATGAGACCTGGTCTCTACAAAAAAATTAAAAAGTTAGGCTGGGCACGGTAGCTCACGCCTGTAATCCCAACACGTTGCCGAGGTGGGTGAATCACCTGAGGTCAGGAGTTCGAGACCATCTTGACCAACATGGCAAAACCCCGTCTCTACTAAAAATAGAAAATTAGCTGGGCGTGGTGGCGCATGCCTGTAATCCCAGCTACTCAGGAGGCTGAGGCAGGAGAATCACTTGAACCTGGAAGGCGGAGGTTGCAGTGAACCAAGATCGCGAGCCTGGGCAACAAGAGCGAAACTCTGTCTCAAAAAATAAATAAATAAATAAATAAAAATTAGCTGGGCGAGTTAGTCACGCCTGCGGTCCCAGCTACTCGAGAGCTGAGGCAGGATGATCAGCTGAGGCAGGAAGATTGCTTGAGCCTGGGAGGTTGAGGCTGCAGTGAGCCATGACTGTGCCACTGCACTCCATCCTGGGCAAAACAGCAAGACCGTGTGTTGAAAAAAAATTTTTTTTAACCTCTTTGTCATTATAAAGACAGACTGGCTTAGAGATCAAGACTGAAGTTGGGGCTTACACTGCCTTCTTCTAAATATACTTATGCCTAATTAATAGTCTGGTTACTTGGTTATTTGTTGGCAAATTCTTTTTGTGAATGGGCCTTAGCTTAATGGCAAGCAGAAATACTTATCAGGCATCCTGTGTGCCAGGTACTTTGCTTAATGTTTAGAGGATTTAACAATGAACAAGATACAGTCCTTTCCCTCAACACGCTCATAGTCTGCTTCTTACATTCTTGACCCACTTTGAATCTATAGGGGCATAAATAACCTGCTGTTACCTCAACAGCAGGCAGACAGCTGGTATGATATTTATTAGTAGAAGTTAGGGAATGGGTTGGGACATGGGGAAGGTTGGGCTGATTCCAGAGATAAAAACTACTATTGTAATTACTAGAGGAATAGGAAAATCATTAGAAGTATTATCAGTGGATAAGCACAAGGATCTTCCCCTTGCAGAGGATTATAGGAAGGAAGTTCTAGGATAGATTACAAGGAAAGATGTATTAGTGATATGCCATAATTATGGTATTTAACATTGTGGTTAAATCTGAAAAGTGCTCTTTAAAAAAATGTCATTCAGATCTTAAGGGCAGATTTTAATGTGTGATACAGATCAGTTCCTATTACAGTGAAGGACAAGAGACTGTTCAATTTCTTCTTTTTAGCCAGAATGGTAATGGTTTTGTCACAGCAATTTAACAAGGCTTCCATTTTGTAAGTTTTTCCAGCAGTATAAACATTTTAAGGACAATAGCTAGGTTCTTGGGATACTTGTCTGGAAACGAATATTTTGGTTAAAACATGTTTTGTTGATTTTTAAAAATAACAGCTTTATTGAGATATGTGTCTTATACCATATAATTCACCATTTAAAGTGTACTATTCAATGGTTTTTGGTTTATTCACAGAGTAGTATGTTGATGTGTTTGTGGTCAACCTGCCTTGCTCCCAAAAGAATTAAAGGAAACTATGATATCTCATTGCTTCTGATTTTGAAAATATTTGCTAGTCTTGACTTGCCAGTGGATATCTATATCATACATCATCCATAGGTGCTTTTGGTAACTAGAAGCAATTCTACATTTGTGGAGTAGGGTTTATCAATTAGACCTAGAAGGATTATCGGGAACATTATAATGAATGGCATGCTATTCCTCCTGTCATCATGTTCCCAGACACCATGGATAGCACCATGGTATCCATGCTATAGGATGGTCAAGATTACTTGAAGCTGGGTTTTTTTTTTTTTAATTTTTTATTTTTTTTGAGACAGGGTCTCACTGTGTCACCCAGGCTGGAGTGCAGTGAAATGAACATGGCTCACTGTAGCCTTTAACTCCTGGGCTCAAGCTGTCCTCCCACCTCAGCCTCGTGAGTAGCTGGGACCACAGCTATGCACCCAGCTAATTTTTAAATTTCTTCTAGAGATAGTCTCAGTATGTTGCCCAGGCTGGTCTTAAACTCCTGGACTCAAGTGATCCTCCTGCTTCCACCTCCCATAGTGTGGGATTACAGGCATGAGCCACCACACCCAGCCTATTTTATTTATTTATTTATTTATTTATTTATTTATTTATTTAGGTTCAGGGTCTCACTCTGTTGTCCAGGCTGAGGTGTAGTGGTGTGAACATGGCTCATTGCAGTATCGACCTCCCAGGTGCAAGCCATCCTCCCACCTCACCTTCCTGGGTAGCTGAATCTACAGGCATGTGCTACCAAACCCAGCTAATTTTTGTACTTTTTACAGAGACAGGATCTTGCTGTGTTGCCCAGGCTGATCTCTAACTCCTCAGGTCAAATGATTCTCCTGCCTCGGCCACTCAAAGTGTTGAGATTACAGACATGAGCCACCATGCCTGGCTTATTTTTAATTTTAAAAAAGTTTTAATTTTTTTGTTTACTTTTGTGTTTTGTTTTGTTTTTACCTGAAGCTGTTTGATTAGGAGGTTCCCATGTGTGCTGAGATGCTGAGTATTGTAACAGTGCAAAGACAATCTAAAATTCCACATTTGCAAAGCATGTTAACTTGCCTAGATGAAACAGCTCTTAAGGTCAGTAGATTGTATATGTGTAACTTTCCATTCCCAACATATCCTCTCATATATACAGGAGCCACATGGCCTAGATTTTTTCTGGGATAGATCCACTTTTATATTCTATGGCACTGTCTCTTCAAACTACTGATCTTGGAAATTCTAATATTTTCATGTCGAGACTGTATTTCTCAGACTGCTTCCAACATCTTAAAGAGGAACAGAAATCTCATCTCTGATCATGTGCCCTGACTTGGAGTTTGGCAAGGATGTTAGCTGTCCTCAAGTCTCCTGTCATGCCCTTTCCATTTGAATTTCCTCCTGGTGTTCCTAGGCCTGTTAACGACTTGCTGTTCTCCTAGTTCCGCAGCTTGGAAACCTCCGTATCTTTTTTCTTGTCTTTCACATTCGACTTCTTCTATATCAATTCTAATTTCAGTTGACATCCAGCTGATAGCTCAGATTTGGAACTCCCACTAGTACTCTTTTTCTCTGTCTTAATGTCCCAAACATGTTTCTGTCTTATTACGGTTACTGTATTTGTGTATATGTTTACCACTCCCACGATACTCTAAGCCCCCTGACATGCTGTTTTGTTTACCTCCTGTAGAGCCTAGCCCAGTGTTACACAGAATAGCTGCTCATTGAATATTTGTTGAATGAATACTTAAGCAGGGGAGGGATGGAATGAAAATAATGGTTTGGCATGATCAGTCCACTTGTAGGGACGAAGCAGGGTATAAAGATGTGGTTAAACAAGTAAACACATTTTCAGGCATGTTGAACAGGATGAGTAATAGAACTGGGAACCAGGGAGACCAGGAAACTTTCAGGAAACAAAATGTGAAGTGGTGAAGGTCTGGTGGACTGAGGCAGGGGCAGAAGGTGTGGGAAAGAAGAGGATAAATCCGAGAGACAGGTCTCTCCGAGATGGATTACATATAGGATGGGAAGGAGCAGGAGTAGTATGAAATAATGCCAGTAGCTCCAGACTTGGAAACTGAAAATTAATTCCTGTTTCATCACAAATTTTGACTGCCTCTGTGGAACTTGAATGCTACTAAGAAATACTTCTTTACATAGCTTGACAAAGCAAAATGCCCATTATTTCCTCTTGAAATTTGTTACTGTTTCTTGAAGTGTGAAAGTTTTGTGTATTGTCCAGAAAAGATTACAGAGAGATTCTGATTCTAATGAGAATTGCTGCTGCCACATATTTTAGATCTTCCTGGTACTTTTAGCTTTTTTTTTTTTTTTTTAAATAATGAAAGAGAACTGGAGGAAGCTTTATGAATGGGCTTCCAGGGATTTAACTGTAACCTCAGGGGAGGGGTGACAGGGAATGCTAACTCGTGTATGGGAGAATGTGGGAGAGGAGAGATGATCCGCCTTACTTCTTACCTCAGAAGGTAATTTAGTTTCTCTGTTTTTCATTTTATGATGAATTTTGCCTCCATTGGGAGAATTCAGGAGTACGTGGTCCACTAGAGGATAGACTTGGATGTATTTGTCTCCACTTCAGGCAATTCCCAGTGAAGTATGAGGTACTGTTGGAAGTCTAAACTTCTGATCTGTGGAGTAAGGTCTGGCCATAGACAAAATATTATGTGAGCAATTCCACTTCTTCCACCTCACCTGAAGGCATGTCCTCCATCCTACAGTGGTCTTCCTAGACTTATTCTATTTATCTTCCTAGGGAGTTTGTCCTTTTCTCCCCAGCACCACCCCACTCCCAATCTTTCATCAACTTTATTGAGGTATAATATACTTGAAAAGTCCCTCATTTTAAGTGTACAGTTTGATGAGTTTTGACACATATATTCTGTCATGTAACCACCGCCACAAACAAGATGCAGAACATTTCCATCACCCCAAAAGTTCCCTTGTGCTTTGTCTCTTATCTTCCCCAACATCTTCAGGGAGTTTACTGGAGTTATGCTTGCTCATTAGGGCAGAAGGAAGTTTTTTCTTTTTGGTTTTTCCGAAATGAATGCTATGGTTCCACCTTAGCCCAACCAATAGAGATACTTATTACAAAGGCCTGGCATTGGAGATCATGGCTGTGGAGTTTCATTTTCAGTGGGAGGCGGAAGTGGATATAAAAGGAGTTTAGATGATTTTTGTTTAATCTTTCCTTCACACACTGACCACTTTGCCTTTATTAATGATGTCTGCCTTTGATGCCTTCTGAAATGCCCTTTGGTTAATTTTGCCCTTTAACGGTTCCTCTTCCCCATCTGTCTTGGTTGTAACATCAGTCTGAGTTTGTGCTGATACAACCTAAACTTTGCAGAAACTTATCCCTGGCTCTTCATGCCTCAGGCATTCTCCATTTCTCTTCTAAGCCCTCCTCACTTGGAATTCTTTTTAACTAGCAGGCATTAGCGTTAAATATCTCCTTGTACAGCAAAGGCTTTTTGCCAATTGTAGAACTTAGGGATGATGTAATTATTTTTTGATTTCAAAATAATGGTTCTAAACTTGATTGAAATCAAGGGAGAAGTGCATTGTACATAATGCACTAAGTGTTCATGAGGACCATGTATCTACCTCCTGTGGCCTAATGTACTACTGTGGCCAAAAATGTGGGCAAGATGCTGGGCTAGAGGGAGACTGGATGCACAAAAAAGATAGGTTTTGTCCATCTTTTGTCACATATACAAAAACATATAGTCCTGGCCAGGAATCCTGCATGTGTGGTTGGGGTTTCTACTTCTTGACAAATGTACATGAAACTAGAGAAATTTCAGAATAGGAGAAGTAAAATGATCAGGGCAGTGAAGAGGCTAGACAGATTAAAGGTGTCGAACTCTCTAGTTTAGAAAGATGAAGGTGAGCTGGGAATACAGTAGAGGTTTTTTTTTTTTTTTTTTGAGACAGAGTCTCGCTCTGTCACCCAGGCTGGAGTGCAGTGGCGTGATCTCAGCTCACTGCAACCTCTGCCTCCTGTGTTCAATCGATTCTTCTGCCTCAGCCTCCCGAGTAGCTGGGACTACAGGCATGTGCCACCACCCCTGGCTAATTTTTGTATTTTTAGTAGCGATGGGGTTTCACAGTACTGGCCAGGCGGGTCTCGAACTCCTGACCATGTGATACGCCTGCCTCGGCCTCCCAAAGTGCTGAGATTACTGGCGTGAACCACTGTGCCCAGCCCTATAGTAGACTCTTTGACATCCAGAATAGTGGAAGTTTGTAACATCAAATCTCAGTTTAGTAGGGATATGTTTTAGATCTTGAAACAAATCAATATATGCCATTTTAAATGAATTTCTACTTTAAACATTTACATTTTACATTTCTGAAACTCATCACTTCAAGTTATGGTATTAGCTGAGGTACAGGATGTAAATAGAGAGGGTCTGGGTAATTTATGGATGAGAGGTTTGGCACATTGACTTACCAAACCTCTCTTTAACAGTGTTAGTCAGTTTACCAGCCACAGCTGTTTTAGTTGGAAGAAACAGAAACCCAAACTCAAAGCCAAAGAGGAGTTTATTTGCTCATGTGACTTAAAAATCTAGGCATGGCTGGAATCAAGGCTCAGACATGGTCATTGGGGCTCTCTTCACTGACTCTCACATGCTGTCTGACATTGGTTTCATCCTGAGGGCAGCTTTTTTTAGGGGTGAAAAGATGGTCAGTGGCACCTGCAGATCACATGATCTTACAGCACTGGGCCTGGAGGAAGAGAGCCTGATAGAGGAATTCTGGTCATGTGCCTTCTCCTTTCATTGGGCCTCTAGGCAGTAGGTGAGGAGCACCATGAGTGGTCAAGTCTGTGCTCACCCCAGAGACCAGGGGGAGGACAGGGCACTGTGATTGATAGTCCTACTCCAACCTCATGGGATGGCTGTGAGCTGTTCGCCATTGGAAGGAAAAGTGCTAGGTAGTCAAAATAAACAACTACCCTCAGTCCATGTATGCTATGAATAGGTCACTGAAAATGATAGTCATGGAATTCTACCCCTCCTTTTCTGATCTTTGAGCAAGAAGAATGGGAAATTTTGCTTGACCGGGGACATTAGGTATCTTTCCCCTAGAGAATCATTTTGGATTGAAAAATAGAAGCCAGGCCAGGTGCGGTGGCTCATGCCTGTAATCCTCAGCACTTTGGGAGGCCAAGGCGGGCGGATCATGAGGTCAGGAGCTTGAGACCAGCTTGGCTAACACGGTGAAACCCTGTCTCTACTAAAAATACAAAAATTAGCCGGGCGTGGTGGCGTGTGCCTGTAATCCCAGCTACTCAGGAGGCCGAGGCAGGAGAATCGCTTGAACCCGGGAAGCAGAGGTTCCAGTGAGTTGAGATCGTGCCGGTGCACTCCAGCCTGGGCGACAAAGCAAGACTCTGTCTCAAAAAAAAAAGCCATGGAGCGTCTGTGCAAGCAAATGTTACTAATAGCATGTTAGAAATTGAAATTTTGAAAATTTATTCAGTCTTCAATTTTGATTTTTCATGTATTATTATTATTATTATTATTATTATTTTTTTTAGACAAGGTCTCGTTCTGTTGCCCACACTAGAGTGCAGTAGCGCAAGCATAGCTCACTGCAGCCTCGAACTCCTGGGCTCAAGCAGCCCTCCCAGCTCAGCCTCCTGAGTAACCGGGACTGTAAGCGCATGCCACCATGCCTGGCTAATTTTTTAATTTTTGTAGAGACAGAGTCTCACTTTGTTTCTCAGACTAGTCTCAAACTTTTGGCTTCAAGCAATCTCCCACTTAATTATCCCAAAAGTGCTGAGATTATAGGCGGGAGCTACCATGCCCGGCCATTATTCAGTCTTAATTTGGGGGCTATGAACCCTATGTCACCTTTCTTACTGATTTCTTTCTACCGTATTTCCTCAGCATTTTATTTCCCCTATTTTCTTCACATCCTTGCTTGCATACGTTATTCTCTTCCCCTATTTTCATACATAGATAAGTTGCACGATTTCTTATTGCACAACAGTAAGAATTGTGCACAATTTCTTTTTGCCTGTCCGTCATTCCTTGTTCATGTCTAGTGGTAGTCTGTCTTCTGTTCTCTTCCTTCCACCTGTTCATCTGCTTTATCCCCCTACTATTTAATTTTATCTACCCACCCCTTATGCCCTGTTATGATTTGTTATAACGAAGTATATATACATCCCACACCTATAATGGAATAAAATAAGTTACTAAAGGGTGAATCTTTTTTTCATAACTTAGATTGAGGAGGGAACTTCATTTTTGTTTTTGCTTTATTACCACTCCCTGATCTGACATCACAAAGGAAGTCATTTTTTATGAGTTTGCATAAATCATTTTCTGTGTTTGTGAGCATGTTTATGTGTTTCAAACAAACACTTTTGTGTTAGACTAGTTTTAGACTAGTTAGACTAGACTAGTTCAACCTTAGTTTTTTAGCTTACCATACTGGTCTGCATTACAGTAAGATGACTAGATATTCCTTTAAAGATATGATCTCACCTTAAAACACTTTTCTGCCAGTACTTAAACAACTTTTACACGGGGTTGGTCTCTCTATGCTTAAGCTTAGAAAAAAATCTTCTAGTTTGATAAGCAGCATGGTTGGGTTGGGAGCAGAATTTTTCTGGAGATGCTGTCTGTAAAATTGGGAAATGTATATCTTAATAATAAGGAATTTTGGTCCACAACCTAGATTACATTTTCATAAAGTCGGAATGTGTATTTCTTGTTTAAGAAATGAAAATGTTAAGCCCCTTAGAGTTACTATTGCATTTTAACCCACTCTTACTGTTTATACTAATTTTTTTCATCCTTGACCAAAATTTCTCAACCTCTGCACCACTGATAGTAGGCTGGATAATTCTTTTTTTTTTTTTTTTTTTTTTGTGGGAGGGGTGGCTCTCCTGTGTATTGTAGTATGTTTAGCCAAATCTCTGACCTTTATCTATGAGATCCAGTAGCACCCTCCATCCCTAGTTGTGACAACCAATATTGCCTACAGACATTGCTAGATATCTCTTGGGATGGTGGGGATGGGGGAGAATCACACAAACCCTTGAAACTGCTAAACTAGATGATAAGCCTTCAACTTAGGGTAAGAACAAGTAGGAAGAAATTAATTGGGAAATTAGAATTAATTGGGAAAACTTTTTTAAAAAGTTGATTTATAAGCATTTTTTTTCTGCTTGTAGAAGTGATGCCTTGTAGCTAATCTGGATTATTTGAATAATACAGAACATATAAGGGAAGAAAGTTAAAATAAACTAATTATACCACCTAGAAATAATCATTGTCAACTATTGATTTACTTTGTTAAGTCTTTTGTCTATATTCACAAATGGTAATGATTTTTAAAATGATTTTTAAACTTAATATGTATTGTGAGAATTTATATCAATAAATATTCGTTGAAAAAATATATCTGTATATATATTTTTTGAGACGGAGTTTCGCTCTTGTTGCCCAGGCTGGAGCACATTGGTGCGATCTTGGCTCACTGCAACCTCTGCTTCCTGGGTTCAAGTAATACCTCTGCCTCAGCCTCTGGAGTAGCTAGGATTACAGGCACCCAGAGTAGCTGGGATTACAAGTGCCTGCCACCACGCCTAGCTAATTTTTTGTACTTTTAGTAGAGACGGGATTTCACCATGTTGGCTAGGCTGGTCTTGAACTCCTGACCTCAGGTGATCTGCCCACCTCAGATTCCCAAAGTGCTGGGATTATGGGTGTGAGCCACCGCCCCCAGCCCACTGAAAATATTTTTAATGGCAGCATAATATTCAGTCATCTGGGTATACCAAAATGTATTTACTGCTGGGTATTTTTCACTAATGGAAGTGATATGTTATGGTGAGCATCTTTGTTCATAAGTCTGCTTAGTCAGTTTTAGTTAATTTTAGAATTCAAGTCTCCCTAGCAAGAATTAGCATTTGTATTTATGCAGGATAGGGCATTCACATTCACTTCATTTTAAAAATAGCACTCTTTATGTGCATTGCCTGAGGGATAGGGTGACCAGATGTCCCACTTCTAGAAGATGCTTTCTGCTTTTTAATACCTTTATTCTGTTTTGAGAAATTTTCTTAGACTAGAAACATATAAGTTCATTTCAAAAATTTAACCTTTTAAAAATTGAAACTGCTTCTTTTTCTGACCATTGTCATTATTGTTGCTTTTATTCACTCTGTTTCTTGATCTTGGATCAATCTGTGCCAGAGAGAATAATTGAACTAGAAAGAATTTTAAAAAGAGAAAAAACATGAAGCTTCTAAATTACTATACATGATATAATTTTAGTTTGAAAATTACCTGATAATATGTTATCAGGACATTGTAGACATGTCCTCCTAATTAGAACAAATTAACAGTGTCTGGAGAAGGCCATGCCTTTGCTTTCGGGGACAGTTGAGAACCCGAGAGTCCTTCAGCATCAACAACCTGCTTTGTAAAACAATTAGAATGGAGCAAAATATGCCCAATGCTAAAGGAGCGTTATAGAATGGAATCTTTATAGCAGTCAGAAGGTGTTTTGGGATTAGTGAGGCCTTCAGGTCATTGCCGTGTGTAGCAGCCCTTCCGAAGGACTAGGATCACGGCAGTAGCCACAGACCTGGGCAAGGGTTGATTGTGTGGAGCCTTAGACATTAAAGGCATAGGAAACTGAGTTGAAGCCTTAGCAGCCTTGGAAGTTTCTTTGCTTTTCTTCCTCCACTAAAACCTTGATTTTTTTTAACCTTATATAGTTGTTACTTGTTTTCTTGTAAAGACTGTGGCTCAGTCAAATGTGTGGTTCCATGGCAGTAAATTATCAAATAATAGTGATTAATATTTACTGAGGCTTTACTGTAGGCCAGATACTATTCTGAGGGCTTTGTTGCAACTGTTTCCTTCCTTGCCTTCCAACCCTCCCAGGGTCCTGAAAGCGAGGCAGTACATCATAGAAGTCAAGGGCATGGAATCCACACCTAGATACTGGATCTTGGTTTGAATCCTGGTTTTGCTATTCTACTTTCTCTGTGTCTTTAAGCAAGCCACTTAACCTCTTTATGCTTCAATTTCCTTATCTTTATAATGGTGATAATAAAACCTACCTTATGTGGTTTTAATGATGACTGACTTATAATATATTAAGAAATGCTTAGAATAGTGACCGGTATTTAGTAAATTCTTACAAGTATTAGTTATTACTATTGTTGCTGTTATAGCTGTCATTCTCCTTTCTCTCTGTCTGCTTTCTCATCTTCTTAAGCTCACTTACCTCCTATTGCACCTTAGATATTGATGTTCCTGGGCTCTGTCCTTGACCTACACTCCCTCCCACTGTGGCCTGATCCAGTCCTGAAGAGTCAGGTGCCAGCCCTGTGCTGATGACTTCCAAACCTGTTTCCAGCCTGCTTGCTCTTCCTACAAACCTAGATCCCTACAGACAACTGCCTTATGGACATCTTCACAAGCCCCCCAAACCCAGCATATTCAAAATCGATTGTCATCTGCTCCCTCCTTCTTCATACTACCCTACCTGATTTAATTTCTCTGTGTCTTAGTTTCTACATCTGTATGATGGCATAATACTTACTTCATAGGGTTGTTATGAAGATTAAATGAGATAGTACATGGGAAGCACTTAGAATAATGCCTGGCACATATTTAAGAAATGTTAGCTACTGTCATTGTTGTTGTTATTTCTTTTTCCTGTCTGGTGAATGACATCAGTATCCCTCCAGTAACCCAAACACAAAACTTAGAAATCGTCTTGATTTACTTTCCCCCACACCCCTGCACCCCACCTAATCAGTTATCATTTCCTAGTACTGTTACTGCTCTATTTGGGGCCCTTATCTTTTTTTTCTTTCTTTCTTTCTTTTTTTTTTCTTGAGACAGGGTCTTGCTCTGTTGCTCAGGCTGGAGTGCAGTGACGTGATCATAGCTCACTGCAGTCTCGACCTTGTGAGCTAACTAATCCTTCTGCCTTAGCCCCCCAAGTAGCTGGCACTATAGTAGCTGCATGCCACCACACCCAGCTAATTTTTTGTTTTTTGGAAACAGGGTCTCACTGTGTTGTCCAGGCTGGTCTTGAACTCCTGGGCTCAAGTGATCCTCCCACCCTGGCCTCCCAAAGTGCTGAGATTAGAGGTGTGAGCCACCATACTCAGCTTGGTCCCTTATTCTTTCCTGGTTCCTCAAACAGCTTCCTAAGCAATCTTTGGTCTTACTTTCTATAATCTGTTTTTTCATTCTGTTACTAGTGAGATCTTTGTAATGCACATATCTGAGCATGCCACTGCCTGGCTTGAAATTCCTTCATGATTCCCCATAGGATTTTGTCCTGAGAATAAATTTGTTAGTGTAATGCTTCCTGAACTTTGGTGTCCATCTGAATTACTAGGAATCTTGTTAAAGGGAAGATTCTGACTCAGTAGGTCTGTGACAGGGCATGAGCCTGCATTTCTAACAACTCCCAGGTGATGCCTGTGCTGAATTGAGAACCACACCTTGAGCAGTGAGGCTGTAGTACACAGGCTCTTCATGACCTGCCTTCGCCCTGGGCCTGCCTCATCTCTCATGTTTCCCTCCTGGCATTCAGTCTTCACTTTAAGTGAGGAGCTTGCCAACTTTGCCTTCTTCTGATTTCCAGCATTCCCCTTCCTGGATTACTTTTCATTCATGAATTAGTTCTTCCGGACCCCAGTGTGGCTAAGATGTTCCTTCTGTGTGTTCATATTGCCCATTCAGTTTACTTCTGTCCTAACCCTTTACTGCACTGCATTGCAGTTGTCTATCTCCCCTTTGCTTCTCTGAACCCCTTAAAGACAGGGAAAACATCTCATTTGTTTCATTTCATTGACAACTTTTTTGAGCTGTAATTCATATACCATACAATTCATTGTATAAAGTGTATAATTCAATGGTTCACATTTATTTTTTGACTCAGTATCTAGACCAGTGTTTGCTATGTAGTAGGTACCAAGTTAGTGATTGAACATATGAATGAGTGGAATTACAATAAATTATCATTGGAAAGTTTTTTCCAAATCTTCTTTGTATTTTTTGGATTTAACGAATCAGATCATTCAAATCATCTTATTTATTTATCAGTAACTCTTCATGTGCTTCCCCTCTTCTACTGCTCCCTCCCTTTGGCACCTGGGAAGGCAACCACTTTATTCTTCTCTTGGCCAGTTTTAACATGTCATTATAGATGACTTTCCTTAGTCTCTTGGCCAGTTTTAACATGTCATTATAGATGACTTTCCTTAGTCTCCAGTGCTTCCAGTTCTCTTTTTCAACCCATGCTATGAGGAGCAGTACTGACCCATGTCAGAGATCTCAACATGCTACTCTCTAGCTCAACACCCCTGAGTGGTACCCAATCACTTACTTCCCCAGCCTAGTTATTGGCTATAGAATTAACTTATTCTTGGCCGGGCGCAGTGGCTCATGCCTATAATCCCTGCACTTTGGGAGGCCGAGGTGGGTGGATCACCTGGGGTCAGGAGTTCGAGACCAGCCTGGCCAGCATGTTGAAACCCTGTCTCTACTAAAAATTAAAAAAAAAAAATTAGCTGGACGTGGTGGCACATGCCTATAATCCCAGCTACTCAGGACGCTGAGTCAGGAGAATCGCTTGAACCCAGGAGGTAGAGGTTGCAGTGAGCCGAGATTGTGCCACTGCACTCCAGCCTGGGCAACAAGAGCAAAACTATGCCTTTTTTTTTTTTAAGATGGAGTTTTGCTCTTGTTGCCCAGGCTGGAGTGCAATGGCACCATCTCGGCTCACTGCAACCTCTGCCTCCCGGGTTCAGGCTATTCTCCTGCCTCAGCCTCCTGAGTAGCTGGGATTATAGGCACATGGCACCACACCCTGCTAATTTTTGTATTTTTAGTAGAGATGGGGTTTTGCCATATTGGCCAGGCTGGTGTTGAACCCCTGACCTCAGGTGATCAGCCCATCTCGGCCTCCCAAAGTGCTGGGATTACGGGTGTGAGCCACCGCACCCGGCCAGCTTATTCTGTAGCCTGGTGATTAAGACTTACGATCTTTTTCTAAACCTACTGTCTTGGCTTGATCTTTCACAACACTGGAGTTTCTCAGACTTTACTATGTGTAGCAATCATCTGGAATACTTTTTTTTTTTTCCTGTGGAGACAGAGTCTGGCTCTGTCACCCAGGCTGGAGTGCACTGGTGCGATCTCAGCTCACTGCAACCTGTTTACCAGCATGGTCTCCGTCTCCTGACCTCATGATCCACCCACCTCGGCCTCCCAAAGTGCTGGGATTACAGGTGTGAGCCACTGTGCCTGGCCCTTTTTGCTATTTTTAAAGGCAACTGGAACAACTGCCTCACTTATATTAAAACATAATTGAGAGTCTTCTATGGCAAAAGAAGTTCCATTACCTTTGCTAATAATAGGTGTGAAATAGTATAGGAAATCACTCACAAAATTACTTGGGAACTCTTTTCCTTTAAAATAAACTATTTAAAAAGGTATAAAAATAATAAATGCCCAGGGTAGAATTTTGGAACATTTTGAAATGCAAAAGAAAAATTGTATGTAATCTCACTGTCCTCAGATACTCTTAATGTTTTGATGTATGTCCTTCTTGTCTTTTTCCCTATATATATATATATTTTTTAGCGAAATGATTTACTTTATGAATACTATTTTCTCTAAGAAGTATATTGTGAAGGTTTTCCCATGCCAATACGTGTTATTCTACAGTGTGTTTTTTTCATGACCTCAGAGTATTATATTGCATTAATCAGTCATATGTTACTGAACGAGACCCCTGCGATAAGGACTTCTAATTTTTTGACAGTTTACATTTAAACTGAAGATAACCAAAGCCTTTGTGTGTTTGTTTACAAAGAAATAAATTGTAGTCATTAATTAATTTAACTGTAATTGCAAAATATCCCATTTTTCTACTATAACAATATTGGAACACAAACTTGGTGAATTATGATATCAATTTTTTTTTTTTTTTTTTGAGACAGTCTTGCTCTGTCGCCTAGGCTGGAGTGCAGTGGCGCAATCTCGGCTCACTGCAAGCTCCACCTCCCGGGTTCACGCCATTCTCCTGCCTCAGCCTCACGAACGGCTGGGACTACAGGCGCCTGCCACCACGCCCGGCTAATTTTTTGTATTTTTAGTAGAGGCGGGGTTTCACCGTGTTAGCCAGGATGGTCTCGATCTCCTGACCTCATGATCTGCCCACCTCTGTCTCCCAAAGTGCTGGGATTACAGGCGTGAGCCACTGCGCCCAGCCGATATCAATGTTAAGATTAATCTAGTTAGATCTTAGAAGACCAAAAAACAAACAGAAATATCAAAGAACTCAGGAATAAATCCTTAAAAATAATTATATATTTGGGATCTCAGAGTATGCCAGGCACAACAGCTTACTAAAAGGCAGTTCTCCAAACTACAGAGGTAGATAGGTTAAGATTATTAATCAGCGGGCCAGTTAGCTCCAACCTGAGAGGGTAAAAGATCCCTTCCCATTCCAGTATTTTGGAAGCCATATAAGGATGAGTTGTATTATAACCTACACATTCTCATGTTAGCTGAGGAGACTACCCCTGAGTAATTAAAGGCACTCAAGATTTGTCAAGCTCTTGCATGCATATTTAATGGAATGATAGCCTCATTGCTCAGAAGCTGTTGGCTTTAGAAATGGAAAGGTTGACTTAGGCTAAAGGAAGGAGAAATATAGCAGAGGCAGTTATTCAAGAAAAAAACACATGTACTGAATCAGGAGAAGTAATGTGGGAAATAATCTCTGAGACAGACTGCGATCTGGAAAGATCTGAAAAGGAGTTATTTAGTTAATGTATTTCAAATAAGCTCCCCTGGTTTGCAGATTCCGTAATTAAATGTTTCTCATAATGAGTTTACAACTGAAATGTGTCTGGGAAACTGGCCAGGGGTTTTAAGGAGCCTGGTTCTTCAGAAGGCATTCACTTCCCTTGGGTCAGAGGTGGCATCTCCTAGGGTTGAAGAGTTTTCTGAGTCTGTGTAAGGAGCAGTGCCTTTGTCTCAGGAAAATGAGAATAGTCTGTGGACCATGCAGAAGTTGCCTCCTCAGTCACTGCCTGTGGGAGTCATTGAGGTCCAATTTGTCTTTTGGAGCTGGGGCCTCCACTAGGGTGTGTTTAAGGAGGATCTAGACAAAACCTGTATAGTACAGCTTAGCTGGTTAGATTGAGGATTAGGATGTCTCATTTGAGTTCACAAAAAATCAAAGTGATGGGTACAATTAAATGAAAGTCAGTGACTGTTTCACAAATCTGTAAGACTCATTTGTAATCTGTGCCATTCTATACATTAGACTTAGGTCAGCGGTCCCCAACCTTTTTGGCCCCAGGGACCAGTTTCATGGAAGACAGTTTTTCCACAGACCTGGGGAGCAGGTGTGGCGATGGTGATGGTTGGTTTTGGGGTGAAACTGTTTCACCTTAGATAATCAGGCATTAGTTAGATTCTCATGAGAAGCATGCAACCTAGATCCTTCGCCTGTGCAGTTCATAATAGGGTTCATGCTCCTATGAGAATCTAATGCCACTGCTGATCTGACAGGAGACGGAGCTCAGGTGGTATTGCTCGCTAGCTCACCACTCACCTCCTGCTGTGAGGCCCGGTTCCTAACAGGCCAGGGACTGGTACTGGTCCATAGCCCGGGGATGGGGGACCCTTGACCTAGATTCTTAATATTGTCCTTAAGGTTAAAGATTTCCAAAAATTCTTATTTGATTTATCTGTTGGCTATGTTTAAGAGGATTTTCTAAGATAACTGTCATAGTGGTGAAATTTAATAGATCTGAATGAGTAGAGGCTAAATTAATTATTTTAAAATGTATATATTGGTGAAATAGATGGAGTAGTTTATTATACATGATTCCAGCTTGAAAATGGCTTCAGTGGGGCAGCAGTTAAAGTTTTCTAAGTTTGAAATTGCGTAGATTTGAGTATATTCAGAATGTGTGGGCTGTATGTAGGAAAACAGAGTCTCA
This sequence comes from Homo sapiens, assembly GCF_000001405.40. Taxonomy (NCBI): domain Eukaryota; kingdom Metazoa; phylum Chordata; class Mammalia; order Primates; family Hominidae; genus Homo; species Homo sapiens. The sequence continues at coordinate 52,510,137 of NC_000015.10, read as the reverse complement.
GCCAGAGTACTGGAACTGCTTCTGTGAATGGTTTTCATTTTAGTCCGCTTAATTCCTTAAGTAGCCAGTTGTCCTTTGGTTTTCATTCTTCACTGCCATAGCAGTGACATCAGATGCAGCTGGAGCTGAAAGTAGAAGGGTTATGTTAATTAATTCTAGTGAAACAAAAACTGCCTCAAATAATTAATGGAATAATAGTCTCATTAAAAGACCTTAGAGCTTTTTTGTGCTCTTTTTTTTTTTCTCCAAGAGATTAGAGAAGGAGAATGGCACAGATTGTTCACTTGAGACCTTTTTAAGCTATTGATCCATCTTAAGTCCTCATCTGATGCCTCTGATTTCAACGTGAATCATTCAGGCCATGTAGTGATTTTCTCTTATTTCCTCTTGAGGCTGCTCTCTCTTTGCCTTTGGTGACAGTTTTCAAGAGAGCAGTGCCTGATCTTTGGCTTGTCAGAATCTAAAAATGGCCCCTATTTTATTGGCTTATTTACAGCTGTCATATTTTAGTTTAAATACAGTTGACCTAGCAAGCAAACATTTGTGTGTTACAAGTATGGGACAAATCCCAGGTGGGGTTGTCTGCCAGGTTATTGGAGGGAGAGAAGAGGCTTATATGTTCCCATCACTGTTTTCTTCATTAATCATGCTGTCTGTCAGCTGATCATGCTGTCATGGAGTTTTTTTGTTTTTGTTTTTCTTCCAAATAGTTAAAGAAAGATGCATTATTAAACAGAGATTAGCCAGAGTTGGGAAAAACAGGTAGAGAGACAAGTAGGAAGATCCTTTCTTATATGTGATCATCTTGGTTTTCCAACCCAATATGAGGATGCTGCCTTTGAGTAAACTAAAAAAGAGTTTAATCTGGCCAGGTGCTAGGTCTAATGCCTGTAATCCCAACACTTTGGGAGGCTGAAGCAAGTGGATTGCTTGAGCCCAGGAGTTCAATCCAAGCCAGGGCAACATGGTGAGACTCCGTCTCTACAAAAAATTAAAATATTAGCTGGGTGTGGTGGCACATGCCCATAGTCCCAGTTACTCAGGAGGCTGAGGTAGGAAGATCACTTGAGCCCGAGAGGTTGAGGCTGCAGTGAGCCACGATCAAACCATTGCACTCCAGCCTGGGTGATAGAGCAAGACTCTGTCTCAAAAAAAAAAAAATTACAAAAAAAGTTGAATCCACTTCCAATTTTAATAACACATGAGAAGAGAATAGGAGAAAATAACGTATAACATACGGCTTACGTTTTTTTTGGTAGATAAGAAGGTACGGATTTCATTGTATTGTTGAAAATATGCAAGGATCTTATGTATGTTCAGGAGCTAAATTTCTGGGAACATAATAATAAAGAGGTAAAGAAAAAGACAGTAAAAGAAAAAGGGAAGCATAAAAACCTAAAATAAAAAGCTAAGTACAGTAGTTTGAGACTAGAGATTTGGGTATAATTAACCACATGTGTGTTACCAGCTATGTGTGGAGTAAACAGGGTTAATGTTTTGGCAGGGGGTGGGGGTGAGGCGGGGAATAATAGCCCAATAATTCAGGGAACCAATGGTATGCCTACAAGTAATCTTGGCCAGTGTGCTATGGAGGTAGCAAACTCACAGTAGATGAAACAAAGGAGGGATTTAGAACACATAGGACTAATATAGATGTATATTTATGTTTCTACTTTTGTTGTTTGTACATTGTGTGTTGTGATGCCTTTTTTGGTGGTTTGTTTTGTCAGGTTAGTTCTACTTTTTTTTTTTTTCCTTATAAAACCCTAACAATGTTTGTTGTAATTTTATCAAAGTTTTCATAAAACTAGCTACAAAATCCACTTGGATTATCTGATTCTAAGTTTTTGAAAGATATGATTGAAACAGCTTTGCCATTTTAGGACTTGTGTGAACCAGAAATACTATGAAAAGAAAATAGAGAAAGACAATTTACAATTTATAAACAAGAGTTAAACTTTACAAATTTGAATGATTAAATAACAAATACATAAAATGAATAAGAAACACCAAGGAGAACAAATAAAATAACAAACAGTAACGTAATATGGTTAAGGGCATCATCTCTAGAGTTAGGTTGAGCTTCTCCTTGTGTGACCATAAGCAAGTTAGTGAATGTACTTTCCTGATAGGGCAGTTGAGAGATTAGATACATACATATATATGTAAAGCCCAGTACTTGGCATATCATAATAGAGTCCCTTAATGTTAACTCTTAGGTAGCATTATTGGCTTGTCTATTTTAAATAATTTATAAAAATCTATTTTCTTATTTTAAAAAAGTGGTAGCCCTAGATAGATCTCTAGTTATTACACTTTTTTTTTTTTTTTTTGGGGACAGGGTCTCATTCTGTTGCTCAGGCTAGAGTGTAGTGGTGGGATCATGGCTCACTGCAGCCTCGACCTCTCAGGCTCAAGTGATCCTCCCACTTCGGCTGGGACTACAGGTGCATGCCACTATGCCCTGCTGATTTTTGTATTTTTTTGTAGAGTTGGGGTTTTGCCATGTTGCTCAGGCTGGTCTGCTCCTAGGCTAAAGTGATCCTCCTGCCTTGGCCTCCCAAAGTGCTGGGATTACAGGTGTGAGTCCCTGTACCAGGCCCTTATCACACTCTTAAAGCTTCTGGAACGTTTTAGGACATCAGCTATGTACACTATTAAAATTTTCCCTTCATTCTAGTTAGGATTTGGCTATGGATACTCTTTCGATTGTAATCTGTCTACAACTCAGCAATGTCAGCACCATCTGACAAAGCTGTAACTTTCATTCCAGTCCCTTTTTAATGTTTCCATCATCAACATTCTTAACCAGTTTTCTGCTGGAAAGGAGAACTGTATTCTAAACGAGGGCTTTTAAAGGTACTGCACCCAGTTGTAATTAACTAGCATAATTAGCATTTTATGTGTAATATAGACATGTGTCATAAACTGTTGCTTGAATCCTAAAGTCAGTTCCAAACCCATTTCTCCTTCTGTTATAGAGGTTCGAAGACAAATATGCCTTTTTCTAACTTCCCTTGCAGTTAGGGCCAGCTGTGTGATTTAGTTCTGGCTAATGTGATATAACCAGAAATCTTCTGGAAGACCTCTACAGGGGGAAAAAAAAGTAGCTTCTCTCATAAAAGGAATAGAAACATTTGTTTGTATATATACTCTCTTTCTTCCATCCTTAAGTATGTAATGTGATATATGGAGTCTTTGGCAGCCAAATTGTAATCATAAGGTGACAAGCCTCAGAATGAAAAGTTAACAAGCTAAGAAGGTAGAGCAGAAAGACAGAATCTGAATTCTTTTTTTTATTTTGAGACAGCGTTTCATTCTATAGCCCAGGCTGGAGTGCAGTGGCACAATCTCGGCTCACTGCCACCTCCCCCTCTCGGGTTCAAGTGATTGTCACACCTCAGCCACCTGTGTATCTGGGATTACAGGTGCAGGCAACCACGCCGGCTAATTTTGTATTTTTAGTAGAGTCAGGGTTTCACCATGTTGGCCAGGCTGGTGTTGAACTCCTGACCTCAAGAGATCCGCCCTCCTTGTCCTCCCAAATTGCTGGATTACAAGCATGAGCCACTGCATCTGGCCAAGGGACTGAATTTTTTTTTTTTTTTTTTGAGAAAGGGTCTCACTCTGTTGCCCAGGCTGGAGTACAATGGCGCGATCTCGGCTAACTGTAACCTCCACTTCCCAGGTTCAAGTGATTCCCACGCCTCAGCCACCTGAGTAGCTGGGATTACAGGTGTGTGCCACCACGCCCAGCTAATTTTCATTTTATTATTATTATTTTTTTGAGACAGAGTCTCGCTCTGTCACCCAGGCTGGAGTGCAGCGGCGCAGTCTTGGCTTACTGCAAGCTCAGCCTCCCGGGTTCACGTCATTCTCCTGCCTCAGCCTCCCAAGTAGGTGGGACTACAGGTGCCTGCCACCATGCCCGGCTAATTTTTTGTATTTTTAGTAGAGACGGGGTTTCACTGCGTTAGCCAAGATGGTCTCGATCTCCTGACCTCGTGATCTGCCTGCCTCGGCCTCCTAAAGTGCTGGGATTACAGGCATGAGCCACAGCGCCCGGCCTAATTTTCATATTTTTTTAGTAGAGAGAGGGTTTTGCCATATTGGCCAGGCTGGTCTCGAACTCCTGACCTCAAGATATCTGCCCTCCTCAGCCTCCCAAAGTGATGGGATTACAGGTATGAGCCACTGCGCCCAGCCAAGAGTCTGAAAAATTTTTTTTTTAATCTTTCAAGCTTTTATTTAAATGCCATGATCCAGGATGGATTTTAGATCTTGTTGAAAGCAGCCACATCCATGGGCTGCACATAGTCCTCAAACGCAGTGATCTGCTCCTCCAGCATATCTGTTCCAACTTTATCATCCTCAACTACACACTGTATTTGAAGTTTCTTAATTCTGTATCCCACTGGAACTAGTTTAGATGAGTCCCAGACTAAGACGTCTGCTTGAATGCTTCTGACGCCCTCTAATTTCGCCATATCTGTCTCATCATCCCAAGATTTCACATCTAATAAGATGGAAGACTTGGAAACAAGTGCAGGTTTTTTGGCTTTCTTTGATTCATATTGTGCAAGACGTTCTTCCCTTAGCCTCTTTGCTTCTTCACTTTCTTCCTCATCATCAGATCCAGAGAGATCAATGTCATCATCATCTTTACTATCTGTAGCTCCACTTCCTGTAGTGTCTTCCACATCTGCAGGACCATACTTGCCCAAAGCTTTCTTCACTCCTGGCAGGCTGGCCTTTTCCTTTTCGTAAGACTTGATGTGATTATACCAACATAGAGCATGACACAAGTCGGCAGGCAGTGGGCGGGGCACTGCTTCAAATACTGCCACATCTGCTTGTGATGGCACATACCCCTTGATGTAGCTCTTGTCTGTCAGGTAATCATTGAGCACCTGGAGGCCGGCGGGGCTTTTCAGGTCTCCAAAACCCATGGCTTTGGCTGTATCTGAGAGTTCTCCATGTACGAATTGAGGGCCCTGAATTAAGTGGCCCACAGATTGTCCTTGGACCTTTTGTTGCATTTGAAAATAAATTAATAAAATGGGCCTGTCTTAAATTCCTACCTCCACAGCTCCCGAAGATAATGGGAACTGCCGAGTCTGAGTTCTTAACGACATTATTGAGCTGCCAGAATAGCCCCGAGATAACCTTCTCTGGACTTCTTGTTAAGGATACAAACTCCTAAGAGTTTAACCTACCTGTCAGACTTTTCTTTTTTCTTTTTTTTTTTTGAGATGGAGTCTCGCTGTGTCGCCCGGGCTGGAGTGCAGTGGTGCGATCTCAGCTCCCTGCAACCTCTGCCTGCTGGGTCCAAGCAATTCTCTGCCTCAACCTCCTGAGTAGCTGGGATTACAGGTGCCCGCCACCATGCCCGGCTAATTTTTGTATTTTTAGTAGAGACAGGGTTTCACCATCTGGTCTTGAACTCCTGACCTCGCGATCCACCCGCCTTGGTCTCCCAAAATGCTGGGATTACCGACGTGAGCCACCTCGCCCAGCGTTCTGTCAGACTTTTCTGTTCCTTGTAGCTGAAAGCATTCCTAATGTAAGATGTGGCAGCTTCAATGTGAATAAAGTTAATATAAAATTGGAGAATTTGTCTATATGGTGTTATTTAGGCACAGAAATACAGGTAATATGGGAATATGACAGCATTCGGGGGTGAAAGATCAATTCTAGTCATGCTTTGGACATTGCAAAACATGGGTATTAATGCCAAAGAATCCAGTCCTAGTCATAATTTCTAGGTTTTCTGGCTACCTCCTCAGTCCTTTCCCACTGTACTTACGGCATTTTAAAGTGTTATCTTCCCCAGGCTTAGAAACCTGAACATGACAGAGGCAAGGATTGAAGTTTCAATAATATGGGAGAAGCTAGCTGGGTATGAGTAAGAGTGAGTGGGTGGAGGACATCAATTAAAGGATGAGTGTGTAGAAACATATCAGTTTTCTAACCATGGTTGTTTCTAGGATATCCCAAGTTTATGGTATCTGCAAATTCTTGAATTTCAGTGGGGGAAAGAAGAGAACAAGATATTTAAAAAGGCAAAAAAAAAAAAAAAAAAAGAAGGAGAAACAGCAGCAACAGCCTTTGAAGGTCTAGAAAATTTTCATGCAAGCGTTAAAAGCTCCTTCAACTTAGGGTTTCACTTCCGCCTGGTTTCTGAACACTTATGTGAAGTTGATGGTAAAGCAATGTCGATCATGTGCTAACCCATTCCTGTTAAGTTTTAGATTAATGGTAAAATGTTTGGTAAATTTGTTCATTTGGTATGGAAAGTTAAAGTAGAGGTAGATAATACCTCTTAGAAGTGAGAAAATACATAGGACCCTTGTGGAAAAAAAGTAGTTAGGAAATTAAGAAAATTTGACCATATCAGGAGACGAACATAATAAGTTTCCACTTACTTAATTTTTTTGATTCAGTTTTTATTTCATTCAGTTTTGTTGTTTCTAAAATTTATTTTTGTAAATTTATTATTATTTTTCCTAGACATGGTCTTGCTCTGTCACCCAGGCTGGTGTGCAATGGCACAATCTTAGCTCACTGCATCATCCTCCCAGGTTCAAGTGATCCTCCCACTTCAGCCTCCTGAGTAGCTGGAACTACAGATATGCGCCACCATGCCTGGCAAATTTCTTTATTTTTTTTTTTAGAGACAGCATCTCACTATATTGCCCAGGCTGAACTCCTTGTCCTGAACTCCTTGACTCAAGAGATCCTCCCACCTTGGCCTCCCAAAGTGCTGGCATTTACAGGTGTGAGCCACCATGCCCAGCCTAAATTTATTTTTTATTGATACATAATAGATGTACATATTTTGCGGGTAATGTTATAATTTAATACATTGATATAATTTATAAAGATCTAATCAGTGTAATTGGGATAGCCATCACCTTCCCTATTTGTTTTTTCTTTATGCTAGAAACATTCAAATTAGTCTGTTAGCTATTTTGAAATATACAGTAGATTATTGTAACCTGTAGTTATCCCACTGATCTGTTGAACACTAGATCTTATTTCTTCTATCAAACTGTATATTAATATTTGTGCCCATTAATCAACCTCTCTTTATCTCCCCGTCCCTGCTACCTTGCCTGGCCTCTGGTATCCACCAGTCTACTCTCTTGTCTTCATGAGACCTACTTTTTTAGCTCTCACATATGAATGAGAACATGTGATATTTGTCTTTCTGTGCCTGGCTTATTTCACTTAACATAATGACCTCTGGTTCTATCCATGTTGCTCCAAATGACAGGATTTCAACTTGTACTTAAATTTGTATCGTTTGCTGAGACTTACAAGGCAATCTCTGTTTCCTTAATCATAAAGGAAGACACTAATTCTTTGTGTAACTGAAGAAATCAACCAAAATGTTATTTACTAATGGCACAATGAGAGAATTGATTACTTTAAATGGAGGCTGACACTTGCAAACCCCTGTATGTGTTCATCTGCCTTTTACATTTGTCAACTAGGTTGGTATCCTCTCTGTTCTCTTACTAAAAGTTTTGGAAATGGCTGGCCTTACTGATCAGACACTTCTATAGATGTGGTATGGTCAGAGGTTATATTATTTCTGGTTTGGAGTGAGAAAGAGAGTTTGTAAATGCACTATAGGTAAATATGGCAAGTCTGCAATTACAGCACTATTAAATATTTAGATCTTATGTACAAATGATACAGAATAATTACGAGCTTTATTTTATATTTTGTCTCTACTCTCTGTTGTTCAGTGTTAGACCCTGAAGTACTTCTGATCTAATTAGAATCCATTTTGTCAGGTTTTGTGAATTTCAAAAATTTATGTATGTATGTATGTATGTATATATGTATTGGGATGGAGTCTCACTCTGTTGCATAGGCTGGAGTGCAGTGGCGCGATCTTGGCTCACTGTAACCTCTGACTCCCAGGTTCAAGCAATTCTCCTGCTTCAGCCTCCTGAGTAGTTGGGATTACAGGTGTGTGCCGCCATGCCCGGATAATTTTTATATTTTTAGTAGAGACGAGGTTTCACTGGCCTGGCTGGTCTGGAACTCCTGACCTCAGGTGATCTGCCCGCTTTGGCCTCCCAAACAAAAATTTAATATTAGTTTATATATATAAATACTATCTTGACCACTATTTAAAAAAGATAATTAACAGCATCTCATATTAATATGGATAAATGTCTAGGATATATTGTTAAATAGAGAAAAGTAAAATACAGTGTGTGTGTGTGTGTGTGTGTGTGTGTGTGTGTAGTATATGTATGTGTGTGTGTGTCTGTGTGTATGCCTATGTTATGGAAGTTTATACTAGACTGTTTAGACTGCTTAAAATATTTTTTTCTGTGGGCAAGAGGGTTTTGGGAGATTTTCATTTTCTATTAATACTTTATTCAATTATGTAATATCTGAATTGTTATAATCAACATACATTCTTTTATAATCAGAAAAAAACAAATATTTTCTTTTTTCAAGTAGTGTAAACAAATATATTCCTTTTTCAATTTTATCTTATTTTTATTTTTATTATTTAGAGCCAGGGATTTGTTCTGTCATCCAGGCTGGAGTACAGTGGCACAATCATACCTCACTGCAGCCTTGAACTCCTGGGCTAAAGCAATTCTCCCACCTCAGTCTCCCAAGCAGCTGGAACTACAGACACACCACCACGCCCAGCTAATTTTTGTATTTTTTTGTAGAAACGGGGCCTCACAATGTTGCCTAGGCTGGTCTTGAGCCCTGGGGCTCAAGCGATCCTCCCTCCTTGGCCTTCCAAAATGGTGGGATAACAGGCATGAGACACCACACCTGGCCAAAGGTATTTCAAAGAGACATTTTTGAGTAAAAAAAAAACGTTTTCTGGCTGGGCGCGGTGGCTCACGCCTGTAATCCCAGCACTTTGGGAGGCCGAGGCGGGTGGATCATGAGGTCAGGAGATGGAGACCATCCTGGCTAACAAGGTAAATCCCCATCTCTACTAAAAATACAAAAAAAATTAGCCGGGCCTGGTGGGAGGCGCCTGTAGTCCCAGCTACTCGGGAGGCTGAGGCAGGAGAATGGCGTGAACCCGGGAGGCGGAGCTTGCAGCGAGCCAAGATCTTGCCACTGCACTCCAGCCTGGGCGACAGAGCAAGACTCCGTCTCAAAAAAAAAAAGTTTTCTGATTTTGTGTATACACACAATACAAACAATATTTAAATATATTTTATAATATATTTAAAGCATTGTTTGATGCTTTTAGAATTGAGATGCCTCACTCCTGATCCATTTTTTGGTGTTGGGATTAGCCTCTTGGATTAGGCATGAACTAAGAAGAACGTTTTTTGAGAGAAGGGAGAGAAAAGGAGAAAGCTACCTGAATGAACTGATTTGGAGGGTACTAAGAAAGGCTACAAATAAAAGAAAATCCATAAAGAATTTCTACAACTCAACGACAAACAACCAAAGAACCCTATTAAACTCCCTGTTGAAAAATGGGCAAAGAGGCCAGGCATGGTGGCTCACACCTGTAATCCCAGCACTTTGGGAGGCCGAGGCGGGCGGATCACCTGAGGTCAGGAGTTTGAGACCAGCCTAGCTAACATGGTGAAACCCCGTTTCTACTAAAAATACAAAAAATTAGCTGGGCCTGGTGGCGCACGCCTGTAATCCCAGCTACTCAGGAGGCTGAGGCAGGAGAATCACTTGAACCCTAGGGGCAGAGGTTGCAGTGAGCTGAGATCGTGCTATTGCACTCCAGCTCGGGTAAAAAGAGCGAAACTCCATCTCAAAAAAAAAAAAAAAAAAAATGGGCAAAGGATTTGAATAGACATTTCTCCAAGAATATATACAAATGGCTAATAAGCACATGAAAAGATGCTGAACATCATTAATCATTAGGGAAATGCAAATCTAGCCTACAATGAAATATCATTTCATGCCTATTATCACACAAAACAAAAACAAAAAAATACAAATGTTGAAGAGGATGTGGAGAAATTGGAACTCTTGTGCACGGGTGGTGATAATGTAAAATGCAGCCACTATGGAAAACAGTATGTCAGTTCCTCAAATTTTTATTTATTTTATTTTTTATTTTTAAGAGGCAGTATTCCTCTGTCACCTACGCTGAAGTGCAGAGGGGTGATTGTAGCTCACTGTAACCCTCAAAATCCTCTGATCACCCAAGCGATCCCCCTGCCTTGTTCTCCCAAAGCACTGGGGTTACAGGTGTGACCTACTGTGCCCGGCCCCCTAAAAAAATTAAACTGATAATTACCATATGATCCAGCAATCTCACTTCTGGGAATATACCCAAAAGAATTCAAAGCAAGGTCTCAAAGAGATACTTGTACATCTGTGTTCACAGTAGCATTATTCACAATGGCCAAAGGATGGAAGCAACCCAGTGTCCATTGGTGGATGAATGGATAAACAAAATGTCGTGTATTTATACAATGGAACATTATTCAGCCTCAAAAAGGAAGGAAATTCTGAAAGATGCCTCAACATGAATAACCTTGATGACATTATGCCATGTGAAATAAGCCAGTCACAAAAGACACATACTGTGTGATTCTACTTACATGAAGTACCTAAAGTAGTACAATCGGTAGAGACAAAGTAGCATAGTTGCTCCTAGTGGCTGAGGGAGGGGGAAAATGGGGCGTTCATTTAATGGATATGGAGTTTCGGTTTTGGAAGATGAAAAAGTTCTGTGGACAGACGGTGGTGATGGTTACACAACAAAGCAAATGTATTTAATACCACCACTGAAGTGTATACTTAAAAATGATAAAGGTTGTAAATATGTGTATTTTACCACAATTAAAAATAATAATAAAAAAAGAAAATCCATTAATGCTTCAGAATCTTCTAACCTTTTCTTGGCCATCCTCTTTGCAAGTTGTTATTTTAAAAGCTTAAATATCTTTAATGTCTTATGGTAAACAAGTATCAGTCCTTCCTTCACTGAGAATGAGATAGGTAGCTAGAACTGGGGATGGAGGAGAAGCTGCTTCAGGAGTAAAAGGGCAAAGAAAAAAGGAGATACTTTGGGCCACTAAAAGCAATTTCAGTCACATCACAATTTTGCCTTGCCTTGGCTCTGCCCCACAAAGCCTAGAATCTAGTAGTAGCTCTAGTTTTTAAAAATCTTAAATGATATCTTACATTTGATATGCTTTATGGAATTCCTGACTACATTCCTGAGCCAGCAAGACATTTGTAGAAATTCATCAAGTCTTTACCACTGCTATTCCATTAGGGGTTAATATGGGTGAGTATTCACATAATAATCTTGGTATGGGGTTGGTACTTCTAAACATCAAATGAAGGCAAACCATAAAGGAAAAAATTGACAAGAATATACAGTTTCAAGCTCTCTACAACAACAACATGTTCAAAAGGACATTAATAGGCCATCTGACAGAACAGGAAAATATTTTTAATTCTTTGGTTCAGGGCTCAATATCAATATATAAAAAGTAATAATATCTGTGAGAAAGACTAACACCTTAATAGAAGAATAGAAAACACTAAGGCAATTCACAAAAGAAACTTAGCCTGTAAACATTGAGGAAGTGTTCAACTCAGTAATGTAAGAAATGCACATTAAAATGAAGAGGTTTTTTTTTAACCAAACAAATTAATAAATATTTTTTAAAATCACACTTATTTCTTAGGGAAATGAACACTATCACAAACTGCTAGTGGGAGTAAAATTCGTTCAGTCTTTCTATAGGGCAGTTTAACACAATATATGTATCAGAAGCCTTAGAATTTTTTACACCCTTTGAGCTAACAGTCATAATTTTAAGATTTATTTTCAGGAAATAAGCATGAATGAATATTGGAAGGATGATTATGTCAGTGCTGTGGAATAGTGTATCCAAGTGGAGATAACGTAGATGTCCAGCAATAGGGAATTGTTTACATAGATTATATCTGTACAAACTAGTGTTTTATAATTTTATTAGTCTTCTTAAATAATTAATTTTTGGTTTTGTTGATTTTTCTTTATTGTACAATTATTTTCTAGTTTGCTGATTATGAGTTTTTGTTGTTTTCTTTTTTCTACTTTCTTTGAGTTTAATTTGCTATTCTTTTTGTAGCTTCTTGGAATGAATGCTCAGACATTGCTTTTCAGCCTTTCTTTGCTTCTAATATATGATTTAAGGATGTAAATTTCCCTCGAAGCAACACTTTGGCTATATTCCTCAGGTTTTGATATGTTGAATTTTTATTATTTTTCATTTATTTATTAATTTCCCTTGATAGTTTTTCTGTGAATCATTTCATAAAGAAATTGCTTTATTTCCAAAAATTTGGCAGTTTTTAAGTTATCCTTCTGCCCTCAATTTCTTCTTCTGCTTCTTTTTTTTTTTTTTTTTTTTTGAGACAGAGTCTCACTCTGTTGCCCAGGCTGGAGTGCAGTGGCGTGATCTTGGCTCACTGCAACCTCCACCTCCCGGGTTCAAGCGATTCTCTTGCCTCAGCCTCCCGAGTAGCTGGGACTACAGGTGCACACTGCCACGCCCGGCTAATTTTTTGTATTTCAGTAGAGACAGTGTTTCATCATGTTGCCCAGGCTGGTCACGAACTCCTGAGCTCAGGCAATCCGCCCGCCTCAGCCTTCCAAAGCACTAGGATTACAGATGTGAGCCACCGCACCCAGCCAATTTCTTCTTTTAAATATTTAAATTTTATTTATTTATTTATTTATTTATCTATTTATTTATTTAAGCTATTTCAGGACATCTGCTCTCAACTTCTAGCATAATTTCACTGTGAACAATGAATATCTGCGTATATTTTTTGAAATTTGTTGAGACTTGCCATCCTGACTCCTCATTCCATCTGCTGCCAGCTGCTTTTAACATTTTTTTCTCGGGCTGGGTGCAGTGGCCCACACCTGTAATCCCAACACTTTGGGAGGCTGATGTGGGTGGATCCCTTGATCTCAGGAGTTTGAGACCAGCCTAGGCCACATGGCAAAACCTCATCTCTACTAAAAATACAAAAATTAGCCGGGCATGGTGGTGCATGCCTGTAGTCCCAGCTACTCAGAAGGCTGAGGTGGGAGAATCGCTTGAGCCTGAGAGGTGGAAGTTGCAGTGAGTCGTGATTGTGTCACTGCAGTGCAGCCTGGGTGACAGAGCAAGATGACTCTGTCTGAAAAAAAAAGCTGTTTCAACTAAGATCACACCCTCTTGCAGGGCAGCCTATATCGGTGACTGACTGGTTGTTGCACAGGTTTAGTAAAGGCCCATCCCCATTGTGCCAACTCAGGACTACCCTGAAGGAAGGGCATTCCAGTTTCACAGCACCTCATGGGGTTGACTGAGGGAGGCATTGCATTCTTCTCAAAGTGTATATTGAATAGAACTTAAACTTTTCTCAGTGTTGAGTCATCAATAGTCCAATAGTACAATGAAGCCCTCATAGTCTACTAAGGTGTTATGGGATATTTGCCCATATACCTCAAGTCAAAATATTTGGAGGGCCTGCGTCCTTCATGATAATGTCATAAACCCTTACTTTTTGTTATATTTTCAAAGCTCCTCTAGATCCCTGTATTTTCACAGCTTTTCTTCCTTAATGAATACTCTTCGGAGGGTCTTCCTAGATTTTAAGAACCTTCTTTAATCCCCAGCCATTTTATAACTCGACTTCCTCTTTCACCTCAGCCACAAGGGACTGGACCAGGAGTGGCAACCTAGTCATTCCGTGTCCATTTCCTGGGACGTTTCCAGGGGAGGAAGCTTACTTTCTGTAGTTACACCTGTAAACTTGAAGCTCAGGAGCTATGCAGTGGGCATCTTTTACCAGTCATGTGGCCTAGAAAGCACAGGGGGCAGATATACACAAATGAGCAGAGATGAGAAACCAAGAGGGATGATGAGCCATCTAAGCCCTGCTTCCAGTCCTGTCTGAAGCACTGTTCCTGTTCTTGGACTTCATGAAGGGACCTATATCCTTATAATCTTCTTTGCCTGCCTTAGCTTAACTCAGGCCAGTTTATGCTACTTAGGACAACATTAATTTTCTTTTTTTTTTTCATTTCTCTTTTTTTTAAAAATTATACTTTAAGTTCTAGGGTACATGTGCACAATGTGCAGGTTTGTTACACATGTGCCATGTTGGTTTGCTGCACCCATTAACTCATCATTTACATTAGGTTTTTCTCCTAATGCTATCCCTCCCCCTGCCTCCCACCCCACGCCAGGCCCTGGGGTGTGATGTTCCCCACCCTGAGGACAACATGAATTTTCTAACTTAAACTCAGATGAACTTGGAAACTGTATAACAGATAAAATTATAAAATAAGACTAGAGGTAGAGTTTTTGAATGAAAACAAGGGATTCTCTCTCAAGAAAAGCTTTAATGCATGCAAGGACTTTATGCCTTCTCTTTTGACCACTCAGAGTCCATTTTTGCTTCTTAAACTTCTATTTATCTATCTATTTACTTATTTTAATTGACAAGTAAATACTGTATATATTTGTGGCTTACAATATGATGTTTTGGTATATGTATACACTATGGAATACCTAAATCAAGCTGTTTAACATATGCATTACCTCACTTTCTTTTGTGATGAGAACACAAAATCTACTGTCAACAATATTCAGATATACAATATATTGTTATTAACCATTGATTATCATGAAGTACAATAGATCTCTGGAACTTACTCTTCCTGTCTAACTGAAATTTTGTGTTTTTTGACCAGTAGTTCCTCAATGTTCCTGGCCCTCAGCCTCTGGTAATCTCCATTTCACTCTCTGCTTCTATGACTTTGACTTTTTTTTACAATCCACATATAAGTGAAATCATGCAGTATTTATATCTCTGTGACTAGCTTATTTCACTTAACATAATGTCCTCCAGGTTCATTCATTGTCCCAAATGACAAGACTTCCTTCTAAGGCTGATTAGTAGTATTCTATTGTGTATATGTATAGTACATTTTCATTATCCATTCATTTGTTACTGGACACTTAGGTTTGCTTTGGATAGTTGAATTTTGGCCATTTTAAAGTCAATTTAATTTTTTTAGTATTTTAGGCTTAAATATATTTTGATATATGTCAAAAAATATGGATATATATATATCATATATCTCAAGAATGAATGCTAGCTAACATTGAAACTTGTAGATAGTAGAAGGAAAATTAATTTGCCAATAGGACATTGTTGAGAATTATGTTATTGCCAACCTTTAACATTTATTGTAAAGTCTATGCAATAGCTGTTCTTGCTTATGTATTGAAGTGCTCAGGTAGATAAATTCAGCGGAATCCTTAACACTTGCCCGTAGCTTGGCACCTAGCACCTAGGATAATAGATAACAAGAAAGGCCAGGCACAGTGGCTCATGCCTGTATTCCCAGCACTTTGGGAGGCCAAAGTGGGTGGATCACCTGAGGTCAGGAGTTCGAGACTAGGCTGGCCAACTTGGCAAAAACCTATCTCTACTAAAAATACAAAAATTATCCGGACGTGGTGGTGTGTGCCTGAAGTCCCAGCTACTCGGGAGGCTGAGTCAGGAGAATCTCTTAAAGCCAGGAGGGGGAGAATGCAGTGAGCCGAGATGGTGCCACTGCACTCCTGACCGGGCGATAGAGCAAAACTCCATTAAAAACAAAAAACAAAAAACAAGAAATAACATTAGATCTTTTATTTAATCATAATGTTATTTTGAAGGACCTCTGTGACTAAATACTATAGTATATTTGTAACCCAATACTAAATGATTTCCATTGGCAAGAAAGATCTGTGGGTGTTAGCACAGAACCAAGAAGACCCTTGGTCCCTTGTACATCTGTGGGCTTTGTTCTGGTCCCCAGCCAGAAATTTCATCTTATATTTTTGTTCATATTGGATAGCAGATTATGGGTGGATTAGTGAAAAGCCATCCTTAGTAATAGGGAATGTTTTGATGATGAGTCATTAATGCTTTTTGTTTGGAGATCAAAGATGACACCATTCAGTGATAAACATGTATTTCCTTCATATGATATAGGGAACATGTTTGACTCTGTATTGCTGATTTGCTCTGGTCCTCCCTGCCTCATTCTTTTCTGTCTATTACAGGTCGACATCTCAGATTGTGGGGTGTTGGAGCGAGGGGCCAGGCAGTGAAGCTTGCTGTGCTCGTAGTTTGCTCTTGGGCTTTTAGTTGTTTTTTTCTACTCTTGTATGATACAAGCTAAAATATGGTTTCGTAATATTTTTGTTTCAGATAATTTATTATTGAATACAGATTATAGTTTCAGATAAAGAATATACTTTTCCTATATTTCCCTCACTTCCTTCAATTCTTGTCTATGGAGGCTGTGTAACAGTAACTCAGAATGCACGGTATTTCTAGTGTGTGGACCTTGTTGTCAAGGTTTTAGACACACTGAGCCTAATGTCTTCTAGAGTATAATATTATTGTATAAGCAAGTATCAGTGCTAAAGAATACATTTTTTTTCTTTTTTTTTTGAGACTGAGTCTCGCTCTATCGCCCAGACTGGAGTGCAATGGCATGATCTTGGCTCACTGCAACCTCTGCCTCCCGGCTTCAAGCGATTCTCTTGCCTCAGCCTCCCGAGTAGCTGGGATTAGAGGGGCCCGCCACCGTGCCCAGCTGATTTTTGTATTTTTAGTAGAACGGAGTTTCACGGTGTTGGCCAGGCTAGTCTCAAACTCCTGACCTCAAGTGATCTGCCTGCCTCGACCTCTCAAAGTGCTGAGATTACAGGTGTGAGCCACCATGCCCAGCTCCAGTAATAAATTTTTGAAATGGAAGAAACATTCTCCATTCTTTGTTAATGTGCTATGGGAAAGAGTGGCTACATATTTATTTTATAGCTCTGGAATTAATGATTCAAAGTATTATACATCTCATTTGCAATGCTCCATAGATTATTTAAGATCATTTGCTAGCCACTTAATCTGTGGCTATAATTAAATTACTCTCAAACTTCCGGCTCTGAGATTTAGTTTTTCTTGGACAAAAGGCTACCTTTTCTATCTCTATCTTCCAAAACATGTTCACTAACTCTTGAGAGTCCCAATCAAAAGCCTTTTTCACATATGGCCTGCACCTCAGGCCTTTCTTCCCTCAGGCCTTGGTGATAGACTAAGGGTTCTATAAATTCTGATTCTCATCCCCACCAGCCTATAGGCTCTGTTGACTCATAGCCTAAGCACTATCTCTGAGTTTTCTCCTATGTTTAAAAACTACCAAAACTTTTTATTATGGGAAAATCTCACATATATACTAAAGTAGAAAGAACAGTACAATAAATTCCCATGTGCCCGGGCCCCAACTTCAACAGTATCAACTCCTGGCCAATCTTATGTCAGCTATATCCTCACTCATTTTGCCTTTCCATGTTATTTTGAAGCAAGTCCCAGACATACTGTTAATTCATCCCAGATATTCCACTGTGTATCTGTGCAGAAAAGAGCATAGCAGGCCTGATTGCTGTCCTTTGGAAGGCCTGTTTACAAGGTTGGCCCTTGGCGAGCATCTGGGAACTTGGATTTTGGGAGGGTTCTCAACCACCCTAACTAGTAGTAGTGTACTGTACCTAAGCTTTGTGTGCAAACTACATGGTTTGTGGTGAATACTTGCTTTCCTTCTGGGAGTCTGGAATCTTAGTAAGTGCTATACAGAGTTTGCCTATGTAACCTGTCCTCAGTAAAAACTGAGCAATGTGTCCCTAATGAGCCTCTCTGGTAGACAGCATTATTGTAACTAGCCGCTGGGGGAATTAAGCCCATCCTGTGTGACTTCACTGGGAGAGGGCTCTTCGAAACCTGTATTTGGTTTCCTCTAAACATTATGTCATGCACCTTTTACTTTTGCTGATTTTGCTCCGTGTCTTTTTGCTGTAATAAATCTTGGCCACGAGTACAGTTATATGCTGAGTCTTGTGAACCCTCCTACCAAATCACCAAACCTGGGTGTGGTCTGGGGATCCCTGACAGATTATCTCTAACATAAGCACTTAAAAAAATCTATATATCTATGTATGACCACAAAACCATTGTGACACCTAAAAATGTTTATAATTCCTTAATATTATCAAATATCAAGCCAGTGTTTGCATTTCCTATTGTCTCATAAATGTCATATTCTTTTTGTCTACTTTGTTCTAATCAAGGTTCAGGTATTGCAACTGGTTGACACTTATTGTAAGTCTCAAGCTATAGGTTCGTACTCTATCTCTTTTTCTTTTCTTTTTTCCTTGAAATTTATTTTGTTGAAAAAACTGGATCATTTTTCCTGCATAGTTTCCCGCAGTCCAGTTTTTGCTAATTATGTTGCCATGGTGTAGTTCAATGTGTTGCTTTGTAAATTAGTAGTTGGATCTAGATGCTTCGTGTATGAGTTTTTGAAAGCCCAATGCCTTCATATATCCTGAGGATATGCCTTAATTTCCGTTTGATTAATGTTTGCCAAGAACATTGATGTACTTGGATAAAAGGGGATTAAACAGTAAATATCTTTGTTTTTGTTAGCATGAGACAGATCTTCTGACACTTGGAGCCTGACTCATGTTACTTTAGAGAATCCAATAAAAAATACATGGCTTAGTGTTCATTACTTGCTTTTCAGGAGGTAACCCTGGCGGGGATCTCTGAGCAAAAGCTGGCTTTAATTATCTAGAGTTGGTACAGTGTCATTGTGACTAGATATTATGATGTAGGTGGAAATGTGGGGTTTTCTTATTTTTTAAAGACTCTATAAAAACAAAATATTAATAGAAAACATCAGAACCCTACTAAAAATTGTAGACCCCCACATGCATTAATTTTCTATGCAATGAAATCCTTCAGTACCTTAGTAATGAAGTTCTAATTAATGAGTTACTTAAGTCCCTCTTAATTCAACTTGGTAGGAATAATCCAACAGCCAAGGCCCAATGTAGTTATCATCGTAGGTCATCTTTGGAGATGTGCCTTTTTTGAAACAGCTGGATGGTTGGGCGTTTAATAAATATTTAGAATGTAAATGTATACTTAAATTTAAAAAAATTAAATTGTAAAATACACATAACGTAAGTTAACCATCTTAACCATGTGTAAGTGTACAGGTCAGTAATGTTAAGTACATTCATATTGTTGTACAACCAGGCCAGGCATGGTGCTCACACCTATAATCCCAGCACTTTGAGAGGCTGGGGCAGGAGGATCCCTTGAGCGCAGGAGTTCAAGACCAGCTTAGGTAACATAGTGAGACCCCGTCTATACAAAAAATAAAAAAATTAGCTGGATGTGGTGGCTGCACCTCTAGTTATAGCTACTTGGGAGGCTGAGGTGGGAGGATTGCTTGAGCCCAGGAGTTTGAGGTTGCAGTGAGCTGTGATCATCACACCACTGCACTCCAGCCTCGGCAACAGAATGAGACCCTGTCTCAAACAACAACAACAACAACAACATATTGTTGTACAACCAATCTCTAAAACTCTTCATCTTGCAAAACTATATCCCTGTACCCATTAAACAATAACTCCCTATTCCCCACTCCCTCTAGTCCCTGGCAACCATTATTCTACTTTCTCTCCCTATGAATCTGACTACTCTAGGTACCCTATATAAGTGGAATCATATAGTATTTGTCTTTTCATGACTGGCTTATTTCATATGGCGTAATGTCCTCAAGGTTCATCCATGTCGTGACATCTTTCAGAATTTCCTCAAGGTTCATCCATGTCGTGACATCTTTCAGAATTTCCTTCTCTTTTGAGGCCAAATAATATTCTTTTGAGTAAATACACCACATTTTTGTTTAATCTATTCATCCATTGATGGACATGGGTTGCTTCCATCCTTTGGCTATTGTGAAGAATGCTGCTGTGAACATGGGTGTACAAGCATCTCTTTGAGACCTTGCTTTCAAATCTTTTGGATATATAACCAGAAGTGGGATTCCTCGGTTATATAGGAATTATATATTTAATTTTTTGAGGAACCACCATACTGTTTTCCGTACTGGCTGCACCATTTTACATTACCAGGGTGCAGAGGTTCTAATTTCTCCAGGGCACAATCGTTCTAATTTCTCCACATCCTGTCCAACTCTTGTTATTTTCTAGTTTTTTGATAGTAGGTATTCTAATAGGAGTGAAATGGTATCTCATTGTAGGCTTGATTTGCATTTCCCTAATGATTAATGATGTTCAGCATCTTTTCATGTGCCTATTGGCCATTTGTGTATCTTGTTTGGAGAAACGTCTATTCAAAGTCTTTGCTCATTTTAAAATCAGGTTGTTCATCATTGTTGCTGTTCAGCTGTAGAATTCTTTTATTTTTGTTTTAAATTTACTTAGAGACAGGTCTCACTATGTTGCCTAGGCTAGTCTTGAACTCCTGGGCTCAAGCAGTCCTCCTGCCTTGGCCTCCCAAAGTGCTGAGGTTACAGGTGTGAGCCACCATGCACAGCTGAGTTGTAGAATTCTTTATATATTCTGGGTATGAATCTTTTATCAGATATATGATTTGCAAATATTTCCTTTCATTATGTGGGTTTCCTTTTCACTCTGTTGATTGTGCCCTTTGATGCACAGAGGTTGGTTTTTTTTTTTTTTTTTAGACAAAGTCTTGCTCTGTCACCAGGCTGGAGTGCCCTGGCACGATCTTGGCTCACTGCAACCTCTGCCTCCTGGGTTCAAGCAGTTCTCCTGCCTCCGCCTCCCGAGTAGCTGGGACTACAGGTGCGTGCCACCACGCCCGGCTAATTTTTTGTATTTTTAGTAGAGACGGGGTTTCACTGTGTTAATCAGGATGGTCTTGATCTCCTGACCTCGTGATCCGCCCGCCCCGGCCTCCCAAAGTGCTGGGATTACAGGCATGAGCCACCGCGCCCAGCCGATGCAGAGAGGTTTTAAATTTATTTACCTTTTTCTTTTATTGCCTGTGCTCCTGGTGTCAGCTCCAAGAAATCAGTGCCAAATTCAGTATCATGAAGTTTTCCTCCTGTATTTTCTTCTAAGAGTCTTACAGTTTTAGCTCTTAACATTTAGGTCTTTGGTCCATTTTGAGTTAATTTTTCTATGTGGTATAAGGAAGGTTTATCTTCATTCTCTGCAGTTTTACTTTTACACTTTGGTCTAATGGTGCATGTACACGCCATGTAGAAGATAAGTTAAGGTTCTAAATTTAGTTATGCTATTGACAACTGCTTGCTGTGGAAATCTTGCTATAATGCCTCCTCCCATGGGCAGTTGTTACTGATTTATCTCATCTTTCCCCAGAGAGTTTTGCGTTTTAAGAAAGAGAAATTGTTAAATATTATTTGTTATTAAGTGTCATTTATACTTTTTAGTTTAGCTTTTTAAACTTTTTATTTTGAAAAGTTTTTGAAACATTCACAAAGTAAGGAGAAGAGTAAAACAAATCCCCCCAAGCCCGCAGCTTCAACAAATAACAGCCTTCTGCACATTTGCTTCATTTCTTCTTTTTCCCAACATTTTCTTCTTCTGAAAGATTTTAAGGCAAATCACAACCATTTTATTATTTCACTCATATGTTTAAGGTAAACATAGACATTTCTGATCAAATGTGTGTTATGTCAGAGTATGCCTTTCTATGTACTTTATGGTAGAGTTCTTGTATAATTAATTTTGTTGTTTTAAAGCCTAGGTCTAGGGACTAGCACCAGCAGCAGAATTTTGATATTTGTAATTGCTTTAGAGTTCACATATTTGCTTTATAGAATGTATTTGATCATGTGTACAACTAATGTGCTGCATATGCTTCAGAAATGCAGACCCCAATTATAGCTCTTTTGGGGAAATATGAACTGCTTTACAGCCCTCCACATTAAAATGTGGTTTCCAAGAATTCATTATTTACAGACATCAGCTACATATATTTACAAATGGCTCAGAATGAAAACTCACAGGAAAGATTACAAAAATAAGCTTCTCTGTCTTTTTTTTTTTTTAATCCTTCTCTGTCTTTTGAGTCCTGGTGAATACTATGCAACAAAAGCATTCACCTCATCCATAATTCTTTCAACCCCTTATGGGTTTTTTTTTCACCCTAGATAATTTAGTAAAGTTCAATAAAGTAAAGGAACTTTTTGCTACAGAAGTACTATGTAGAAGTTAAGAATTCACAAATACATGGCCATTGAAATGAGAGATAATCAGAGGCCTCACCCAGAATTAGAAAGCTTTCATCTTAGTGTTTATGTTGCTATTGTCAGGTACTGCTGGAGCCCAAAGAATGGGCTCTTGGTGGATAGGTCATCTCAGCAGACTGAAATAAAGCTGTCTGGGAATGTGGGGTAGGGATTGAGGGTAGTGAGTGAGGGGCATCAGGAACGCCGGCCGTACAAGTATGCTGGTTTCCTTAGTCAGCCAAGGATAATGCAAAATTGAAACCAGGAAATGTCATAGTGTAAAACTTTTTTTTTTTTTTTTTTGAGACAGAGTCTCGTTCTGTCATCTAGGCTGGAGTGCAGTGGCATGATCTTGGCTCACTGCAACCCCTGCCTCCTGGGTTCCAGTGATTCTCCTGCCTCAGCCTCCTGAGTAGCTGGGATTATAGGCACCTGTCACCATGCTCGGCTAATTTTTATATTTTTAGCAGAGACGGGGTTTCACCATGTGGTCCAAGCTGGTCTTGAACTCCTGACCTCAGGTGATCTACTTGCCTCGGCCTCCCAAAGTGTTGCGATTATAGTTGTGAGCCACCATACCCGGCCCTTATTTTTAATTTTTTTTTAATTTTTGGGACAGGGTCTGCTCTGTTGCCCAGGCTGGAGTTCAGTGGTGTGATCATGGCTCACTGCAGTCTTGACCTCCTGTCCTCAAGCAATCCTCCCACCTCAGCCCCCTGAGTAGCTGGAACTACGGGTGTGTGTCATCATGTGCAGCTAACTTTTTTATTTTTTGTAGAAACAAGGTTTCCCTATGTTGCCCAGGCTGGTCTCGAACTCCTGGACTCATGCGATCCTCCCACCCTGGCCTCCCAGAGTGTTGGCATTACAAGAGTGAGCTGCTGCTTCGGCCCTAGTACCCATTTTAGCACAGTGTTCCATACATCCCCCAGGAAATAATTTTGTGTCGTATGACCTATTTCTCCTCTTTGAAAGCTTCCAAATTTTTAGTATCAACGTAAAACTTGTATCACAGAGTCTTCTAAAAAGATATTTAAGAAGCATTTGTACATAACACAAATACTCATTCTTTTCTTAAGAAAGCCCATATCCCTTATGCTGACATTTCTAGCTCTGAGTGTTTCCTTCACCCGTGTGCCTATGACATGGGTGTGTCCTCGTGGGAATCTTCTATAGAGCCTCAGTTGTAAGCCTTTGATGATTCCAGTGGGCATGATGTGGTCAGGCAGGTGTACACCCTTGGCCTTTAGAATTGGCCGCACTCCTCTTTGCCTTTAGTGAAGCAACAAAGGAGAAAGTGTAATACTGCTCTCCTTTGTAACATAGTCTTTCTTTTTCTCTGCCTGTGTGTTATTTCCTTTCCTTTATTTCTCCTCTTTTTAAAGACTTTTACCTTAGTGACAACAATATTAAAACAAAAAATCCCCAAGAGTCTCTTGTTTTCAACTGGAAAAGTCTGATTTCTAGAATTTATTAATAAGTCTAATCTCT
The DNA here is from genome assembly GCF_000001405.40 of Homo sapiens. Classification (NCBI taxonomy): domain Eukaryota; kingdom Metazoa; phylum Chordata; class Mammalia; order Primates; family Hominidae; genus Homo; species Homo sapiens. Next base: position 52,486,535 of record NC_000015.10, on the reverse strand, counting down.
TTTAAAATGGGAAGAAAATAAAACTACTCATTTAAAAACACAGCCTCTCTGAGAAGGTAACATTTGAGCTGAGGTTTGAATAAGGAAGATACAGTGTAGTGGAGAGAGAATGAAAGTCGGGGCCAGACATTCTTTGGTCAAATCCTGGCTCCACCACTTAACTAGACATGTCATCTTGACCAAGCTACTTTGACTCACTCAACCTGAGTTTTTTCATCTGTAAAACTGAGGTAATAATGCTCAGCGATAGGGCTATTAGGATTAAAATGGACGTGGCTCTTTGACCTCCTTTTGACATGGATCAGGAAGAGACGCCTGGACATGGCAAACAGAGAACAGGCTCTGCTCTCATCCTCCTTGTTTCACCATCCCCCACCCCCAGCTTAACGCAGAACCTCGCTTGTAAGAGGGACTTGGTAAATACGTGTTGAATTGGAATTTGATTTGAAAATGAATAGGAAAAGTATAGAAGAGGAATGTGATTTAAACAGTTCATAAAAATGAAAACGTTTACTATGGAAATGTGGGTTTCAGAACTGTGCCCTCATGACTGCTTGTTTACGGTGATAATTAGCAACTTAAAATAATTTTGTGTTGATGCTTAATGCCAGGCTCTTGAAATCCTAAGATTCGCCTAAAGGATTTACTATAGTGTTTTCAAAGAAGCAACATTTTGAACTGACAAATACGTTTGTGTGTTGTTAGAAGAAAAATTTGAGAAATTTAATTATTTAGCATATTACTATCATGCTAAAAAATCTTTATTCTTGTCGTTTCTGTTCAAGTTATTGAGGCTTTTTCTACCAAAAGTGTATGTTTATGTTATTATCTTTTTTAACAGTCTATGTAAAACCCACTCCTTTCTGGCTATGATGTGAAAAATTACATTAGCATAGTAGAAACTATATTATCCATACAAGAGGTTACTTAATCTTTTTTTTAAAAGGGTAAATATTATGCTGATTCATGTTTTTATTTCATTTTAATAACATTCATCTAGTACTACCTAGAGTAAGGATTTCTAAAAAGAGACCTTGTTATTCTAGAATTCAGTATCTCATGATCTAATCAGAGGTCTCGTGCAGAGATCAACTGACTTAGGCTACTTAACTCATGTGACGGAAAACTTGAACTCTCTAGGATTCTAATTGTCCCCTTAATTCCAATAGTATTTGAGAATATATACTACTTTGTTCAAATTCAATACCCTAAAACATTTTTTGTCATTAGAAGTGATTAATCACCTGACAGTCTTGTTTTTTTTTTTTTTTTTTTTACATAGTGAATTCTTTATTCTCTTTTAAAGATTTGTGTTCTGTCATTTACAGATCTTTAGTAGAGAAGGATAATTTAAGGGATTAAGAAGTTAGTTGAAAATTGTTTAGAAATGAAAATCATTTGTAATGACTTACATACTTCCTAGCTATTGAAAGTTCTGTAATTATTAACTCTGCCTTACTGTTTTTTGTAATTATTCAAAAGAACAGACAGTTTACTTAAAAAGACAACATTGAGGCTGGGTGCGGTGGCTTACACCTGTAATCCCAGCACTTTGGGAGGCCAGGGCGGGCGGATCACCTGTGGTCAGGAGTTCAAGACCAGCCTGGCCAACATGGTGAAACCCCATCGCTACTAAAAATACAAAAAAATTCATCCAGGAGCAGCGAAAAATTGTATTTCTTTGTATTTTCAGTAGAGACGGGGTTTCACCATGTTGGCCAGGCTGGTGGCAAGCGTGGTGGTGGGTGCCTGCAATCCCAGCTACTCGGAGACTAAGGCAGGAGAATTGCTTGAACCTGGGAGGTAGAGGTTGCAGTGAGCCGAGATCATGCCACTGCACTCCAGCCTGGGGGACAGAGCGAGACTCTGTCTCAAAAACAAACAAACAAACATTGAAATCAGAAAACATTTGGGGGAATAAGGAAATACCTGCAATTTTTGATTCTTTCTACCAAGTTGTTTTGTTAATTCAGGAACATATATGGCATTTCATATAATGATCACTTTGAAATACTTGTATCTGCAAAATCCTGTGAAGAGTGAAACAGAAGTCAGGATTAAAGTTAGTGTTGATTTCATCTTCTGTCCTTTTTCTGGTAATAAAAAGGATTAGGAGGGCAAAATACTTTTGTCTTTAATATCTACTCTATCCTCCCTGGCTACTGGAACAGATCCACATTCTTATTTTCTAAAAACAAAAAGGAAGGGTGTGTGTATGTGTATTTTCTACCATAGCTACCTAACTAGCCAGGGCTTCTTGTGTTCTAGTTCCTTGCATTCTAATTCACATATATTTTCAGGAAAATGTAATGCATACCTGTAATACGTTCAACTTGCTACAATTATCATAGAATACTTTTGGTTCTGCTCTTATAGTCATTTAGTGATTGATCTAATCACTTTAATCTTTCTTAACATGAGGATCCTAAGATTAGTTACTTTTCCTGGCCTACTTGATCATGTGTCAGAGCTCAACAATTCCAGTGCCCCCTAACAAATGTTAGTGGTCTCTCTAGTTCTGACTGACTTCCCAGGGATACTTCTAGAGCCCCAGCTACCAGATGCTTCCTGACTGGGAGGTGGACGGCTTGCAGTTGCTTTAGGAAGGGATTGGCACTGCCAGAAGCAAGGCTTTTGGTCAGAATGATTCATTTCCACAGTGTGACATTAGCTGTATAGAGCAGACTGTTTTTCTAAATCGTTGTGTTATAATAATAGAAGTTCAGGAACCACAATTAGGGCTGTCATAAGGGTGTGGACATAGCCATAAGCTAAGGAAGAAGTTCATCTAGTCTGGGGATGGACCTTCGCATTCTTGCCAGGATATCTTTTAACATAACATTTGCTCAATTAAAATACCTTAATCCATAGAATGTTGGGGAGTGGGACATGTTTTTCCAAATTATGGATTGGAATGGATGGGGAAGGAAAACTGAGTGCTGAGAATGGGTTTTTTAGAAATTTCTAGGCGTGTCCTTGCACCCATAGTTTTTTGTTGTTGTTGTTGTTTTTAAATATATTGCTGAGTCTCTACTGCCTCCCAGATGTCACTTTTTCTCTTCCCTACTCCTGAAATTTCTAAGGCATTGCTACCATCAGTGTATCATAAATTAATTCACAGTGCTTGCCATACTCACGGTCCCTTCAAAGGGTAACTGTACCCCTCACTCTCCCTGTTGACCTGGGGCCCCTGCTAAGAAACCAAATGATCCAGCCAAGCTGATTGGACAAGGGGAGGCCCTGACCTGAAAATGGCTCACTCGTAAGGGCCTTTTGATGTGGCCTGGTCTCAAAAGGGCAGTCTAAACAGAAGTAGCAATGTTTAAGTGAGCCATTTAGGTGTCCTGTTTTGGGGATTTCTGTAACAAGTATGGAAAAGATAAACCAGAGGAGTGGTGTAGACACATTGACAGTTCTGACCCCATTAGCAGTGGTGTACCAGAAAAGCCACCAATTCCTACTCATGGGCTTCCAGGGCCTGCCTTGGAACCAACACTTTGCTTCGGTTTTTTCCTCTATGTGACTTAGCTCTTCTCTGGTTCCTTATCCTGTTGTTTCCTCTGTATTCATATGTGTGCCCTGCTCATCCTTCACCTGAGTGAGCTTGAGTATCAGTCCATTGCAATGATAGAAGCCTAATCACAGGAGACCTTAGAAACCTGGAAGAGCCACGGGCAGGTTGGTAGTCCAGGGGCATCAGGGGATAGAGTCACTATTTAGGGCCAAGAAATTAGGAATCTGGGCCTCAGGCTCCTTGCCTTGAGCTGCCGCAACTCCTCTACTAATGGACCGGATTCACTTAAAAAAATTTTTTTAAAGCCATTTTAGGTTCACAGCAAAATTAAGCAGATTGCCCTCCTCCACAGTCTTACCTTTTATTAAAAAAAAAAATTATGAACAGGAAATTAATGTTAGGGATATCAAATGGAATAAATTTCACCTTGTTGAGTTGTTTTTGATGTGTGATGAAAGTTTTTAGAATTTATAGCCAGTACTTATGGTGTCTGTATTGCTTCTGTTTTTGTAAAATTATTGGAAATCTACTCTGGCCCAGGATTCCTGTGTGTTTCAATATGTTCAACATGGAGTTGTTAGAGTATGGATCATGTTGACTCCTCTTTTTCCCAGCTCTGGCTATCCTCTTCCCTCTTCAGCAGCAGCAAAGGGCCCAAGCCCACTCACAAAAAACAACTACCAGGAATATGAGTTCTATTCCCTTCTGGATCAGGGTTTCTTCCACATGATGCCATGAAGAAGGTCAGGTAGAGTCACAGATACTTGGTTTATTTATGTTAAACGAAAAAAAGAGATGGCCTATAGGAGAAAAGAGATGGTTGCTATATCCAGGAAGTTCTCAAGCTCACAGACCCCGTGCATGCCTCTTTCATCTTTCTCCGTATGATCTTTGCCTGTGTCTGTGCAGATACCACTCTAGCTCTTCTCTCTCTTGTGGTCACAAGAATATAAAAACTGCCTAGCCACTTCCTCTTTATTATGCCTGAGTCTCCAGTTATCATGCTGAGTGAGCCAAGTTCTTGCTGACTGAATCATGTTCTTATAATTCTACTGATGTAGAATAATACTGATTATATCCTGTTTCTACTAACAAAATGGACATACAAAATTTGTCCAACATGCATAACCACATACTTATACCTTTTCCTTCATGAAAGCTCTAGCCAATTCTTTCATCAAGTATTTACTGAGTACTACTATGTTCCAGTCCTTTTATGATCTGAGCCCTGGGAATCTCTCTGGCCTCTCATTTCTTGCTACAGTGATTCTAAACTACTTGTTATTCCTCATGTGTATTTTATCCTGTTCCACATCTTTATGTCTTCATTCATGTCTGGAACATGAATTTGTTCATTTGCTTGGTTAACTCCTATTTGTCCTTCTAGCCCAAATCCATGTCCCCCTCCTTTAGGAAGTTACCATGTACTCTATTTTTCTTTGCACAAGTTGGGTGAGGTTTGCAAACTCCACTGGGCTCCCATGGCACCTTGTACATTCCTCCATCACAGAACTTTGTGTGTCATATTGACAGTGTCTGTGTGTGTCCATCTCATCAGCAGAACTTTGAGGGAAGGGAAAACATCTTACCCATTTTTGTTTCTGCAATTCTTAGAACAGTGTATGAAATAGAATATACACATACTAAATACTTGTGGAACCAAACAGAATTAGTTAGGGTATAAAGTAAAATAGAAAATCTTATAGAATCTCTAGGCAATCTTTGTTTGCATTAAAATCTGTTTTTCATTCCTAGAGACCATTTGCTTAGATCTTCAGCAAGGACATACCTAGCATCTGTTGCAGCAATGTGTCAATCATGAGTTACAGGCACACCATCTGTTTTTTACTGCACCGGTGCTGACTGGGATTTTGGCAATGCAGATAAATGTGCTTGCACCTAATAATGCTAGTTCTAACCTCCAAAGTCAGGCAGTAGACATGATTATGAAGACTCATAATACCTACATATAGTGTGGTCCAGTGCACTACCAAATGCCATGGCTCTAGCAAAGAATCTGGTATCTTAGATGGGTAGGCATAAGGGAACCCAACCATGAATCCAGCTGCAAGTGCAATGCTGTATCCCAGGACTAGACCTGTGCCTGTTGGTACTCAGTAAGTACTTGTTAAATGAATGACTGCATTTGGGTAAATGGATTTAGCTATATGTAAGGAAGCTATGGTTTGGCACTTTGTAGCACTGTAGATTTTGACTGTGCTGGAGGCATGGCTAAGGACTGAAGCTAGGGGAGATAATGCTAAGGAAGAATTTTCTCATGCGACTCCTCCTTATACCACACTCTCCAATGATAACTAGCACTGCCAAGGAAAAGAGAATGTGGGAAACCAAGTTGTGTTACAATGAAATGGAATTTTAGTTGAGTCCTGATTTTGCTTTCCTCTTGCCATTTGTGCAGCTGTGCAACTTTTTTCAGATCCATTATGTTTGCTTCTGAAGGGAGAGGGGAGCCAGAGAGGGCCTCAAGGATCGGGGATCAGGACATCCTTGGTCTGGTGTGGGCTCTGGTCTGAGCCAGCTTTGTTCTTGGAGCTCTAGTTTTCTTGGAAATGGGGTGTTTGGACCAGATCATCTTTAAGCCCTCTTCTGATTCTGAGATTTTACATTCGCTAAACAATTGTAAGATTTGAAATAGTTACGGGTTTTCCTAAATTCTGCAGGTGTTTCCTGGATGAGTTAAAAGCTGACTGTAAATAGATCAAATTGTAGATGGTGTAGTTAAGTTTCTTTGCGTTTTAGCTAGAGACTTTGTAGATGTTTGCCAGTCAAGTTTCTATCGCAATTAGTATTTAGTTCTTATTTCTTCCTTCACATATGAAAAATCAAGTAGACATGTTGTAGAAAATTAAGGGAACTGATTTCTTTTTAGTTTTATTGAGGTATAATTGACAAAAATTGTATATATTCAAGGTATACGATGTGATGCTAGGTGGGGATGTAGGGTTTGGGAGAGAGGAGACAGCATTGCTTAGATCAGTCACGTTCAGAGACCTCTTTACATAATCTTTACTTCCATCACAGGTGCAGATAGGTGGCTTCAGTTCATATCTCTTCAGGAATACACACACAAACTGGTGGAGAAGAGCAAAGGCATGCTGAGCTGGAGCCCAGAGCAAGGCCAGACTCACTGTCCAGCTCTTTTCTCCTTTACTCAGAGAGGTCTAAGAGAGGTGTGGCTCTTTCATGATTGGGCAGAATGATAAATGTTCAGATGCCATGGACTTTCAGTATGGTTCACAAAGAGTGGAAACCACAAATGATAATCTGTGAATTCCAAGCTACTGTATTATATGGATATATGAATATAGTTTATGAATATATATTAAACAAAAATAGGATCATACAATGATGATGTTTTACAGCTTGCTCTTTCTCAATTAACAGTATCTTTCCATGTCAGCACATACAGACCTAACTTTTTTTTAAGTATTCCATTATATAGATATACCACAACCTCTAAACTATGCAGTTGACCTGTGAACAACCTGGATTTGAACTGCATGGGTCCACTTACACATGGATTTTTAAAAATAAATATATTGGAAAATTTTTTGAGATTTGCAACAATTTGAAAAAATTCTCAGATGAACTATGTAGCCTAGAAATATCGAAAAAAATAAGAAAAAGTTATGTCATGAATACATAAAGTATACGTAAATACTAGTCTATTTTATCATTTACTACCATAAAATACACATAAATCTATTATAAAAAGTTAAAATTGGCTGGGCGCAGTGGCTCACTCCTGTAATACCAGCACTTTGGGAGGCTGAGGAGGGCAGGTCACTGGAGGTCAGGCATTCGAGACCAGCCTGGCTAAGATGGTAAAACTCTATCTCTACTAAAAGTACAAAAATTAGCCAGGTAATTCCAGCTACTCAGGAGGCTGAGGCAGGAGAATTGCTTGAACCCAGGGGGCAGAGGTTACAGTGAGCTGAGATCACGCCACTGCACTCCAGCCTGGGTGACAGAGCGAGACTCCATCTTAAAAAAAAAAAAGTTAAAATTTATAAAAACTTACACAGACATAGACTGCACATGGCACTGTTCACAGTTGAGAGAAATGTAAACAAATATAAAGACATAACCACACAAAATTAACTGCAGTACACATAGTACTACAGTTTTACTGTAGTAATTCTGTAGCCATGTTGTGTTGCTGTTGCTTGAGTGAGCTAAAAAGGTTGTGAGTATTCCCTTAAAATGTGTGACACTAACCATCCCCGTGTGAACAGTTTGTCTCTCCAGTACATTGCATATCACAGCAAAAAGTGATCTCACGCTTCTCACGTATTTTTCATTGTGTTTAGTGCAATACAGTAAACCTGACAACTTAAGGCAAAAGGCAGATGAAGGATCTTAAGCTGAAGAACTTAATGCCAGCAAAGGATAGTTTGATAATTTTAGAAAGAGGTTCACTCTTTTAAAAATGTCTGGAGAGGGGAAGGTTCCAAAATGGCTGAATAGGAACAGCTCCAGCCTATAGCTCCCAGCATGAGCGACGCAGAAGACGAGTGATTTCTGCATTTCCAACTGAGGTACCGGGTTCATCTCACTGGGGCTTGTCGGACAGTGGGTGCAGGACAGTGGGTACAGCCCACGGAGCATGAGCTGAAGCAGGGTGAGGCATCGCCTCACCCAGGAAGCACAAGGGGTCGGGGAATTCCCTTTCCTAGCCAAGGGAAGCTGTGAGAGATGGCACCTGGAAAATTGGGTCACTCCCACCCTAATACTGCACTTTTCCAACGTTCTTAGCAAACTGCACACCACGAGATTATATCCCGCGCCTGGCTCGGAGGGTCCCACACCCATAGAGCCTTGCTCACTGCTAGCACAGCAGTCTGAGATTGAACTGCAAGGTGGCAGCGAGGCTGGGGGAGGGGTGCCCGCCATTGCGGAGGCTTGAGTAGGTAAACAAAGCAGCTGGGAAGCTCGAACTGGGTGGAGCCCACCGCAGCTCAAGGAGGCCTGCCTGCCACTGTAGACTCCACCTCTGGGGGCAGGGCATAGCTGAACAAAAGGCAGCAGAAACTTCTGCAGACTTAAACGTCCCTGTGTGACAGCTTTCAAGAGAGTAGTGGTTCTCCCAGCATGGAGTTTGAGATCTGAGAACAGACAGACTGCCTCCTCAAGTGGGTCCCTGACCCCTGAGTAGCCTAACTGGGAGGCACCTCACAGTTGGGGCTGACTCACACCTCATACGGCCGGGTGCACCTCTGAGACGAAGCTTCCAGAGGAATGATCAGGCAGCAACATTAGCCGTTCTGGAATATTTGCAGTTCTGCAGCCTCCACTGGTGATACCCAGGCAAACAGGGTCTGGAGTGGACCTCCAGCAAACTTCCAACAGACCTGCAGCTGAGGGTCCTGACTGTTAGAAGGAAAACTAACAAACAGAAAGGACATCCACACCAAAATCCCATCTGTACGTCACCATCACTAAAGACCAAAGGTAGATAAAACCACAAAGATGGGGAGAAATCAGAGCAGAAAAGCTGAAAATTCAAAAAATCAGAGCGCCTCTTCTCCTCCAAAGGAACACAAAGGAACGCAGCTCCTTGCCAGCAATGGAACAAAGGTGGACGGAGAATGACTTTGACGAGTTGAGAGAAGAAGGCTTCGGAAGATCAGTAATAACAAACTTCTCCAAGCTAAAGGAGGATGTTCAAACCCATCGCAAAGAAGCCAAGAACCTTAAAAAAAGATTGGACGAATGGCTAACTAGAGTAAACAGCGTAGAGAAGACCTTAAATTACCTGATGGAGCTGAAAACCATGGCACAAGAACTACGTGACGCATGCACAAGCTTCAGTAGCCAATTTGATCAACTGGAAGAAAGGATATGAGTGATTGAAGATCAAATGAATGAAATGAAGCAAGAAGAGAAGTTTAGAGAAAAAAGAGTAAAAAGAAATGACAAAGCCTCCAAGAAATATGGGACTATGTGAAAAGACCAAATCTACATCTGATTGGCGTACCTGAAAGTGACGGGGAAAATGGAACCAAGTTGGAAAACACTCTTCAGGTTATTATCCAGGAGAACTTCCCCAACCTAGCAAGGCAGGCCAACATTCAAATTCAGGAAATACAGAGAACACCACAAAGATACTCCTTGAGAAGAACAACCCCAAGACACATAATTGTCAGATTCACCAAAGTTGAAATGAAGGAAAAAATGTTAAGGGCAGCCAGAGAGAAAGGTCCGGTTACCCACAAAGGGAAGCCCATCAGACTAACTGCAGATCTCTCGGCAGAAACTCTACAAGCCAGAAGAGAGTGGGGACCAATATTCAACAATCTTAAAGAAAAGAATTTTCAAGCTAGAATTTCATATCCAGCCAAACTAAGCTTCATAAGTGAAGGAGAAATAAAATCCTTTACAGACAAGCAAATGCTGAGAGATTTTGTCACCACCAGGCCTGCCTTACAAGAGCTCCTGAAGGAAGCATTAAACATGGAAAGGAACAACCAGTACCAGCCACTGCAAAAACATGCCAAATTGTAAAGACCATCGATGCTAGGAAGAAACTGCATCAACTAACGAGCAAAATAACCAGCTAACATCATAATGACAGGATCAAATTCACCCATAAGAATATTAACCTTAAATGTAAATGGGCTAAATGCTCCAATTAAAAGACACAGACTGGCAAATTTGATAAAGAGTCAAGACCCATCAGTGTGCTGTATTCAGGAGACCCATCTCACGTGCAGAGACACACATAGGCTCAAAATAAAGGGATGGAGGAAGATCTACCAAGCAAATGGAAAACAAAAAAAAAGGCAGGGGTTGCAATCCTAGTCTCTGATAAGACAGACTTTAAACCAACAAAGATCAGAAGAGACAAAGAAGGCCATTACATAATGATAAAGGGCTGAATTCAACGAGAAGAGCTAACTATCCTAAATATATATGCACCCAATACAGGAGCACCCAGATTCAAAAAGCAAGTCCTTAGAGACCTACAAAGAGACTTAGACTCCCACACAATAATACTGAGAGACTTTAACACCCCACTGTCAATATTAGACAGATCCACAAGACAGAAAGTTAATAAGGATATATCCAGGACTTGAACTCAGCTCTGCACCAAGTGTACCTAATAGACATCTACAGAACTCTCCACCCCAAATCAACAGAATATACATTCTTCTCAGCACCACATTGCACTTATTCCAAAATTGACCACATAGTTGGAAGTAAAGCACTCCTCAGCAAATGTAAAAGAATAGAAATTATAACAAACTGCCTCTCAGACCACAGTGCAATCAAACTAGAACTCAGGATTAAGAAACTCACTCAAAACCACACAACTACATGGAAACTGAACAACCTGCTCCTGAATGACTACTGAGTACATAACAAAATGAATGCAGAAATAAAGATGTTCTTTGAAACCAATGAGAACAAAGACACAACATACCAGAATCTCTGGGACACATTCAAAGCAGTGTGTAGAGGGAAATTTATAGCACTAAATGCCCACAAGAGAAACCAGGAAAGATCTAAAATTGACACCCTAACATCACAATTAAAAGAACTAGAGAAACAAGAGCAAACACATTCAAAAGCTAGCAGAAGGCAAGAAATAACTAAGTTCAGAGCAGAACTGAAGGAGATAGAGACACAAAAAACCCTTCAAAAAATCAATGAATCCAGGACCTGGTTTTTTGAAAAGGTCAACAAAATTGATAGACTGCTAGCAAGACTACTAAAGAAGAAAAGAGAGAAGAATCAAATAGATGCAATAAAAAATGATAAAGGGGATATCACCACTGATCTCACAGAGATACAAACTACCATCAGAGAATACTGTAAACACCTCTACACAAGTAAACTAGAAAATCTAGAAGAAATGGATAAATTCCTGGACACATACACCCTCCCAAGACTAAACCAGGAAGAAGCTGAATCCCTGAATAGACCAATAACAGGCTCTGAAATTGAGGCAATAATTAATAGCCTACCAACCAAAAAAAGTCCAGGACCAGACGGATTCACAGCCGAGTTCTACCAGAGGTACAAAGAGGAGCTGGTACCATTCCTTCTGAAACTATTCCAATCAATAGAAAAAGAGGGAATCCTCCCTAACTCATTTTATGAGGCCAGCATCATCCTGATACCAAAGCCTGGCAGAGACACAACAAAAAAAGAATTTTAGGCCAATATCCCTGATGAACATCGATGCAAAAATCCTCAATAAAATACTGGCAAACTGAATCCAGCAGCACATCAAAAAGCTTATCCACCATGATCAAGCGGACCTCATCCCTGGGATGCAAGGCTGGTTCAACATACTCAAATCAATAAATGTAATCCATCATAAAAACAGAACCAAAGACGAAAACCACATGATTATCTCAATAGATGCAGAAAAGGCCTTTGACAAAATTCAACAGCCCTTCATGCTAAAAACCCTCAATAAATTAGGTATTGATGGGATGTATCTCAAAATAATAAGAGCTATTTATGACAGTCCCACAGCCAATATCATACTGAATGGGCAAAAACTGGAAGCATTCCCTTTGAAAACTGGCACAAGACAGGGATGCCCTCTCTCACCACTCCTATTCAACATAGTGTTGGAAGTTCTGGCCAGGGCAATTAGGCAGGAGAAAGAAAGAAAGGGTATTCAATTAGGAAAAGAGGAAGTCAAATTGTCCCTGTTTGCAGATGACATGATTGTATATTTAGAAAACCCCATTGTCTCAGCCCCAAATCTCCTTAAGCTGATAAGCAACTTCAGCAGTCTCAGGATACAAAATCCGTGTGCAAAAATCACAAGCATTCTTACACATCAATAACAGACAAACAGAGAGCCAAATCATGAGTGAACTCCCATTCACAATTGCTTCAAAGAGAATAAAATACCTAGGAATCCAACTTACAAGGGACATGAAGGACCTCTTCAAGGAGAACTACAAACCACTGCTCAATGAAATAGAAGAGGACACAAACATGGAAGAACATTCCATGCTCATGGATAGGAAGAATCAATATCGTGAAAATGGCCATACTGCCCAAGGTAATTTATAGATTCAATGCCATCCCCATCAAGCTACCAATGACTTTCTTCACAGAATTGGAAAAAACTACTTTAAAGTTCATATGGAACCACAGAAGAGCCCACATTGCCAAGACAATCCTACGCCAAAAGAACAAAGCTGGAGGCATCACACTACCTGACTTCAAACTATACTACAAGGCTACAGTAACCAAAACAGCATGGTACTGGTACCAAAACAGAGATATAGACCAATGGAACAGAATAGAGCCCTCAGAAATAATACACATCTACAACTATCTGATCTTTGACAAACCTGACAAAAACAAGAAATGGGGAAAGGATTCCTTGTTTAATTAATGGTGCTGGGAAAACTGGGTAGCCATATGTAGAAAGCTGAAACTGGATCCCTTCCTTACACCTTATACGAAAATTAATTCACGATGGATTAAAGACTTAAATGTAAGACCTAAAACCATAAAAACCCTGGAAGAAAACCTAGGCAATACCATTCAGGACATAGGCATGGGCAAGGACTTCACGTCTAAAACACCAAAAGCAATGGCAACAAAAGCCAAAATTGACAAATGGGATCTAATTAAACTAAAGAGCTTCTGCACAGCAAAAGAAACTACTATCAGAGTGAACAGGCAACCTACAGAATGGGAGAAAATTTTTGCAACCTGTCCATCTGACAAAGGGCCAATATCCAGAATCTACAAAGAACTTAAACAAATTTACAAGAAAAAATCAAACAGCCCCATCAAAAACTGGGCGAAGGATATGAACAGACACTTCTCAAAAAGAAGACATTTATGCAGCCAACAGACACATGAAAAAATGCTCATCATCACTGACCATCAGAGAAATGCAAATCAAAACCACAATGAGATACCATCTCACACCAGTTAGAATGGCGATCATTAAAAAGTCAGGAAACAACAGGTGCCGGAGAGAATGTGGAGAAATAGGAACACTTTTACACTGCTGGTGGGACTATAAACTAGTTCAACCATTGTGGAAGACAGTGTGGCAATTCCTCAAGGATCTAGAACTAGAAATACCATTTGACCCAGCCATCCCATTACTGGGTATATACCCAAAGGATTATAAGTCATGCTGCTATAAAGACACATGTACACGTATGTTTATTGAGGTACTATTCACAATAGCAAAGACTTGGAACCAACCCAAATGTCCAACAATGATAGACTGGATTAAGAAAATGTGGCACATGTATACCATGGAATACTACGTAGCCATAAAAAAGGATGAGTTCATGTCCTTCGTAAGGTCATCAGTGAAGCTGGAAACCATCATTCTGAGCAAACTATCGCAAGGACAGAAAACCAAACACTGCATGTTCTCACTCATAGGTGGGAACTGAACAATGAGAACACAGGGACACAGGATGGGGTACATCACACCGGGGCCTGTTGTGCGGTGGGGGGATGGGGGAGGGATAGCATTAGGAGATATACCTAATGTAAATGACAAGTTAATGGGTGCAGCACACCAACATGGCACATGTATACATATGTAACAAACCTGCACGTTGTGCACATGTACCCTAGAACTTAAAGTATAATAAAAAAAAATGAAAAAAATGTCTGGATAGGGCCAGTCGCGATGGCTCAAGCCTGTAATCCCAGCACTTTAGGAGACCGAGGTGGGCCGATCACGAGGTCAGGCGATCGAGACCATCCTGGCTAACACGGTGAAACCCTGTCTCTACTAAAAGTACAAAAAAATTAGCCGGGCGTGGTGGCTGGTCCCTGTAGTCCCAGCTACTTGGGCGGCTGAGGCAGAAGAATGGTGTGAACCTGGGAGGCGGAGCTTGCAGTGAGCCGAGATCCTGCCACTGCACTCCAGCCTGGGCAACAAGAGCGAGACTCCATCTCAAAAAAAAAAAAAAATGTCAGGATAACAGGAGAAGACGCTTCTGCCGACCAAGAGGCAGCAGAGGAGTTGCCAGATGCCATTAAGAAAATCACTGAGGACCAGAAACAGTGGCTCATGCCTGTAATCCTAGCACTTTAAGAGGCCGAGGCAGGAGGATTCCTTGAGCCTGGGAGTTTGAGACCAGCCTGGGCAACATAGGGAGACACTGACTCTACAACAAATTAAAAAATTCGCCACGCATGGTGGTGTGTACTTGTAGTTCTATCTACTCAGGAGGCTGAGAAGGGATGATCACTTGAGTCTGGGAGGTTGAGGCTGCAGTGAGCCATGAATGCACCACTGCATGTCAGCCTGGGGCAACAGAATGAGACCCTGTCCACCCCACCCCAGCTCTCCCCAAAAATAAAATCATTGAGGAGAAAGGATATCTGCCTGAAAGAAGTTGCTTTTTTTGTTTTTGTTTTTTTGTTTGGGGTGTGTGTGTGTGTGTGTGTGTGTGTGTTTTAGAGACAGAATCTGGCTGTGTTGCCCAGGCTGGCCTCAAGTTGCTGGGCTCAAACGATCCTCCTACCTCAGTGTCCCAAGTAGCTGGGACTACAGGTGCACACTACCATGCCTGGCTAAACAGATTTCCTTTTTCTTTTTCTTTTTTCAAATGAGACAGAGTCTCACTATGTTGCCGAGGCTGGTCTCAAACTCCTGGGCTCAAGCGATCCTCCCACCTTGGTCTCTCAGAGTGCTGGGATTACAGGCGTGAGCCACTGCACCTGGCCCCGAACTGATTTTTAATGCACACAAAAGTGCCCTATTCTGGAAAATAATGCCACAAAAGACATTTACTAGTAAGGAAGAGAATTGAGTACCAGGATTTAAGGCAGGAAGGGACAAGATAACTGTACTATTTTGTGCAAATGCAGTCAAGTTTATAATCAGGACTATCTTTATCTATAAAGCTGCTAATCCATGAGCCTTGAAGGGAAAAGATAAATACTAGCTGCCAGTCTTTTAAGTGGACCCCAAGAAGGTCTGGACAACAAGAACTCTTTTTCCTTTCCTTTTTTTTTTTTTTTTTGAGATGGAGTCTTGCTCTGTCGCCCAGGCTGGAATGCAGTGGCGTGATCTCGGCTCACTGCAACCTCTGCCTCCCGGGTTCAAGCAGTTCTCCTGTCTCAGCCTCCCAAGTAGCTGGGACTACAGGCGCCTGTCACCATGCCCGGCTAATTTTTGTGTTCTTAGTAGAGATGGGGTTTCACCATGTTGGCCAGCCTGGTCTCGAATGCCTGACCTCGAGTGATCCGCCCTCCTTGGCCTCCCAAAGTGCTGGGATTACCGATGTGAGCCACTGTGCCCGGCCAAGAACCCTTTTTCTGAATTGGTTCCATTGATGCCTTGTCCCTGATGTGAGGGAATACCTTGTCAGTAAGGAATGGCCTTTTTTTGAGGGGGGATGGAGTTTCACTCTTATTGCCCAGGCTGGAGTGCAATGGTGCGATCTTGGCTCACCACAACCTCCACCTCCCAGGTTCAAGGGATTCTCCTGCCTCAGCCTCCCGAGTAGCTGGGATTACAGAGATGCGCCACCACGCCGGCTAATTTTGTGTTTTTAGTAGAGACGGAGTTTCTCCATGTTGGTCCGGGTGTTCTCGAACTCCCCACCTCAGGTGATCTGCCTGCCTCGGCCTCCCAACGTGCTGGTTTTACAGGCGTGAGCCACTGCGCCTGGCCCAAGGATGGCCTTTTAAAGTTCCTTTGATATTGGGCAATGTCCCTGGCCACCTAGAACCCTATGAATTCAACACCAAAGCTATCAAAGTGGTCTACTTGCCCCCAAACACAGCACGTCTAATTCAGCCTCTAGATCAGGGGGTCATAAGAACCTTTAAGCTTCATTACACATGGTACTCTGTGGAAAGAATTGTCAATGCTATGGAAGAAGACCCCCAACAGAGGGAACGTCATCAGTGTCTGGAAGGATTACACCATTGAAGGTGCCATTATTGTTATAGAAAACGCTGTGAAAGCCATGCAGCCCAAAACAATAAATTGGTGCTGTAGAAAATCGTCCAGATGTTGTGAATGCCTTCGTAGGATTTACAACAGTGCCAATCAAGGAAATCATGAAAGAGATTATGGATGTGGCAAAAAGGGTGGGGAGTGAAGAGTTTTGGGCTATGAATCTTGGAGAAATTCAAGAGCAAATAGACACTACACCAAAGCAATTAACGGAAGCCAACTTGATGGAGATGAGTATATCTGAACCAGTGCCGGACTGTGAGAAAAAAGATACAGAAGTAGCAGTGTCAGGAAGCAAATTGACATTAGACAATCTAGCAGAAGAGTTCTGATTTTTCAAGACTGCTTTTGACTTCTTTTACATGAACCCTCCTATGATTTGGGCACTGAAACAAAATCAAACAGTTGCAGAAGGATTGGTACCCTTATAGAAACATTCTTAGAGAATGGAAAAGCAAAAAAGACAGAAATTATGACGTATTTCTGTAAAGTTACACTAAGTGTGCCTGTTTCTCCTGCCTCCCCTTCTGTCTCCTCTATCTCTGCTGCCTCTGTCATCCCTGAGGCAGCAAGACCAAGCCCTCCTCTTCCTCCTCCTCCTCAGCCTACTCAGTATGAAGATGACAAGGTGAACACCTTTATGATTCTCCACTTCCACTTACTAAATAGTAAATATATTCTTTTCCTTTTGATTTTCTTAATAAGTTTCTTTTCTCTAGCTTACTTTATTGTAAAAATATGGTATTTTAATACATATACAGAATATGTGTTAATCAACTGTTTATGTTATCAGTAAAACTTCTGGTCAATAGGAGGCTATTAGTAGTAGTAAAGTTTTTGGGGAGTCAAAAGTTACACACAAATTTCCAACTGTGCAGGGGATTGGCACTGCTTACCCACATGTTGTTCAAGGGTCAACTGTATATTATTATAGTTAACCTTTACACTAATATACATATATGAATTAGCCTTTGTGTAATTTCCAATTTTTCACTTTTACAAACAATGCTGCAGAACATTTTTAGAAATAATTATTTGTATTTTTTAGTATCTCCGTGGGAAAATTTTATATATGAACTTTCTGATTCAAGGATATGTATATTTTAAAAACTTTTGGTTTTATTGTAAAAATAGTACTTACTCATGAAAAAATGAGAAATATGGAAGTATGTAAAGTACAAAATTAAAGGTTCCCTCACCACCTATTTCAGTATGCATCCCTGAAATATGTATTTCACATTGTTGAAGAAATTACCAAATTGCTCTCTCAAAGGTTGTGCCTGTTGATTCCATCACCAATATATGAAAATACCTGTTTGTCCACTTTCTTCCTAACACAGGTTATTTTCAATCCTTTAAATATTTTCAAATTTAATTTGCAACTTTTAAATATTTTGTTATTATGTTTTATAGAGACAGGGTCTGTCTCTGTCACCAAGGCTGGAGTGCACTGGCATGATCATAAATCACTACAGCCTTGAACTCCTGGGCTCAAGTGGTTCTCCCACCCCAGCCTCCCAAGTAACTGGAACTACAGGTGCACACCACCACACCCAGCTAATTAAAAAAAATTTTTTTTACATTTTTGTAGAGACGGGGTCTCACCGTCTTGCCCAAGCTGGGCTTGAACTCCTGGGCTCAAGCAGTACTCCCACCTCAGCCTCTCAAAATGCTGGGATTATAGATATTAGCCATTGTACCTGGCCTAATACTGTATTTTAAATTTGCATTTGCTTAATTATTAGTGAGACTGCACATCTTTTTAATTTTTTATTTTTCTGAGACAGGATCTCATTCTGTCACCCAGGCTGGTGTACAGTGGTGTGACCTCGGCTCACTGCAGCCTCTGCCTTCCCAGCTCGGGTGATCCTCCCGAATAGTTGGGACAATTTTGTCTAGAGATGAGGTCTCACTGTATTGCCCAGGCTGGTCTCCAACTCCTAGGCTCAAGCAATCCTCATGCCTCAGCTTCTCAAAGTGCTGGGATTACAGACATGAGCCACTGCACCTGGTCCATCTTTTCTTTGTTTAACTTTTTAAATGGTGCTTCTGTTCGCTACCTGTTTTTTTCTTTTGCCTATTTGCTACTAGGTTGTTTATCTTTTTCTTATTAATTCGCTGATATGTGAGGTTTTGTTTTATGAAGCTTAATCTTGCTGGACATAAAATTATTGGCTGCTAGGTTTTTCTTTTTTCTTTCATCACTTTGAAAATGCCATCCCATTCTCTTCTGGCCTGTGAGAGTTCTGCTGAGAAGTGTGCCATTAGTCTGATGGGGTTTCCTTTATAGGCAACTAAGTGTGCTTTTCTCTTGCCGATTTAAAATTTTTTTCCTTCACTTTGACTTTAGACAGTCTGATGATAATATGCTGTGGTGAAGTTTTTTTTGCAGTTTATTTTCCTGGGGATTGCTGGGCCTCCTGTAGCTGGATGTCTAAATCTCTTTCTTGACTTGGGAAATTTTCATCAATTATTTCCTTAAATAGGTTTTCAGAACTTTTTGCATTTTCTTCCTCCTTGAGAATACCAATAATTCGTAAGCTTGGTTGCCTTATGTAGACCCTAATATCTTGATGTCTTTATTCATTCTTTTTTCCTCACTTTTGTCTGATTATGTTATTTCAAAAGACTTGTCTTCAAGTTTTGAGATTCTTTTTTTCTGCTTAGTCTAGTCTATTTTTGAAGCATTTCAAATGTATTTTGTAATTCCTTCAATAATTTTTCAGACCCAGAATTTCTGTTTGTTTTTGAAATCTGTCTCCTGTAAATTCCTCATGTGCATCCTAAATTGATTTTCTGATTTTCTTTATATTAGTTTGCAGATTTCTCTTGCATCTCATTGAGCTTCTTTAAAATCAATACTTTGAATTATTTATCGACATTTCAAGGATTTTTGTTCTGCTTAGGATCTATTGCCAAATAATTATTTTGTTCCTTTGAGGGCGCCATAATACCTTGCTTTTTCATACTTCCTATATGTTGATTTCTGTGTATCTGAAGATGTGACTATGATGCTGATTGGGTAGGGCCATTTGTCTGCATGAAGTGACAAAGACTTTGTATGATTTCCTTGGATATACATAGCCTTAATGCGGTAGCTTTCTTGAATGCTGGTTGTAGTGGCGTACCAGGCAGTGAGCAGACACACAACCTCCTGTGCAGCTGTGATGTCATGGGTGATAGGGGCAGTAGTTGTGAGAAGCTCTTCTCTTTCTCAAGTGCTGTGCTCTTGTGTTAATTGTTGCAGTGGGCTCTTCAGGCTGTCCCAGAAGGTGGATTGGGCCATGGAACCCCCAGGGGCCTGGATCCTGCACCCTATCTTGGAGTGGGGGGCAAAGCTGGAATGGAGCTAAGTTAGCTAGGCCTGCACTCAGACCACCTACCCTGATGGGAGTGGCTACCTACCCTGATTTAGGCCTCTGGTAAAATACCTGGGTTAGGGCTGACCACTGTTATGCTGATGTCTCAGCCTGGGAAGGGAGGGTGGTTCTAGCTTCACAGCCTTGGCTGGCAGACATGGGACCTGCTTCCCTCTTACACCCCAGTCTTGGCAAGGTTCATGCCCCCATCTCAACTATGTTAGCCAGTCTGGCTGTTCACTTAGTCACTACAGTTTGCTTCTCGTCTGCAGTGCAGTCTTGGGCTATAGGAGTCACTGTGCAGCTCAATACTACACCTCTCTGGCACTTCTCCTCCTCTGGTCCATGGGTGGGGTTGGGGGGAGCCCAGTTTCAGCACCAGCAGCTGGAGCCCATACCACACTCATTTCTCAGTTCTGGCTGTGGGAGCCCCTCCCACAGGTTTCAGTTCCCCAAGCCCCAGCCTGAGTCTCTCTACTGCCAAAGACTGCTGCTGCTGTGGCTAGCTCCCAGGCGTGTGAGGTGCAGCTTGCTAAGTAAGAGCTAGGAAAGAGAATAGGGTCCTGCTGTAGGTGTCCAGTCTGAAGGAATGCCTGGGATACTTCCTCAAGCAGTTCCTTCTCACAGTCTCCTGGCTGCTCCGCATGTTAGATCTAGGGCTTAGAAGGGGCAAGGTACTTTCCTGTGGTCTGGATTGCTCGATTCCCTAGTGGGAAAGTGGACCACAGAGAGATATGTACCCTTTTCCATATTGGGGATTCACTCCTGGTTTTTGGCCGGTCCTGGCCATACGGGCTACCTACCTTCCTTCTTCTCAGATTTTGGAGTTTCTTTTTGCTTTTCTGTTGGACTCATTGCTTTTCATGTCAAACATATTATCATGGATAATATGTTCAAAGTATGATTGTCTACACACTATTTTGGTTCTTCTGAGTTTATGAAGTGTGCTAGAAAAGCCTCTAGTCAGCCATCTTGGGCGAAAAAAATCTCAAGATGTATCTTTTTCTTAATGATTTGTAAGAGTTCTTTTTAAAAGTCTTTTTAAATTTATTCTATTTATTTTCTAGAGACAGGGTCTTGCTCTGTTGCTCAGGCTGGAGTGCAGTGGCATGATCATAGCGCACTATACTTTCGAATTCCTGAATTCAAGCAATCCTCCTGCCCTAGCCTCCCAAGTAGCTGGGACTACAGGCAAAAGTTCTTTATACATTAAGGGACTTTGCTTTTTTACAAATATATTTTTGGTCACCCTGTATTTTGGGTTTGTTTATGATGTATTTTGGCACCCAGAAGTTTTTTATTTTTCTGAAAAATATTTTATACCAACCATTCTTTCAAAATTATAAAACCTAGATCAACTTTCATAGCTGCTTTTCTCGGCTAAAATTAAGCTAAAAGGACACTTAATAAAAGGGGCAAGGATAGGGGATCATGGGAGGAGTTAATAAGAAAGCATCATGCAGCCCAAAGTTTAACACTTCCACTTAAAGATGCAGGCCAACAGGGCTTTTTTGCTTAAGGTGTCTCAGCCAGCAGCAAGATGGCCTACTCATTTGCCCTCTCAAAGCCAGCTCATTATAGAATTCCGTAATAATCTTGCCCTGACCTTACTACCAAGGCTGCTGTTTCCAGGTCAAGAATCTCCCTTCTAGTGCTCATCATTAATGAGGTAATACCAGTGAAATGTCCCTCCTTGCCCCTGCCCTTAGGTAAAGCTGACTCCCAGTGTGGCCAATACAGTCTCTATTTGCCTAATATGGATGACATTTTGGAAGCAATTATGTGTATATTAGATAAATCCTGTCTACAGGCTAAATGTGAGTGACAGTCATATATACATAACTAGGAAAACGACTAATCATAAGCAGGAGTTGTACAAGATGTGCTTTTGTTTATGATTAAAAGACTGCTGATTAGAACTAGGGTGTTGGAAACATCTGGTCATTCATTACTCTGCTTAAAAGCCTGTGATGAATCCCTGTCTCATGCAGTATATAGGCCAAACTGCCTACCATGGCACATGAGGTCTTTCACATCCTGCTCCTAACCTATTTTTTCAGTCAGCTAAACACTATGCTAAGCACTTTCATTTCACACATATTTATTGAGTACCTGCTAGTTACCAAACATTGTTCTAGGTTTCGGTGTTCGTTGTCCCTGCCCTCACAGGCTTTCTGGCTAGTTAGGGACACAAAGAATCCCACATAACCAAAACAATCTATAGAGTAGTCAGGGTGGACTTTTTCTGAGAAAAACGCATATATAAACTGAGACCAGAAGAGTGAGAAGGAACTAGTCCTAAGAAGAGATGGGAAATGAGGGGAAGGTGTTCTAGGCAGTGGGTACAGCAATGGCATTGAACTTGTAGTTTGGGTGTTCTAGGAACAACAGAAGGCTGGCACAGCCAGAGCTCAGGGGAAGGGAGAAGACCCCAGTGAGTTGCTGTTAAACCTGTGGGTAGGGGCCAGATCACATAGTACATCGTAGAGTATAGTAAAGGAATTCAGATGCAGCACAATGAGGTACCTGAATCGGGGTTTGGCCTGGGGTTGGGCTGGCGACAAAACTGTGTAGTGGTTTTAAGCCTTATCTAATTTATCTGCATCACAACTCTCTGAGGCAGGTATTACTAATAACCAGTTTTATGGATGAGAATCCTGAGGAAGAAAGTTGGGTAATTGTTCAAGGTCACACAGTTGGAAAGTATTGGAGCTTCTGGATCTGTCTAACTCCAGAGCCCATGTTCTCAAATGTAATTGTATATACAGTCTAATTGGTTTATTTTGTAAGTAAGGGAATTGAGATTCAGAAAAATTAAAAATAAACTAGAATGATTAAGAGGATGTGAGGCACTGTTTAAAAAATTTATGCTCTTCTTCCATCTGGAAAGATGAAGAATGAACTTTTGATCTGGTGGAAGCTTCTAACACTATGAGGCACCTGAAGAGGGCAATGCTGACTTATTCACTACAAAAATAGCTTAGGCATCTTTTGAAGCTTCAGATAAGTAATTCACAGGTCAAATAAAAGGAAGTGCTTTTGATACAGTTGGTAGCTGATTATTTCAGATACAGATTAACAATGTTTCCAGTAGCTTTTAGGAAATCTGTAGAACAAGTTAGCAAAACAGAAAACCTCTTCTGTATAAAGCATACTAAAATACTGATGAAAATGTCTGTAAGAGAAGTTTAAATAACTAAGAAAATGAGGAAAAAATGAGTACAGGGAAAATGAAATTTTATAATAATAAAAAAAGAAAGCAATTTTAGTTGTAAGTTTTATAATATTTAAACATTTTAGTTTTATATGTCTTAAGAAATACTTAACTCATGGATGACGTTTTTTAATATAACTGAAAAGCCACTATAGAGGGGTAAAGGAAATAATATCCTTTCTTAGTTTTTACAGACAGAATGAAATTCTTATTTCTAGAGAAGTCCATCTTGATGAAGAAAGTGTGGTCAAGTCACTGCCAGGATGCCGGCTTGACATCTGGGGAAAAGGCTGAGGCACAAGTTCTTTTAGAGTCTTTGTTTGCTTATGCTGCATTTTTCTCTCAAAATACCCTCTCAGCGTATACAGTTGGAGTACCTGTCACTCAAGAAAAAATGTCCTTTAGTTCATGAGATTTTTACAACCTAAAATAGACTGACAATCAATTTTGATCTTTCTGTTATGATTCCCATTGTCCTGTCAGTTTCTCTCAGTCATACTGAGAACCCGACCACCCAATTTGGATGATTTTCTCTATCAGTTCAATCATACCACTTAACATCTTAGGGCTGTCAGATTTAAGGGAAGCAAAGTGTACTCTTGATCTCTCTAGATGTTTGGAAATTACTGAATGAGAATTTCATAACCTTTTTTTTTTTTTTCCAAGACGGATTCTCGCTGTCGCCCAGGATGGAGTGCAGTGGCACAATCTTGGCTCACAGCAACCTCCACCTCCAGGGTTCAAGAGATTATCCTGCCTCAGCCTCCAGAGTAGCTGGGACTACAGGTGTGTGCCACCGTGCCCGGCCAATTTTTGTATTTTTAGTAGAGATGGGGTTTCACCATGTTGGCCAGGCTGGTCTGGAACTCTTGACCTCAGGCAATCTGCCCACCTTGGCCTCCGAAAGTGCTGGGATTATAGGCGTGAGCCACTGTGCCTGGCCGATAACCTTAATATCTAATTATTTGTGCTGCTTCGTTCTCTAGTAATTGTCTTATCATGATCAAGGTGCAAGCATGGCCAGCAGCTGGCTTGGGTCTAATGCCACTTCTGTGTTCTTTTCTTCCTTGAGGATTTCTCTCGGTGATCTTTTTGGTACTTAGTATGCATACAGTTGTGCTTTCAAGATATCAGATGAACACTGCAGCCTTGTATTATTCGCCTAACCTGTAGTATATATTTAAAAATATTAATGCCACAAAGTAGAAATTGTGGGTTTTGATCAAACCTTTTTTTTTTTTTTGAGACAGAGTCTCGCTCTGTCGCCCAGGCTGGAGTGCAGTGGCACAATCTCGGCTCACTGCAAGCTCTGCCTCCTGGGTTCACGCCATTCTCCTGCCTCAGCCTCCTGAGTAGCTGGGACTACAGGCGCCTGCCACCATGCCTGGCTAATTTTTTTGTATTTTTTTAGTAGAGACGGGGTTTCAGTGTGTTAGTTGGGATGGTCTCCATCTCCTGACCTCGTGATCCGCCCACCTCGGCCTCCCAAAGTGCTGGGATTACAGGCATGAGCCACTGCGCCTGGCCCAAACTTTTTTTTTTTTGAGATGGAGTCTCGCTGTGTTGCCCAGGCTGGCTAGAGTACAGTGGCGCGATCTCAGCTCACCACAACCTCTGCCTTCCAGGTTCAAGCAATTCTCCTGCCTCAGCCTCCTGAGTAGCTGGGACTACAGGCGCATGCCACCATGTCCGGCTAATTTTTGTATTTGTAGTAGAGACGGGGTTTCACTATGTTGGCCAGGCTGGTCTCAAACTCCTCACCTCGCGATCTGCCCACCTCAGCCTCCCAAAGTGCTGGGATTACAGGCGTGAATGACCACACCTGGCTGATCACACAGTTTTTATGGGGTTTCTGCTGAACAAGTCTACCTAAGCTATGGGGAGAGGAATAGATAGCATATAAGATTTAAATATGAATAAGTTTTACTAACCTAGAGCCCCTTCATGCTTACTCATGTTCTGTTCATCACCTTCAAAATAACTTCCTATTGTGAAATGCTGTTTTGTTTGGGCAAGCTAGCCTGTTTTTAAGTTTGGGTGACTAGGTTTCTGTTTTTCACTCATGCTTATGGTTGATAGCAAATTACAGTATTTTTGTTTTTAATGTTAAGATGATTTATTGTTTATTAATAATTGCAAAAACATCAGGCAATGTTTGCTGTAAAAAATTGCAAAAACAAAAATTAACCACTGCTAAGATTTTAAGTATGCCCTTTAAATGTCATATCATTTTCCTTTTTACAAAACATACCTATTGGCCCGACACAGTGGCTCATACCTATAATCCCAGCACTTTGGGAGGCTGAAGTAGGAGGATCGCTTGAGCCCAGGAGTTGGAGATCATCCTGGGCAACATGTTGACACCTAGTCTCCGCAAAAAATACAAAAATTAAACAGGCATGGTGGCACGTGCCTGTAGTCACAATTACTCAGGAGGCTGAGGCGGGAGGATCGTCTGAGCCTGGGAAGGTTGAGGCTGCAGTGAGCCATGATTGTGCCCCTGCACTCCAGCCTGGGCAACAGCAAGACTCTGTCTCAAAAAACAAACAAAAATACATATTGTTTTCACTTAAAAATATATTGTGAGCACTTTCCTTTGACCACATGTATTCTACTCACATATATTTTATGATCATATATATTTTATGATATTATTTTATTTAAAATTGCACTGAATTTCCTTAGTCGATTTTTTTTATTGTTGGTCCTTTCAGTTGTTTTCTTTTTGTCTTCTTTGTTTTGGGGTGGGGGGAGAAACTATGTCATTAAAGTCTTTATATAGCTTAGATAACTTCTTTAAGCTATAACGCTACAAAAAATTTCTGGAGCCTCGCCCTCGCCCTCGCCCTCGCACGGTCCTCGTCTCCCCTTTGCACAGTCTCCCTCTGATGCCGAGCCGAGGCTGGACTGTACTGCCGCCATCTGGGCTCACTGCAGCCTCCCTGCCTGATTCTCCTGCCTCAGCCTGCCGAGTGCCTGGGATTGCAGGCGCGCGCCGCCACACCTGACTGGTTTTCGTATTTTTTGGTGGAGACGGGGTTTGGCCGTGTTGGCCGGGCTGGTCTCCAGCTCCTGACGGCGAGTGGTCTGCCAGCCTCGGCCTCCCGAGGTGCCGGGATTGTAGACGGAGTCTCGCTCACTCAGTGCTCAATGTTGCCCAGGCTGGAGTGCAGTGGCGTGATCTCGGATCGCTACAACCTCCACCTCCCAGCCGCCTGCCTTGGCCTCCTAAAGTGCCAAGATTGCAGCCTCTGCCCGGCCGCCACCCCGTATAGGAAGTGAGGAGCGTCTCGGCCTGGCCGCCCATCGTCTGGGATGTGAGGAGCCCCTCTGCCTGGCCGCCCAGTCTGGGAAGTGAGGAGCGCCTCTTCCCGGCCGTCATCCCGTCTAGGAGGTGAGGAGCGTCTCTGCCTGGCCGCCCATCATCTGGGATGTGGGGAGCGCCTCTGCCCCGCCGCCCCGTCTGAGATATAAAGAGTGCCTCTGCCCGGCCGCGACCCCGTCTGGGAACTGAGGAGTGTCTCTGCCCCGCCGCCACCCCGTCTGGGAGGTGAGGAGCGTCTCTGACCGGCCGCCCCGTCTGAGAAGTGAGGAGCCCCTCCGCCCGGCAACCGCCCCGTCTGGGAAGTGGGGAACCCCTCTGCCTGGCCGCCACCCCATCTGGGAGATCGGGGGCCCCTCTGCCCGGCCGCCCCGTCTGGGAAGTGAGGAGCCCCTCTGCCCGGCCGCCGCCCCGTCTGGGAGGTGGGGGGCCCCTCTGCCCGGCAGCCCCTTTTGGGAAGTGAGGAGCCCCTCTGCCCGGCAGCCACCCCGTCTGGGAGGTGTACCCAACAGCTCATTGAGAGCGGGCCGTGATGACAATGGCGGTTTTGTCGAATAGAAAAGGGGGAAATGTGGGGAAAAGAAAGGGAGATCAGATTGTTATTGTGTCTGTGTAGAAAGAAGTAGACATAGGAGACTCCATTTTGTTCTGTACTAGGAAAAATTCTTCTGCCTTGGGATGCTGTTAATCTATAACCTTACCGCCAACCCCGTGCTCTCTGAAACATGTGCTGTGTCCACTAAGGGTTAAATGGATTAAGGGCGGTGCAAGATGTGCTTTGTTAAACAGATGCTTGAAGGCAGCATAGTCGTTAAGAGTCATCACCACTCCCTAATCTCAACTACCCAGGGACACAAACACTGTGGAAGGTGGAAGGCGGCAGGGCCCTCTGCCTAGGAAAACCAGAGACCTTTGTTCACATGTTTATCTGCTGACCTTCCCACCACTATTGTCCTATGACCCTGCCAAATCCCCCTCTCTGAGAAACACCCAAGAATGATCAATAAATACTAAAAAAAAAAAAAAAAAAAAAAAAAAATTTCTGGAAAATCCCAGCTACTCAGGAGGCTGAGGCCAGAGAATTGCTTGATCCTGGGAGGCGGAAGTTGCAGTGAGCCAAGATTGCACCATTACACTCCAGCCTGGGCAACAGAGCGAGACCCCTTCTCCCCCTGCCCCCCAAAAAAGAATTTTTACATTTTTAAGGTATTTGAAAAAAAAATTGTCAAGCTTCCTTCCCAGAAATGCTATGAAGATTTATATGCTAAAAACCAGTGCCTGAGATTCCTAATTCCTGTGCCCTTGCCAATATTTTCAAATTTCTAATATTTTAAAATTTGACAGTTGAAAATGGTACCTTTTGAAAAATTAATTTATGAAAGAATGTTATAAAATGAAGTTAGTCTTTTTGTTTTTTGTTTTTATATTTATTTATATTTGTATGTATTTGTGAGGTACCTGTGATATTTTGATACATGCATAGAATGTGTAATGATCAAATATGGTATTTAGAATATCCATCCCCTTGAACATTTATTATTTCTTTTTTATTATTTTTCTTTTTTTTTTGAGACAGAATCTTGCTTTGTGCAGGGCTGGAGTGCAATGGTGCAAACATGGCTCACTGCAGCCTTGACTTCCTGGGCTCAAATGATCCTCTCACCTCAGCCTCTCTAGTGGCGGGGACTACAGGTGCATGCCACCACGCCCAGCTAATATTTGTATTTTTTGTAAAGATGCCACCATGCCAGGCTAATTTTTGTATTTTTTGTAGAGACAGGGTTTCACCATGTCACCAGCCCAGGCTGGTCTTGAACTCCTGACCTCAAGTGATATACTTGCCTCGGCCTTTCAAAGTGCTGGGATTACAGGCATGAGCCACTGTGCCCGGCCACATTTATCATTTCTTTGTGTTAGGAACATTTGGAATCTTCTTCTTCTAGCTGTTTTGAAATACATAATACATTGTCGTTAGCTATAGTCACCCTATTATTGTGCTATTGAACACTAGCAGTTATTTCTTCTAACAGTATGTTTGTACCCATTAACTAACCTCTCTTTATCCCTCTACTGCCACATACACCCTTCTAGCCTCTAGTAATTATAATTTTACTCTTTACCTCCGTGAGATCTACTTTTTTGTAGCTTACATATGAATGAGAATGTGTGATATTTGTTTTTCTGTGCTTGGTTTATTTCACTCAACTTAATGACCTCCAGTTTCATCCATGCTGCTGCAACGACAAGATTTTATTCTTTTTTATGGCCGAATAGTATTCTATTATGTATACATAACACTTTATCAGTTGATCTGTCGGTGGACACTTAGGTTGATTCCATATCGTAGCTATTGTTAATAGTACTGCAATAAACATGAGGGTGCAGATATGCTTTTGACATACTGATTTCCTTTCCCTTGAATAAATACCCAGAAGTGGGATTACTGGATTGTATGGTAGTTCTATTTTTAGACTTTTGAAAAATCTCCATGCTCTTTTCCATAATGACTGTTCTAATTTACATTTCCACCAACAATGTATAAGAATTTCCTTTTCTCCACATCCTCAACAGTCTCTGTTATTTTTTGCCTTTTTGATAAAAGTCATTCTAACGGGAGTGAGATTATATCTCATTGTAGTTTTGATTTGCATTTTCTGATGATTAGTGGTGTTGAGCATTTTGTCATATACCTGTTAGCCATTTATATGCCTTCTTGTGAGAAATGTGTGTTCAGATCCTTTGTCTACTTTTTTTTTTTTTTTTTTTGAGACAGGGTCTCACTCTGTCACTTAGGCTGGTGCAGTCATTGTGCACTGCAGCCTTAACCTCCCTGGGCTCAAGCGCTTCTCCCACCTCAGCCCCCAAGTAGCTGGGACTACACCACACCTGGCTAATTTTTGTATTTTTTGTAGAGATAGGGTTTCGCCATGTTGCCCAGGCAGGTCTTGAACTCCTGAGCTCAAGCAGTCTACCTGCCTCAGCCTCCCAAAGAGTTAGGATTACAGACGTGAGCCACCACACCAAGCCCCTTTGCCTACTTTTTAATGAGATTATTTGTTTTTTGTTTTGTTTTGTTTTGCTGTTGAATTGAGTTCTTTGTATATTCTGGATATTAGTCTCTTGTTGAATGAAAAGTTGGCAAATATTTTCTCCAGTTCTGTGGGTTATCTCTTTACTCTGTTAATCGTTTTCTTTGCTGTGTAGAAGCCTTTTAGTTTAACATAGTCCTGCTTGTCTATTTTTGTTTTTCTTGTAATTTTGAAGTCTTAGCTATAAAATCTTTATCTAGACTGATGTCCTGGAATGTTTGCCCAATGCTTACTTCTACAAGTTTCAGATCTTACATTTAAGCCTTTAATCCATTTTGATGTATATTTTGTGTATGTTGAGAGACTGGGGTCTAGTTTCATTCTTCTGCATATGGTTATCCAGTTTTCCCAGCACCATCTATTGAGGTGACTGTCCTTCCCAATTGTACGTACTTGGTGCTTTTTTCAAAAATGAGTTGGCTGTAAATGTATACATTTATATCTGTATTCTCTATTCTTTTCCC
The DNA here is from genome assembly GCF_000001405.40 of Homo sapiens. Classification (NCBI taxonomy): domain Eukaryota; kingdom Metazoa; phylum Chordata; class Mammalia; order Primates; family Hominidae; genus Homo; species Homo sapiens. The sequence goes on along the minus strand of NC_000015.10, from coordinate 52,456,633 downwards.
TTGGTCTATGTGTCTGTTTTTATACCAGTACCAGGCATGCTTATTTGGTTACTACAACTTTATAGTATATTTTGAAGTCAGGTAGTGTCATGCCTCCAGCTTTGTTTTTTTTTGCTCAGGATTGCTATGTCTATGTGAGGTCTTTTCTGGTTCCATATAAATTTTAGGATTGTTTTTCTGTTTCTGTGAAGAATATCATTAGTATTTTTGAAATGGATTGCATTGAATCTGTAAATTGCTTTGGGTGATACTGGCATTTTAACAAAATTAAGTCTTTTCATCCACAAGCATGGAATATCTTTCCATGTTTTTGTGTGTCCTCTTTAATTTCTTTCATCAGTGTTTTTATAGTTTTGGTTGTATAGATGTTTTACTTCTTTGGTTAAGTTAATTTCTAGGTATTTTATATTATTTGTAGCAGTTGTGAATGGGGTTAATTTCTTGATTTCTTTTTCAGATTGTTTGCTGTTGGCATATATAAATGTTACTGGTTTTGTATGTTGATTTTGTATCCTGCAATTTTACTAGATTCGTTTATCAGTTCTAACAGTTTTATTTGGTGGCGTTTTTAGGGTTTTCTAAATAATAAGATCATGTCATCTGCGAGCAAGGGTAATTTGACTTCTTCCTTTCCAATTTGGATGTCTTTTCTTTCTCTTATCTGATTGCTCTGGTGAGGACTTCCAATATTATGTTGAATAAAAGTAAAAGTAGACATCCTTTTGTTGATCCGTATGTTAGATGAAAGGCTTTCAAATGGTCCCCATTCAATGATGTTAGCTGTGGGTTTCTCATATGTGGCCTTTATTATTTTGAAGTATAGTCCTTCTGTAACCACTTTGTTGAGGTTTTTTTTTTTTTATCATGAAGGGATGTTGAATTTTATTGAATGCTTTTTTAACATGTATCAAAATGATCATATGGTTTTTGTTCTTCGTTCTGTTAATGTGATGTATTACATTTATTGATTTGTGTATGTTGAACCATCCTTGCATGTCTGGGATGAATCCCACTTGATTATGGTGAATGATCTTTTTAATGTGTTGTTGAATTCAGTTGGGCTAGTATTTTTTTTGAGAATTTTTGCATCTGTATTCATCAGTGATATTAGCCTGTAGTTTTCTTATTTTGTTGTCTCCTTTTCTGATTTTGGTATCAGGTAAAGCTGGGCTTGTAGAATGAGTTCGGAACTATTCCCCACTTTTCAATTTTTTTGAAGAGTTTGAGCAGAATTGGTATTAGTTCTTCCTTAACTGCTTGGTAGAATTCAGCAATTAAGCCATCAGATCCAGGGCTTCTTTTTTGTCGTTGTTGTTATGACTCTGATCTTATTACTTATTACTCATTATTAGTTCAGGTTTTCAATTTTTTCATTATTCAATTATGGTAGGTTGTATGTGTCCAGGAATTATCAATTTATTCTAGGATTTCCAATTTGTTGGCATATAGTACTTTATAATGTCTCTAATGATTCTTTGTATTTCTGTAGTCTCAGTTGTTATGTCTCCTTTCTAATCTCTGATTTTATTTATTTGGGTCTTCTCTCTTTTTATCTTAGCCTTGGTCAAGGTTTGTCAATATTTTCAAACAGTAAACTTTTTGTTTCATTGACCTTCTGTATTTTTTTTTTAGTTTCAATTTCATTTATTTCTGCTCTGGTCTTTATTATTTCTTTTCCTCTACCAATTTTGGATTTGATTTGTTCTTGCTCTTCTAGTTCCTTAACATGCACCATTATTAGATTGTTCATTTGAAGTCTTTTTACTTTTTTGATGTAGGCATTTATTGCTATAAACATCTTTCTTAGTACTGCTTTTGCTGTATCCCATAGATTTTGGTATGTTGTATTACCGTTTTTGTATTTTCAAGGAAATTTTAAATTTCCATCTTAATTTTTTAAATTGACCCTTTGGTCATTCAGGAGCATGTTGTTTAATTTCCATGTATTTGTGAATTTTCCAGGGTTCCACTGTAGTCAGAAAAGATACTTGGTTTCTCCTTTTTTGAATGTGTTGAGATTTGTTTTGTGGCCCAAGTTATGTTCTATTCTGGAGAATATTTCATGTGCTGATGAAAAGAATGTGTACTCTTCTGCAAATGGGTGAAATGTTCTGTAAATGTTAGGCCTGTTTGCCTGTAGTTTAACTCTGATGTTTCCTTGTTGATTTTCTGTCTGGGTGATCTGTCCATTACTGACAGTGAGGTGTTGAAGTCTCTGACTTTTATTTTATTACAGTGTATCCCTCTCTTGGACCTATTAATGTTTGCTATATATACTTGGGTACTTTGGTGTTGGGTGCATAGATATTAATAATTGTTGTATCTTCTTGCTTAATTGATCCCTTTATCATTATATAGTGACCTTCTTTGTTACTTTTTACAGTCTTTGACTTGTAGTCTATTTTATCTGATACAAGTATAGCTACTCCTACTCTTTTTTGGTTTCCACATGCATGCAATATCTCTTTCCATCCCTTCACTTTCAGTCTACGTATGTCTTTATAGGTAAAATGGGTTTCCTAGGGACAACAGATAGTTGACTCTTGTTTCTTTTTTGATTTAGCCACTCTATATCTTTTTTGATTGGAGAATTTTATCCATTTGCATTCAGTGTTATTGATAAGTAAGTACTTTCTACTGTCATTTTGTTGCTTGTTTTCTAGTTATTTTCTTATTCTCTCTTCTCCCTCTCATACTATCCTCCTTTGTGGTTAAGTAGTTTTCTCTAGTAGTATGTTTTAATTTGTTGCATTTTATTTTTACTGTATTTTTCATAAGTTTTTACTTTGTAGTTACCATGAGACTTATAGAAAACATCTTATAGATATAATAAGTTATGTCAAGGAGATGACTATTTATCTTAGATCACAAAGACAAGACAGAAATGCAGAAATATTTTTTTAAAAAAAACCTCTATAATCTAATTCCATTCCCCCTACGTTTTCACTTTTTATTGTCTCAATTTACATATTTAATATAGCTTATCTCTTAACGGGTTCCTGCTGCTATTTCTTTTTGATAGATTTATCTTCCAGACATTATACTAGTTATGAATTGAAAGCACATCACCATTGCAGTTTCAATTATTCTGAGGTTTTTTTGTGTACCTATTTTTACCTGTGAGTTTTATACCTTCACATGTTTTGTTTTTTCACATTAGTGTTTTGCTTTTTTTTTCTTCTTCCACATTGAAGAACTCCCTTTAGTATTTCTTATAAGACAGGTCTGGTGGTGGTGAATTCTCTCAACTTTTGTTTTGTGGGAAGGACTTTATCTCTCCTTCATGTTTGAAGGATAGCTTTGTTGGATATGGTATTCTAAGATGGCAGGGTTTTTTTGTCTTTCAGCACATTGAAAATGTCCTTTCACTCCCTTCTGGCCCATATACTTTCGCTTGAGAGGTCTGTTGCAAAATGCATTGGAACTCCTTTATATGTTATTTGCTTCTTTTCCCTTGCTACTTTTAGGACCCTCTGTTTGTCCTTCACCTTTGAGAATTTGATTATTATATGTCTTGGGGTAGCCTCATTTGGGTCAAATGTATGTGGTATTCTATGACCTTCCTATACCTGGATATTTATATGTTTCTCAAGTTTTGGAAAGTTTTCTCTTACTATTAATATTTCTTTGAATAAGCCTTCTTTCCCTCATTCTTAATCAACTCCCTCTTGAACACCAATAATTCTTAGGTTTAGTCTTTTAGGGTAGTTTTCAATATCTCCTTGGCAGAGCTTCATTCCTTTTTATTCTTTTTTGTTTCTCCTATGGCTATTTTTTTTTTTTTTTTACATGGAGTCTCACTTTGTTGCTCAGGCTGGAGTACAGTGGCGCAATCTTGGCTCACTGCAACTTATGCCTCCCGGGTACAAGTGATTCTTCTGCCTCAGCCTCCTGAGTAGCTGGGATTACAGGAGTGCACCACCATACCTGGCTCTAGTAAATGATCTGAGTGCTGCCCATCCTGAATGAGGATGGTCCCAAAGGGAATATCCTGTCAGTGTGGAAAGGCTGGCTAGGGATTTGGGCACAGGGGAATTATGGAATATACCTCCTACAGTATGATACTGCTGAACTCTGATTTGGAGTCTCCTCTGAGTTTAAGAGCGGAGTTTCCAGGGCCCAGGATGATGGTCCTATATCCTCTCTTTGTTTCTGGCTGTCCTCAGGGGTATTTCACCCTTCAGGCACTCATGATACTTCCTGTGGGTTGAGGCAAAGATAGGTCTTCTGTCAGGTAACCCAAGGTGGCAGGGAAGTTGTACCTTGATCTCACTTTTTCCAGTGTAGAAACTCAGTCAGAGGGAAATTTTCCTTGCACTTGGTGCCAGACAGATTTGGTGGAGCTGCGTCATTGATATAGGAGTCTGATTATCTTACCATCTGCTCAGAGTTTTTTTTAATACTTCTCTGTGGCCCTGGGAACTGTCTCATTCTCATTTTAATTCTGGGATATTGCTGGTGATAATCTTGGCATTATATTTTTGTTTTTGGTTTTCAGTGGGGGGAGGGGGTGGTGAAACCAGCTTGCTTCTGTGCCACCATTTTGGAGAAGAATCTGCCTATATTTACTCAATTCTGACATACACATTGTTTTTTATAGTAGGAATGCATCTTATTGGTAGTCTCTTAGATTTAATGAAATATACATTTATTCAGTAAGTAATTACTGGGCATCTATTATAGATCAGACACTATGTTGGGCTGTGGGCATCAGTTTGAGTAAAACAGACATCTTCCTATCTTCATGGTTTTCATAGTGAAGAAAAAGTACAGGGTTATCTGAGAAAACGTAACAGTGGAGCTTAATTTAGATAGACACGTCAGGGAAGGTCTTTCCAAGTAACGGATATTAAAACTTAAGATGTGAAGGATAAGGAGGAGTCAGTCAGAAAACAAGTGAACTAGGGATTCCAGGCCAAGAAAAAGCAAGAGAGAAAATCTCGAGGCTTGATCTAGCATGGATTGTTTAAGCAGTTAAAGGACAGGTAGTGCAGATGGCCCTTGGTGGGGTGAATAGAGGGGCTAAGCAGTGAGGTAGTAGGGAATGTCATGAGATGGGGTTGGTTCTTCGAACCTTCTGAGGGCAAGTGCCAAATAATGCAGGGCTCATAGGGGTTATGTGAATGTTTTAGCCAAAGTTATTAAAGGATTTTAAGCAAAGATGAAACATCATTTTTCCATTTTTCATCCTGTTTTTCCATTTCAAAAACATCACTCTGGCTGCTGAATAGAGAGTTGGGGGAGGAAAGCTTGATAGAGAACTATTTCTGGCATTAGAGTGAATATTGGCTAGGATTTGGTGGTGGCTGTAGAGATGGAGAGAGGGGGACAAAATTTAGTTAAAATATTGCAGGTAGGACTTAGTGATGGATTTGTTACAGGAGTGAAGGAGAGGGAAGTCCTGAGTATCAGTTTTTTTCCCAGGAGCAACTATCTGCGTAGAGGTGCCTGTCTGAGATGGGAATGCTGCAGGAAGGACATATTTAAAAAGAGGTAGGAGAAGAGTTCTGTTTTGGACTTGTTGAATTTAAGATGTCTATGAGACATCTAAATAGAGATTTTAGGAAGTAATGTGGATCTAGGGGTCTGGAGTTCAGTAGAAAAGTCTAGGTAGAGATAGAAATTTGGGAAAAAATTGGCATTTAAACTCCTGAGAGTGGGTGGGATACAATGTAAACATAAAAATAAGACCCAGGAGGTGAAGGTTGCACTGAGCCATGATCACACCACTGCAATCCAGCCTGGGCAACAGAGTGAGACCCTGTCACAAAAAAAAAAAAAAAAAAAAAACCACAGTAGTGCAATCTAATCATAAGAATAATATTAACATAGGCTAGATGTGGTGACTTACGTCTATAATCCCAGCACTCTGGGAGGCTGAGATGGGAGGATCACTTGAGCCAAGGAGTTCACGACCAGCCTGGGTGACAGTGAGACCTTGTTTCTAAATTTTTTTTTTTTTTTTTTTGAGACAAGTTCTCACTGTCATCCAGGCTGGAGTACAGTGGCACCATCTTGGCTCTTGCAGCCTCCACCTCTTGAGTTCAAGTGGTTCTCCCACCTCAGCCTACCGAGTAGCTGGGACTACAGGCGTGCACCACCATGCCCAACTAATTTTTGTATTTTTTTGGTAGAGACAGGGTTTCACTGTGTTGGCCAGGCTGGTCTCGAACTCCTGACCTCAAGGGATCTGCCCACCTCAGCCTCCTAAAGTGCTGGGATTACAGGCGTGATCCACTGCTCCCAGCCCCATCTCTAATTTTTTTTTTTAAAGAATATTATTAATGAGAATAGGTCACATATCAACTGCCTTCTACGTACTAAGCACTGTTCTGAGTACTTCACATATATAACTGATTTAATCTTCATGATACCCCTATGTGGTAGGTATTATTACCCTCATTGTAGGCAATACATAGGAAAACCACAGGGCTAGTAAACCCAGAAAGTCTTATCCTGAACTATTATTATTATTATTTTTGAGATGGGTCTTGTTATGTTGCCAAGGCTGGTCTCAAACTCCTGAGCTCAAGTGATCCTCCCACCTAAGCCTCTCGAGTACCAGGGTTTACAGGTGTGCACATCACCACGCCCTGCTCTAAAGCCTGAGCCTGAATTCAATTTTTTTTTTGGAGACAGGATCTAGCCCTGTCGCTCAGGCTAGAGTGCAGTGGCAAGATCTTGGCTCACTGCAGCCTTGACCTCCCAGGCTCAAGCAATCCTCCCAACCTCAGCTTTCTAAGTAGCTGGGACTGCAGGCATGTGCTATCACACCTGGCTAATTCTGTTCATTTTTTGTAGAGGTGAGGTCTCACTGTGTTGCCCAGGCTGATCTTGAACTCCTGGACTCAAGCAGTCCTCCTCCTTTGGCTTCCCAAAGTGCTGGGATTACAGGCATGAGCTACTGTGCCTAGCAAGCCTGCATTCTTAACACCACATTAAAAGAGAGAAGAGACTTAGCTTAGAGGTCTGGGCAATTCTAATAGTTACAGATAGGATAGAGAAGGTAGAGCTGGCACAGGAAATGGGAAAGGAATGATTAGAGAGGCAGGAAGGAACCATGCCAGGCCAGAGTGTTCCAGGTAGGCTGCCAGGGTCAGTGGTGAAACACTGCTGAAAGGTGAGCCCTTAAAGAATACATAGGTATTATATGGGTGATGAGGATGGGGGAAAGGGCTTGCTGGGCAATTTGAGTAGAGATAGATATGGAGAAACCAGCTGGTGTTTGCAGTTGTTAAGAGGGTTGAATGCAAGGCCAGGAGAGGTGAGAGATGACACTGGAGAAGTTGACAGGGCCAGATCATGAAAGATTTGTAACATTCTGTATTACAGTCCATTCTCATACTGCTATAAAGAAATACCTGAGGCCGGGCGCAGTGGCTCACGCCTGTAATCCCAGCACTTTGGGAGGCTGAGGTGGGTGGATCACTTGAAGTCAGGAGTTCAAGACCAGCCTGGCCAACATGGTGAAACCCCGTCTCTACTAAAAATACAAAAATTAGCCAGGCGTGGTGGCACGTGCCTGTAATCCAAGGTACTCAGGAGGCTGAGGCAGGAAAATCGCTTGAACCCGGGAGACAGAGTTTGCAGTGAGCCGAGATTGTGCCATTGCACTCCAGCCTGGGCAACAGAGTAAGACTCTGTCTCAAAAAAAAAAAAAAAAAAAAAAAAAAAAAGAAAGACAAGAAAAGAAAAAAAAAAAAGAAATACCTGAGACTGGGTACTTAATAAAGAAAAGAGGTTTGATTGGCTCCCGATTCCACATGCTATATAGGATGTATGGCTGTGGAGGCCTCAGGAAATTTACAATCATGGCAGAAGGTTAAGGGAAGCAGGCACAGCTGGAGCATGAGGACAAGAGAGGGTGGGAGGTGTTGCTACACACTTTTAAACAACCTGATCTTGGTATAATTCGCTATCACAAGAACAGCACTAAAGGAGAAATCCTCCCCCGTGATCCAGTCACCTCCCACCAGGACCCATCTTCGACACTGGGGATCACAATTTGGCATGAGATTTGGGTTGGGACACAGACTCAAACCGTATCATTCTGCCACTGGCGCCTCCCAAATCTTATGTCCTCACATTGCAAAATACAATTCCCAATAGTCCAAAGTCTTAACTTATTCCAGCATTAACTCAAAAATCCAAAATCTCATTTGAGACAAGGCTAGTCCCTTTTGCCTATGAGCCTGTAAAATAAAAAACAAGTTAGTTACTTCCAAGATATAATGGAGGTACAGGCATTGAGTAAATACTCCCTTTCCAAATGGGAGAAATCAGCCAAAAGAAGGGGCCTACAAACCTCATGCAAGTACAAAACCCAGCAGGACAGTCATTAAATCCCAGCAGGACAGTCATTAAATCTTAAAGTTCCAAAAGAATCTCCTTTGGCTCTCTGTCTCACATCCAAGGCACACTGATGCAAGGAGTGGGCCCACAAGGCCTTGGGCAGCTCCACCTCTGTGGCTTTGCAGGGCTCTGCCCCACCCCACAGCTGCTCTCAGGGGCTGGGATTGAGTGCCTTTGGCTTTTCCAGGCACATGGTGTAAGCTGTCACTGTCTACCATTCTGGGGTCTGGAGGACAGTAGCCATCTTCTCACAGCTCCACTAGGCAGTGCCCCAACCCCACATTTCCCTCCTACATTGCCCTACTAGAGGTTCTCCATGAAGGCTCTGCCTCTGCAGCAGGCTTCTGTGTGGACTTCCAGGCTTTTCCGTACATCTTCTTAAATCTAGCCAGATTGATTCTCTTGAACACTTTGCTGCTTAGAAATTTCTTCCACCAGATACTCTAAATCATCTCTCTCAAGTTCAAAGTTCCACAGATCCCTAGAGCAAGGGCACAATGCCATCAGTCTCTTTCCTAAAGCATAGCATGAGTGACCTTTACCCCAGTTCCCAATAAGTTCCTCATTTCCATCTGAGACCCTCTCAGCCTTGCCTTCACTGTGCATATCCCTATCAGCATTTTGGTCATAACCATTCAATAGGTCTCTAGGAAGTTCCAAACTTTCCCTCATCTTCCTGTCTTCTTCTGAGCCCTCCAAACTGTTTGAACCTCTGCCCATTACCCAGGTCTAAAGCCACTTCCACATTTTCAGGTATCTTTATAGCAATGCCCCACACCTCATTACCAGTTTTCTGTATTAGTTTGTTCTTGCATTGCTATAAAGAAATACCTGGGACTGGGAATTTATAAGGAAAAGAGGTTTAATTGGCTCATGGTTCTGCAGGATGTACAGAAACCATGGCTGGGGAGGCCTCAGGAAGCTTCCACTCATGGTGGAAGGCAAAAGGGGAGTGGGCACATCACATGGCAAGGATTGGGGAGAGAGAAAGCAAGAGAGAGAGCGAGAGTGTGAGTGAGTGATAACGATCTTGCGAGAACTCACTATCACGAAGACAGCACCAAGCCATGAGGGAGCCGCCCCCATGATCCAAACACCTTCCACCAGGCCCTACCTCCAGCATTAGGGATTATAATTTAAGATAAGATTGGGTGAGGACCAATATCCAAACCATATCATTCCTCCACTGACCCCTTCCAAATCTCATGTCCTTCTCACATTGCAAAATACAATCACACCTTCCCGACAGTCCCCCAAAGCCTTGACTCATTCTACTATTAACTCAGAAGTCCAAATCCAAAGTCTTATCTGAGACTTTTCTCCTTCCACCTCTGAGCCCATAAAATCAAAACAAGTTGACTACTGCCAAGATACCGTGGGGTATGGACATTTCTCCCATTCCAAAAGGGAGAAATTGGCCAAAAGAAAGGGGCTACAGACAAGTTTGAAACCTAGCAGGGCAATCATTAAATCTTAAAGATCCAAGATAATCCTGTTTGACTACACGTCCCATCCAGGGCACACTGATAGAAAGAGTGGGTTCCCAAGGCCTTGGGCAGCTCTTTGTCTGTGGCTTTGTAGGGTTCAGCCCCTAGGGCTGTTCTTATGGGTTGGAGTTGAATGCCTGTGGCTTTTCTAGGCTGAAGGTGCAAGGTGCCAGTGGATTTACGATTCTGGGATCTGGAGGATGGTGGCCCCCTTCTCACAGCTCCACTAGGCAATGCCCCCTTGCAACTCTGTATAGGGCCTCCAACCCCACATTTTCCTTTGGCACTGCCCTAGTAGAGGTTCTCTATGAGGGCTTTGCCCCTGCAGGAGGCTTTTGCCTCGGCACCCAGGCTTTCTCATACATCCTCTGAAATCTAAGTGGAGGCTGCCAAACGTTCTTCACTTTTTATTCTGTACACCTACAGGCTTAACACCACATGGAATCTGCTAAGCTTTATGGCTTGCATTCTTCAAAGTGGCAGCTTGAGCTGTACCCCGGCTTTTTTGACCCTTGGCTGGAGCTGGAGCTGGAGCAGCCAGCACGCAGGAAGCAGAGCTCTGAGGCTGTGCAGGGTAGTGGGGCCCTAGGCCTGGCCCTCTACACCATAATGTCCTCCTAGGCCTCTGGGCCTGTGGTGGGAGGGGCTGCTGGGAAGGTCTCCGAAATGCCTTCCAGGCCTTTTCCCCATTGACTTGGCTGTTAGCACTTGTCTCTCTTTTAGTTATGCAAATTTCTCTAGCAAATGGTTGCTGCTCCACAGCCTGCTTGGATTTCTCTCTTGCAAAAGCTATCTCTGCCACATGGCCAGCCTGCAAATTTTCCAAACTTTTATGCTCTGCTTCCTGCTTAAATATATATTCCAACTTTAAGTCGCTTCTTTGCTCCTGTACCTGAGTGTAGGCTGTTCGAAGCAGTCGGGCCACATCTTGAATGCTTTTCTGCCTTGAAATTTCTTCTGCCAGATACCTTAAATCATCACTCTGAAGTTCAGTTCCACAGATCCCCTAGGGCGGGGGCCACATTGTAGCCAAGTTCTTTGGTGAGGCGTAACACACGTGACCTTTGCTCCAGTTCCACTAAGTTCCACATTTCCGTCTGAGACCTTCTCAGCCTGGCCTTCACTGTCTGGATCACTATCAGCATTTTGGTCACAACCATTTAACCAGTCTCTAAGAATTCCAAACTTTCTTTCTTCTTCCTGTCTTCTTCTGAGCCTTCCATATGCTTCCAACCTCTGCTGTTACCTAGTTCCAAAGTTGCTTCTACATTTTCAGTTATCTGTATGTGAGGCAATCCCTCACTCCTAGTACCAATTTTTTGTGTTAGTTCATTCTTGCATTGCTATAAAGAAAGACCTGAGACTGGGTAAGTTATAAGAAAAGGGGTTTAATTGGCTTACGGTTCTGCAGGCTGTACATGAAGCATGGCGGCATCTGCTTCTAGGGAGGCCTCAGGGAGCTTTCACGGTGGAAAGCAAGGCAGGAGCAGACACATCACATGGCAAAAAGCAGGAGCAAGAGACAGAGAAGGTGGGCGGAGGTTGCAACACATTTTAAAATGCCCAGATCTCACGAGAACTCACTATCACAAAGGCAGTAGCAAGCCATGAGGGATCTGCCCACATGATTCAAATACCTCCCACCAGGCCTCACCTCCAGCATTGGGGATTACATTTCAACATGGGATTTGGGCAGGGACAAATATCCAAACTGTGTCATTTCCCAAGTTAGCAAAAGACCTAGAAGTGTCGATTCCCAAAGCTGGGGAGCAACACAAAGGGAGCTGCCTGTTATAAGTGGGAGGGAAATACATACCGGCACCTGTCTATTATTTCCCAGGTACTGTTTTGGCACCTTATCCATATTGTCTCATATAATGTATGTGTTGTTTGATGTTTAATGCCATGATTCCTTAAATCTTACCATGTTAAGACATTTTAGTTAAAATTTAAAAAATTACCCATGACTTCTTTCATCACTACATCATTTATCAGGGTGATAGATAGTCTATGTGGGAGGAAGACCCCTATATAAAGAGGCCTGTACATATTTAATATGACTTCCATTTAATACTTTTTTCTACATTGAGAACAAGTGTTGAAAATGATAGGAAAGTGTGAGTTGTTTTGCTTAGTTGAGCAACTTTGGTCCCAATCAGGAGAAAGTGATTCAATGAGATTGTGTTTTTCTTATTCTTCCTTATACAACCTAATCATTTTGAAATCAGAGATCTTTCTCGGTTTGAATTCTGCTTCTGCCATTTATTAGCTGAGTGACTTTGGGGCAAGTTATCTAACTTCTCTCAAGTGTTTTGTTGAATAAGGAACTTCTTTAATAATAATTATAAAGCATATTATGAGGTTAAGTAAAGTTAGGACTTTTCTTTATCCTGATCAAAGTCCTGTGATGAATACAACCTATATAGTTCGCTTCCCTGTTGGTGATTCTGTTTTACCTTTGATTATTTTAATTATTTAGAATTTTGTGGTTTAAAATACCACCAGCTAATTATAGATGGAAATACTAATTTTTCTTGATATGCATATTAACACTGTTCTTAAGAAGTGAGATCTAGTTCTGAAAATAATCTTTACACGAATGTTAAATAACTACAGTGTCTAAAAATACTCATTCCAAAGCTCTGTCATCTCACATAAAATTTTAGAAAAATAAGAATATTTAATTTTTGCTACTTAATGGTGACAAAGCATATCCATCAATTTGCAAGTTCTTGTTTTCTTCCTAAATTTAAAATGATAATTTCAGTGTCTGGAGGGAGCTGACTTGAACTTGATTTTCCTTTTTTTTTTGGAGACAGAGTCTTCCTCTGTTGCCCAGGCTGGAGTGTAGTGGCACAATCTCGGCTCACTGCAACCTCCGCCTCTCAGGTTCAAGCAATTCTTGTGCCTCAGCCTCCCAAGTAGCTGGGACTGTGCAGGTGCGTGTCACCACTCCCAGTTAATTTTTTGTATTTTAGTAGAGACAGGGTTTCACCATGTTGCCCAAGCTGGTCTTGAACTCCTGAGCTCAGACAATCCACCCGCCTCGGCCTCCCAAAGTGTGATTTACTTTTTTTTTTTTTTTTTGAGATGGAGTCTTGCCCTGTCGCCCAGGCTAAAGTGCAGTGGCCCAGTCTCAGCTCACTGCAACCTCTGCTTCCCTGGTTCAAACAGTTCTGCCTCAGCCTCCCGAGTAGCTAGGATTACAGGCACCCACCACCATGCCCAGCTAATTTTTGTGTTTTTAGTAGAGACGGGGTTTCTCCATGTTGGCCAGGCTGGTCTCGAACTCCTAACCTCGTGATCTACCCGCCTCAGCCTCCCAAAGTGAAGCGTGATTTACTTTTAAACCAGGTACATTTCACAGTATATGCAAGGTAACTTGCAGAGTCAGCAAAAAAATAAAAATTTTAAGTCAACCCTATGATTTTGTTCATTTATAGAAGTTCATGAACCTGAGCTCATTCATTAAAATTTTAGTCTTCAGCATCCTCAGATTGTTTTTTTGCTGTTATTGACTAACCTCATTTTTGGTAGAGCCTTCATTCTCTTGTCAGAGCTCATTGGAACACTGCAGGATGGATGGCAAGCTGATTGGCATGGCTTTGACATGTTGTCTTAGATGAGACATTCTTAAGTTTCACCAGATGACATGGGCCAGTTTAATAGCTGTTTTCATTATGATACCAAGAACAATTTGGGGGTGGAGGAGGGGAATTCCTTCATAATAAAATCTACTGTTTTGGCCAGGCACGGTGGCTCACGCCTGTAATCCCAGCACTTTGGGAGGCCAAGGCAGGCGGATCACAAGGTCAGGAGATCGAGACCGTCCTGGCTAACACGGTGAAACCCTTTCTTTACTAAAAATTAGCCAGGATTGGTGGCATGCACTTGTATTGTAGTCCCAGCTACTTGGGAGGCTGAGGGAAGAGAATCGCTCGAACCTGGGAGGTGGAGGTTGCAGTGAGCCGAGATCGTGCCACTGCACTCCAGCCTGGGCAACAGAGCAAGACTCTATCTCAAAAAAAAAAAAAAAGAAAAAAACTGTTTTAACAATGGGTGGGCATAGTGGAGTAGAAAGAATGTATGGCTCCTAGAGTAGACTTGGAACTTCATCTCTATCATGTTTAAGGTTTAAGCCTCAATAGCTGTTAAAATGGGTTAGTACTGGGGTTAGTTATTGTGATTATTTGAATGAAATTATACATGTAAAATACCTGGGCCTCTACTGGCACACAAAAGGTGCTCAATAAATGTTAGCTCTGGTTCCTTATAAGCCTTTGCTAAGTCCTGTCAAGCAGAGTTGGTTGTCATTCAGCTCCTCGGCAGCATTTCTGTGACGCTGCAGTGAGGTACAGGACACTTCTGCTCTTCACTTCTCGACTCTACCCAGAATGCACCATGTGTTCAGCACTCCACACCCCTTTTTTCTCTTACACCCATTTTACTGTGACCCCTTGCCCTGATCTAGACCCTCTGGCTTTCCTTTCTTCCCATCTGTCCCCCTCCTTGCTGCTCCAGGAGATGGCTGGTGGAGGTGGTGGCGCCAGCATTTCTTTTCCTTCTGAGGAAGGAATTTGTGGTAGGGTTTGGGTGGGGACTGAATCTCTGTTCTGGAGGTTTGGGGTAGCTTCCACTCTAAACACATGAACATGAAGGGAAGAGTTGTGGGTTTGTCGGGGGTGGGAGGAGAGAAAAGGATTTCTCATTACTTCTCTGCTCCCCACATGCCTAGCTCTTTTTCCTTCTGTCACACAAATATTTCTTACATAACTGTCTAATGCATCATGCATATTCTCTGTTTCTGGAAATTACAGAGCCTTTCAGAAGATTTTGGGAGTGTTTGGTAAGACCGATAATTCTTTTTGTCCACCCTCTTGGAAGCTAAGAACACTCATATAACAAAAGTTTTTTGAAAAATTATTATGGGCAGTCCCTGCTGAATAGACAAAGTTGAAAAAGATACAGCTCTCCTTGCAAGGAGCTCACAGTCTTTAAAGATAGGCACCCAAAGTCATCATTTAGTGGGATAAGGATTCTAGCAGAAGATCGTATAAGGTAATAGAGATGTTGAGAATGGAGAGCCAAATGAGGAGAAGAAGTCAGGAAAAGCCTGTTAGAGGAGGTGGCACTTGAACACAGAATTGAGGAATAAATAGGAGCTTGCTGCTGAAGAGGGAAGAGATTGTGTTTCAGATGGAGGAAACAGCTACAGCAAAGGCTTACAAGTGTGAAACAGCATGGCTTGTTCAGGGTATAGCAAACCCATAGTTTTCTGTGACTGGAGAATAGAAGTGGCAAGTGAAAATTGGTGGGGAGCAGGATGAAATGTTTAAGAATATATTCCATCAAGGGCCTTCAATAGCGTAAGTAGTGTTCTACTTATGAACCTAAGTGGTGGGCATATGGAAGTTCATTACGTCATTCTTTCATTCAACAAATTATTTATGTATACACACACATGCAGACACACACACACACATCCTCTTGTATGACATATTTCATAACAAATTTAAAAAATACAAAATACACCATTACTAAGGGGGGCAATTTTCTAGATTTCCTAGTTTCTTTAATAATTTTTGTTTCCTTTTTTCTGGGGAGCTCATCATGTGCTTTTAGAATAGTAGTTCCTGAATTTTTTATACCAAAAACATGCTCTAAAGACTATATGAATTACTTAGTAATCATGTGTAACATCCGCATTAATGTCAGATTTCAGAGGAGGGGGTACTGGTGACGTTTCAGGATTTCTTCCCTGCTTTAGTTCAAAGCCCAGAGGAGCACTTAGTTTTTGTAATATGCTTGATTGAATTGTGACATAAAGCACTCATTTTTGCAAACATTCACAATGGGCTATCGAAAGTGAGCCATGGCCGATTCTGAATTGCCAAGCTGCTCATGATTTAATACAGAAGCTAATAAAGATGTGCACATGTGCTATAAAGCAAATAATGTATATGGGAGTTAGGGGGAGAAGAGAGAAGATCATATGGGTCAAATTCTTTGGGTTTTGAGGGCTGGTCAGTTTACTCTGTTAATGCTGTTAGTTTTGTTCCCAAAAGTGTCTGGGGCATCAGAAGCAACTGCTTTTGGTGCCCACACCCTCAGTGTTCCTTGACAGACAAAACACAAGTTAGCAAAACTTCCAGTGAGTCATCTGCATCAATCAAGGGCCTCTTCAGTGTTGTCATCATGGTAAGATACCAAAAGAAAGATGACTGGTGGGCCAGGTGCGGTGACTCATGCCTTTAATCCTAGCACTTTGAGAGGCCGAGGTGGGCAGATCACCTGAGGTCAGGGGTTCAAGACCAGCCTGGCCAACATGGCGAAGCCCCGTCTCTACTAATAATATAAAAATTAGCCAGGTGTTGTGGTGCATGCCTGTAATCTCGGCTACTTGGGAGGCTGAGGCAGGAGAATCGCTTGAACCTGGGAGGCAAAGGTAGCAGTGAGCAGAGATTGTGCCACTGCACTCCAGCCTGGGCAACAGAGCGAGACTCCATCTCAGAAAAAAAAAAAGAAAAAGAAAAAAAAAAGATGGCTGGTGCCTCCTTAAACATGCAAGGCTGGGTGTAACCCCCAAGGAGGTGCAAGGGCAGTGCTGGGTGAGCCAACACTGCTTGGTGCCTCTCTCTGGCATGTTCCAGTGCCAGCATGTCCCTTGAACGTGCCTTTCTAGTGCTCTTCTTTTAGACTCTGTCAAAATTACCTCATTGCTGCCAGGCAGGCCTCATTAAATTGTATTGTGGAAGGACAGATGTCTTTTATTTTCCTTGCAAGCTATTATGCAGGTTAAATCTGTGCTAGCATTATTTTCTCAGATTTTAGCTATTATAAAATTTAGTCCGTCTTCATTTTATTCTCATCCTGATTTTTTGTCAAGTGGTTCATTTGAATTGTCACAAATCTTTGATGTGTGTTTACATTTTATGTAGTTTAGGTTTATTTTCTCATTTCTCCCTCCCTAGGTTTTTTCTTTAATCCCAATACCTCAAATCTCAGGCTCTTCTTTTTCCTTCTCCTACCAGTTTCTACATCATTATTTACTTTTTCTTTACCTACTACTTCATGAGTCTCTCTTCTTTAAGCCTCTGATTCATGCCCCATCTCAACCCTGCTTGGTGGCCTCAAACTCTGGTATGGCTTCATGGAAAATCCTGAGCTAAGCCTGTGGAATGTTGCCAATTTTTCTCACCTCTTTTCCTTGCCTTACCTTATCTCAGTCTTAAATAAAATCAACATATATGTGCTGCCCACAAACTATGGGCCAGGAACTTGGCTGACCTCAAAGGGGATTCAAAGATGGCTTTGAAAGAGTATATAGTCTGGTATGGAAGGTAGGTAGATTCATAAATAACTAAAATAAGGTTTCAGGTAGCATAAGTGAGATGTTTGAGAGACTCTCACAAGATAATGAGGGACTAGATCTAGAGTAGTGTGAGTGGAGAAGAGGAAACGGGGATCACTGAAAGAGAGCCTAACCCTTTGTTAGCTAATCATGACAGAATCCAGCTACATGACAGTGTTACCGGGTCGTCCTTGCTCCCAGAGCTCCCAAGATGGTGGCAGGCCACTTCCAAAATGGCGGCGGGCCACTTCCAAGATGGTGGCAAGCCTCATGTTCTCTGACCTGGGGTTCTTGGCCTCACGGATTCCAAGGAATGGAATCTTGGGCCATGCGGTGAGTGTTATAGCTCTATTAGAAGCCGTGGGTCACGGAAGAGAACTGTGGAACCCAGTGACTGACTAGTGTTCAGCTCGATTAGGACGAACCCGGGCACTTAGCCATGCAGGAACGATGGCAAGCCTGTAGCCCTATCGGGAGCAGCAGTGGGCGCCTAGCTGGATCAGGAGTACAGCAGACACCCTGCTGGATCCACCCTGTGGAAGTCAGCCACAGGTCTGTAACAGTGGCAAACAGCAGTGGTGGACGGCGAGCGAAAGCTCAGCTCGAGCCGTAACAAACACAGACCAAAAGAAAGTGCAGTTGCAAGATTTAATAGAGTGAAGACAGAGCTCCCATACAAAGGGAGGGGACCCAAAGAGGGTAGCCGTTGCCGGCTGGAATGCCTGGGTTTATATCCCGATCATTGTCCCTCCCGCTGTGCTCTTAGGCGATAGATGATTAGCTATTTCTTTACCTCCTGTTTTTGCCTAATTAGCATTTTAGTGAGCTCTCTGATGGCTCGGGTGTGAGCTAAGTTGCAAGCCCCATCTTTAAAGGTGGACGTGGTCACCTTCCCAGCTAGGCTTAGGGATTCTTAGTCTGCCTAGGAAATCCAGCTAGTCCTGTCTCTCAACAGGGGCTTTCCCTTGCCTTGCTGGGGCTGTGTCCAGTTTGATTCACTTTGGCCAGGGTTATTGTTTTCTAACTGCTTCTTTTTCACCAGGAGGGCCTTCTGCAGACTAAGTAGGCAGTGTCTATCCTTGTTTCTGATTCCTGCCCGACTCACACTGTGTCCCATTTCTAGGTTCCTCATGCGTTCCAGTGGCCTTGTCTTCTTGCCTGCCTTCCCCCAGTCTTCTCACCGGATGTGACTGGACAAGTTTAGTTCTATTCCTGCCATGTGTATTTGCTTTGCGGCCTGGGGGAGGCAGGGTTGGAAGTGATGAAAGCAGTAGGAAGTGGCATATCAGGTTGAGATTTCCCTGTTTCAGCATCTAAGGTATATATCCTCAAACTGACCCCCTTCTGGCATAGTTGTTTCTGCAGAGTCACTGATCTCATTGGTTAAGATGGAAAAGAACCACAGAAAGGCAATGGTAATAATAGAATGGTTTCTGACCTATTTCTCCTTGGATGCTTTCCTCAGAGGTAAAGCTAAGATAAAGAGGAAATTGGTTATCAGGGTGGTGTTCAGTGTTTAAATATCTTGCTTTTGGTGAATATGAGGGCCTTATCCTCCCACTGCTTATCTGTAAGTGTTGTTAACATCTAGCCCTTGGAAATCTGGTCTTTGGCAAAGTATCTACTTTTTGCAAAATACTTGTGGAAATCTGAGCTGGAGCTCCCTACTAACACAGAACATGAAGGCACTTTCTAGATTTAAAGTCTCCTCATGTTTAGGCACTGGTCAGTCATGCTTCTACAAACTCACTTGGACACATTTTCCTTTTTTGTGTTTTCATCAGTCAAGGTGATAGGTCATTTCATGATTCTGAATATCTCTCTCTCTTTTTTTTTTTTTTTTTTTTTTGAGATGGAGTCTTGCTCTGTTGCCCAGGCTGGAGTGCAGTGACTTGATCTTAGCTCACTGCAACCTCCACCTCCTGGGCTCAAGTAATCCTCCCACCTCAGCCTCCTGAGTAGCTGGGGTTACAGGCACGAACCACCATGCCTGGCTAATTTTTGTATTTTTAGTAGAGGCGGGGTTTCACCATGTTGGTCAGGCTGGTCTCTAACTCCTGAGCTCAAGTGATCCGCCTGCCTAAGCCTCCCAAAGAGCTGGGATTACAGGCATGAGCCACTGTGCCCAGCCCGACTCTTAATCTCTTTATATTTATATATCTTTTCTGGAACCAGTAGTGCCTTCCAGAGAAAGCTACAAAAGTGCTGTCTTTGTAAAGTAAGCTTCAGAGTGGGAGCAGTTAGTACATAGAAATATTTATTACATGAGTAAGGCTTTAGTGATATGTACAGATATTACTCAGTTTATGGACTGTGTCCCTGGGAAAAAAGTTGTAAAACAAATTTCAGTAACATGTTTGATATATGACATTAGAAATCACTTCCTATGGGAAAAACAGTAACAACCCCACCTTGTACTTATATATTGGTTTATACTTTTCATGAAGTTTCTATGTGCGTAAGCCTTTGCAATAAACTAGAAGACTATTGTTGTCATCCTCATTTTATTGTTGCCTGAAATAAAGGCCAAGGCCCATCTGGTGGCCCTGGGAGTAGAACCCATAGTCTAATTCCATACTCTTTCCTCTGCAAACTGTTTAGATTAAAAGTTTGTATGTGTTGGTAATAATAAGAGAAAATTAAAGCAATTGAGCGAGCTTTTAATCATGCTACTTATATTCAATTTAAAGAGATGCCTTTTATTCTGATCTTCTTTCGATAAGTTCTTACTAAGCACCAGCTCTGTGTCAGGTACTGTTCTAAGTACTGCCTGCTGTGTTGAACAACACAGACACAGAACTTATGTTCTAATGAAGGAAGAGAGATAGTAAATAAGTAAACAAACAAGAACATAACAGCAGGTGATTTCAGATAGTGAATAAGAGTGCTGAAGAATGTAAAATAGAGAATGGTAATAGTAGTTTGGATTGATTTCCGCTAGAAAGGTCTGGGAAGGCCTCTCTGAAGAGGTTTACATTTGAGCTATCATATAAGTGAGAAGGAGGCAGACATAAGCAGATCTGGGAGAAGTACATTATAGAGGGCTTAACAAGAGCCAGGGTCTAGAGACAGGAGCAAACAAAACTGTGTTCCTGAAGAACTAAAATAAGATCTGCATAGTGCCGGCTTAGAGGTTGGCAGGGGAAGGAAAGGACAGGTCATGAAGGCCCTTGTAGAACATGGTAAGGGATTTGTATGTTAACTATGATGGCCAGGCCAGGTGTGGTGGCTCACGCCGTAATCCCAGCACTTTGGGAGGCCAAGGTGGGAGGATCACTCTCTGAGGCTAGGAGTTTGAGACCAGCCTGGCCAACATGGCGAAACCCTGTCTCTACTAAAAATACAACAACAACAAAAAAGTAGCCAGGTGTGGTGGCAGGCACCTGTAATCCCAGCTACTTGGGAGGCTGAGGCAGGAGAATCGCTTGAACCCCAGAAGCGGAGGCTGCAATGAGCCGAGATCATGCCATTGCACTCCAACCTGGGCAACAAGAGGAAAACTCTGTGTCAGAAAAACAGAAAACAAAAAAACTGTGATGGCTATTTGTCCTACTGTTTTCTTGTTAAAATGTCCTTTATTTTGTAAAACGATGGTGATATTAGACAGTAAATTGGTATTTATGTTGCCTCTGCTGAGTGTGAGGGCTTTAGCCTCTACTTGTCTGTAAGTGCTGCCAATAATTAATGGTTTTATAATCTTACTTGTCAAGACTAAAAGTTAGTTAATAACCTTATATCAGTCCCCAAACTTTAAGTAAAAAATTTTACCAGCCATGAAATCTAGTAGTTTGGAAACTATGGCAATATACCACAGCAGCTTCCCAATAGGAAGGCTTGAAAATATTTGTCAGTAAAGAGGTTAACATAGGCTGGGCATGGTGGCTCATGCCTGTAATCCCAGCACCTTGAGAGGCCAAGGCGGGTGGATCATGAGGTCAGGAGATCGAGACCATCCTGGCTAACACGGTGAAACCCTGTCTCTACTAAAAATAGAAAAAAATTAGCTGGGTGTGGTGGCATGTGCCTATAGTCCCAGCTGCTCGGGAGGCCGAGGCAGGAGAATCACTTGAACCCAGGAGGCGGAGGTTGCAGTGAGCCGAGATCGTGCCACTGCACTCCAGCCTGGGTGACAGAGTGACAGAGTGAGACTCCGTCTCAAAAAAAAAAAAAAAAAAAAAGAGGTTAACGTAATATCCAGGACAGTGGCATGGCATGCTGAAATGTTTTTCTTAATTTAAATTATCTTGAATCTCAGATCTACCTGTACTTTCGTTCACCCACTTTCTTTTCGCTTTCTCCTATCTGTAAGTTCATCACTGGGTCATATAAATTTCTCTTGTACTTGGGAATGACCTTGTTACAAGCTTCCAGAACTTTGTGCCCAGTACTTAGAATAGTCATTACATTATCACAGTTCTTTGGGAAGTTGCCCCATATTTAACATACTCAAATCCAAATGCTCCTTCTCAAAGCTCCAAGTAAATTAGTACCCTGATTATTGTTAAAAATGAAATCTAGAGGTGAATTTACATGAAATGAGGATACAGATACAGGCCAGAGACCGGGTTCAGTCTGGCCCATGCCAGCCATGATTGATTGTGTCATGTCTTTCCCTTGCTGGCTGAATCTAGGATTCCTGTTTTCATATGTGATTTGTTCATGAAAATGGGCATTTAGGTTTAGTGTATGTGTGTTTTAAAGGGAAATTTCTTCCCAGAGAGTCCAAGCACATAAAAACACTTCTTCAATGTGGTATTCGAAAGATTTGTGCATGTTAGTATATTTTGTTCTTTTTCTTCAAAATTGACCACATAATCTTCTGGCTTATGTCCAGGGAGTATCTAGTTGAGGCAAAATATTTGCTGCTTTGGGAATCCCTGATGATTACCATGCCTTTTTCATGATGTTGAGGCTACAGGAGCTAAGCTTATTAGTGACTGGCTGTGCCATTTTTACCATTTCCCACTCATCTTTATAAAATAATGAAGGCAAAATGCTGAACAACCGTGTTTCTTCAGTTTTAAAAAATCTGTTATTTTTATTCTCCTCTTCTCCCTACTGTGATGGCTCCTGAAGGATGTCTGAGAAATCACTAAGGCTTTGCAGAGCACAGGATGCAAACCACCATAAAAAAATCCAAATTGTGGGCCGGGCACGGTGGCTCATGACTGTAATCCCAGCACTTTGGGAGGCTGAGGCAGGTGGGTCACGAGGTCAGGGGTTCGAGACCAGCCTGGCCAACATGGTGAAACCCCGTCTCTACTAAAAATACAAAAATTAGCTGGGCACAGTGGCACATGCCTGTAGTCCCAGCTACTCGTGAGGCTGAGGCAGGAGAATCACTTGAACCCGGGAGGCAGAGGTGGCAGTGAGCCGAAATCGTGCCACTGCACTCCAGCCTGGGCAACAGAGCGAGACTGTATCTCAAAAAAAAAAAAAAAAAAGAAAAAGAAAGAACAAAAAAATCCAAATTGTAAACCCAGCCATAAAAAGATGGCAGTGCTGTTGAAACTGGCAGAACCACAACACCATAGCTTCAAAAATAGATCTTATGTGTACATTTTAACCTAAAATTATACTTTCAGGTGGCATTTACTGTGTAAAGCAAAGTCAAGCTTTGATCATAACTGTTTTTTCAGAGCACACTTTTTATATAATTTGGGAATGGTGGTGCTATGAGAGCTAAAATATTTTTTGTTTACTAATTTAAAAAGTAAATTTCAGCTGGACGTGGTGGCTCACACCTGTAATCCCAGCACTTTGGGAGGCTGAGGCGGGTGGATCACCTGAGGTCAGGAGTTTGGAGACCAGCTTGGCCAATATGGCGAAACTCCATCTTTATTAAAAACAAAAAAATTAGCTGAGTGTGGTGGCAGGCGCCTGTAATTCCAGCTACTCAGGAGGCTGAGGCAGGAGAATTGCTTGAACCCAGGAGGCAGAGGTTGCTGTGAGCTGAGATCATGCCACTGTACTCCAGCCTGGGCAACAAGAGCTTAACTCTGTCTCAAAAAAAAAAAAAAAAAAAAAAAAGTGAATTTCATGTTGGCCAAGATTTCTTTTTTCATAAATTGTTTAATTATAAATAGTTATCATATGTTTATATATGATTGTAAAATAATTGATTTGCTAGTTTAAATTTTTTTCTTTTTGTCTTCTAGTTTGCCAGGGTTTGGATACCTGATCCAGAGGAAGTCTGGAAGTCAGCAGAGCTGCTCAAAGATTATAAGCCAGGAGATAAAGTCCTCCTGCTTCACCTCGAGGAAGGAAAGGTGAGATCTCACTTTCATTTGTTGTCATTGGCATAAAGTGAAGGGAGTTCAAAAGTGTAAATTTACTGTGAAGTAAACTCCCAATGGAAGTTAAATTTTGAACTTACCTAGAATTTTTACTTACTAAATTGGTAAAAATGGCAAACTCAGTTTTCTATCCTGATAGTGTTTTTAATGGCATAGATTAGTGAAAATAGCAGATACTTTAAAAAGCTTCTATTTTGGCCTGTGAATTTATTATGATTATCAGGTTTAGATTCACATCTAATCCTAAAACTCTTGCATTTAACTGGTGTGCTATGGGGAGTGCTTGTAGTGTTTTTAAAAAGAGGCATGGTGCCAGGTCTTAGAGGAGACTCATTGGTGGCAGCATGGAGAGCAAAACTGAGGGGAAGATACTAGTTGGGAGGAAGGCGGGGAAGAATTAGGCCAATTAGGAGGGCTTTTAATACCAAACTAGGGAATTAACTTATTTAACATTTATTGGTCATCTGCTTTGTTAGGCAAAATGTTCGGCACTTTGGAGTGAATTTTCTCACGTTAAATTTCACACCAACCCTATGGGTTGGCAGGTGATATAATCACTATTTTCCAAATAAGAAAGCCAAACTTCAAAGTCATTAAGTAGTTTTGCTCAAGGTCACACAGCCAGGAAGTGGCTTTTGGAATTTGAAGTGAGATTTGAACACAGATGACTCTAAGATGAGTGCTTATACTATTTGACTATATTGGATTTTTGCAGATTGCTGGCCATGACCAGTTGCTTAAGGTGATGTCTGCCATGTTATCCACTGTAAAGTTACTGTTTTCCCTTTGTAATTAATGAATGTCATTGTGTTGGGGCAGATGCTTTGAGGCCACTCATATATCCTGCTTCTCCTTAAACTTTTCCTGCTAATATTTGCCCAGTGTTCATTACTGTGTCTTGCCTGCAGCAAATATCGTTGTGTTCTAGTGGTGATTCTCCATTTCTTTCCTTCCTTCTATACTTATTAACTAGAATTCTTCTATAGGGAAGGAAGTATTGTTTCTCCTCTCCCATTTATTTATTACTTTAATCATTTATTTATTATGGGCTCATGGGTATTTCTTTTATTCTTCATTACTATCATTATTTATTTTATCAATTAAATTGTTCCAGCTTTGGTCATTGAGATCTCTCTTAGATTGGGTCCTTTGACTTTTTTGACAGGTCCCTATCCTTTTTTATTTTTTTTTGAGGCAGGGTCTCACTTTGTCACCCAGGCTAGAGTGCAGTGGCTTGATCATGCCTCCCAGGCTCAGCCTCCCTCCCTAGTGGCTGGAACCACAGGCATGAGCCACCATGCCTGGCTAATTTTTAAATTTTTTTAGTAGAGATGGAGTCTCAATATGTTGCCCAGGCTAGTCTCGAACTCCTGAGCTCAAGCAGTCCTCCCACCTCGGTCTCCTGAAGTGCTGGGATTATAGGCATGAGCCACTGTGCCTGGCTTATTTTTTTTTTTTTTTTTAGATATAGCACTTCTCCTGGTACCCTAAGATACTTACCCTGTATTTCCCCTTTCCCAGCCCTGTTACCTTATATTGGAGGATAGTATTTGACAGCCAAGATCTGAGCACTAGGTGTGCTCATTGCTATTGAGATGACACCACTTCTCAGCCCTCTTAGCATAGAGAGCTAGAAAAATATATACATGGATGGATAGATAGATACTAATATGTATGCATACTATACTAATGTATACTCAACCATCTATACTTACTTTATGTCTATGTTTACATATGTATGTATGTGTTTGTATGTATGTATTTTATATATATAATGTGTTTTTAGAGATGGTTGTCTTGCTATGTTGCCCAGGCTAGTCTTGAACTGCTGGGCTCAAGAAGTCGTTTTACCTCGTCCTCCCAAAGTGCTGGGATTAAAGGCATCAGCTACTGCACTAGACTTTTTTTTTTTTTTTGAGACGGAATTTTGCTCTGTCACCCAGGCTGGAGTATTGTGGTGCAATCTCGGCTCACTGCAGCCTCCACCTCCCGGGTTCAAATGATTCTTGTGCCTCAGCTTCCTGAGTAGCTGGGATTACAGGCGCATGCCACCATGCCTGGCTAATTTTTGTGTTTTTAGTAGAGACAGGATTTTACCATGTTGGCCAGGCGGGTCTCAAACTCCCAACCTCAAGTGATCCACCCACCTCGGCCTCCCAAAGTGCTGGGATTACAGGCATGAGCCACTGCACCCAGCCTTGACTTTTTTTAAAAAAAATAAAACCCGTGAGTTAATAGGGATCCTTTTTTCTCCAGTCCAATGCCACCAGGTTCATTCTATTATTCTTCCTTTGATTATGTGTACTATAACTTCTCTTTTTGGTTTTCATTAGCTATATTACTTATTCATTATAGACATAAAGTTATTTCAGAATTGCTAATCCATACCCTATTATAAGAAGCAGATTTGCCAACCAGAGTACAGTGTCTATGTTTAATTTTATTAATCCTTAGTATTTTTTAAAAATCTAGAAATAGAATGATACATACCTTTAATAAAAGCAAGACTAGGGACAGGGGTCAAACAAGAAGAACAGACATTATAAAATTCCTGAACTATTCAAGAATCATTCTCTTTTTAGAAACTATAGTCACTTAGGGTCCTAGAATAAAATAGAGAAAGCATGGCTTTTGTAATAGTAGAAGAGTATATTTATTTAATGATGTCCAGTGATTCCAGAGGAGCAGTTTATGTCCATTTAAAGCCTAACTCCAAGAAGGAAATTTCTGTGAAGATGTTACAGATCTTCTCTACCTTTCAAATTAGTGTCTTCTCTAATATTTCAATTTCAGCTTCTCCCCACACTAGCCACAAACAACCCCACCCTGTAATGAAGACTGAGGAAAGAGCTCTGGGTTGCCCTTCTGCCATTCTGGAGTCTCCTGGCTAATACCAGAACAGACAATTGTGTATTTACAGGGCCAATGCAAGGACCAGTCAGCCCCAGGCAAGGGTGATATTCTCTGATAAACAGGCAGCAAGAAATGCTGAGTGGTAAATTGTTAATTTTTCTCTCCTTTAGCATAATTCGTTCAAATATGATTTGAATATTTGACCTCTGTATATATTTTTAGTATTACCATAACTGGCTTTTTACAAAACCTTGTCCCTCCCTACAACTAAATTGAATTTTTATTCCTATTCACTTGTCCTATGTTATTTGCCCCTTTATATAGTTAAGTGACAATATTCATGGTTGGCTGTGCCATGAAGCCGTATTCCCGTGACTTTAAAGTGAATAGTGGCTAGTAATGGTCACTCACACCTGTAATCCCAGCATTTGGGAGGCCAATGCAGGAGGATCCCTTGAGGCCAGGAGTTCGAGATCAGCCTGGGCAACATAGTGAGACCCCCATCTCTATTAAAAATTAACTGAATAGTACTTGTTAACTTTTGGGACCAGGAACCCTATTAAAATGTCGTTTGTTTTGTTTTGTTTTGTTTTTTTGTTTTTTTTTGAGATGGAGTCTCGCTCTGTAGCCCAGGCTGGAGTTCAGTAGCGTGATCTTGGCTCACTGCAACCTCTGCCTCCAGGGTTCAAGTGATTCTCCTGGCTCAGCCTCCCGAGTATTTGGAATTACAGGTGCCCACCACCACGCCTGGATAATTTTTGAGTTTTTAGTAGAGATGGGGTTTCACCATGTTGGCCAGGCTGGTCTCGAACTCCTGACCTCAGGTGATCCACCCACCTCGGCCTCCCAAAGTGTTGGGATTACAGGCATGAGCCACCATGCCTGGCCAATTTTTGTATTTTTAATAAAGACGGAGTCTTGCCATGTTGGCCAGGCTGGTCTCGAACTCCTGACCTCAGGTAATCCGCCCGCCTTGGCTTCCCAAAGTACTGGGATTACAGGTGTGAGCCACTGTGTCCGGCCTAAATCTGATGAATGAATAAGCATATGCACAGAAAAAAACAAAAAGCAAACAAAACAAAAATCTCATGAAAACTATGAATTGTCTTGCCTCAAAAAAAGTACACATATGTGCACATACACACAGAGTTGTTGCACGTAATTTCAGGGGATTCTTGGGTATCTAGTGGTTTAAGGATTCCTAAGTACTTACCACATGCCGGACTTGCCTCATTTACTTTTTTACCACAACCCTGTTAGCCCATTTTACAAATGAAGGATTTGGGTGAAATACTGTAACTCAAGACCACATAAAAAGTAAGTATTAGTATCAGGATTTGAATCCTGGGCAATCTGATCCTAGAGCCAAGCTCTCGACCACTCTTTTATATTGTCCGCCACTTTTTTATAGGTAAAAGGGGTTGGAGGAGAGAAACATATTTAAAAGTTTAAAACTTCTGATTCAGTACGTGGGTGAAAAAGGTCTAGGCTATGGCTTTCAAAGTATATTAGCAAAAATTGTTAATACAGGTTGGTATGTCTAATGAAAACGCACTTCATATTGTTTCCATCTCCACCAGTTTCTGTGATATTGGAAGGTGCTAGGAAAATAATGCATTTAATAGCTGAGAAGCAAATCAGGAATAGGAAGTAAGCAAAATGCATGGGCCTCTTTCACAGTCCTTGCCATAATTCATCCAGATGCTGTGCCTTGTGCATTTTCAGGATTTGGAATACCATCTAGATCCAAAGACCAAGGAGCTGCCTCACTTACGAAATCCTGACATACTTGTTGGTGAAAATGACCTCACAGCCCTCAGCTATCTTCATGAGCCTGCTGTGCTCCATAATCTCAGAGTCCGCTTTATTGATTCCAAACTTATTTATACGTATTGTGGTAAGTATGCTTTGCTTTCCGAATAGACTGTGGACTCTTTCCTCTAATGGACATAGCCATAGAAATATTGTACATGGGGAAAGCAGGCTGTGGTTGGATTTTCTCTAAGAGACAAAATCACTTGAGCGTTATCAGAAAGATTTACCAAGTTGCATTTATGCTGAATAAACTCATTTGTGACCTTACATAATTTTGCTAAAAATAAAAAGACTGGGCCCATCTTTTGGAATTTTTTTCCCCTTACAGAAGTCATATGTCAGATTTAGTGCCAAATTCACCAGTTGTTTTCTTCTCTTCCAAAAACTACTACACGAAGAGTAGATGTCCAAGGACTTATCTTTGGAGCAGGTTCAAGAGATTTAGTGTTATCTTGTGGTCAATTACTCAGCCATGCAGAACTAACTTGACTCGTGGTGATTCGTCTTGCTCACTCCTGCTTGCCTGGGCCCCTGCTCATTGCAGTGTTAGCTGCCAGCCACCCAGCTCATGGTGCTTTTTATCTCTCCAAGAAATAAAGCCTCTGCATGTGTGTGTGTTTGTGTTCCTTTCCCCCTTCTCCAGCTTTCCTTCTTTTTTCTCTCTTTCCCAGTTTGTTCTTATCTTTTATTTTCTCCCTTTTCTCTGGCTATTTTTTCTCCGCTGACGTCTTACCATTCTTTCACTAATCACTCTGTCCTCGGAAGCTCAAATCTGGATTTCCATTCATTCGTGTGGTATATCCAACTCAGTGCTCATGATTTCTTCATTACTCTCCTGTTTTAGACAGGAACAGCCACCTTTTCTTCTTAAAATAATTAACATCCTTTATATCATTGATACTAACTTTTCCTTTCTGGTAACTATTTCTGTTTCTCAATTGTTATTTTTCTTCCATTTTTTTTCCTTGCACATGTGTTACCTTCTCAGTGAAGTCTTGTCTAGCCACCCTATCAAGTCAGAAACCCCTCCTTACTGTGTTTCTTCCCTGCATTATTTTTTGCCTTCTTTTCCTTATTACAATTTAATCTGAGATTATGTATATATATATTTTCTTACTTATCTTGTTAATTGTCTGAATTTCCCACTAGAGTTTAAGTTCCATGAGGGTAAAGATTAGTCTTTTTTGTTTGTTTGTTTGTTTACTGTTGTAAGTTCAGCATTTAGAAATGACTTTACACATAGTTGGAGCTGAATAAACATTTATTGAATGGACGACTTCATTAAGTTAATATACACCTACAGAAAAATTCTTAGGAAATACAGAAAAGTATAAAAAAAGGAAAAACAATTATATGTAACTCACCACTGAAAAATAGCCAGTATTAATATTGATTTACATCCTTTCTCTTTGTATGCATAAGTTGATAGAAAATTGGAATCAGTCTATATATAGTTTTGTATTATGTTTTCCTATGACATTTAATATCCTTCAAAAACATGATTTGGACCTTCTCAGTGAAGTCTTGTCTGGCCACCCTATCAAGTCAGAAACCCCTCCTTACTGTCTTTCTTCCCTGCATTATTTTTTGCCTTCTTTTCCTTATTACAATTTAATCTGAGATTTATTGAATGGACGACTTCATTAAGTTAATATACACCTACAGAAAAATTCTTAGGAAATACAGAAAAGTATAAAAAAGGAAAAACAATTATATGTAACTCACCTGTGCTGTGGCTTACCCTGTAATCCCAGCACCTTGGGAGGCTGAGGTGGGCAGATCACTTGAGCCCAGGAGTTCAAGCCTGGGCAACATGGCAAAATCCTGTCTCTACAAAAAAAATACAAAAATTAGCCAGGCATGGTGTTGCGTGTCCATAGTCCCAGCTACCTGGGAGGCTGAAGTGGGAGGATTTCGTAAGCCTGGGAGGTCTAGGCTGTAGTGAGCCAAGATAGTAACATTGCACTCCAGCTTGGGTGACAGGGTGAGACCCTATCTCAAATTAAACAAACAAACATGATTGGTGGTAGTGGCTTAGTAGTCTATCATATGGATGTAACAGAATGCATTCAACTAGTCTCCTTGCCCTATATATTTTGTTTCCATTTTCACTGTTACAGATAACATTATGATAAACATCTTTGTGAAAAAAAAAAAAAAAACTCTTTGCATGAATTTCTGATTATTTCATTTGGATAAATTGTAGAAGTAAAGTGGAATTTTTGGATTAAATATATGAAGATATTTAAAGTTCTTATAACATTGCCACATTATTTTAAGCCACCTAGTCCAGTTTTTAAATGGTGTTTTAGGCAGAACTATGTATAATGGGTTCAGAGGCGAAGGCTATGATACATTTTGATCCTTGAACAATTTATTGGTTTAATATTAACTAAATTGAAATGAAGGATTGTGTTAACTGTGAGTCTCACTTTACTAAGTTTGATATGCCCATTAGGGTATCATTGACTTCTTTTTCTTTCTTGTCCCCTACCCTATTCCCAGGTATAGTCCTAGTAGCTATAAATCCCTATGAACAGCTGCCTATTTATGGAGAAGATATTATTAATGCATACAGTGGTCAGAACATGGGTGATATGGATCCACATATCTTTGCAGTAGCTGAAGAAGCTTACAAGCAAATGGCCAGGTTGGTAGAAGCTTTCATTGTTATTTTATGGCAGTTATTAGATATGATAATTTCTTCTTGCTAAGTCACATATATTTTAAAGTGAATGGCAACCTTGTAAATAATTACTAAATAAGCAGCCTTGACAAGTTTGTCTCAGGTGACTTGGATTATTATTAAATAATAAAGTGGGCCAGGTGCAGTGGCTCATGTCTGTATTCCCAGCACTTTGGGAGGCCAAGGTGGGCGAATTACCTGAGGTCAGGAGTTCGAGACTAGCCTGGCCAACATGGCGAAACCCCGCCTCTACTAAAAATGCAAAAATTAGCCGGGTGTGGAGGCACGCACTTGTAATCCCAGCTACTTGGGAGGCTGAGACAGGAGAATTGCTTGAACCTGGGAGACAGAGGTTGCAGTGAGCCGAGATTGTGCCACTGCACTCCAACCTGGGCCACAGAGCAGGACTCTGTCTCAAAAACAAACAAACAAACAAACAAACAAACCCCTCACATTTATAAAGGGACATAGAGTTTTTAAAAACTGCCTTTGAAATTTCATCATGATCCTGTGACTAGGAAAAGACAGATGCAGATGTTATGTTTTACAGATGAAAGGATTAGTGTAGTGGTATTAAATGACCTACCCAATGTCAGTCAGCGAATGAGTAATAGACTAGAACTAAAAAGCCTAGGAGCTGTAAAAAAAATCTTTCTGAATCCTAGGGAATTAAATCTAAAGGAAAGTGTGAAATTTTTTTCTTTCAAGATGGGGTCTTGCTATGTTGCCCAGGCTGGGCTTGAACTCCTGGGCTCAAGTGATCCTCCTTCTTCAGCCTCCTGAGTAGTTGGTACTGCAGGCATACACTACCATGCCCAACTGAAAGTGTGAATTTTAACATTAGTATTATATGATAGGGCATCAGTTATCCTGAACAGCATCTGCAAAATGTCTCTTATATTAACCATGGAACCCTAACATTTTGAGGGTGGAAAATGGGAGAAAAATGTTACTTTCAGGACTAGATTATGCTCTTAGTAATATAATAAAATATAAAACTGTGAATGTGTAGAAGAATAGTTTAAGTTTAATTCATTTCTCCAGCCTACAAAGCAGAACACATTATAAATATAATATGGGAAACCCACGAGTAATTTATAAGGTGGAAAGAAAACTAATACTGCAGAGGTTTTTATTTTGTCCTCTCCAGCCAGGGAGAGTATACATGATTGGTCCAGCATGTGACAGAATTTTAGAATTATTTCAGGGACAAAACCCTAGAAATCATTATGCCCTTTTAATAATAAAATAATATTAATATGGATACTTCTAATAGCAGCTAACATTATGTGCTCTGTGAAGGGCATTATTTAATTGCTTTCCATTTTTAACTAATTTTATTCTTATAGCAACTTTCTGAGTTTGGTATTATTAATTTTCATTTTACAAATGAGAAAAATGAAGCACAGAGAAGTTGTGTAACTTTTCTAAGGTCACGTAACTAGGAAGACCAGTTTTCAAATTCAATTAGTCTGACATTATGAAATATTAATGTATTAAATATAAAATGACTAAACATAGGTTAGCACTACAAAGCATGTCATATTATGCCAGCTTCTGCTATAAAATAGTAATTAGTGTTCAAAGCTTAAGAAAAGTTATTTTTTAAGCTTAAAATTGAGAAAATTCCATCTATTGGTATGATTTTTTTCCCTTAAGTTGGAAAAATCTACCAGTAGTTGATTTGTATAGTATCAGAGCATTGCAGTACAGTTTCGACACCACTTAGTACAACCTGAGAACTACTGGGCAGAGAAAAAATCACATGGGTGGCTAGACTCTAAAAATAATCTCTGAAAATTATATAGTGCTCAGAGAATTATATGACTCTTTGGAAAACAGTATTCTTAAATACAAAAGCATAGCTCTTACCATCTTTGTTACTGGTCTTTCACAGATAGTATTAGGTTTATATGAATATTTATGGCTTTTTACCTTTAGATTTACCTTGGTTTCCTGTAATTTTCTCTTCTCATTATTATCTGTTGTGACTCAGTCACTCAAGGTAATTTCTTAACTGAAGGGTTGTTTTGTCTTTTTTCCTTTGGCTTGGTTTTCTTTTTCAGACAGCTTTAAAATATGCCTCAATTAGTTATGGTATTATATTTACCATTTATATAAATAAATCTATACCCATAACATCTGCCACAGCAGTAAAATAGAGTGTATCTATTCAGGCTTACAGTCAGAAATAACTGCTGCAGGATCATTTCTTGCCATTGTTTTCTTTTTTTTTTTTTTTAAGACGGAGTCTTGCCCTGTCACCCAAGCTGGAGTGCAGTGGCGCAATCTCAGCTCACTGCAACCTCCGCCTCCCGGGTTCACGCCATTCTCCTGCCTCAGCCTCCCGAGTAGCTGGGACTACAGGCACCTGCCACCACGCCCAGCTAATTTTTTGTATTTTTAGTGGAGACGGGGTTTCACTGTGTTAGCCAGGTTGGTCTCTATCTCCTGACCTCGTGATCCGCCCACCTCGGCCTCCCAAAGTGCTGGGATTACAGGCATGAGCCACCACGCCCAGCCAGCCTTACCATTGTTTTCTTGTCAAACAAAGATGTCATCTTTCTAGATGCAAATCCTGGTGTTTCACATTATCACCATTTCTAGGGATCCCTCATGTCTTCAGGGAAGGTACAATTCATCATTCATGTAATAGAGATTTATTGAACACCGTCCAAACGCCAGACACTGTTCTGGGCATGGGGGATACAAATTAAATAGACAGGAATTCCTACCCCACGAAGTCAGGCATGATTAACAATAAAACTATTAGCTGGGCATGGTGGCGCACGTCTGTAGGCCGATCACTTAAGCCTCGGAGTTCAGGATTACAGTGATCTACGATTGTGCTACCACACTCCAGCCTGGGCAACATAGTGAGACCCTGCCTTTACAAACAAAATACAAAAACTAGCCAGGCATGGTGGCCTGTGCCTTTAGTCCCAGCTACTCAGGAGTCAGAGGTGGGAGGATCGCTTGAGCCCAGGAGTTGAAGGCTGCAGTGGGCCAAGATGGTGCCACTGCATTCCTGCCTGGGTGACAGAGCAAGACCCTATCTACAAAAACAACAAAAAAGTAAAGTTACAAAAAAATTAGAAGAACATACTGTGCTGGAGCAAGGGTAGAGGCCAGGAGACTAGTTGGGAGGTTATTGCCTTGATCCATGGAAAAGATGATCATTTAATTAGTGGAGGTGGTAAAAAGTAGATGGATTCTGGGTATATTTTTAAGACAGAACTGGCAAAGCCTTGCTTATATGGGGTATTTGAGAAAAAGAGGAGTTAAGGATGGCAGTAAGGATTTGGACTGAGCACCTAGAAGGTTGGAGTTGCTGTTTATTGAGATGTAGAAGATGGCAGGAAGAGCAGGTTGTGTGTGTTGTAGGGTGGGGAGTAGGGGGAAGGGAGCAGAGTTCTAATTTAGATCTTTAAGGTTGAAAAGATGTTTTTGACATCTATCCTAAAAGCAAAACTCATACTAGGAATTCTTTCCAAGCAGATCTATGTCCAGTGACATCAGCAATAACCAGGATCCTTGAGCTGGATCCTTGACTCATGGCTTCTTTTTAAACATGCTCCTTAGAGAGTACAATGCCCTCATAAAATACCTTCCTAGAATAGCCTTTTAATTTTAATTGTCCTTGTTGACTTACCATGGAGAAACACTCAGTGGACTGCCATGCCTATTTTTTTATTTTATTCTTGTTTGACATTCTTGCCAGTCTTTTCTCATGCTGTAACTAGGATTTTTGTTTTGTTTTGTGTTGTTTCCTTAAAACCAGGTAGTGTTGATGGCTTTAATTTGCTATATTTTCTCTCCACTGTGAGTGATAATCAGTTTTATTGACTAAGTTTCATTTATTTAAATTTGCTTGAAATAAGTTATATGCAATTAACTTTGGTCTAGTGAAAAAGACATCTGTACTAGTCACGTATCTACCAATAACTAATCATATAAGCTCAAATCTCCTGGTCTCCCTGAGTCTCCGTTTTATCATCTATAAAACGGAACAGTGTCACTGATGATCTAGCTTTACATGTACAGGTTTCTGTGGTATGCATTTGTTATCTTTATGTTTGATGGGAACTAATGCATAAACATTTTAATTGAGGGGAGACCATGGTAGGGAGCTGTGTAACAAAGCAGAAGAAGCATTGTGTAGACTTTCCCCTGGAAATCAAGAGATGTGGGGTGTAACAACCCAGCTCTACTCTATGCCAGTCATCAGGCTTGGACAAGCCTTTTAACCTCTTGGTGTTACTATTTCCTCCAAAGAGTAGAATATAATGTCTCTCCTGCTTACTTTGGAGGTGAAAATTGTATTAGGTGATACACACAAAAACACTTCGAAAAATACTAAGTTCTATTCCAATATAAGCTGTTCTTATCATCATAGTCATCATCATTATGTGGCCTTATGTCTACATTTCTCTTTTCATTGACTTGAGCCTCTCATCTGGTTTTATTATTTCTGAATTAATTTATTACCAGGCCCTTCCTTAGGGTGGCCCCTTCCGTCATTTGGTTATGTGGTCTCAGGGTGTGCCACGGTCCAGCGGTTCACTGGCTAACTGCAAACTATTAGAGATGACAAAATCTCTTCTGTTTCAGCTGAAACTCAGCTGCCCTGTGATGCTAAGTATCCTATTTATGCAAATAGGCTTTAAGTAATACATGGTTCCTCATAAGGATAATTTTATATATGTTATATAAAGGTGGGTTAACTTAAATTAATAAATATCTACCATATTTGAGGTCTACTGTGTACCAAACATGGTGCCAGGCATGTAATCCTCATTATATCCCTGGAGCAGATCACCACTGCTTTACAGGTGAGGAAAGTAGCTTGTCCAGGCCATATGCTAATAAATGGTATCTAAGAGCTGAGATTTGAATCCAGCTTTGAGACTCTGAAGCCTTTCTTCTTTGTCATTTAGTTTTCTTACTTTCAACTACCTGGCCCTATTCTAACAGATCTATTCCCTCACGTTAAGATGGCATAATTCTATTTCTACATCTTTTATTTAGCCTAGAATATCTTGCTCCATGCTTTTTTATCTGTCTGATTTATATTTATACTTCATTATCCCACTCAGATTTTACTTTCAGATGACCCCAGCTCACAGTAAATGATTTCTCTTTAGAATTCTCCATTATATGAGTATCTTAGTCTGTTTTATACTGGTATATAAGAATACCAGACTGGGTAATTTATAATGAACAGAAATTTATTTGGCTCATTGTTGTGGATGCAAGAAAGAGCAAGGTTGATAGGCTACATCTAGTTGAGGGTCTTCTTGCTACGTCATCTTATGGTGGAAGGTGGAAGGGAAGAGAGCATGTAAGACAGAGACAGGAAGGGGGCCAAGCTCATTCTTTCATCAGGATGCCATTACTGCAGTAACTAACCCACTTCCATTATGACTGCATAAATCCATCCATGAGGGCAGAGCCCTCACGACCTAGTCACCTTTTTTTTTTTTTTTTGTAATACAGGGTCTCACTATGTCACCCAGGCAAGGGTGTAGTGGCACAGTCATGGTTCACTACAGCCTCAACCTCCCAGGCTCAAGTGATCCTCCCACCTCAGCCTCCCAAGTAGTTAGGACTACAGGCATATGCAGTGATGCCCAGCTAATTTTTTCTTTCTTGTAGAGATGGAATCTCACTATGTTGCCCAGGCTGGTCTCAAATTCCTAAGCTCAAGTGATCCTCCTGCCTCACCTTCCCAAAGTGCTGGGATTACAGGCGTGAGCCACCATGCCTGGCCTAGTCACATTTTAAAGTCTCACCTCTCAACGCTGTTGTATTGAGGATTCAGTTTGCAACATATGAACTTTGAGGAACACATTCAAACCATAACATTAAACTGCTAGTTTGGGACTTACTGAATATTATCTACCCCAGAAGGTTGCAGCAGGAATAAAATACAGTATATATTAGAGAACTAGAGTATGTAAAAGTTATAAACAAATATAGTTGGCTATTTCTGCTCTAGCATCTTTATATAATGCATAGGCTCTGTACTGATGGAACAGAAAACTCAGGTTGATTTGAGAGGATCTGATAGCCATGTGACAGGCTTCTCACCAGGAACTGAGTGACCTCAGCAAGTATCTCTAGGAAACACTTGTTTTCATTTCCTGAGAAGTCTGTCTGCCTCTCTAAAGCGTTCAACAGTGCCAGCAACCATTTTTATAGTAAATATTTATGCTTCAAAAATAAAATTAATATTATAATTGTAAACTCATTGTCTAGTATTAACTTTAGGGTTTAAGCATTTTCTTATTGAGACTAATTAAAAGTAGGAATCAGAGAGACACAGAGAGCAGAGCAGCTTGATTTTGATGAGTGATGATGTAGAAAAACTTAGCATCTCTCTAACAAGAGAGAGATTAAAGTCTCAGTGAAGCCACATCTTTAAGACACCACGGTAAAAACACAGTTTTGAAAGAAAGCATTTTATTACACTAACTTAATATTTTCTCTTTTTAACAAGGGATCGGATAAAGGGAGAAACAATTAGATTGGTTGCCTGCAAAAAAGTAAAGCTCTAGATTTTGTTTCACATGGCCATGTTTGTTTATAAGCTAAAAAGTTAGACCTAGGTGCAGGTGCATGTACACTTCATCAAGGTACATGACAACACTCAATGGGTGGTTATCAGAGAGTTAACATCAACATAGATGGGGATATTAAATCGTGTTATACATTACTCAGGTTTGAGGCAAGCATTGCTTAATTTCCTTGTTGATGACGTAGATGTAATTGAAAGTATGTTTATTAAGTTTACAGAGGACAAGTTGATGATCTTGGAAGATATGAATAGTGTTTGGTATGACCATGATAAACTAGAGAGATTACATATTTTAAAGGGTAAAATTCGAAAGGAAAATCTATAAAATAATACATTTCATACAAAATGAAAACTATAAGGAAAGACCCGACAGACCAAATAGATATAAGGTCACTGATGACCATAAGAGGAAAATAAAGGCTAACAGACACCCTCCCCCACCCCGGCTCTCTCTCTCTCTGTCTCTCTCTCTTTCTCTCTTTCTCTATCTCTCTCTTGCTCATCCTTGAATAATTGTTTCCTGGGGTTTCGAGTGCTTCTACATAATTTAACTCCATTTCCTTATTCTCACAGAACCTGGTTTTCTCCTAATGATCATATATATGAGTCAATTCTGGTATTACCCTCTCAATTCTGGTATTACCTTCTCTGGAAAGGCTTTCCTGACATCTCCTCCTCACATCTCCTACTGGTTCCATACCCTTCCTTTCTACTTTCATAGTATCTTAGATAGACCTTTTTTATAGCAGTTACTTCCAACTGCATTTTAATTGTGTCCTTTCTAGTCTCTCTCAATTGACTATGACCCTAGAGTCTTTTATTTCCATAAAGTGATTAGCACATTGTAGCTGCTTATTATGTGTTTGTTAAATGAACGAATGAAGCAGTATTTTTAAGAGGGCTTTTAGTTCACATTAGACCTTCTGGAAACAGGTCAGAAGAGCTCACCTCCACTCCAAAGCACCCAGTACCCAGCCTATTTAGGATTATTGTGGAGGCCCTTGAAAGGACTGGCCAAACCAGAAATCATAAATCTGTCATTACTCCATTTTCCAGCTAAGCTGAGTTATCTGCTCTTTCCAAACTTCTGATTCTGAGCCTTCATTTATGCTATCCCTTTTGCCTGGAATGTACCCTTCCTGACTTCTGTAGTCCTTGCTTGCTTTCTCTTACTCATTTTTGTAGACCTTGTTCAGCTGTCATCTCTAGGGAATCTTCCCTGATAACCTCTTCTTCCTCTTACGGCCCCATCACATGTATTACAGTCTTGAATTATTGGCCTGTCTTTCCTATTAGATGACTGTCTTAGTCCAGTTTCTGCTGCTATAACAGAATACCACAGACTGGGTGATTTATAAAGAGCAGAAGTTTATTTGACTCACTGTTCTGGAGGCTGAAAAGTCCAAGAGCACAGCGCTGGCATCTGGCAAAGGTCATTCAGTAGTAGGAGGGCACATGAGCATGTGAGGCAGAGAGGAAATCAGCTTAAACTCATCCTTTTATCAGGAGCCCACTCCCGTGATGACTAGCTCACTCCTGCATTCATGCCATTAATCCATTCCTGAGGGGAGGGGCCTCATGACCTAATCAGCTCTTAAAGGCCCCACCTCCCAATATCATCATGTTGGCAATTAAATTTCAACATGAATTTTGGAGAGAACATTCAAACCACAACATCCGTCAACCACATGAGGATACAGATCATGACTTATTTAACTTTTAGTTGAATGAAGCCAAGCCAGCAAATGGACTATTTCTTCTCTAGTGATGAGGATACTTTAATAGGAGCTAGAGTTTGTGGGAGATGCCATTTTGAGGATTGTTAGCTGGTAATTTAAAATATTTTAAATGGTTTTGTAACTTTAAACAAATTAAATTTCTTTGTAAATTTAAATTTCTTTGCTGTGGCTTCAAAGAGTATCTCCTGAAGTGGTTGACAACAGTACTGTAAGATATTGAAGTAATTCTTTAGGAATAAAATAATATGTTTGAGATTTGTACACATAAGAATTCAGAGGCCCTCTATTGCAGATTCATCCTTAGTTGTGATGCTCTCTAATTTAATGCTTGATATCTTCTTCCTCTGTGTTATTTTTTAATTTATAAGTAGATATTATTTTTAGGAAATATCATTCTTATGTTCCTTTCCACACTGTTGCATGTATGAACCAGCAAAAACTCACTGTGCCTTATCACGAAGAACACAGAAGAAATAATGTTAATCACATTGCCAAGTGGGCAGTGGAACAGGAATTAAAAGAAATTAAAGAATGTGTAAGCAGAAACTCAGTTGTATGTAAGAAAATCCATTTCCCCCTGAGAAAGAGAAAGAGCTGGAGTCCTTTAAAAATTAACTGCCTGTTTTTCTTTGGCTAGTGAGCCTTATCTCTCCTCCTTTCCCAGGCATTGTGAAGACCCTGTTTCTCTAGCTGTGCAGCTGCAAAGTCACTAGACAGATAAACCCAAGTCATAAAACATGTTTTTTCTTGAAAAGAAATGATGTAATGCATGTCTCAATTAATTGAATAACTGTCTTTGTTTCTTACTTCTGTAATATGCTTCCCCCTGCACAGATCTCCCCCACACCCCATGAAATGTTTAAAAGGTAACTTAACGCTTTGTTCAGGGCTTGGTCCTTTGGATGTTAATCTGACTGGGCTGGTGCACCTAAATAATAAATATCCTCCTCAACCCCATCGGTCTCTCTGATTCCTTAAAAAAAATATATATATATCCTGCAACATTTCTGGTGGCCAGTATAGGGATTGAACCTGAGACCTTGGTGTTATAAGCACCAGTATCGACCAAAAAATCCATTAATTAGCCCCCTACTTCCATAGAGACCATAGTTTCCCTTATCAATCCTGCTATAGGCAGCAATGGCAGTTACTTTTTAAAAAATTTTTATTTTACAGAGATGAACGAAATCAGTCCATCATCGTAAGTGGAGAGTCTGGGGCAGGAAAAACAGTCTCAGCTAAGTATGCCATGCGATACTTTGCAACTGTGAGTGGTTCTGCCAGTGAGGCCAATGTGGAGGAAAAGGTCTTGGCCTCCAACCCCATCATGGAGGTAAGACAGCGAGTCTTCGGCTTTCTTCCTATATTCTCTTGATAAGAAACATGCTCAAAAAATTGATTGATACAGCATGTCTCAGAAAGCCTGGGGTCTCCAGCCACTAAAATTAAGAAAATGCTTTTCTACATGTTTATAAAAAATCTAGGGAAAGTAAAAACTTGGTAAGGTAGACATTTTTAGTAAAGCCCAGCTATAGCGGAATCTGTTTTAGTCTATAATCCTGAATTTTTGACCTACCAGCAAAATTGTTGCCCCTAAATACCAGGCAGCAATTAAGTTTCCTTCTCCTCATTAACTGACTCATGTCTATTGTTCCTTTCCTTGTACCAGAAGTACAAGTTACTCATTTCCCCCAAGTCCTGAGTTCTTATTTATGCTCCTTCTAAAACATAAGATTTGTTATGCTCAAGTATGAATGAGTTTCCTTATTCCTTTGCCCATATTTCATTTTCTGTACTTAGTCCGACCTCAGTTGGCTTAAATTTTAATATAGCTAAAGTTTTAATTTTTTTCCAGATTTGAACTACAAACTTAAACTATGATCTTTATAAGCTTTTTGTTGTTGTTGTTGTTCTGTCAAGCACATAACACAGCTATAGGTTCATAAAAGACAGTAACTGTAAGGTTTTGACAGGGGAAGAACTATGAAAAAATGTGCTTTCAAAACTTGAATACACCATATACAAAGTAGAAATGCCTGTGCCAATGAAAATGGAACTAATTGTGTGAGAATTTGAGTGTTTTAGGATTTGTAGATAATTATCTGTCTATTAATAAGATTTTTGGAAAGTTATAGTTTTATATGAAGACTTATTAAATGGAGAAAAATTACTTTTGTTAAATGGAGAGAAATTAATTTGGACATGCAGAAGCAAACCTTCCTTGTTAAAAATTCAAATCGGCATTTTTTTATTCCTGTCTTTTTCCTTTGTCAAGCTTTATTTGTCACCCAAACACAGATGGAGTTAAAATCGGCCTGGTGCACCTGTGGTACAAGTGGTTTTTGCGATAATCTATGTAGAGGTAATTGTGCTTGGTTTGCGGTGCTGCGTGTGACACTTCAGAACAGAATGCCGTGACCTCTTATCTGTAGGGCTGCTCTCTAGAGCAGCAGGACTTCTACTTTTTGGGATTGAAAAACAAGATATGATGGGGAAGTTCAGAGGCTTCATGGGCTGGATGTGCTATGGAAAAAAATACTGGGAATACTTTCTGAAATAGGATGAACAGGAAGAAACAGATGTTTGCACCGAAAGAGAGTAGTGAAAATTTTAAGCAAATGTTAAGATTTTGAAAGAATGTAAGCTACAGATACACTGCTGGATGTCACTAGTGTTAATACTGGGGAAATAGAATCTGTGGAGCCAGTTTTTGGTTTGGGGTCAGAAAACAACAGGGCTTCTTTTCTTGCTGTTGTTGTTTTGACTGGTTTTGGTCATGACAAATTCTTGGTATTTGACAACAGTTCCAGCCATTTTAGTCCCTAGCATTAGAATATCCCAAAGTCTTGAATGTGATGGCATTAGGTAATCCCATTTCTTCCGGGCCTGGACCATATAATACTAGGATTTGAAGTTGTCTGTGAAGATAACTTAAGTCTAGAATGAACCTTCTAGAATTTTTCATGAGTTGAGTGTACTATTTTATGACCTCTTTCAAAAAAAACCAGCTTTATTGGTTTTTCTGCAACACAGATTTGAATTGTATTAGTAGGAATATATTAAAAATTTGGAATAGCTACTGTCTTAGTCCATTTAGTGTTGCTATAACTATAGCCTCAGAATACCTGAGGCTGGGTAATTTATAAAGAAAGAGATTTATTTAGCTCATGGTTCTGTGGGCTGTACAGTAAGCATGGCTCTGGCATCTGCTAGGCTTCTGGTGAGGGCCGGCGTGCTGCATAACATGGCAGAGAATGTCACAGGGCAAGTGGACACACACAAACGGGAAACCTGAGGGCCTCCCGACTTCATAACAACCCACTCCAGTGGAAATGAATCCAGTCCCGAGAGAACTAATCCAGTCTCACAGAGGGAGAACTCACTACAGGAGAACTTTACCAAGGCTTTCACTATAGATTTGTCCCCATGACCAAAACACCTCCTACTAGACCCCACCTCCCAGCACCTTCACATTGGGGATCAAATTTCAACATGAATTTTGGTGGGGACACGTTATATCCAAACCACAGCAGTCAAAGATAATACTTACAGTATGCAATTATAAAGAATATGCCCTGCTTGCTGGGATGAACATAAAAGATAAAGGGATCAGCTATGCTCACCTGCTTCCTTCTCTATTATTTAGTCTGTCTAAATAATTTGAAATTGTTCATCTATAAGAATTTGGATTAAGAAAAATTTGGTAAAGAGTTGAACTAATTTTCAATAACTACAAAAAAGGGCATCTCAATTTGAAAGTTGGAAATGTGATATGGAGCTGAAGATCAGTTACTGGAAGAAAACATAGGTAAAATATTGAGTATGTAGTCTGAAAAATTTGTAGCTTTAAATCGCTTCAATACTATGTCCCTATATCAGAGCCCTTTGCTGAGATGTCAGGAAAGGCATATCGGCGTCTCCAGTGATCTGCTGAAACTCCTCATAGGATAATGAGCATCCTACATGGTTAACATTACAATCCAGGGTCTAAAGAGATATGCACATTATTCTTTAAAAAGGAAGCTCCTCATTCTCAACATAGGCTTCTTTTGCAAAATGTGAATGATGTACAGATAATTATTCTATTTGCTTCATTTCATGTTTTCATTTTTTCCTGGAAATTTTCATCATAAGATGGGAATAGCACACTGAAACTTTTTTTTTTTTAAGAGACAGGGTCTTGCTCTGTCTCGGCCTGTCCCAGGCTGATCTCAAATGAACTACTGGGCTCAAACAATCCTCCTGCCTCAGCTTCCCAAAGTGCTGGGATTATGGGTGTGAGCCACTCTACCAGGCCTGGATGTTAATTTTTTTTTTTTTTTTTTTTTTTGAGACAGAGTTTCGCTCTTGTTGTCCAGGCTGCAGTGCAATGGCATGATCTCAGCTCACTGCAGCCTCCACCTCCTGGATTCAAACGATTCTCCTGCCTCAGCCTCCCGAGTAGCTGGGATTACAGGCACATGCCACCACGCTCAGCTACTGTCGTATTTTAAATAGAGATAGGGTTTCACCGTGTTGGTCAGGCTGGTCTTGAACTCTTGACCTCAGGTGATCCACCCGCCTTGGCCTCCCAAAGTGCTGGGATTACAGGCATGAGCCACCGCACCCAGCCAGTTGTTCTTTTTTAATTTCAATAACCATAATTGAAGATTTTCATCTCCATTTAGTAAAGAAGAGTGACTCATGCATCATTACATTAAAACAGTAAAACCAAGATTACCAAGATCACAAAATTTATTTTTTCCTTTAGTGGCTTCTTG
The DNA here is from genome assembly GCF_000001405.40 of Homo sapiens. Taxonomy (NCBI): domain Eukaryota; kingdom Metazoa; phylum Chordata; class Mammalia; order Primates; family Hominidae; genus Homo; species Homo sapiens. Next base: position 52,412,717 of record NC_000015.10, on the reverse strand, counting down.
CTGATTAAAGTGAATATAGTATTAGGGAGTCTCTTGTGAATACAGTGCTTATATGGCAGAGGCAACAATTGAGGGAGTGGACAAAAGATACTGTTTATGTATAGAAATTTCTTTCCCTATCAGTTTCAGAACTTAGAATCAAATAATTTTATTTTTTAAAAAGAACCCTAGAGCTCCACTATCCTAGTCAATTTACATTTGAGGATACTAATGCTCCTCAAAGAGATTAAATAATGACAAGTTGATAATAGGGCCTGGTCTGATAGGTCTTCGGGCTTCTAATTCATTTGTTCTTTTTACCATTGTTTGTCTATGTTTAAATACATTTTATTTGAAAACAAAAGGATCTGCTTCAATTCTAGCCAATCCCTGCCTCTTCTCACAGTGTGGTGGTGTTTCGGCAGGTGGGCCACTCTGACGCCCAGTCTGAGTAGGTGGGGAGAGATGATATGTGGAAGGTGGGGTAAGAGTTGAGGAAGGAGGAGAAGCTGTGGCCCACCCTTCCTCCACTTGCTTAGTTACTGGCAGGAAAGTGCTTAGGACAGTTACTAATATTTATTGAGTGTTTATTGAGTAGCTGCTGCTACTTCTACTACATGTAATCTTTCATTTGCTCTTCGGAAGAATATATTGTGTTGAGAGAAAAGTCTGCATTTATAATTAATCTGCTTTTCTAAATAAAATAGTGAGACCATATACAGACTTTTTGCTGTGGTGTTTTGTAATATCAAGAGGGGTAACATCTGAGTAAATGAATAGATAAATTATCTGAGGCTACATTAGATCCTTCTGTAATTTTGCCAGGAAGATATTCTTATTTTTCTAGAAAAGCATTTAAAATGTTAATCTAAAATATAGCAGTGTCCTCACTGCCAAAACAAAATAGGATGTCTACACTCTATTTCAGAAAGTGAAAATATATTTTCTTTGATTGATCAAAGAATCTAATGTGTTGACTTGTATGGCTGTGTTACTATTGTTTTCATTACTTACATTTGTATCACTCTTAAAACTACATTGTATTTTCACATCTTTCTGTCTGCTGTGGTTTCAATTTACTAATCCTGACATAGGCTTTACACAAGTGAAAGATATTAATTTTTTTGAAATTTGCTTATTAAACATTTAATATATGCATTATGTAAACACTTGGTTTTCTAACTACATCTTTTTTTTTTTTGCTTTGCCTTAAAAAAATTTATAGAAGCGAGTTACCTAAATCAGAAAGACATATGTCATTAAAATTTTTAAGGTTATATAAAACATTTAGCAGCAAGTTATATTCTCTGTATTCTGTAGCAGATATTTTGTAAGCTAGATTTAACTATCAAAATCCAAAGCCAAATTTTACTTTTTCTGGTTCTGAAAATGGCCTTTAAATTGAGTGGGTAATACTAATACTCTACTAATAAATAGTCTAACTGGACCTTTGTTGCCACAGGATAAGGTGATAGAAACATCAGGCTAAAGAGACCCTGAACACCAGAGCAGCATTTCCAGGAAATATTCATTGGTCTTAACCATCTTATTTATGTAAAGCAGGTGAAGTTTTTTGGAAAAAAATAAAAACCTGAAGCTTACCTAACAAAGCCTATGCCTTGGCAGCTCCCATCCTCGTTTGTTCTCTTTCTTTGCTGGCATGAATGTTCAGATAACCCAAAAGGTTTTATGAAAATATTCTAACCTCTGAGTTCAGGTCTGCTGTTTCTGAAAATCATTTTTGTGAGAATAACAAGACAAATAAAAACAATTAGTATATATCTGTGTGACTGTGCAGTGAGCAAAGCATACACCTGTGCCTGCAGTGGCAAAAGTGGTTCTGTTCTTAAAAGAATCAGTTTTGGCCAGGTGTGGTGGCTCACGCCTGTAATCCCAGCACTTTGGGAGGCAGAGGTGGGTGGATCACAAGGTCAGGAGCTCGAGACTAGCCTGGCCAACATGGTGAAACCCCGTCTCTGCTAAAAATACAAAAATTAGCTGGGCGTGGTGGCATGTGCCTGTAATCCCAGAGGCTGAGGCAGGAGAATCACTTGAACCTGGGAGGCGGAGGTTGCAGGGAGCCGAGATTGTGCCACTGCACTCCAGCCTAGTGACAGAGCAAGACTCTGTCTCAAAAAAAAAAAAAAAAATCAATTTTAAGGACCTGTGTTCTACTCCATCTTTTCTCTCTCTGAGCAGATTCTGTAAATGTCATGTTATGAATTACACTTCTAAAATCTTATTTTCTCCCTTGCTTTTTAGTCCATTGGAAATGCTAAAACAACCAGGAATGATAATAGCAGCCGTTTTGGGAAGTATATTGAGATTGGTTTTGATAAGAGATATCGAATCATTGGTGCCAATATGAGAACTTATCTTTTAGAGAAATCCAGAGTGGTATTCCAGGTAAGCTGGCCATATACACATATGCACTTGTGTTAGATTGCTGTATAATTGTTGAGTCCATGCTTGCTGGTATGCATTTTATTTCAAGATACTCTTGAGCATATTATGACAATATTACCTCCAACCACACTTGGACTGAAGCCTGTAAAATGGTGCCTGTTAGAGGCAAGGGAGTACCACTTAAATGCTAATAGTTTTTGGGACTGGTCACTTTTAGGTTTGACTTTTTCCTACAGGTGCTTGCGGGAAAGCTTAGTTGAGAACAGGTGCTATTGGTTTAGTCTTGTCTCTCATATTTCCAAATGATAGGGAAGGCATTGTTCCATGCTCTCAATAAGTTAGTTTGAACTCAGTGCAAGAAAAAAAATTATCTTGTCCTCTTTCCTTCCTTCTTCTCCTCTTTCAGAATATATTATTGTTTAGATAGAATAGTGAGGGTTAAAAAAAAATCTTCACAACCCAATTGTGAACTACTATCAAAAAAACAGTTGATGCATCTGGGTAGGGTTTACATCCACATATATGCTCTTGGTCCCTTTTGATTGGTAAGTGGGAGATATGGGAGATACTATATATTTCCATCACTAGCAGGCATACATTTATATATTTATAGGTATGGGTTTATCACACACTGTCAGTTCTGTAGACCTACTGCTTGCCTCATGCTGTGAGATTTGGGTTTCATTAGCCTCAACTGCATGCCCACTGCATTGAGGTTCAAATACCCTTGACACTGCCATGTAACAGTGTCCACAATTTCCATAGCCCAGGTCTGTCATAGGTTTGAAAGTGTCTGAGAATTTGAGCAGTCTGAAGTTGCTCTGGCTTTGACTTTGGGGCTGTGCCTGATTTGTGGCCACCTAAAATATAGTACTTGATTTGCATAGTAAGGCAATACAAATGAAGTATTATATTTAATATCTAGGTACATACAGAACAGTGTTACTATGCTGATGGCTATTTCTATAGGTTTTTTTTGAAAAGTGTCTACTTTGATAACCAGAAGAAAGAATGGGTGAAACAGAGGTAGATCTAAGGGAAGATTCAAATATTAGAGTTCAAATAGTAGAGGTTTGATTGATAGGTAAGTGAGTAAGCAGGGGGGAAAGATGGTCCTTGGTCAGTACGTGACCAAAGGCTAGTAGTGCTTAATACAAAATGGTAAAGCCCAATCCTTATTGTCTTGTTTAGAGACACTGAACCATTTCTAGCAGTTTCCCAGTCTCCAGTGATATAGAATGTCAAGGATGTTTGGCTTGTCAAAATGAGTCACACAATCAGAAAAGGCATACTTGTATTGTCCTTTATGTACAAAGAGGACCTAAGCATTTCTGCAGACTCACAGGCTTTTCTAGTTTCTGTGTGCTGAACCACCTGGTCTCCTGTTTAATCATGCTTGTGGTCATTGGTATACTGGTAATTTGTTCAGTGGCTTCTGTCCCTATAATAGGTTTTCTTTTCCAGACATCAGCCCCCTGTGGGCATCAAACCTGACCTTGGCCTTATTAATACGATTCATTAGCCAACTGAGTATACTGTAAAAATGAAGGATATAGTGATAAACTATTAGGTGTATGAACAATATTATTGCAACTGTATTTTTTAGATATATGTGTGGAAAAGACTCTCAGGAAATACTGAAAAATTATCTTAGAATTTATATGTGATTTATTTTCTATTTTATAAAACAGTTATTGATTTAAAATGTATAAACTAAAATGATATAGAAGATGTACATTTGTGACTTTCCTACAAATAACCACAGTAGATGGTCCAGTCTACAATATGGCAAGAATGGGATTATTCTTTTTTCAAAGCATTTGGAAGACTGTGAATCTAAGAGGTACCATTAGAAAATAGTATTGAGTATTGCAAAAAAAAAATGATTTTAGTTTCCCCCAAAAGCACTGATTATCTTATGATTGTTGACATATATCAAGCTGTTCACTAGTTCAGAAAGCATTACTATCCGATACTTTATGTTGAATTTGAGCAACACACACATACTCATACATATGCATATAGACTATAAATCATAAGATTTAATAATCAGAAATAAGTATTAGGAAATATAGGAAAGTATAATTTATTTAACCAACTGAGATAATTAAATATTAAAATCTTATTTTATGATAGAATTCCCTGAATTTTAGATTAAAATGCTGTAATTGAAAACTCTTCTTATTTCGAAGGCAGAAGAGGAGAGAAACTATCATATCTTCTATCAGCTTTGTGCCTCAGCAAAGTTACCTGAATTTAAAATGCTACGATTAGGTATGAATATGGCATTAAATTTATTGTTCTGGTATTGTTTTCTGTTAATTTCCAAGTTCCTAAATTTACTTGTTAAAAAGGAGCTTATCTCATGTTGGAATACTTATGGATAATATGATAAAAAGTCAGCCCTTGGCTTCAAAATAACCCATAGGGGTAGAGGAGGAGTAAGTGGCTGTATAAATGGAACAGGATTGGCCTGGAGGTGATTTTAGATGGCTGTTTAAGATGAGTAATGAGTACCTAGGGGCTCATTCTATTAGTCTCTCTACTTTTGTATGTGTTTGATATTTGCTTTGATTAAAGGAAAAAAAAAATTAAAGGAGTTGATTTGTTAGAAGCCAGTAGGGTTTCTTATGAGGGGAGTAAAGGATTTGAGGAAATTATTCTAGTGTGTAGATTGGAATAAAACCTTTAGGAAAGGACTATTTATTTTACCAATTAACATAAATAAACTATAAATATTTTACCCCATTTATTTAATTAAATTTTATTTAATTTTTAATTTTTTATTAAAATACAATTGAAAACACAGGCAGTCAAACTCTAGATGCTGTACACTCAACTGTGCTATCACCACCTCTGATTCAGAGTGGACATAAGGTTAGAAGGCAAGGCTTTTTCATAAACCAGAAAATTTTTATTTTTCTTCATTACAGGAAATGCAGATAACTTTAATTACACAAAACAAGGAGGCAGTCCTGTGATTGAAGGAGTGGATGATGCAAAGGAGATGGCACATACTAGGCAGGCCTGCACTTTGCTAGGTAATGTCACTTTATTCTTGAGCTCTTAAGAGGAATAGCTTTTTTACTCAAGCAACCTTTGTTTAGAATATTGGCTTGACTTTTTATTAAGTGGCAAGTATTGCTAGAAGATTTAATATTCCACATAGAACACATTTAGACAGCAAATGGGCAGGAGATTTCTTTTTGGGATGATGGAACTGTTCTAGAATTAGATTGTGGTAATGGTTGTGCAACTTTGTAAATTTACTAAAAATCATTGAATGGGTGAATTTTATGGTATGCAAATTAGCCTTCAATAAAACTGTTCAAAATATATATTTGGGGCATCAGGGGAGGGCTACTTGTAATTCTTTGCTTAAATTTTTACAAAATCTGAAACCTGAAGCTAAGTGAAACGGGCTCCTCTACAAGCTCGCATTTTGTAGGAGCTATTGGTTTATTTGTTTGGTTTTGGGGATCTTTCTGTGGCTGGGAAATGTGGCTGAGTTGGCATCATGACAGAATATTCCATTACATGTAGTTTATTCCAGCATTTTTTTTCTGTTCCAACATTTCTGAAGCAGCTCAGATGTCACTATCTTGTTTCTGGGATTTAAAAAATGTTGGGCCTTCATGTGAATAAATTAATCTTTAGAACTTGTCATCTACAACTTAAAGAAAAAAAAAACCTCAGAATATAGATAACTCTAAAATCATATGATGGCATTTTGAGTAGTACCCTCAGGTGAGTTAACTTAATTTAAAAGCACTGCTAATTACAGTGTGGACCAGGACCATTGTGGGCCTTGCTAGAAATGCAGAATCTCAAATCCCTTCTCAGACCTACTGAAACATAATCTGCATTTTATCAAAATCTATTGGTGATTCATATGCATATTAAAAGTTTGAAAATCACTGCATTTCTTCTCGTGCTAAATCTGTTTGTAAATAGTAAATTTGTGAATTTGAAAAAGCCATACAAAGTTTGCAGTGAGCTGAGATCACACCACTGCACTCCAGCCTGGGTGACAGAGTGAGACTGTGTGTCAAAAAAACAAAAAAGAAAAAGCCATAATGCAGGAGATGGTAAAAAACATTAATTATAGGGTCATTACTGAATTACCCTTTCTAAGATTACATATTTGGAAATAATTTCACTGCTTCTATTTGCATGTAATTATAGCTAATTTTCTGGAGATTCTTATGTTATTTAAAAATGAAGCCAGATCTGATAAAAGCTGAAAGCTGTCCAGCTTTCTCATCCTGCCTTATCCTTCAAGTTCTGCTCTGATGCTGTATTTGGACGCATACTCATCAGGCTGGGATATAGCACCAGCCTAAACGCTTCTAATCTTGGCGTCTCTTTGACTTATACTTGGTCTGTAGTTTAAAGAAGTAATTAAATAATTACTTTTTAAACAGCCTTAAGAAGTAACAGCTTTATTGGGCTGTATCTGGAGCAGAGATAAATAGAAATGGTAATACTATTAATTTTAAACCCAGTGTGTGACAATGATGACAACAATTTGTTTAGCACTTACTGTGTGTCATGTCGTGTATTAAGTATGCTATGTGCATTTAATCTCATTTAATCTTCACATACTTTGAAGTAGTCACTATTATTTTCATATCTCAAATGAGAAAATGGAAGCATAGAATACTGAAGCTACCTGTCCATTTGAGATGATAGGTCCATAGCAGAGCCAGGTCTCAAGCCAGATCAGCCACAGTCAGCAGCCATGTTATCCATCCATGATGCTAAACTGCCTAATGTGTTAATGTCAACAAAGATGAAAGTGTTGTTAGCTATGACACATTATAATATGCACAACATCTGGCAATATTCAGGAATTAACAATAGGCTTAAAATTGTCTGCTGTAATTGTTTAGTTTCTATTCTGAAATTAATCACTTGTTCATTCACTCTCTTGTTTCAGGAATTAGTGAATCTCATCAAATGGGAATTTTCCGAATACTTGCTGGCATCCTTCACTTAGGCAATGTTGGATTTACATCCCGAGATGCAGACAGCTGCACAATACCTGTAAGTTCAGAATAAGCTTTAGTGGGATGGCAGTTGAATTATGTTTTAGATTTGTAGATTGTTTAAAGAAGCAATATAGTTTAAGTCTCTCTATCAATATTATCAGAAACATAATTATCAAAGACATATGTTATCCAAAGGAGAATCTCAAACTGAGAATAAAGAAATATGGATTCTAATCTCTGGTGCATAGTGATTGTGTGTGTGTGTGTGTGTGTGTGTGTGTGTGTGTGTGACAGAGAGAGAGAGAAAGAGAGAGGGTTGGATAGATGAGATTAGTGACTATAACGCAGATGTGGCCCCACAAGATCAGAAACTCATGGAAGTTAAAGCTATTAGGGATCATATCATGCCCTTACTGAAATGTTTCAGGACTCCCCACTGCCTTCAGAAGCAGACCCAACACCTTACTTGGCATGATATGACATGAAAGGGCCTTCATGACTGACCCCTGACTTCCTATTGAGCTTCTTTCTCATTGTTTCTCACACTCTACATCCAGCCATTTCCATGCCAGGCTGTTTCTCTCTCCTGGCTTTGCTCAGATTCTCCCTGCTGGGGTACATACATTGCTCTTCTTCCCTAGCCAGCTCTTACTCACGTCTCACAGGCAGATCTCTAGCATCTCTTCTTAGATACACACTCACCCTTCTGCTTTCCTTTATTGTAGCTCAAATCACATTGTTCTATAAAGGTCTCTCCTGCTTGCCTTTACCCACTAGGATTTGAAGTCCTTGTGGATAGAGCCATGCTATTCATTGTGGTATTCTTAATTAAGGCCTTAATTTAAATGGTGTTTATTCAACTCACTTAGTTGCCTTTTTTCTCTGGATCTATAGCCTCTTGTGTAAAAACAGATTCTCTACTCCTGTAAGAAAAGAATCTATTTCTTGTGTTTTCTGGATATAGTACTTTGATACTATATTAGATGTGTGAGACATGATATAATATAAAATAAATGACTTTATGATTTAAAGAGAAGACTTGTTCCATAACTTTTTTTTTTTTTTTTTTTTTTTGAGACGGAGTTTCACTCTTGTCGCCCAGGCTGGAGTGCAAAGGCATGCAATCTCGGCTCACTGCAACCTCCGCCTCCTGGGTTCAGGCGATTCTTCTGCCTCAGCCTCCTGAGTAGCTGGGACCACAGGTGTACACCACCATGCCCAGCTAATTTTTTATTTTTAGTAGAGATGGGGTTTTGCCATGTTGGCCAGGCTGCTCTTGAACTCGTGACCTCAGATGATCCGCCCACCTTGGCCTCCCAAAGTGCTGGGATTATAGGTGTGAGGTGTGAGCCACCACATCCAGCCCTGTAACTTATTTATTAGTCCAAGGGCCAAGAGCTAGATGGGCAGACAGTTTGGTTTACAGAAAGCTTGATCCTTACGATTTTCTTTATGAATATTTGAGGTGTAATTTTCCTAAGCCATGGGTCCTAATTTTAGATGCATGATTCCTCCTCCCCTCCCCCAGCCTCTTTTCCTAATGGTGGTTTTGTAAAAGGCAAAATGATGATTCTAATTTAAACCCTCATTTCTTCTAATGAAACATTGCTAGTCTTTTAAAAAAGAGCTTTGTTGAGATATAATTCGTATATCATACTCATTTAAAGTGTACCATTAAGTGGCTTTTAGTACATTCACAGATATGTGCAACCATCACCACAGTCAGTTTAAAATATTTCTGTGACCTCAAAAAGAAACCCAGTACCCTTTACTTATTGTTACCTATGTGTCTATTTCCCTACCCCTAAGCAACCATAAATCTGTTTTCTGCCTCTATAGATTTGCCTGTTCTGGACATTTCATATAAATGGAATCATATAATATGTGGTTTTTCGTGACTGGCTTCTTTCAAAATCCATCCATGTTGTAGCACGTGTCAATACTTTATTCTTTTTTACGGCTGAATAATAGTCCATTATATGGAGATACCATATTTTGTTTATCCACTGGTTGATTGTTGGATATTTGAGTTGTTTCACCTTTTGGCTGTTATGAATAACACTACTCTGAATGTTGGTATACAAACTGGATTTTTTAAAAAGAACTCTGATTTCTGCATCACCATCTTTCCTCTTTGCCCTTGTGACCTTTCCCCAAATGTCAAGCTTCTCCTAATCAAGAAAGTCATGACTAATGTTATGTCACATATATCACTTCATTATGAGTCTTACCTAAAATTTGAGTGTACTGTTTTCCTATTTGAGATGTCTGGAAGTTATTAATATCATCTTGGAGAAATAGTACTTATAATGTCCAGAAGTTCCTTCCATCCAGTTCTTGTAATTCTATGATTTTTATTTTCTAACCGGTGCTTGTCAACTTTGTTGATTTGATGATAGCTATAAGTACTACAATTTCACTATTTGGGGTAGGTGGAGATTAAGTTAGTTTTTGTTTTGTTTTGTTTTGTTTTTTGTTTTTTTGTTTTTTTCTTTTTGAGACGGAGTCTTGCTCTGTCGCCTGGTCTGGAGTGCAGTGATGCGATCTTGGCTCACTGCAACCTCCACCTCCTGGGTTCAAGCTATTCTCCAGCCTCAGCCTCCCGAGTAGCTGGGATTACAGGTGTGTGCCACTGTGTCTGGCTAATTTTTGTATTTTTAGTAGAGACAGGGTTTCACCATGTTGGCCAGGCTGATCTCGAACTCCTGACCTCAGGTGATCTGCCTGCCTTGGCCTCCTAAAGTGCTGGGATTACAGGCATGAGCCACTGCGCCTGGCCTTAAATGAGCTTTAAAAGTTACTGGTAAGACATCTCTATTTGATAGTTCTGCCCCACCTTGAAGGCATTTGCTGAACCCAGTGACCTTGAGCTTTGGGTTTCATAGCCAAGTGAGCTACAGAAGGCAAAGACACAGGACCCATATAAACAGGGGAACACAAAGACTCCTGCCTAAAGCTGAGACCCTAAGTGGGGAGCTAGTAATCAATTTGCCCACCACCCACTCCAAGAGTATAAAGAAAACTTAACCTGACCCACACTTTGGTGCCAAGTAGAGGCAGAAAACTAGCTCCCTAAAAATTTATAACAACAAACTGACTCTCACACATATTCATTCCCAGACTGATTTCATAGTTCCTGGAAGGTCTCAAAAAACTACATACAGAAAATATAGCTTAAATTGATCCTGGGCTGGTAGTGGCCTAGGCGCCTGACAGAAGCAACTGCAAATCTACTTTGGAGGACCCACCTTCAGTCTAGGCCTCAGTGGAGTCCCATCAGAAAAGTTACAAGAAATATTGACTCACAGTCAAAAATCACAAGTCCCCCAATGAAACAAAATAGAAGGAGCTAGGAGAAACGACAGATAGCAGAGTCATACCTGCTAAGAATGCCAAAATTAATAAACAGCAGATTTGGTACAACTGAAGAGAAAACTGATAAGCTAGAAGGTAGATGTGAAGAAATTGTCCAAAATGCAAGATAGGACCCAAAGACAGAGCACTTGAAACAGTAGTTAAGAGAGAAGAAGGATAGAGTAATAATGTCTAATTTTAATCTAATGAAAATTCATAAAGGAGAGAAGAGAGAGAATGAAGCAGACATAATATACCAAGAGATCATTACTAAAAAATTTTTAGAACTTGTGAAAATGACTAACCCACATATTCAGAAAGTCCAGAAAATCCCAGTTAGGATAAATAAAAAGAAATCTATTCCTAAGAACATCATAATGATATCAAAGACAGAGGAAACTTAAAACAGAGAGATTAAGAGACTGCCCTTGAAGAAATAGCAATTAATCTGATAGCTCACTTCCCAGCTGCAGCTATAAAAGCCAGAACACAGTGGAATAATATCTTCAGTGTGCTTAGAGTGGAAACTATTAAGTTAGAATTATATATCCCGTTAAAATATCTTTCTAGAATGAATTGAAATTGGAAGCATTTTCAGACAATTAAAAACTTATGAGAGGCCAGGCGTGGTAGCTCACACCTGTAGTCCCAGCACTTTGGGAGGCTGAGGCGGGTGGATCACCTGAGGCTAAGAGTTTGAGACTAGCCTGGCCAACATGGCAAAACCCTCTCTCTACTAAAGATACAAAAATTAGCTGGACATCATGCGTATGCCTATAATCCCAGCTACATGGGAGGCTGAGGCATGAGAAGTGCTTGAACCTGGGTGGTGGAGGTTACAGTGAGCCAAGATCGCGCCACTGCACTCCAGCCTGGAGGATAGAGCAAGACTGTCTCAAAAAAAAAAAAAAAAGCTTATGAGAATCTGCTGTTGCCAGTGAGCCCTCACTAAAGGAAATATTAAATATTAAAGGATATAGTTTAGGCAGAAGGAAAGTGATCCCAGTTAGAAGATCTAAGATGCAAGAAGAAATGAACTAAGAAGTTAGCAAAATGTGGGCAAATGTAGATAAAATTTGATTAATTAGAATAATAATAGTATATTGATCTGGTAAAAGATAGAATTCCCACAAGACATGTATTAATTACAAAGGGAAAGATAGTTATCATTACAGTCAAGAAACCTGGCAGACATTCCCTTAACCAAGTGATCACAATTGATAGTACCAATATTTAGACCAATCAATATCACATAGCTTTGGATATGACACACTGAGCAGAGTGCAACACCACTTCTCTGGTATTTCTGCCCAAATCTAATCATGAGGTAACATCATAGAGACCCAAACTGAAGGAGTCTTCAAAAAGTCAAGGTCACAAAAGACAAAGAAGAATGAAGAACTGTTCATGTTAAAGGAGACTAATGAAACATGATAACTAAATTCAATGCATGATCCTGGATTGAATCCTGGACCATAAAAATTAATTATTTTTTGTAGAGAGCACTGTTAGGCCAACAAAGGGAATGTGGTAAAATGTTAATATTTAGGGAATCTGAGTGAAGGGAATTTTTTGTACTATTCTTGCAACTTTTCTGTTAGTCTAAAATTAGATAAAAAGTTTAAAATATAAAATGAATCTCCAGTCCCCTACCCTGCCCCCTCACACAAAAGGTAGAACTAAAGTATTGGATAACAGAGGATAAATTGGAATGGGATGTTTGGAGTTAGTGTTACTTAATTACATTATGTTAATTATAAAACAAAATAGTAACAAAGTAAACCTTTCAAACTAGTAGAGAGGAAAATGGATTGAAAAAAATCAAAATATAGCAAGAAAGAGGGAGAAAAACAAATGTTGAAAAGTAGGACAACCAAAAGAACAAAATAAGATAGAAATAATTAAAAATGGACCAAGTGCTCCAGCTAAAAGATTTAGATTGTTAGACTGGTTAAAAAAATTCAGATATAACCATGGAATACTACCCAGTCATAAAAAAGAATGAAATCATGCCCTTTGCAGCAACATGGATGCAGCTGGAAAACATTATCCTAAGTTATGCAAAAACAGAAAACCAAATACAACATATTCTCACTTATAAGTGGGAGCTAAACGTTGGGTGCACATGGTCATAAATGGGAACAATAGACACAGGGGAATACAAGAGAGGGTAATGGTTGAAAAAAACAACCAATTGGCAGCTATGCACACTACCTAAGTGATGGATTCATTCATACTCCAAATCTCAGCATCACACAATATTCCTTTATTGTGTACATGTGCACAAAGCTGCACATGTGCCCCCTGATTCTAAAATACAAGTCAAAAAAAGAAAAAAAAGTTTCAGGTATATACTTTTAAAAGAAGCATTCCTAAAATATAGAGATACAGAAAGTTTGAAAAAAAAAGTTTAGAAAAGACATGCTAGCTAGGACAAAACTGGCAACACTGTGCACGTATTGAACAAAATAGACTTTGAGGCCAAAAGCAGTGCTAGAGGGAAATAAAGTGACTTTGCAATGATAAAGATTTTATTCACTGTGCATGGTGTGTGCCTGTAATCCTAGGAGACTGAGGCAGGAGGATCTCTTGAGTCCAGGAGTTTGAGGCTACAGTGAGGTACGATTGTACCACCACACTCTAGCCTGGGCAACAGAATGAAATCTCATCTCTGAAGAGAACAGATTTTATTCACCAGGAATATGAAATAGTGCTAAACTTCTATATACTTAATGACATAGCCTCGAAAGATATATAGCAAAAATCAACAGAAACCTCAAGAAGAGACAAATTTGCTATCAGAGTGGGAGATTATTGACTTCTCTTAATTATTGATAGGTGAAGTCCAAAATGAGTAAAGCTGTGGAGAATTTAAACCAAACAGTTAACAATCTTGATGTAATAGAACAATAAGGTAACAACATTCAAGTAGAATATGTTTACAGAGTGCTGACCCACCTTTTTTTTTTTTTAATTTTAAGAAAAAAATTTTTTTTTTTGAGACGGAGTCTCGCTCTGTCACCCAGGCTGGAGTGCAGTGGCACTATCTCAGCTCACTGCAACCTCCACCTCCCAGGTTCAAGCAATTCTCTTGCCTCAGCCTCCCCAGTAGCTGGGATTACAGGTGTCTGCCACTACAAGCAGCTAATTTTTGTATTTTTGGTAGAGACAGGGTTTCACCATGTTGGCCAGGCTGGTCTCAAACTCCTAACCTCAGGTGATCCTCCTGCCTTAGCCTCCCGAAGTGCTGGGATTACAGGCGTGAGCCACCACGCCCAGCCTGACCCACTTTTAAATGATGCCGAATTCTAAATACATACATATATATGGCTGCTTATTTAAGGGAGTTGAGCAGGCAGTGGTGCTGATTTGTATCTAAAGTGATTACTTGGGAGAAAGGGGGATGAAAGAAGGAAGGGGTGCTTGAGTGTGAAGAGTCTAGAGATGAAGGTGTCAAGGAGACCCAGGTTCTAATGCCAACTCTGACATCAATTGCCAGCTGATTTTTGACAAGCTATTTGTTCTCTTGGGTCCTATTTCCTCAGTTATCCACCAGAGACAATGTTCACCCTCCCTATGCCCCAGGAATGTCAGATTTGACTGATACATGTGATTGAAGATGTTGAAAAATATAATGTACTAACATGGATTAAATTAGACAAGTATTTATCAAACATCTACTCATGCAAGTCTCATGGAAGATATTCTAGGGGGTACAGGGATATGTAAATCATGGAAGTCATTCTAATATAAAAAGTCACACAAATAACTATCAAGTTACCTGCTTACAATCCTTCAGTGGCCTACCATTGCTTCAAGGATAAAGACCAGCTAGGATATAGCCTCTGTCTGTTTCTGTGATTTCAACTCACATTTTCTCCCTCATTCAGCTTCAATCCTTCCTATTGATGATTTCCTTCCCACCACAGAATGTTTTTGCCAGCTGTTTCCTTGGCTTGGAAAATCCTTTTCTCCTCCTTTCACCCAGTTAGCACCTTCCTTTTCTCAAGGCAACTGTCTCCTCCTTCCAAAATAGAACATATTCCTCTCACATGGACTCAGCATAGTGTCCTTGGTCTTTGTGGTATTTTTCATTTTAGGGAGCAATCATTTGATTAATACCCATTTCCCCAAGTGACTATAAGTTCTAGGAGGGCAGGGACCATGTTTGTTTTTGTTTTCTGGTGCATAGTAGCACTCAGTAAATAATTGTTGACTAGCTGACTGATTTTTTGACTGAATGAATGAAGATGCTTTAAGAGAGATACAAACAAATACTATGAAGAGTCAAAGGAAGAGGGAATTTTTGAAGTGAGCCCCAGAAGAGATTGCAAAATGCTGCCTGGATGCCAGTTTAATGGATGAATGTGATTATTATCACTAATCAACTTTGAGTGATCTTGGTGTTTGTTATAACAAAGAAATTGCTGAATTTTATTTGTTAACTCTTTGTTAACATTTTCCGAGAGATTCTTACTTGATTTATCTGGTCATAGGAAATAACTCATTATCTTTTGGCAGCCCAAGCATGAACCTCTCTGCATCTTCTGTGAACTCATGGGTGTGGACTATGAGGAGATGTGTCACTGGCTCTGCCATCGGAAACTGGCTACTGCCACAGAGACATACATCAAGCCCATCTCCAAGCTGCAGGCCACGAATGCCCGCGATGCTTTGGCCAAGCACATCTATGCCAAGCTCTTTAACTGGATTGTAGATAATGTCAATCAGGCTCTCCATTCTGCTGTCAAACAGCACTCTTTTATTGGTGTGCTAGACATTTACGGGTGAGTATATTTGGCTAATTGGTCTGCCAGAGAACATTTCTTTCTAGAACTTATCTAGTAACTCTAAGTGGGCATTTGATTCTGTTTCCTACTGGTAAAGAGAAGGGAAACTTTGCCTATGACAATTCAAGAATACCTTGATGATGGTGATGCAATTGCGTGTTGCTTAAAATTTAACTAAAACAAAAAAAAATAGTTCACATCTAGAGCTAATTTACTTAGCTAGTGCATAGACTTAATTGGTTTTCAGATGCTCATGTGGTAAATTATCACTGAAATTCTAAAAATCTAATTTTATTTGCTAGTTTGCCTTATTTGGGTACCTGTCTTTAGCTGTTAAAATCCTTCCTTCATATTTGTGCCTGTTTCATACTTAATTTTTCATTCTCTGGTTCTCTTTTTCAAAAGAACCTGTAGGATCTCTGTTCCTATTTCCCTCCTATATGTGTGTAACACCGTGAGTCAGTATATTGACAAGAGCAATGGCTTTATTATAATTCTGATGTTCCCCACTTGGGGGTGAATGAGCCCTCAAAAACTCATAGTGTTGAACACCTCTGCATGCTGGGGCCTTTGGAAAAAAAAAACAAAAAAAACCTCTCTGCTGCATGGCTGATGCTCATCTGCTGGGTACATATTCCTTGTTACTGACTTAGAAATCTTTATTTTCACTGATATGGAAAGAAAGTTTTACAATGTTGGGGAATGTCCCACTTCTTTCTTCCTAATGTGTATATTTTGAATATTTTTAAAAAGCTTTTTGTTCCTTTTCTCCCCTTTTCATATTATTTTTGTGGTTACAGATTTGAAACATTTGAGATAAATAGTTTTGAACAGTTTTGCATAAATTATGCAAATGAAAAACTACAGCAACAATTCAATATGGTAAGAATGTTCTTCCTTGAATAATACTCTGCTATAAATTATTCTCTTGAATTCCTAGTCTTTGTTTAAAAGCTTATCCCTGGAATGAAGTTGTGAATTAAAATTATTATATGGAACTTAGAACTGACGATTAATGAATGGTACAACATTAGAAAAATGTTTTATGGGCCAGGTGGTATTCAAGGTTATCCTTGGATTGCAGTCTGATAATAACGAAAATTTGGGACAAATAGATTGAGAGAAGCAGGCAGTGTGTTAGGTAATTGCTTGGGAGTATGAAGCTTTAAGCCCAAGGATATCTTTCAGTTTGTTATTTTGAAGTTTATTGTATGTGGAATCATGACCATCTTAATGCTTACTTGCTATATTAGCAAGATGTCAGAACTAAAAAGCAGAATTTTACATATTCTCTTTTCAGCAGTCTGGGACATTCACTGGGACAATGGCAATGTGAATATTTTGAGTGGCTCTTGTGAAGTAGTAATATTAAATATCTTAGAGGAGTATTGTGGTTTTGGGAGATTCAGAGATGCTTAAAAATCAGGGGCAGCAGATTGTAATAGTGAAGGACACAGAGCCCAGAGGTGAACTGTGTGAGTTGGAATCCTACCCTGTGTCAGTTATCTAGGAGACCTTGGGCAAGTTAGTTGACCTCCCTGGGCCTTAGCTTCCTCATCTGTAAAATGGAGATAATAATAGTACCTTCTGTGTGTGGTTTTATGGATTAAATGAGTTGGAATATGTAAAGGGTCCATAATGTGCCAGGCACAGTTCTAAGTGCAAGAGTGGGAGTGATTCTTAGTGTTGATGAAAGAGGATATTAAAATGAGATGCCCATAGGAATTAGAAGATAGAGCTCAAGGGCAGGAAAGACACCCTTAATAAATCCTCATCTTGTAAAGAGAGAGGTCAAGTGGTATGGTTTGTAGTTGATGCACACAAACCAGATGTTTAAAGACACTGCAAGTTACAAATTTGGTTAAAAAACAAAAGAGGATCTAAAAATAGTAATATAGGGAGAATAGTGGAAGAGCGGGAAGGAGGTGTTGTATGTGAATTTAGCCTTGTTTGTGTCATAACGAAATCACTAGGTGTTTCATAGTGATAAATCAGAAGGTAGTTGATAAGCATACTCTTTAGAAATATGTAGGTAAATATCAGAAGAAATACCTAAGGGAATTAAAAATGGTTGCCTCCAGGGAGCGAGATTGGGGTTGGGGAGAGATGGGACAAGGAATTGCTACTTGTCATTATAAAACCTTTTAGACTGTTTGATTAAATATTCCATATACTTTGAAAAAACTTGAACCATCTTTATTTAGCAAATTAAGCTTCTTACCACAGTGAAATAATGTAGAAGTGATCTTAAAACTTTAGGCTTATGACTATTTCCATAATAAGATGACTACTAATATGATTTGCATCTCTGCATAAAGAACATTAATAAAAACTTATCAGAAACTAAACTGAGCATTATTGTTTCTCAAGGTGTTCCTGAGTTTCTTAATACTTTAGTTAATGCCACAGCCTTTCACTCTTTCCCATTGTGTTTCCACACAGAGTGACTGGAATGTAAGGAAGCAATGCCAGCCTCTTTAGGAACTGGCTAGTTTGTCTGTTTTTCAAGGGCCTCCTGTCTGCATGTGTGTTTTGGTCTCTTGCGTCTCTTCCTCTTTCCTGCTGTCTGTCTCTATCCACCTGTTTCTCCTTCTCTCTTCACATACCCCCTTACATTCTGCATCTTCGATTCTGCACAACTGCTCTGCCCCCTCTTCCTATCCAATGTCAGGTTCTTTCCTTCTAGTCTGTATACATCTTCTCCACCTCAAGCTTTCTCCTTTCTCACTCACTTTAAACTTCCTGTGAACCCAGCAGTGGTTGGAATGCTCTGCTCGTCCTCTTAACTTGCTTATCTCCCATTCATTTTGGCTTCTTTCAGTTTCAACTCCCACTACTAATTGCCTCATTATTTTCTTGTTTCCCAGTTCAAATACCTGAGAGAGAGAATCTGATTAACACTGTTCATTTTTTCATCAGAGGTCTCTAGCAGGAGACTGCCCTCATGTACCCACACTGGTTTAGTCAGCTGTGACTAGGAACGTGGGGTCTCACAGTATAAATAACTTGATTGCATAGGGCTGTTACCTGATCTGGGGATGTAGGTGGGGGCAGTCAGCATGAGAAATCCCGTGGTTGGCATGCTTAGTGTTTGAAGGCATTACTATATTGACCAAGAATCTCTTGCCATATTGAACTTCATGCCCATATTCTTTGACAGTTGAGCATCCCAAATTTTAAAGACCCCAGGAGCTTTTCCAAACTAGACATGGAGATGTGTGTGAGTAATATGCTCTATTTAATGTCTAGAGCAGTGTTTCTATTGTCAATATTGAGACTACATATAAATTAATGAAATTTTTAAAAACAGAGCACATTGTTTTGGAAGATACTCGTACCATCAGTCAGGGTGTCCTGCTGACATATGGTGCCCTATTTGCCTTCTCATTAATCAAAAGAACAGAAGAAATTTGCTTTCTTGTTAGCATGACATAAATATTCATATGGATGACTGTTTTTTGTTAAAGCTTATAATAGCTCGTTAGACTGTAAACACTGTAAATGAGGCCAGGCGCGGTGGCTCACGCCTGTAATTCCGGCACTTTGGGAGGCCGAGACAGGCAGATCATGAGGTCAGGAGATCGAGACTGTCCTGGCTAACACGGTGAAACCCCGTCTCTACTAAAAATATAAAAATTTAGCTGGGCATGGTGGCACACGCCTGTAGTCCCAGCTACTCAGGAGGCTGAATCAGGAGAATCGCTTGAACCCGGGAGGTGGAGGTTGCAGTGAGCCCAGACTGTGCCACTGCACTCCAGCCTGGGTGACAGAGCAAGACTCTGTCTCAAAAAAAAAAAGAAAAGAAAAAAAAAACACTGCAAATGAGCCAAGAGTGGCATTACAATAAGTACAGAATACAGTGGGAAAGTTCCAGACACATGAGGAGAGTATGCATTGGAAATCTTGTGGCACGTAAGTTTCACAGGGCATGGGGTCCTAGAAAATATGGGTCATTTGATCATCACCACGAAAGTCTTTTCTTCCCACAAAAATAGCAAGATTTGTGAAAGAACCAAAGGAGACAAAAGAGATAAGTAAAGGAAGGCAGAAACTCCCCAAGAATGAGTAGCAGTCATTAGCATCTGTAGAGACTAGAAGTGGTGGTGTCAGCTGCATTGGCTGGGCAGTGGCTGGGCAGCACCCTGAAACAGGAGCTGTGGCAGTGATTGGATTGCCCTTCCCACCCGGACTAGCTTGGCTGCCATTCATCTTTAGAGACTAAATCACACAGCCCTCCTCAGGGAAGCCTCCCCTGACCAGCCTGTGTCCAAACTAGATGAGGACTCTTGCTCTTATAGTTCACGTTATTTTCCTTTGTAATACTACTACAGCTTGTGATTATATTCCTTATGGTTATTTGGTTTCTGTCCGCTTCTTCCACTTGTCTCCAAGCTCCATGAGGGCAACATCCACATCGGTGTTGTTGCCCATGTGCAGTGACTGGCACATGGTAGACAGTTAATACATATTTTTATGTGAATGGAGATGAGAAGCAATGGTGAGGACAGTGGCTGAAGGCTTCATCGGAAATAGCAATGGACTAGCAGTTGCAGTTGCTAACAGAATTTAATGTGGAAACCAGAAAAGTGAGTCGTAGACTCCATGACTATCACAGATAATCAGGGCAGTCAGGAGAAAGACCAGTCATTAACTAATTCTGAGCCACGTGAACTTCAGCACCACAGTCCCTTAGGAGAAGTACTTTGTTATGCTGAAAGCATTGCCCAGCATGATTCAGTAGCCTGGAGGGCATCAACATAGTTGTTAAATGCCAGCTAAGGCATTCCTGTGTCCCATGTTGTTAGCAGCACTCTACGATAACTTAAGAAGCCAAAAGTACATAGTGCAGTTTTGAAAATATACATAATCAAAAGATCACAAAGATTGCTACATTGATCAGCTATTTAAAATATTTATATA
The DNA here is from genome assembly GCF_000001405.40 of Homo sapiens. NCBI lineage: Eukaryota > Metazoa > Chordata > Mammalia > Primates > Hominidae > Homo > Homo sapiens. The sequence goes on along the minus strand of NC_000015.10, from coordinate 52,392,277 downwards.
CCTAGATTTACTTGTTTACCAAGAATCCTACGTAGCTGAGGTTTTCCTGTTGTTTTATTTGCTTTCTCTGTGTGTAAATCATGCTTCTCCCGTGAGGTTGTTGTTGTTGAAAGCCACAGATTATCTCAAATTATGTTGGTATCATCTTGACTACATTCTTTGTTACAATGATCCAGTAATGACTGCTTTTTTTCTTTTTCATTTCAGCATGTCTTCAAATTGGAGCAAGAAGAATATATGAAGGAACAAATTCCATGGACACTCATAGATTTTTATGATAATCAGCCTTGTATTAATCTTATAGAATCAAAACTAGGCATTCTAGATTTACTGGATGAGGAATGCAAGGTAAGTATGATTTCCTGGGGTACTTGGTTTATCAAAATAGATGTATCAAGGTCAGAAGATAAGTGGGTTCAAGGAGAGATTCATTAGTATATCATGGAATGCCGTCGTGGTGACAAGTAGGGGTTATGCTTTCATTCCAAAGGGACACTAGACCCCAAGGGTTCTAATTACAAGTGAAACTAGGAGAATTTCCCTCCTCTTTTCAGCTGATTCTAAATTACATGAAAAATTGACGTTAGATACTAACAATTTTAGCCACTTTTGTTATTAATTTGTTTAGTACTTTTTGGTCAGCGATAGAATTTAAAGAAATGCAAGAAACTGTGCAGAAGATATTTTGAATAACAGTTCTAAATAGTTATAATTGTAAAACTAACTAGTTGTTCCTTATTACTGACATATTTGAGAGGGATGGAGTTGTATCTTTAATATTTAAAGATGCACCATGTTGGAAAAAAGCATTAGATCCCCAGCTTTACCACTGAGTGATCGTAGGCAAACCTATTCTTTCGCTTTATTTCTCTTTAGTTTATATGCAGTAAGTTACATTTTAGCACAGGTGTACCCTCCTAAGCATCCAGACTTCCTACAACATTGAGGATGCATGTGATGAAAAGGTTCTCAGCCTCACTTGAGATTTTAAAAAATGCAAACCAAAGCAAAAATGGTACACCGCTCTTGACCCATCCAGTAGGCAAATTTAAACTCGATAATTTTCATTTGATAATACTAAATGAATATTGCATATATACTCATGATGAAAAGCATGAATTCATTCAACATACTTTATAGGATATTTGACAACATTTATCATAATTTTAACTACATACCCTTGACCCAGGAATGGAACTGCTGGGAATTCCACCTTTGATTATACTTGCAAAAGTATCCAAGGTATATACATATAAGAAGAAAACTGTGGCAGTTGTCATAGTAATAACAAAAAAATCAGTAACAACCTAGTAGCCATAAATAATGCAGAGAATACTACTGTTGCAAAGCTGAAAAAAATGCAATGAGTGTGTAGAATTATCCTATTCACATACATGCCTTCAAAGAGAGTTAAAGAAGGCCGGGCATGATGGGCTTATATCTGTAATCCCAGCACTTTGAGAGGCTGAGGTGGGTGGATATTTGAGTTCAGGAGTTTGAGACCAGCCTGGGCAATATGGTGAAACCCCGTCTACAAAAAAATACAAAAAATTAGCTGGGCATGGTGGTGTGCACCTGTAGTCCCAGCTACTTGGGAGGCTGAGGCAGGATAATCACTTGAGCCTGGGAGGCAGAGTTTGCAGTGAGCCGAGATTGTGCCATTGCACTCCAGCCTGGGTGAAAAGAGTGAAACCCTGTCTCAAAAAAAAAAAAAAAAGAAAAAAAAAAAGAGAGGGAGAAATAATTAAGTTGGAGGAAATGGCAAGAGGAGACTACTCTCCATTTTATATCTTTCTGAATTATAGAAATGCTTCACTATGTAACTACAGATGTTACCTTTATTTGACAGAATTTTTTAAATTTAATTTTTAATTTTTGTGGGTACTAGTTGGTGTATATATTTATGGGGATACATAAGATTTTGGTATAGGCATGCGATGTATAATAATCACATCATGGAAAATTGGGTATCCATCCCCTCAAGCATTTATCTTTTGTGTTACAAACAATCCAATTATACTCTTATTCTTAAATGTATAATTAAATTATTATCAAATACTAGGGCTTATTCATTCTAATTTTTTGGTACCTATTAACCATCCCCCATTTGCACTCCCCACAACCTCCTGCTACCCTTCCTAGCCTCTGGTAACCATCTTTCTATTCTTTATCTTCATAGGTTCAATTGCTTTAATTTTTAGATCCCACAAATAAATGAGAACATGTGATGTTTGTCTTTCTGTTTAACAGAATTTTAAAAACGTACATAATAGCCCTGATATTTCAACTTTAACTTGGGAGGCTTTTTTGTTTTTCTTTTTTTGAGACGGAATTTCACTTTTGTCACCCAGGTTGGAGTGTAATGGTGTGACCTCTGCTCACTGCAACATCCGCCTCCCAGGTTCAAGGGATTCTCCTGCCTCAGTCTCCTGAGTAGCTGGGATTACAGGTGCCCACCACCTCGCCTGGCTAATTTTTTCTAATTTTAGTAGAGACAGGGTTTCTCCATTCTGGTCAGGCTAATCTCGAACTCCTGACCTCAGGTGATCCACCTGCCTTGGCTTCCCAAAGTGCTGAGATTACAGGCATGAGCCACCACGCCCGGCCAGCTTTTGTTTTTTAAAAAACAGCAACAACAACAACAAATTTATTTGATGATTTTTCATATAGGCAGATTGAACTGCCCAAAGATTGGGCTGGGTTGCCCATGAGAAGGTCTCAGTCATACTATTCATTAGTAATTGGTTGTTGGCCTCTAACAATGAAATGTGGAAGGAATGAACTCCTAAATTGAATTGTAAAAGTTATTAGTTAAAGCCAAAAAAAAAAAATAAAAGATCTTTTGACAGCTGATGCTTTAGAGGAATCACAGTATTTACCTTGTTTTCTTTCTTCCTTTTTTCCATGAATATAGATGCCTAAAGGCACAGATGACACCTGGGCCCAAAAATTGTACAACACACATTTGAACAAATGTGCACTCTTTGAAAAGCCTCGTCTATCAAACAAAGCTTTCATCATCCAACATTTTGCTGACAAAGTAAGGAAGCTTTATATCAGTTTTTCTTTTTGAATACTTAAATGTGGAAAAAACCCAATAGTCAGGAGGTATCTTTTTTTTTCTTTTGCTGATGTTTGCATTCTTTAGGGCTCAAGGGACAGCAGTCTTCAGTGTTGACATGTTGGTTTTCTCTTCCTTTAACCTAAATTGAGTTATTTGTGAAATAAGTATGGTTCTATAATTCTGAAATCCAGGAATCTCTGTAAACTGTTTTTTTTTTAATAACTCGTTTAGCTAAACCTGATCTCTGATCTGAATTAACATGAGATTATTTATAGTCTGTCTTTATCCCAGTTAGGCTGGAAATATTCATATTTCACTATAGAAATATGAATATGTTTTGTTGTAGATCATTGCCTTCCATTCTGCTGGAAATATGAAAAAATGGTGTATGTACATACTACATCTCTAAATGCCTCAAAAATTCTGAGTCCTAAAGCATAGCTGATCTCAAGGGTTTCAGAATAGCAATTGTGGACTTGTGTCACCCTCTGCAATTGATTCACTGGGTCCCTTCTAATAAGGCATACTGTCTTACTGCTTCACAAGTTCTATAGTGTACTTAGAAAATCACAAGCAATGAGAGTAATTTATATTTCAAGGAGACTGTGATGTAGGCTTTGGGGTAAGTTTCACAGGGTCTCCTTTAGGGATTGAGGACTTTCTAAGTCTGCCCTAATTCCATCTAGAAGCCTTGAGATGACCCTAGGGCCACCTAAAGGTTTTGTCATGCAAGCTTTGACCCCCTTGAGTGGCAGACAACTGAAGTTGCTGGAGTTTTGGAAAAGAAATAGTCCATTCTCAAGTAGTCCTGCTTTACCAAATCATACAATATTTCCCCAGCCTTCACCTTCATCCATCAGCAGCTTTTCACCTCTGTCCCCATCAGACACTCATTTGTTCCTTCTGATTCTCACTCCTGCTGTAATCTCTTCTAAGAGGAAACACAACTGCTTGATGGTAACCTAGGTTGGAAGGAGATACAAGGAGTCAGCCTTGGAAGAGCTCTCTGGCCAGCATGGGAGAAGAGGATCTAATCTGCTCACCCACTAACTGAGAGGATCTTTTAGATCACAATCAGCGCTACCACTGTTTCCTAGGAAAAACGATATTTGAGGAGTTTTACTCTAAAGTTAACATACTTCTTACCAGGAATGGCCTTGGTTTCTTGGAAAAGACTGATAATACCAGTTTGCTGAGAGTTGATCGTATAGCCTGAGACTAATAAAGATTCTTATTATTGATGATTATAATATCTATTCAAAAGTTTTATCAGTTAAGGAGATTTTTCCATGTGTTTTCAGGTGGAATACCAGTGTGAAGGATTTCTCGAAAAGAATAAAGACACCGTTTTTGAAGAACAAATTAAAGTTCTTAAATCAAGCAAGGTAACTATGGATAGGCTTACTCTAATCCAGGATGTATGCAAAGCATTAGCTTTTTAACAATAAAAATGATTTTTTTAACAAAAATCTGTTTCAGTTTTTAATTTACCAAATATATAACACTTAGTATGTTAGTCAAAGTAATTTAGCTGCATGTCAGGTCCTGTTCTAAATGTATTGAAAATGCTAACTCATCTAATGACTCTTATTTTATGGATGAGGCACCTGAGACACAGAGACTTCATGGCTACCGAGTTTTCAAGCCAAATTAAAATCCAGGCCGTCTTGCTGTGTCTGTGCTTTTAACTCCTGTGCAATGTTTCTTTCAGTTTTGTGTGAAATTATTGCCTCCACAGTGGTTCTAGACTCTATTGTGCCTTGGTGAGAGGCCATGAGAGAAAACAGTCTTTCTGCCCTGTCAGTTTGAAGGGAGGTACTAGAAACGTGGCCTTACGCACTCCATCCAGATGGAGACTGATCTCTGGATCATCACTGAGTGCAGTTCCAGGTGTGGCCCAAAGCACTTTGAAATTATTTTTCTTAGGCATAGGTACTAGAGACACTGCTTTCTAGAGGGAAAAGAATATTCCAGATGGTAAGAGCTACGATGGCTACATTGTATTGATGATTAGGTTGATCCCCTCCATCCCTTGACCTTCCATCTGGAAAGAATGGGGAGGGGAACATGGCTCATGTTCATCCCACAGAGAGCAGAGCAGGAAGCCAGTTTCTTAGGTCAGCAAAATGAATATTCAGGTATTCAGCTAAAAATTAAAAATTTTCATGTGAATTCTTCTAGATTACTGACTGGCAGTCTTTGTTTTTCTATTTTATTCTCAGAGAATCTTTTTAACTTCAGTGGAATAGTATATGAATATTTTGACTGTTGTTTTTAGAATAAAAACCTTTACTATCAATTATTTTGATAATATAAAGATTACATGAAGACCAAATCCCAGTTTTAACCTTCAGAAAATAAGTCGAGACCAGGTGTTGTAGCTCATGCCTGTAATCCCAGCACTTTGGGAGGCCGAGGCAGGCAGACTGCTTGAGCCCAGGAGTTTAAGATCAGCCTGAGCAACATGGCAAAACCCCATGTCTACAAAAAAATACAGAAATTTGCTGGGCATGGTGGTGCATGGCTATAGTTTCAGGTACTTGGGAAGCTGAGTGGGAGGATCACTTGAGCCTGGGAGGTTGAGGCTGCAGTGAGCCGTAATTGTGCCACTGTACTCCAGCCTCGGAGACAGCGAGACTCTGTCTCCAAAAAAAAAAAAGAGTTAAAGTGTCTAACAGGCACTGGGCATTAACTGTTTATAGTTTACAGGATTGATATGTAAGAGAAAATTCCCACAATGCCAATCTCTAAGTATTATTCAGTTAAAGATCTTTATTGGTTTGATTTATAAGTAATGATAAAATTCTAGTTTTATTACTTTGTCAAAGTAATTTAGCTGAAACAGAACATTCACAGGTTTTCATCTGATTCTTGCTGTTGTTGTTGTTGTTGTTGTTGTTTTGAGACAGTGTCTCACTGTCACCCAGGCTAGAGTGCAGTGATGTGATGATCATAGGGCTCACTGCAGCCTCGACCTCCCTGGCTCAGGTGATCCTTCCACATCAGCCTCCCAAGTAGCTGGGACTACAGATGCATGCCACCATGCCTGTCTAATTTTTTGTTGAGATGGGGTTTCACCATGTTGTCCAGGCTGGTCTTGAACTCCTGGTCTCAAGGGATCCACCCACCTCGGCCTCCCAAAGTGCTGGGATTACAGGTGTGAGCCACCACACCTGGCCAGGTTCTCATTCTTGAGGCATCTTTGATCAGTTATCTTTATTCTGATTTAGTTTTCTAATTGGCTTTTGAGTCCTTAGTCATCATAAGGTGGGTATGCATTCTGACAAATCATTTGCAGTGACTGCCAGTCTGTGTAACATTGTTTCCATTGAAGTGGGGACAGTGTGTGATTTACCTAACATAGCTTGGAGGCTTCCTCTGCTGCTGGTCTTTGCTGAAACCCAATCTAGGAGTATCAACTTCATAATTTCACTGCATCTGATAGAAGCCAGTATCACATAGTGTAAATGTGTTCTCTTGGAAGTACTAATTTTAGAAGATTAATATCTGTGTTATGTGTTTTGAGTAGAATTATTTTTGTAGTAATACAGTGTGGAGTATGTTTGTGTATTTATGTGTTTTGTCTTTTTTTTTCCTGCAGCCTCTAGCTTACAATTTGAAAAGGAGTTTAAAAAAATATATATATATATGGAATTATAAACTTATCAGAAGGTGCTTTATTTGATATTTTTCCACCATAAAGAAATCTTCTGTGGCCACATCTAATATCAGGAAGCATATAAATAAATTGCAACTTGACTAAATACCACTGAATTTCAGTTCTACCAAATACCATTAAAATGAGTTTTAACCCTCTACTTTCTGTATAGCTGATTAATAAGGGGAAGCACAGTTCATCTACTGAGTTTATGCCTCAGATCTCTCATCTATAAAATAGAATCATGATAGCATCTAATTTATGGAATTGTTATGAAGATTAAATAGGTTGTATTAAGGTTAATAGATATATAATTATAGTTGCAAATATAGCTTGACTAATTAGAAGAACTGGTTTTATTTATATGGGATGTGGCACTGTTGTAAAGATATGTACATACATCAAGATGTTCCTTTGGATTCATTTGAAGTCTCTTTTTTTCCATAAAATTTCTCCCAACCATATTGACTAATATCATCTACCTACTTATTGAGTACCAGATCTTTTAATAATCTTTCACATTGCTAACCTGATAGAACACAAAATTGATTACAGGAATTATTTGTTGAAGTTATAAATCCCTTGAAAACAAATATCAAATGTACAGGATATGGGTAGGGTTTTAAACTTTTTTTTCTGTAACCCGAATTATCTTCCAAAAATTATTATTCATAACTTTTAAAACCTTCTAATATTGTAGAATTTGTTTATGACCCTTTCCTGCTGAGATTTTCGGTGATGTTTTTCAGTTAGTGCTCAGCACTTAAGTTAGTAGGTAGACAAATAAAGCAGGTGAGTAGACACTTGATAAATAACTTGCAAACTTGGACTAGTGTTTTTCTCCACCTGATGCTAAAACAGTTTGTGGAACTGAGGTAATAAGACTTTCAATTACTGTTTTTCTCGTAAAATAATTATAGTTCAAGCCCATTAATATGTTTAGATTTGTCACTTCCTGTGGATTAGGTTTTCAAGTCCGGGTGCAGTAGTTTTGACTTTGCTTTCCCCCAGACATGGTTGTAGAATTATTGCATTTTTCCGTGTTATTTTTGTATAGCACTTACCTCACCTTCCTCTCATATTCTTGGCTCTTAGCACAGATACTGACTCTTTCTGGAGTGTGACTCTGACAGTGATTACTTAAGGAAGGGAATCTCTGTAATATTTCTTTTGTGAAGGTTTGCGTTCAAGTTTGGTTTAGAATGTAATTTCTTTATATTGTTTCTGACTTAGTTTAAGATGCTACCAGAACTATTTCAAGATGATGAGAAGGCCATCAGTCCAACTTCAGCCACCTCCTCAGGGCGCACACCCCTCACACGAACTCCTGCAAAGCCCACCAAAGGCAGACCAGGCCAAATGGCCAAAGAGCACAAGAAAACAGTGGGGCATCAGGTGAGTTCAGGGAGCTGCCGCTGCCACGCTCCTTCCTTTCTGGCTCATCTGAAACCTCAGATCTTCCCTCTTCAGCCTCCCAGGTGGGATCCTCAGGTGAGGAGAGCCTAGAGCTTTCACTGTGAGATCATACGACACCATCCACTAAAACTCTTCTCCACCCAGTTTTAGACCTGTGACTCTGCATAAGCCTTTCCCGAAATAATTTTCTCTACAGCTTAATTCTCTCGTGCATATCGTCTCTCAGACCACCCCATCTTTGCTTAGTTTTCTGTTTGTTTTGTCTCTATATTTGTACAGTGCCTCGGTCAGCTCCTTCAGAACAGGGCCCTCGCCTTTCTTTGATGTCTTATGTTCTCTGAGAGTGGGAAATGTTACATACATGCTTAGTGCCTGAACAGGGAGTAGGGCTTTGAATGGAGGCTGAGCGCTCCTCAGCTTGCTGTCCTGTGCATGGGACCCTGTGCCTGGTGTAGACAGAAACAGGGCCTGACCCAGGTCCACAGCCTCCAGTCCTGATCCTAGGTCCCTAATTTTAACTCCTCTCTGCCTATCCTTTGTCATTCTCTCATTCATTACCTATACTCTTTTAAGTCATCTGCTACGTTTTCCAGTATCTTCCATCAAAATTCCCACTTTATGTGATTAAATAGCCTTAAAGCAAGGTTATATTGTTAGTTACATATGACTAAGCTCATAACAGGTTTCTGTAGCTTCCTGTGGGGAAAAGGAGTGGGAGTATAGGAATCTATATTTAGCAGAGTAAGCATGAAAATGGTAGAATTTAGGCAAATTTTAACCAAAAGCCCTAGCATTCTTGTTTTGTGGCAGCTCCTCTTCTGAAGATGGGTCAAGTTTATAAGTGGCAAAGTTTTCTCCATTAGTGTCATAGGAAGGGAATTTCCCATTGTTTTACCTCACCTTTGACTTTGGACAAAGCCTTGATACCCTCTTCTGCCCTTTTTCATGCAGTTCAGAAACTCCCTGCACCTGCTTATGGAGACACTCAATGCCACTACCCCTCACTATGTGCGCTGTATCAAGCCTAATGACTTCAAGTTCCCATTCACGTAAGTATTTCTGAACCACCCAGTGAAAAAGTACATATCTTATAAGAAGTGCCAAACCAGCCAAGCAAACTAATATTTTCCTTACATTTTTATAAGGAAAAAAATATTTGGGTAAGTCTTCATGCCTTGTAGAGGGAAACCACTAGTCAGTAGATTATTTTTTCAGTTTTTGTCCCTTTTGAGAATGTGAGAGTAAATTAGCAGCCATCTGAAGATTTGAAAACTTGAGGTCAACCAAGCATTCTGGTTCTGTTTTCTGTTTTGAATTTACTTCAATTGATCTCTCTGGGATTTTTGTTCATTTGGGCATTAGGTGGAACCAGCACTGGCTGGGATAAGGCTGTTTGGCGAATGCTTACCTGCTGCTTCTCCACTGCTGAAATCATCAGAGGGTGTCTGTTTTCACCAGCACCTCCTCCTGCTTCAGATACCATGCATGAAGGGAGAATCAATTTTTCTGGAGTTTTTTTTACAAAACAGAAATATTTTTCTAATTTTATGTATGTATTTATTTATTTTGAGATAGAGTTTCACTCTTCTTGCCCTGGCTGGAGTGCAATAACGCGATCTCGGCTTACCGCAACCTCTGCCTCCCAGGTTCAAGTGATTCTCCTGCCTCAGCCTCCCGAGTAGCTGGGATTACAGGCATGCACCATCATGCCCAACTAATTTTCTATTTTTAGTAGAGACAGGGTTTCATCATCTTGGCCAGGCTGGTCTTGAACTCCTGACTTCGTGATCCGTCCCCACTCGGCCTCCCAGTGGGATTACAGGCGCGAGCCACCATGCCCAGCCTATTTTTCTAATTTTAAAAGTAATACATGTACATTGTAAAGACAGTTTTCAGGAAATACAGAATAGTATAAAAATAAATGAAAAAGCATCCGTCAGCCGGGTGCAGTGGCTCACACCTGTAATCCCAGCACTTGGGAGGCCAGGGTGGGTGGATCACCTGAGGTCAGGAGCTTGAGACCAACCTGGCCAACATGGTCAAACCCTGTCTCTACTAAAAGTACAAAAATTAGCCGGGTGTAGTGGCGGGCGCCTGTAATCCCAGCTACTCGGGAGGCTGAGGCAGGAGAATCACTTGAACCTGGGAGGCTGCAGTTGCAGTGAGCCGAGATCACTCCACTGCACTCTAGCCTGCGGGACAAGAGTGAGACTTCGTCTCAAAAAAAGAAAAAAGGAAAAGAAAAAGCATCCATCATACCCAGAGAGATAACTGGTATTAACTGTCATACATTGTTCTTGATTAACCACCTTCCCTTCCCTCCATGCTCCGTGTGTGTGTGTGTGTGTGTGTGTGTGAGAGAGAGAGAGAGAGAGACACAAAAGGAGGGGCCTTGTGCTATGATTGCTGTTTAGTCTTTACTTTTAACTTGACAGATTGTGAACACTTTCCCTTTTGGTAAGTAAAAAGTCACATAATCATATAATGGCTACAGAGTATCCCATTGTGTAGACATAGTATATTTATTTAAATTAGTTCCTACTGATGGCCATTTAAGTTGTTCCAACAATGCTATAATAAACATCCTGTGCCAAACATTTTTGTATATTTGTCTGATTATCTCATTGGGATAATGTGACTCTAGAAGTGGAATTTATAGGTCAAAGACCAGGCACACTTAACAAAGGTTGTAATAGCTCCCACCCCTCACCCCCTCCACAGTGTATGAGTGCCCTTTTCCCTACCCCCGTGCCAGTCCTGCTGTCTGGAGATTCTGCCTTAGACTGGAGCACAGTTCTGAAGGACTGCTGTCTTTCTCTCTGCTTCATCACCAAGAAGTCCTTTCTGGAAGAAGTGGGAAGCAGGAAGAAGCTGCTACACTTTGGCCTCTGTCCTGGACAGCCCTCAGGACCATGACCTTTTATCAACCAACCCGCTCTTCCACCACCAACAGACACCTGAGAAGATAGCACAGGGGAGGCCCGGATGGATCGCTCAGAACTTAACTATGGGAGTCACAGGAGCAATCATTTGGCCGAAGGGAAACCTTTCTACTTCCTCTTCAGTGCCAGTTTAACTTGAAGATGTCATTTGCCTAGAGTAAAATAAATACAAAATGTAATACAAAACAAAAATCTTGTTCATTGATGTAGACACTATGTTTAGAACAGTAGTAATTTTTAAAAAAATATAACCGTATGGGGCATATTTAATTTGTGCTTCCTGTTAGAGAAATCTCCAGGGTTGACCAGTCTTTATTCCAGGGGAGCTCTGTATACTGAGCTAATGACTTCTGAGAGCTTCTTGTCAGGCCATGCCATGAAATGAGTATGGGCAAAGTGCAAAGGAGTGCTGTGTTGTTGCTGTTGTTTTTTAGACGGAGTCTCGCCCTGTCACCCAGGCTGGAATGCAATGGCGTGGTCTCGGCTCACTGCAACCTCTGCCTCCCGGGTTCAAGCGATTCTCCTGCCTCAGCCTCTGGAGTAGCTGGGATTACAGGCGCCTGCCACCATGCCTGGCTAATTTTTGTATTTTTTGTAGAGACGGGGTTTCACCATGTTGGCCAGGCTGGTCTCAAACTGCTGACCTCGTGATCCGCCTGCCCTTGGCCTCCTAAAGTGCTGGGATTACAGGCGTGAGCCACTGCGCCCAGCCATGTTGTGTTGTTTTAAATGTGCTCAGTGGACTTTCTTTTTGTTGTTGTTGAGACAAAATCTCATTCTGTCACCCAGGCTGGAGTGCAGTGGTGCGATCTTGGCTCACTGCAACCTCTACCTCCCAGGTTCAAGTGATTCTCCTGCCTCAGCCTCCCAAGTAGCTGGGATTACAGGTGTATGCCACCATGCTCGGCTAATTTTTCTGTTTTTAGTAGAGACGGGGTTTCACCATGTTGGCCAGACTGGTCTTGAACTCCTGACCTCAGGTGATCTACCCTCCTGGGCCTCCCAAAATTCTGGGATTATAGGTGTGAGCTACCTCGCCCAGCACACTCTTATGAGTTTGTGGTTTGAGTTGCAGGTAATGTTTACAGCTCTTTATTTTTACTGCTTATCATCTCCTCCCCATTCTCTCATAGTTTTCCATTTTGATCACTGCTCCGACTTCTGAAAGCTTTCTTTTCTGATTTATCCATTTTGCTCTTACGAAAGAATTTACACCCTGACTGAGGAGAGTAATTTGTGGCCACCAGCCAGGTTCTTTGTGGACTAACAGCTTTGATTTTTATTTGTAGGTTTGATGAGAAGAGGGCAGTGCAGCAGCTGAGAGCATGTGGTGTCCTGGAAACCATCCGAATCAGTGCGGCCGGTTTCCCCTCACGGTGAGCCTGGCATTTTTCAGATGTAAGGGATCCTAATGGGAGAAGATCCTAGTTCTTTAAGTAAACTCAGATGGTTTTCTTTTAATAGGTGGACTTACCAAGAATTTTTCAGCCGCTACCGTGTCCTAATGAAGCAGAAAGATGTGCTGAGTGACAGAAAGCAAACATGCAAGAATGTGTTAGAGAAACTGATACTGGTGAGAATGATTTCGCTTACCGTCATCTGAGCAGAAGGCCTTGTGGTTCTGACCTTGGAAAGCCCCGGGAACTTTTGTATAACATTTTACTAGTCCAGATCATTTCGGGGTGGGATCAGAGAGGGGCACACTACTGTGTTTAGGATGCTGGAACTAGCGAGGATGATAGTCCACCGTCAGGAGGCAGAGCTGTGAGGCCTGGACCCACATTTGAAACACATTCTTCTTAGACAGCTTGATTATTATTGATAAAAGTGTACCTAGTACTTACATCTAGAAGACACCAGGCCAAATGCTGTGTGATTAAGAAAAAATAAAGCTTGTTCTCAGGTAATATAGTCTTACTTGGAAAGTAATACTTTTTAAAGACGAGTATAATATTTAACTGTAGTGTCTATATCAAATGCTGAATGAATGGAACAAGAAATCAGGGGATGACAAAGCGACGTCCAGCTATGGGAAGGAGAGATTTCATCAAAGAGGTGTGTTTTGAGTCAGGCCCTGAGAATGGGTAAGGTTATGCAAAAATGGAAGGAGACTATTATAAGAGGGAGTAAGAGCAGGGTAAGCATAGGGTTTGCTCAGAAAACAGTTTTTTGCAGTGTGAGATTTGTGTATGGGACAGTAGAGAAATGGTTAGGAAATGTAGGTTGGTGTTACAGAGAGTCTTGCAGACCAGGCTAAAGAGTTCTCCAACTTTACTGTGACCTGGAATGCTTGTTAAAATACAGATTGCTGGGCCCCGCCATCAGAATTTCTGATTCAGTAGGTCTGAGGTTGGGCCCAAGAATTTGTATTTCCCGGGTGATGCCGATGCTGTCTGAGGACTATATTTTGAGAACTACTGATCTTGGTCTTAGAGAATTAAAGATTCATGAAAAGTTTTTAAAATAATATTTTCACTTGGTTAACACTATCCTAGATGGAGTACCTCACTTTGAGCTAATTGATCATAATTACTAGCTGTGAACTAAATGTGATGCCTTTTTTTTGTTAATAATATTTTTTCCTTGAAAGAGCTAAGGCCACTTCCTCAGCAATGCTTTTTTTTTTTTTTTAACTGGGGCTTTTTGAGTTTGCCCCAATTCCCTTCTTTTTTTTTTTTTTTTGAGACAGTCTTGCTCTTTCACCCAGGCTGGAGTACAGTGGCATCTCGGCTCACTGCAACCTCCGCCTCGTGGGTTCAAGCCATTCTCCTACCTCAGCCCCCCCAGTAGCTGGGATTATAGGTGCACACCACCACACCCAGCTAATTTTTGTATTTTTAGTAGAAACAGGGTTTTACCATGTTGGCCAGGCTGGTCTTGAACTCCTGACCTCGTGATCTGCCCGCCTCGGCCTCCCAAAGTGCTGGGATTACAGGTGTGAGCCACTGCGCCCAGCCTGCCCAATCCCCTTCTAACCTGTGTTCAGGTGGGAATGTAGAGCAGAAAGTAGGAACAGGCCTATTCCTGGTCCTCTCACCCAGGCCATTTCAGGCCTGGATCAGGGCTTTGTGGGAATTTAGTTAGGCAGAGGAGGCTGAAAGATGGAGGCAGGGTTGGTGTGAGGTGTGAAGCGGGATGCGGGTAAGGACCACTTTTCTAGCTAGGTTTCCAATGTAAACTTTATTGATTTAAATTGAAATAATTGTAGATTTTTTAGATATATGTGGATGTGTCAGATTTTTTGGTTTCATATATGAGATAATATGAGATATCTACTCATAGGGAAAAATGATTTTCTCTGTTTTCCCTTAGACTTTCAGATCACATGGCCAAGCATGGTGGCTCACGCCCTTAATCCCAGCACTTTTGGAGGCCGTGGCGGGCGGACTGCTTGAGGCCCAGCGTTTGAGGCCACCCTGGCCAATATGGTGAAACCCTGTCTCCACTAAAAATACAAAAATTAGCTGGACGTAGTGGTGTTTACCTGTAATCCCAGCTACTCAGGGGGCTGAGGCAGGAGTGTCGCTTGAACCCAGAAGGCGGAGGCTGCAGTGAGCCGAGATTACAGCACTGTACTCCAGCTTGGGAGACAGAGCGAGACTCATCTCAAAAAAAAAAAAAAAGAATTCCAGGTCACAGTAATGATTCTTACATATAAATTCCATTCTTTGATGCAAGAATGATTAATGATTTGCATACTTCTAGATAAGGTGAATCACAATGTAATATAAATTATTATGTTTTTGTAAAAGGAGTTTGAAAGGATTTTTTTTTTTTGAGACGGATTCTTGCTCTGTTGCTAGGCTGGAGTGCAGTGGCGCGATCTTGGCTCACTGCAACCTCCACCTCCTGGGTTCAAGCAATTCCCCTGCCTCAGCCTCCCAAGTAGTTGGGAATACAGGTGCATGCCACCATGCCCGGCTAATTTTTTGTATTTTAATAGAGACAGGGTTTCACCATGTTGGCCAGGATGTTCTCGATCTCCTGACCTCATGATCCGCCAGCCTTGACCTCCCGAAGTGCTAGGATTACACACGTGAGCCACTACACCCGGCCAATTTGTAGGATTTTAAACATATTTATGGGGTTTTGTTAGTTTGTTTTCAGATATTATTGATAAAGCCAA
The DNA here is from genome assembly GCF_000001405.40 of Homo sapiens. Taxonomy (NCBI): domain Eukaryota; kingdom Metazoa; phylum Chordata; class Mammalia; order Primates; family Hominidae; genus Homo; species Homo sapiens. Next base: position 52,377,071 of record NC_000015.10, on the reverse strand, counting down.
GAGCTAACTGTTTAGAAACATAACTCAATATGAATACCCAAGGATTTTGGTTTTTGGTTTTTGAATTTTATTTCATAAACGTTTCTTCCTGCCTTATTCTTCACACTGGTGTTTTTGTCCCTTCAGCTTCTCATGGAATATACAGCCCGCTGTAATCCTTACAACCTGGGTCAGTCAGAGAGAGTCAGCATCTCCATTTCCTTGAGATGTTTAAAACACAAACAAGCAAATAATAACTGCCTATAACCCACAACCAAGTTTTGGGCCTCAGATAATAATTCCAGGTAGAATAATTCTGGAAAATAACTCTTAAACTGCAGTTTTTCTTAAAATCCCTTCTATTTGCTCAACTTGCATAGGATTAAAAATCTGGCTCCATTAGTTAATTGTGATGTAGCCCAAGTTTTAGCTAATAGAGTCATTCCTTTACTGATTCTGCTTTTAGACATTTTTTCTTTTAAATTTCACTTATATGATTATTATTTCTGAATATACAATTTCTTCCAAAAATAGGACAAGGACAAATACCAGTTTGGTAAGACAAAGATCTTTTTCCGTGCCGGTCAAGTGGCCTATCTAGAAAAATTGAGAGCTGACAAACTGAGAGCTGCCTGCATCCGGATCCAGAAGACCATCCGAGGGTGGCTGCTGAGAAAGAAGTACCTACGCATGCGGAAGGCAGCCATCACCATGCAGAGATACGTGCGGGGCTACCAGGCCCGATGGTAGGTCTCCTGGGGACAGAGTAGAGTGCCCATCTAATTCACTGTCCAACCAAGGACAGTTTTGACTGGTCACCATAGCTGAAAAGATAACACCTCACCTTTTCTTAGTTCCAAGGGACAACAAATTAACTCATAGGACAGCTAAATAGAATAAAATTTCACTCAGCCTTATGAATGATTCAGATTTATCTTCAAAACATTTACAAACTGCTGCTTACTTATGTCCTCAAAATTTTTATTTTTGATACTTTTATATTGGGCTTGAGGAAATCATGTATCAATTAAAACAGTCGTGAATATGAGCTAGGTAATAATGACTTCATTGTATAATTTTTGGGAGCAATTAACTGAGAGGGTCTGGAAGAGAATTACACTTTAGTGTGATTACTTATTAGTTTAATTTTAATTGAGAAGTATAAGTAGAACTGAATTAATCATGAGCTTATAGCCTAACAAAATCAGGAAAAATATGGTAGATGAATAATGGCTAGATCCAAGAAAGCTGGTGATAACTAAGTATGAGATTACTGTGTATGTCTGTCTGTTCTATAAAGAGGCATGGCCTGGGGTAAATGGATCCTGTTGTAGAAAGAATGAATTTTTGTGAATTTTGCTTTCTTGTAAAATCTGGCAATGTGGGCCATCCTACTTTCCAGAGTTAGGGAGGGCTCAAATGAGATAATAAATGCAAAAATACTTTGGGAAACTATAAATTGCTATACAAATGTAAGTAAATATAAATGTTGACTTAGCATGCACATTATTAGAATAATACAATGGAGGTACTATTTATGCCTAAAACAGTGACACTCTTTAAGTTTCTCTAATATGTATTCCTGCATTTTTTTCTGATTACTGACAACATAATGTTATTTTCTTTGGCCAGCTATGCTAAGTTTCTGCGCAGAACCAAGGCAGCAACCATCATTCAAAAGTACTGGCGCATGTATGTGGTCCGCAGGAGGTACAAGATTAGACGAGCTGCCACTATCGTTCTTCAGTCTTACTTGCGAGGCTTCTTGGCCAGAAATAGGTATCGCAAGGTGAGGCATTATTTTCAACTTTGTTTATTCATTCTATTAGCATTAACCAAATTTCACATCTATACAGAGTACCACAGGGGCTACAATGAAGGTAGGAACTGTATGGGGACAACCAGCTATTGAAATGCATATTTATTTATTTTAAAAAATTCTTTTTTAGAAATAGGATCTCGCTCTGTCACCCTGGCTGGGGTGCAGTGGTGCAGTCATAGTACACTGCAGCCTCAAACTCCTGGCCTCAAGCAGTCTTCCCACTGTGGCTTCCCAAAGTGCTGAGATTATAGGTATGAGCCATTGTGCACATGCCCAGCCTGAAATGCATTTTAAAATACTAAATAATCACATACAGTTATTAACAAAACAATGGGAAAAAAACTTTTACCTCCTTCTTTCTCTTTGTTTATATAATTTGAAAAAAAAAGTATGTTAGTTTACTGTGGCTGCTATAATAAATTATCACAAACTTGTTACCTTAAAACAGCCAAAATTAATTCTCTCAGAGTTCTGGAGACCAGAAGTCCAAAATCATTATCAATGGGACAAAATCAAGTTGTCAGCAGGCTGCTCTCCTTCCAGAAGCTCCAGGGGAGAATCCATTCCTTGCCTCTTGCAGCTTCTGGTGGCTGCCAGCATTCCTGTGCTTGTAGCCACATCAGTCCAGTCTCAGCCTCTGTTTTCACAGCATTTTCTCTTCTGTGTATCTGACTTGACTTCTCCTATCTGCCTCTTATAAGAATAATTATGATAGCATTTGGTTCCACCCATGTGATCCAGGATAATCCTCCCATCTGAAGACCCTTAACCTAATCACATCTGCAAAGGCCCTTTTTCTGAATAAATAGCATTTGCAGGTTCCAGGGATTAGCACCTAATTTCCTTGGGGCCCCCTATTCAGATGACTACAGAGAACTTTGAATAGATAGAATATATGACAAACAGGTTAAAGGTTATTCCAAGAATGAGACAACCTTGGAAGAATTTACCATGGTGAAGAGGAGGCAAATTATAACATTAATGTGGTTAAAATTGTATTGACAGATACAATGCTCCAAAAGTTTTTGACAAATAATCTTACATCTAGCAATAATTAATGGGGTCACCAGAGTAGTCTTAATTATCACCTGTGACCATTGATGAACGATTTTTATCTCTTTCATTTTGGCAAGGTTTGGAGTCTATCCTACAGGCTATATTTCAAATCAGTGAGAAATACAAGCCTGGATATTAGAGCTCTATGGACATCACCATTAGAAGGAGCATTAATGGGGTGATTTGGGTCTCTAAGCACAGACAGTATATGGGTGTGACCTAGGCCCTATTTATTTATTTATTTATTTATTTATTTATTTTTATTTGAAGTGATTTTAGACAACAAAAAATTCGAAACTGGTGAGGCTTGAATGAGTGTATTTAATAGCTGTGTTTTGAAGATAGCTACTCCAGATCTTTCTGCTCACCCCTCCTTTATGTAGTCTCATGCTCTTTCTATATAAGCGTGAGATTTTAGGGAGGAAAGAGGTTTGAAGTTGCTTTTCAGATACACCAAACTAGTTACCTTCCTGTGTTCCTCACTACTTTCCTTAGGAACATCTGAGCTGGGTTTTGAGGTCACTGGTTTAGCAGTGGCAGCCTCCGGCCAGCTCAGGCTCCCACTGTGACTGGACAGGGTGGAAGGTGGTAGCGTAGAGGCTTGCTCACATGTAAGCCAACAGCCATCACATTAGTGCTCCTTCTAGCTGTATTTCAGGTCCAAGGTTCCCCTTCATGAGATTTGGAGTGGGGGGGTCTTAAAGAGAGTACAGGTGTTGATTAATTTCTCTCACTCATGATGAAAGTGAGATTGAAAATGGAAGCTCTGATTAAATGCTGTTTCCATTTGACTAAAATTACAAAAATGGACCCATGTCCAAAGTTACATGGGAGAAGCAAATGGAACAGGAAAATTGGCATTAATAGTTTTATTTATCCAGTCACTGTGCCTGGCTACCTCTTCTTAAAATTCAAGAATTTCTTCTCCATCTTTCCTAGAAAATGTTTACACGGTGTCTTTTTGGTGCTCTTTAGCGACAACAAATTCATCTAATAAGGCAAACTTTTGTTTGTTTATAAGTTTAGGGAAATATCATTTTTTTTTAGGAAATGTAACATAAAATCAAAAGTAAGATTAGTTTGTTTCACATCTTTTTACTTTTACCTTTCATTTTAAAGCCCCATCCCTCCTACCTTTGAATCCCAAAAGTGGATCCTTGCTACATTTGAAATAGCAATGGAAAATCCTCACTAGAATGGTATTCCTCAAATGTGGTAAACAAGAGTGTCATCTTTTAGTTTCTAAAAAAAAAAAAAATCAATAAATCAGTACAAACTTTTTAGTACCCCAAGTGTTGGCCTCTACAGACAGTTTGCTGCCCATACCCCGTGTCCTCATGCACGGGCCTAATAATGCATAGTGAGGTGGTATCAGCAGTCAGGGTGGTGGGGATATCTCTTATTTTAGTAGCACATAGTTTACAGGATGCCTGGTTCTGTTAATTTTATAGAGGATCATCTGTTGCCAACAGAAATCATATACTAATAAGAAACCTAATGTATTTTTTCTTTCTTTTTATAGTTGTTTTTCTTTTGGTAATCTGGTGCTTTTTATTTAGACAGCTTCCAACTCTATATTCTGCTTAGAATTATACACATAATATGTGCATATGACACATTTTTATGTATGTTTCTGAAATCACCTTCTAAAGTCTACTTTTCAAATCACTTTTAAAAATAATTTTGTAGCCTCCATATATCTGTGATAAGTATAATCTACATAGTACATTGTCAATTCAACTTTTATGTCTTTTCCTCTAGGTAATGTGTGGATTTTCAGCCCGACATAGATTGATAATCATGAGTGTAGTCCAGGGTCTTGACATTGCTTGCCCTTATCCTTTTCTGCAGATACTCCGTGAGCACAAAGCAGTCATCATTCAGAAGCGAGTCCGGGGCTGGCTGGCCCGCACACACTACAAGAGGAGCATGCATGCCATCATCTACCTTCAGTGCTGCTTCAGGCGGATGATGGCCAAGCGTGAGCTAAAGAAGCTCAAAATCGAGGCTCGCTCAGTGGAGCGCTATAAGAAGCTGCACATCGGCATGGAGAACAAGATCATGCAGCTGCAGCGCAAAGTTGATGAGCAGGTGTGTTTCACAAAGGGGCCCTGAGAGTGGAGTATGCCTGAAGAAATCCACCAGGATTATTTTCAATATTGTTTTTCTTTGACTTTACCCTTCGGTCTTAGTAAAAAGTAAAATTATGACCGTATTTATTTCCATAATGGGCATGGAAGTACTTATGAACTCATAAGGTGGATCACAATTGCAAAAACTAAGGCAGGAAGTTATTATTATTATTATTATTATTATTATTATTATTATTATTATTACTATTATTTGAGACAGGGTCTCACTCTGTCGCCCAGGCTAGAGTTCAGTGGCATGGTCACAGCTCACTGCAGCCTCAACCTGCTGGGCTCAAGTGATCTTCCCACCACAGCCTTCTGAGTATATGGGACTACAGGCACGTACTACCACACCCAGCTAATTTTTTTATTTTGTAGAAACAGGGTCTCATGTTGCCAGGCTGTTGCCTCAAGCAATCCTCCTGCCTCAGCCTCCCAAAGTACTGGGATTACAAGCATGAGCTACCATGCCTGGCAGGAAATTATTTTTGAGAACAGAGATCTACTAATGCTTCAAACCTTTATGACCAAGAGTCATATTGTATGTTACTTATTTTTCAAACACCAGCTTGAACCAGGCATACTGTATTTTGTACTTGGCAATGCTCTATCAAAATTATCATTTATTTTCATGTGGTATCATGTTCATTTTACAGATGAGTTGGTTTAGCATTGAAATAGCAAAAGCATCAGGAAAATGTTGATGCTTCTGATGAACTTGCAATCTGTTGCAGAGATAAAAGTTTGTTTGATTAAAGATAGTTACTAATATTTTAGCACATGTAAATGATATAAAGGTAATTAAGAATATAAAAATGCTAAGGAGAGCAAAGCAAAACAGGGATCAGAATGAAATGGGATGGAAGATTTTCTGAGTGGGAGGGAGAAATTTTGAGGTAGTAAACATAAAGATTTGTGAGAAACGTGTGTGTGTGTAGGGAGAGGGTTTTTTTTTTTTGTTTTTTGTTTTAGGACAGATTCTCACCCTGTCACCCAGGCTAAAGTACAGCAGTGCAATCACGGCTCACTACAGCCTCAAACTCCTGGGCTCAAGTGATCCTCCTGCCTCAGCCTCCCAAGTAGCTAGGACTACAGGTACACACCACCATGTCTAGCTAATTTTTAAATTTTTTTGTAAAGACGGGGTCTCATTATGTGCCCAGGCTAGTCTTGAACTCCTGGCCTCTTGTGATCCTCCTGCCTTGGCCTCCCAAAGTGTTGAGACTATAGGTGTGAGCCACTACACCTGGCCAACTTGGGATTTTGAGGCTGTTTTAATCATTCGTACGCATCACTAAGCTAGTAAATGGTTTTTAGCAACATTTTGATCTGTTTTCAAAAACAAGTATAGATCCTCCTATTTCTGAATTAAGAATCAGGAAATTAAGAATTTACTATGTAACTCACCCTGTGACTATGAGAAAATCACATCCATCTTGCTTACCACATCAAACAGAATTGAATTAATTGTGCCTGTTTTCTTCTCTGTTTGTGTCACCTAGAAGGTATTGGTTGTGCTATTGCAAATGTTGTAGTATTTTGGTTGGATACTATATCAATGTTATGATGATATAGCATGAATATGATGAATAAACATGGTTTTCTTACTAAATACATTTGATGATATGTGTATTTACTTATTGTTACTTATGTGTATGTTTAAAGAACAAAGACTACAAATGCCTTGTGGAGAAACTAACCAATCTGGAAGGAATATACAACTCTGAGACTGAGAAACTACGAAGTGACTTAGAACGTCTTCAACTAAGTGAAGAGGAAGCGAAAGTTGCCACTGGGCGGGTCCTTAGTCTGCAGGAAGAAATTGCCAAGCTCCGGAAAGACCTGGAGCAAACTCGTTCAGAGAAAAAATGCATTGAGGAACATGCAGATCGATACAAACAAGAAACAGAGCAGGTAGGAATAATGTCCATATCCCCATCTACTCCGTACACAAAAGAGAGGTGCTGTCATCATGACTTGGTCCGTGTGACTCACTGTTGGTTTTATTAGAAATGCAGTACAAATTTTAGTTGAATTACTGTTCATTATTACTGTTTCCCAAGCATTTATTTCTCATTATCAATGAGTAGGCTGTAGGTCTTTTAGTAGAACTTTCTACTCTAATAAGAACAGAGGCAAAGCTGTATTTTTAGGAGAGAATGGCCAAGTACCTACTAACACTTGTATATTAAAAAAAAAAAAAAAAAAAAAAAGTCAGTCTGGGGCATAGACTCCTTTTAAAAAAAAAGTCAGTCTGGGGCGTAGACTCCTTTTTCTTCAGTAGGGTTAATGTGATTAACCCATTTATGCCTAAGGTTGCAATTTTTTGAATTGCAAAATCAGTCTTTGGCAATGACCTTGAGCAGTAGAATATAAATAACTCCCACATGCTTAGTGTTCTAATAATGGAACATTAGACATAATATTTAGTACCTGATGGTAGGGATCCTTGTTGAAGCCTGCATTAAGGCTGTATTAAGAAGTCCAAGCAGGAGAAGTCTAAATGTCTGCACAGTGATTGCAACCAACAGCTTTACGCAGATGGAACCCTCCCCACAAAATGCTTTCAGATTGACCAGTACTTGCACGCTTCAAATTTGTATTAACATATCAAAACTTTATTAAGTATAGAAGACATTAAGATTGTCAAGTAGTAATGAGATGTACTGCTGAAACATTTGTAAAAGTACCTCAACATTAGGCTTCCTGGAAAAAAGTAATCGATTTTCAGAGATTCCGCTGGTATTACCATCTTTAAATGAAAACAGAGTTGCCTGTGTCAGCTGTAACTGCTGGCAAGAATCCTGATATGGTTTGTCTGTACTGACTTCTAAATGTTAATATCAGCACATGCAGTGAGAACTACAGCAGGAACTTAGATGCAGGTCGGTTAGGATAGGGTGGCTGGTAAAATTGCAGTCCTTCCATGGCATTACAGGTTCCAGTAAAGTAATTCCTCCTATATCTCTAGATCTGTACTCTATATATAGAAACAGCAGTGCCAAAAGGTGAGATTCTTTTCTGTTTTATATAATGTTGTTTTGATACAGCAAGCTTGTTCTCTCAGAATTAAGACGTGCACTCAAAAAGATACTCTTGAATGTTTAAGATCTCTTTTCTTCCCTTTAAGTCTCCCCAAACCACGGAAGCTTTCCAGCTTCGGATTCCTCAGAATCTGTACAGTAGTTAAGTGTGGTGGGAAGATTCTCCTTTCCTTTTCAAAGCCAAGTTCTTGCCTTTCTAGTCTGATAGAATAAACACACAAGCAGATTCAGATTTTTTCTTTCATTTCATTTCATTTTCTCCCACTTCTCACAGAGATAGCTGTAGGCACTAACTTTAGTTCAGACGGTGTTTCCTATGTTGTGTAGGCTGGTCTTGAACTCCTGGCCTCAAGCTGTTTTCCCACATTGGTCTCACAAAGCGCTGGGTTTACAGGTGTGAGCCACTGCGCCTGGCCCCATTAGTTCTTTTGATGGAATGTAGTGATAGGGGAAGAATGAAAACATTTCACTGTGACAGTCAGCTTCATGGTCAGGAAAATGACATTCTCAGTCTGATCAAGGAGCCCAGAAGTTACAGTAGAGTTATGTATGGTTCCTAACCAAGAGCATTTATCAAAACTGCTGGGGAGTTTTTATATAAAAAGGGAGCTATCCAGACTCTGGGAGTGTGGGCTAGGCACATTATTTTGAAAAAGTACCATAGGTGATTGGTTGTGCACCCCTACCAAACAAGAGCCTCTCCTGAAAGCCCACAGAGAGCTGGGGCTTTTTTTACTGAGAGTGGATGTTAAGGCAAGGTCAGTCCAGAGGGAAAAGACTGAGCCCTCGGAAGGGATACCTACTGGACTGATGTCTGCTGTGTGTGGCACAGTGTAGTTATCCAACTTTCCTGCTCCCTGGAGCCCTCTTTTCCTGTCCTAAACCCCCTGACATGACAAGAGATTTGCCTGCCAGTTCTCTCCCTATTATTAAAGCTCTTGTTTTCAGAGTTCCTTAAACTTTAGCTTAGAAAAAGGAATTCAGATTTTACTCATCATAAGCACACACTTTATTCCAAAGATGAGCTGAGTAAATTATGTACTTTGCAAAATTACCTTTGGTTTTAACTTTTCCTTCCTGGGAATCCTTATCCAGCAAAGAACTAGAAAGTTAAGAGTCAACTTGTGTGTGTGTGTGTGTGTGTGTGTGTGTGTGTGTGTGTGTGTGTTTTAAAATATACATGACATAAAATTTACCATTTTCACCATTTTTAAGTGGACAGTTCTGTGGCATTAAGTACATTGACATTGTTGTAATGTCAATGCTTATTTAAACATGGAATAAAAGGACTAGTTCTCAGCCTTGTAAAACTCTTAAAGGGAGATGAAAGAGAAATTCTCTTTCTTGACATCAGATGGGAGAATCAAAAGCTCTTCAGTGAATTTCCCAAACTAAACATCCTCATATCCTTCTTAACCTCCTTAATCTCCCCACTTGAATCATGGGTACACATAAGCTTTGTGTGAAAGCATTCAGAGGAGAAGGTAATATCAATTACCTTTGAGAGCAAATGCTGACTTAGTGCCAGGCAATTTTTTAATGTTTAATGTAAAGTAAAACTTTAATGTTTTAATGTTTAATGTAAAGTAAAAAACCATCACCATCCTTATCCTTCAAGAAATTCTAGTCTATTCTGGAAAAGAGGAAAGTAAATCATTTATAACGGATATAAAGAGCATATACAGGGTCTTGTAGTAGCACAGGGAAAAGACAGCTAATTGAAGGGGGTTTCAGGAAGGCTCTTGGGAGGGAGTAATGCTTGAGCAAGTTTGTAAGGTGACTAGACATAACCAGGCAAAGACAGGGAGCACAGAGGTGGTGGAAGTAAGGAATGACTGCTTATGGTCTTTATCCTTGGTCATCAGGCTTCCTCTGTCCATTGCAACCATCTCAGTTTATTGTTTCATTTCGTAGCTGGTATCAAATCTGAAGGAAGAAAATACTTTGCTGAAGCAAGAAAAAGAAGCCCTCAATCACCGCATCGTGCAGCAGGCTAAGGAGATGACAGGTAAAGCTTATATGCGTACTACACGCCAACCAACCTCACACCAAAGTTATGTAAGTTACAATGTCATTTGATGAGTTACACAACATTATTTAGAATTTAAATATTTTTAAAAGTTGAGGCTGTCATCAGCAAATTTATAAAGTTCCAAGAGGCAACAGATCAGATATTTTGGTTGAATTCGTTGCTTGATAAACTTGTAAATCTGGTATCTCTAGGTACAAATGTGAACTCCGGTTCAGTCAGTGTCATATGTAATTTTTTTTTAAAATTAATTTGTTCTGCATGTGTGATTTACTAGTTAAGGCTTATAGGATTCCTAATGATTTAGTAAGAATTTTTGAGCTGATATGTGTATATTTCTGTGTGTGTGTGTATTGTCTTTTTTTTTTTTTTTTTTTTTTGCTAAATCAATGGATGTTATTCTAAGATTCACCACTCTTTGCTAGTCTAAAAAAACACTAATTTTTAAAATAGAGAACTAACTAGATATGGACATTTATTCTATTTTCTGTTTGTGGGGTAGGTTAGAATGGTGATAAGTTTATAAGGAATCCACATATATATAAATATGGGGTAAGAAGATACAGATCTATACAGTAATTAGTGGTGGAAATGGAAGAGAAAAGATGGTTTGGAATGGGGATATATTATATGAAAATAATACATTTTCATATACATTCTGTTGATTACACTGGTATTCAAAAAAGGCAAAAATGTTCTAAGATTTTACAATGAGATAACAAAACAATAAAGATATGTTATTAGTAATACGGATATTGAGAAAAAAGTATACATTTATGAGGCAAATTAATGAGGCCAGTTGTTGGAGTGTTAAGTTTGATATGTCAGCTAGGACCTCAACATGGAGGTATTCAGAAAGCAAATCCAGATTAAAGAGTAGAGAAAAAATAAGAAGGGAGCCTAAAGATACCCATTAAAACTGTGGTGGTAAGAGAGACTGCCTCACCTCTCCTAGCTGAAGGGGCTAATACTGAGGAAAGAGAAGAAAACCTGGAATTAATGACCATACTAAGGGATGAGGTAAAGAAAAGGAGCCAGAAAATAAAATTAAGAGGTGAAGGAGAAAACAGAGCCCTGGAAAGAAGGCTGCTGGGAGGCAGCATGTAACAGAAGGATCCAGAATGATGAGAATCTTCTAGGAAAATATAAAATGTTATTTGAAAGTGAACTGTAAGAACAAAGAAATGACAGTGAGTTTGCCAAGGGAAAATTTTTTGGTAGGCTCAGAGCAGCTTCTGCAAACTGGTGAGAATAAAAGGCAACTTGTAGAATGTTTTAGAGAGAAGAAATTCTTTCATTCATTCATTTACAAATTATTAAAGCCCTACTCTAGGGAAGCACTGTGGTGGGCACCAGGAAAGCAGCTGTGACAAGACACTTGTAGCCCTTGCCTCATCGTGCTCACAGAGAAAGCAGTGGTGAAGCAATAGAAGCAGGCAGGGCAGATTAAGATTTAGCCTCAAAATATATGGGTAACATGGAGCAAAGTGGTAGAAGCTTAATATTATAAATGTGACTGGTTGGCTGATTGAGTTAAGACATACAGCTGAGATTTGAGGTTTTGTTACTTTACTTCATCTGCAGTCAAGGGCTAATCTCCAATCTCCAGATCATGTCCTAGCCAAAAGCAAACCACAGCCACAAAGAGGGCTGAGGGTGTAGGTAAATGGAGAAGGCAAGGTTTCCTCAGCAGCGCGTGGGGATGACCAACAAGCACACAACACAGCTGGCCAGGCCCGAGCATTTTATCTGGTTAGAAGCTGGGAAGTAATAGGACAGCAGGGGAGGTTAAAGTCGTAGAAAACGTAAGACAGAACTGTGAGATGGTAAATTAAGAGAGACTCTGTAGAGTAGGACAACCGGGTCCACTGAAAAGTTGCCATTCTCTTGAGAAATATCTCTCTTGAGAAATATCTGTGAGGAGGTCATTTTGAGAGAGTACACTACTTTGGGCAAAATAATTTTATGAATAGAATACCATTGGAATAAAAATATGTACACTTTAGTTACTAGACAGTGACTGACTAGTGGAAGTTTTTCAAGGATGTGCTGTAACCAGTGTATCAATTAGTGGTACTAAGGCCAGAGTACATGGAATAACTCAGTAGATGATTGTTATTATTAATAAATTATTTCATTTTTTGGTCATTTTTTCTTTTCCTAAATTTTACTAAGACACTCTTCATGGATCACAGTGATACTAAAAGTAAAATTGCCTACAGAGAAACTGGAAATCAGTATACATGTTTACACAATTGCATTCTCAAGGGGCCATCTTTAGTATGCATATCCTTTTTTTAATTTCAGAAACTATGGAGAAGAAGTTAGTAGAAGAAACGAAACAACTGGAACTCGACCTTAATGATGAAAGGCTGAGATATCAGAACCTTCTGAATGAGTTCAGTCGCCTGGAAGAAAGATATGATGACCTCAAGGAAGAGATGACCCTTATGGTGGTGAGTCAAACACTTTTGTTTTTTTTTTAATGAAAAATTTTAAACATATACAAAAGTAAATAGAATAGTAGAATGAACCTCCATATCTTCTGTGTACCTACCACCCAGTTCCAGAATGTTCAACACATATTCACCTCCCATTCCATCTCCCCAACCCACTCCATCCAATGGATTGGATTATTTTAAAGCAAATCTTAGAAATCATATAATTTTATTCACAAGTACTTCGGTAAAGTCAAACAGTTTAAAGACTGGGCTATGTGATAGTATAAAGTCAGTAAAGTTGGATTTTTGTTTTTGTTTTTGTTTTTTTTTTTGAGATGGAGTCTCCCTGTGTCACCAGGCTGGAGTGTAGTGGCACAATCTCGGCTCACTGCAACCTCCGCCTCCCAGGTTCAAGTGATTCTCCTGCCTCAGCCTCCCGAGTAGCTGGGACTACAGGTGCCCACCACCATGCCCAGCTAATTTTTTGTATTTTTAGTAGAAATGGGGTTTCACCATGTTGGCCAGGATGGTCTCGATCTCTTGACCTCATGATCTACCCACCTTGGCCTCCCAAAGTGCTGGGATTACAGGCATGAGCCATTGCGCCCGGCCAGTTGGACTTTGTTTTATATATTGAATGGCCTAATGTAAAATTTACATGTAGACTGGTTTTGATTATAATTTTGAAGATATATTCCTATGAAAAGAAAATTCAGACTCCATTTGTAATGAATTATCTATTTCAAGGACTCTTCTGCATTTGCCAATGTACCTTTCATACTTGTAATAATTCTGCACATCCTCCCCATTCCATGTATCCTGCTATCAGGAAACAAAGAGTTCCCAAGCATCCCTACAAGTACCAGCCTTAAAGGTAACCTAATTATACAAATGACCAGAAATGCCCTGAAATATCTCATAAAAAGCCAGATAATTCAGTATCTGTGGAGCAGAGTATTTTCTTCAAATTTTGCTTCTATCTGGACCTACTGACAAAGTTCATTACAATATGACACTTAAAAGTCAAAATAAAAGAGATTGTGTAATACAAAAGATAGGCTCTCATCACCTTGCAGATGAGAAAATCCTGTCTAAAAGAGACCAAAAAGCTAATATAAATCCCACATTGGACCATTATTTCAACCCTCACTACTCTGATTTATGTGTGACAAAGAGAAATTAGAAGTAGATGCAAGTCACCATTATAACTGTTCTTATAATTGACAAATCTAAAGACCCTTGTTAAGCTTCATCTTCCTAGATCACCGTGCTACCGTTGGTCCCATTGAAACCTTTCTTCCTTCACATTCTGTAATTCTTAGCTTTCTCTTGAATCCTTTTCTTCTTTTTCAGTGTTCATGTTCCCCAGTTCCATTCTTTGGTGTGTTTTTGTTCACTCTATTTATTAGATGACAATGCCAACATTTATGGTTAATCTCTGTTTCAGTTATGGTTAGAGCTAAGCTTTATAACCCAGTAGGTGTTTCTGAGACCCCCTAGTTATTTGGGATGTTAATAAGTGGGATTGGAAAAGAAATTCTTAGGTAAAATAAATGTGGTAATCTACTAGGTTAAACAGAGATAAACAAATGTCTTTTCTGGAGAATTTCTTGGATTCTTTAATGGTGCATGCAATATGAATTTCAGAAAATAAAATGAGAGAAGCAGGTGCCATACATGTATCCCTCTCTGAGCATATTCCAGAGATATCCATCTGTGAGGAGGTCATGGGTCTCTTTAGTCGAGGAGGTGGCCATTTCTAGAAAGGTCCTCCAGTGACGCCTCCTCCAGCAGCTTGACACGGCTCCTCCTTCCTGCTAAGCAAGTCTGCCTGCTCTCCATCTGTTCCCAGCAGTGCTCTAGAGGTAGTTTTAGTTGCTCAATTTCTTATTTCTCAGTCATGTGTCCTCTCCATTGTATGCCTGTGACTCAGTCATTCCTCTTGGGAGACAAAATGGTCAGAGGAAGGGAAAAGGAGAAAGCAGAGGAAGGGAGATCAGAGCTCACTTGCTTCCCACTCATTTCTTCACTAGATCTCCTTTTCCTAGCTCCAGATATAATCAAGATGACAGTTTTTGCAGAAAATATTTGCCCAGAATTGCAGAGAATAAAAAACTTGATCTTTTAACCCATGACAATTAAAATATTAGTGACAATATCTTATTTTAATGTTTAGGTACAACTAAACAGCTAACAGATGAGTACTTGACTAATATTAGACTGACGCTGTTCTGTAAATGACACTCTCACTGCTTCAATCCAGAGCTAATGAAGCATTTGGTTGTAAACAGAGTCGTCATATGAATGGAGGAAACTCTAGGGAGGGGACTTGATACACTGCCTCCAGCGCTTCCCATAACCTATGTGATACATGGGCCAAAGAACACTAATAGTGTCACTCATTGCCAGCCTCTAGAGTTGTTGGCCCTAGTACAAGAAGTACTGTAGCATTTTTCTCCAAGAACATTCGGTTGTCCAGGGAATATAGGGGCAGAGGCAAAGAGGAAGGACCAATCCAGGGCTAAGGAGTTTCAAGCCAATGATGAAAAGATCATGAGGCATGGGCATCCAGGTTTATGAAGTGTTTAAAGATAAATTAATTCCAGAGAGGGGAGGGAAACCAGCATGTCAATCATGGGGTCGTTAGTCTTGACAAAGGGATAAAACATGTTCTGGAAAAGAAGGAATCATGGGAGAAATCAGGAGCAGAAGAGGAGGGAGGTGCAGATCTTGAAGGAGAACGTGATGATCCAGTCAAATATATATCCTTGTAATTGAAAAACGTATAAACGGGGGAACAAAATCCTAAAAACAGAGAACTGAAAAGTTACCAACAAGGAAGTTGCTGAATCACTGCAATCTCCTAACAATCACAGCAGCAGAAGTTAACATTCATTGAATGCTTGTTATGCCAAGCCAAACTCTTTACTTCCACACTCTTATTTAATCCTCACACAGACCCTATGAGATAGAAATTAGTACCCTTTTTTTCCTGATGATGAAAATACCAGCTAGTGGAAGAGCTGGTATTCCTGCCTAACTCTCTCTCGTTTCAGATCCAGAGCACTTAATCACTGCCCTGTATCCAAAAGTTACATTAAATAGCAAAAAGCAATGTTGCTTCTATTAATGCCTTAAGGTATTCCTTGTATAATGATAGACATATGTGGGAAGACAGGGATCTCTCTCATTTTTAATAAGCTTATTAAAAATCTTTGTCCTGGTGTTTATCTGGACTACCTGGTTTTCTTAGTGATACAACCAGTTTATTAAATAAATGCCATTCCTACAACTGTGGGCTTGGGCTGGAAACTTTAAGCAAGAGTGCCTGTGTCTGTAAACAGACAGTGAATTTGAGTGCCTTTGACTTCATGTGTGATGATTGTCCCCTTTAGTGTGCACCCCAGCTTCTGGATCGTTTCAGAGGTGCTGGTGTTCTTGGATCTTCCCTTCACATTGCAGTACAGGTTGGGTTGGCCTGGGAGACTTTTACGTGCCTCTGGATGAGTCTGCTCTCCATAAGCCTGGGTGTTGGAAGGGAAGAGACAAAGAAGCTCTTTGTGGCTTCTAGCTCTTTTCCAGCAGCTGGGGAAAGGTACAAAGAAAACTGGACAGATGAGAAAGCTCTCAGAGGCCTTTGTGAAGCCCTCAGGACTGTAACACTGCAAGATTAAGCCACTGGATCTTTTCCACCTCTCCTGCTGGGGACATGCTAAGAGCCCAGCCTTTTAATTCCTTCTTCCCTCAAGTTATTCTCTAACCCCTTCTCCTACAGGAGGGAAGGGTGTGTCGTTGCTAAACTTTTCTATTCCTCTTGAACTTTCTCAACACTAATTTCCTAGGTATTACATGTCATAAAAATGCCACCTGGATGCCCTGAGGTAATAACCGAGGGCTCTTCAGAGGATTACTAGAGCAGCTTTCTTACCTCCCGTGTACTGTCCATCCTGCCCACTGCTCACTCCAAAGATTTAACTTCACGTATTAAAGTGACAGAAGTTAGAGCTGCCTGTGTGAACTCCTTCATCTTTCTTTTAAACCATTTATGCCTAGTTACCATGCAGTAAAATGATTGTGCATGCCATTTCAATATATTTTATGAGGTTTTTGTAAGTTTTATTTGATTATGGCACTAAAAGTCAGTGCTTGGAAGCTTCACCCAGTGCTTCACTGAGCACTGCTTCACCCAGTGTGACTGACCGCTCAAAGCTTTCAACACCCAAAGGGGACTCGACTAATAATCAGAAGTGGTTTTCATTTGGGCATTTGGTTTTGCAACTGTTCTTGTCCTGTCATGCCAGTGTACCTTTTTCTTTGAAGCGGTGACCTTTTTGTAATTATTTGGTCAAAACAATATGGAACAAATCACTTGGGCACCAATACAAGTCAGGAAGTAGGGATAAGAACCAAGTCAAGGTGGATGCTGTCTTAACTATGCCTAGACTAATTATGTTGCATTAATTATACCTGGGTTATTTGCCTTGCAGCATGTGCCTAAGCCTGGACACAAGAGAACAGACTCCACCCACAGCAGCAACGAGTCTGAATATATCTTTAGCTCTGAAATTGCAGAAATGGAAGACATTCCATCAAGGACAGAGGTACAGTTTAGACATCTGTCACTGAAAGTAGGATATGAGCATGCTGTTGTTAACAAGGAACATTTCCATTGCAAAGCAGACTCCAATTGGCCATAAACATAGTATTTGTTTGAATCATTTATTCTTCATAAGTGACTTGTAGATACAAACTTATTTACATTTTTGTATACTTAAGTGCTGTGTACATACATACCTATTGCATTTTTTTGTCAATACAAATTTTAATTTTAATTTTTAATGCAATTTTGATGGTGAGATTTTATTTTTATAATTCTCTTTACCCCTAACATGATATGTTTACAGGAATTTATTTCAGACTGAGGTAAATTATTTTATTTTTACTTATTATTTATTTACTTTATATCTGTGGACCACCGCTGTAGACAGAGGTAAATTATTTTTAAAGTAAGCCCTTTGTCCTTGAATATTATAAACACCAGTGCCCCAGAGTTTAGCAAAACTGATGCCTCTATTTTATGCCAGTTTTTACCAATGTAACTTTCTTCTACAAAATGCATGGAAAATAGTTTAGAAATCTGCTTTAATGTTTTGTGTTTTGTGGTATGAAACCAAAATGATGTATTACTGTAACTCCAAGAGTATAGTGACTTTTAGTTAGATTATTCCCAACCAATTCTAAGATCTTTTAAAATATGATATAGTTTCAATAATGGGTAATTCAGGCACAACTGTCCTATTTTTATATTATATTTTTTGAAAATGGCCAAATCAGAAATAGACTGCTTCTGGTAGAATAGCTAGAGAAATTGAGTGATTCTTTCCTTTCTTGTCTTAGTTCTACTTAAGAATGAAGTTTCTGCCATCTCATTCTGTTAATTTTGAAGAAAAATGTTACATAGTTGGAATGTCATATCATTGGAATCATACATACAAGAAGGCTAAGTAATTTGTCCAGGTTCACAGCTTATAAATGGTAGATCCAGCATACTAACTGAGGCTTGTCTCTTTAGAATTCATGTTCTTAAGCCATTATATTCTACTGACTTCCATCCAGGGATTCTGTACTGCAACTCTCCAATCCCTTTTCTATCTATAGCTAACATTGGCTGGGGCCCATGGATATAACAGTATGGCCAGGATATAGCAGGATAGAGGTTTTTCCAGTTATCTATTGCTATGTAATAAATGATCTCAAGTTTTAGTGTTTTTTTTTTAAAAAACAGTAATTTATTATTACTCATAATTCTGTGGGATTTGACTGGGGAGTTCTTCTGTTCCATGTGGTGGTGGTCGGAGTGCCTCATGTAGCTGCATTCTGTAGAGTGCTTGCTTCTCTTCCCTGGGCCTCTCCATGTAGCCTCTGTTCAGCAGCAGGTAGGTGGGTTCTAAGAGTGACAGACTAAAAGATGCCAGGCCTCTTAGAGCTAGGCCCAGAACTGGCCCAGTGTTAGTTCTGCTGCATTCTGATCAAAGAAAATCACAAGGTCAGCCCAGATTCAAGGCAAAGGGGATAGATTCCATCTCTTGTTGGGAGGAAATACTTGTATGTTGAGAAGAATCATTGGTGCCATCTTTGGAGAATACCACAAAGTTAGACTTTGAAGATTTAAAAATTAGGACTTCTGAGCCTTCAGTAGATAGGAAGGTTTTAGGATTACATCCTGTTGATCTCAGTGGGAGTACTCACTTGCAATAGTCGGAGGGAAGTACATTTACAAGCTGCCCATTCCAGTGTAGTACCACTTTAGCAGCTCTGCTGGTAGGGGGAAGCCATGATAAAAAGGGTGTGCTTGCCGGAAACCAGTCTGTAGCTCTGTGGAGAATTCGCCTGCCAGTCCCACTTGTTTTGCAGCCCTCCCACGCTTGCCGATCTTCATGGGCTGGGATGACATTGCTTTGGAACCAGTGCTCCTCCTGCTTGGTGTGCACCTCTTCTAGGAGCCCTTGACTGATGATCCCTGTTCTGCTTCTGCTGTCAAGCTTTCTCACACCTTTCACCTCTGGGAAGGGTCACCAGAACTTTCTCAGCTATCATTAGGAGTTATTTCAGAATGACTGCCAGGCCTGTAGTGGTGGTAATTTTGTGAATAAATTCAGTTATTTTGATTTTCCTCAGATGAGAGACTAGTGTTATTTTTTAGGTCAGTTAAAAAGCTTCGCTGTCTTAGAAAAGCCCTGGGTGACAAAGTCCTTACTAAGGCAAAAAGCGAAACAAAACCTCAGAAACTTCTCTGTGACAGATGGCCCAATCTTCCTTCTTGCTCATGGGGTATAGTGAGGACAGCTCTTTAATTTGATAGCATCTCTTTAATTAGATGTGTCATCCGGGCTCAGAATGGGTACCATCGGGAGCACTCTTAAATAATTACCACTCTTTATGCCTCGAGTCATTTTGCATTTTTCAAATGTAATCTTTTGTGATCTTCCACCTTCTATTTTAATATTCTTATCCACAGAATTTTGCTCTTGTCCAGCAATCAACTAGTTGTTTATATAGTATTAGCCAATGTCTAAAGAGTTAACCCATCACATTTTTTCTTTTTTTTTTTTTTTTGCTAGTTCTAGTTATCAAAACACCATCCCATTTTAATAAGAGGATTCCTTTTAAACAAAAAGTGCCCATTCAAGGCTCAAAGGAATGATTTCCAAGTGATATTTTAGGTATAATGAATGAAGTATTATATTCATTTCTAGAATGAAAGGTTCTATGACAGTGTAAGAAAAGATTAAATAATTTAAAATTTCAGGGACATGTACATCATTCATAAATGAACAAACATTAAAATATATAATATGGAATGTTTACATTGTAAATAAGCTTCAATATAAGTATTTTACGCTTAATTTTTATGGGGGACGTATAGAGAAGAATTTTTATATGAATGAAATTCTGTGGTGATTTCGTGTTGAGGCAAGATGTTATATCTGTTCTGCTAAGTCAGGACAGACTTTATTATAAAGATTATATACCTAAAACTTTTTCTAATTGTTAAGTATTACAAAGTAGGCAGAAAGAAAAAGTTCAGGTGTAATTAATTTGTGGACAAATGACTTTGACAGCCTATAAATGCCTACTTTTTTGTTCAGTTGATTCTTCTCAGGTTGTTTTTGAATTGGAATAACACTTAACACTACTCTGAATTCATGAAAGACCAAAGGTAGCTAATTAATATACAATTCCTGAAAATAAAAAAAAAAAAAAAAAAGTCAAAGAAATGCAAATTAAATCAACAGCGAAGTGCCACTTTTGGTCTATTAACTGAGCTAATTTTTTTTTTTTTTTAATTATAACGGTTACTACTGTTGAAGGCAAGGTGATGGTTGCTGATAGAAGTTTAAATTGGCCCAATTTAATGGACTTTTAAGAAGTTAATGTTTAGATATTTATATACTGGGGTGTTTATTTTAGTAATATTCCAATAGCAAAAAATTAGAAACAACTTCAACACCCATCAGTAAAATAATAGCTAAGCAAATGGTGACACACCTGTCTATATATTGAAATATCATATTATAAATTTGGGAAACAATGCAATGCCAAGTTTAAAAGACCATATAAAATTATAATGACATTATTATTCTAATTCTTTAAATCTATAGATGCATAGAGAAAAAGACTAAGAAAAAATTGTAGTTTTTCTGTGGCGATAGGATTATGGCTGTGTTTTTCTTCTTTGAACTTTTCTTATTTCCTAAATTTTCTGTAAAAGCTTATTCTGTTCTCATATCAGAAAAGCAAAAGTAAACATTCTCTTTTTAAACAATTGGGTAGATTTACCAATCATTTAAGAATTATACTTTGACCATTTAGTTAAATAAATGATTGTTGCCATTCTCTTGCTCCTCCAGCCCCACTTGTCTCTCTCTAACAAAGGGACTCTTTATCTTCCACATTAATTCTAATAGTACAATTATTTCTCTTCTTACCTCATTAAAAATTAAAACCTTAGGTAAACATGTTAAAACAATTATGGCATCCACAACTTCCATTATGATGGTTAGTTGTTTCCATTCTTTTTAGCTTTAATTAGTGTACCTTTATTTATCCTAGTAGGTCTCATTGTGATTCTGTTTTGGAACCAGTTGACACATTTTTAAAATGTTATTAGGTTATCCTTCAGTTTATTAAGAACTATACAGTCGTCCCTCGGTTTCCACAGGGGATTGGTTCCAGGACTTTCATGAATACCAAAATCTAAGGATGCTCAAGTCTCTTATATAAAATGCAGTAGTATTTACATATAACCTATGCACATCCTTCCATATTCTTTAAATCATCTCTACATTACTTATAATACCTAAGACAAGCTATGTAAATATAGCATTATTTAATACCTAAGACAATATATAATTAAATAAAACATTATTTAGTACCTAAGACAAATATAGAATATTGTAATACCCAAGACAATATAAATGCTATGTAAACAATACAGTATAATAACTATTTATTTGTAATAAAAAGCCAAGTTGCGCAGCACAGGTCTATCTGCAGAGCCAAGGCTGGGCTTTATGTCTATTTCAGCAGTCTCTTCTTAGTGGGGACACAGCCAAGCCTAACCAAGCAGCGTTTTGTTAAAGTAGTGAGGGCTAAACTCTCTTCACTGTTTTCTGAAGAGGCAGTAAATATTCTAACAGTAAAAATGTGATAATCATTTTCATTTTTATTGTTTGGGAGTTTTTTTGGGGGGGAATATTTTTGATCCACAGTTGGTTGAATCTGAGAGGATGTGGAACCCACAGATACAGAACCCAAGGATATGGAGGGCTGACTGTATATGTTTGGTTTATCAGATTTCAGTTTTCTCTGTGTGATCTCAATATATTTATGCTGGCATTTCATATTTTCAAAAATCATTCTTCCTGATTGTAAATGTAGAATCTGCCCATTGTAAACAATTTAAATATGGGAATGTACAATGTAAAAAATGAAACCTTCCCATAGTACATTCCGTCTTCTGAGATAACCACTGATGGCCTTCCAAATTTTTATATGCATGTGCTAGGTATACATTTAAAAGTCACATATGTTTGTGTTTTATTAACAAAAACAAGATATATTTTCTGTCCTACAGTTTGTGTGATCATGTAATACTTTAAGATATATTTATCTGCTCATGTTGATATACTTCATTCTTTTTTTTTTTTTTTGTGAGATGGAGTCTCACTCTGCTGCCCCAGCTGGAGTGCAGTGGCGCAATCTCAGCTCACTGCAACCTCCACCTCCTGGGTTCAAGCAATTCTCCTCCCTCTGCCTCCTGAGTAGATGGGATTACTGATGTGTGCCACCAGGCCCGGCTAATTTTTATATTTTTAGCAGAGATGGGGTTTCACCGTGTTGGTCAGGCTGGTCTTGAACTCCTGACCTTGTGATCCACCCGCCTTGGCCTCCCAAAGTGCTGGGATTACAGGCATGAGCCACCGTGCCCGGCCTACTTCATTCTTTTTAACAGCTAAAAAATATTTCACAGTTTGGCTATACCATAATTTACTTAAGCAACTGTCCTATTGACTGACATTCAGATTATTGTCAGTTTTTCGCAATTACAAAAAAAATGCTTCAATGAACATCTTTTTCCATATATTTTTATATACTTGTGTAAGTATTTCTGTAGGATTAATTCCTAAATGTAGATTTGCTAGGTTAAAGGTATGCACATTTAAATTTTAGTAAGTTCGGCAAAATTGCCCGTTTCAAAGGCCTACTTTTACTTCCACCAATATCATATGAGACACTGTGGCTAATGCAGAGCATTATGAATCTTTTTAGTCTTTGCCAGTCTGATAGGGGAGAAGTAGCAGCTCATTGTTGTTTAATTTGCATTTCTCTCATTGTTAGCTAGGTTGAGCATTTTAAAAATATATTCTCTAGATGTTTGTATTTCTTATTCTGTAAGTTTGCCTATTTTTCCATTGAGCTGTTTGTCATTTTCTCATTGGCTTTTATGTCTTCTGGCTTGTCTTGACCATCTTTGTGATTCCTGGGGTTTAGGAACCAAGTGAGAAGAAGGTACCTCTGGACATGTCATTGTTCCTTAAGCTCCAGAAGCGGGTCACAGAGCTGGAGCAGGAGAAGCAGGTGATGCAGGATGAGCTGGACCGCAAGGAGGAGCAGGTGCTCCGCAGCAAGGCCAAGGTGCGCAGCACAGCCCATCCGCAGAGCTGAAGCTGGGCTTTATGTCCATTTCAGCAGTCTCTTCCTTAGTGGAGACTCAGCCCAGCCTATCCAAGCACCACTTGGTTAAAGTAGTGAGGGCTAAACTCTCTTCACTGTTTTCGGTAGAGCAAGTAAATATTTTAAGAGTAAAAATGTGACAATTAAAATATAAAACTTTAACTTTTCCCTAGGAAGAAGAAAGACCACAAATTAGAGGTGCAGAACTGGAATATGAGTCACTCAAGGTAATGGGGAGTTTCTGCTCAAGACTTTGAATATTTTGTTTTGGCAAGAGGCCCATTCAGAGCCTCTCTTTTTCTCAGAGAACATCCTTAAGGGTTGGAGATTGCACCAGAGGTCCTAGCTTCAGCCTTATTCAGCATTACTTCTTGTGTTGTTTCTTTTTATAAATTCCATTTCATATAAGCTAGACTTTAGTCTTAACAGGAACAGGAGAAGTAGCTGCTGTTCGAGGCTGTGGTAGTAAAGGACGTGGACTCTAGCATCTGCCACTATAAAAATCCAATTGGGTATGATGGGGCAGACCAGACATAGGAGTAGGAATCTGCTCTCCAGACTTCTCCTGCTTCACACAATAATGAATGAATAAAAACATTCTCTGTAGTGTGAATGAAGCCTGGATTCACAAAGTATTAGATTAGTGGCTCTCAAAATATGGTCCCTGGACCAGCAGGATCAATGTCACCTGGTAGCTTGTTGGAAGTGCAAATTTTCAGGCCTCACACTACTAGACTTATTGAATCAGAATCTCTGAGGGTGCGCCCCAGCAATCTGTGTTTGAACAAGACCTCTGGGTGATTCTGATACACAGTAAATTTGGGAAACATTTGTAGTTTACACAT
The DNA here is from genome assembly GCF_000001405.40 of Homo sapiens. Classification (NCBI taxonomy): domain Eukaryota; kingdom Metazoa; phylum Chordata; class Mammalia; order Primates; family Hominidae; genus Homo; species Homo sapiens. The sequence continues at coordinate 52,352,986 of NC_000015.10, read as the reverse complement.
CAAAGTAATGACATTTATGTGTCTTCTGTTACAGAAATGAGCAATAAGAATCTGATTACCAGTTGGTGGGAGAATGGGGAAGGGAGAGAGCATTCATTTTTACAAAAGAATAGATTAATTCATGAAAGAAAGGGTTATATATTCTTAAACTAGAAAAAAGAAGGACTTTAAATAGTTTTTTTTTCTTTTTTCTTTTTTCTTTTTGAAATGGAGTCTCGCTCTGTCACCCAGATTGGAGTGCAGTGGTGTGATCTTGGCTCACTGCAAGCACCGCCTCCCAGGTTCATGCCATTCTCCTGCCTCAGCCTCCCGAGTAGCTGGGACTACAGGTGCCCGCCACCACGCCCGGCTGATTTTTTGTATTTTTTTAGTAGAGACGGGGTTTCACCATGTTAGCCAGGATGGTCTCGATCTCCTGACCTCGTGATCCAACTGTCTCGGCCTCCCAAAGTGCTGGGATTACAGGCGTGAGCCACAGTGCCCAGCCTAAATAGTTTTAATATAACACATTGAAAGGACTGATATAGTGCTACAAACCTAAGGTTTTGTCTCTGGGAAGAAACAATAAAATATTCAATGTTTATACACAAGTGTTTCAGTATCATCAGGCCTTGTGTCCTGTGCTAAATGAGGCACCATGGTGCTTTTAAGTGCCTGTCTGCATCTGTGTTTCCCAACCAGTATCTTGTGACACTTGTGTGCTAGTGTCGGTGGCACTCTATTCTGGGTTCCTGTTGCCATTGTTTGAACAGAGCATGGAGTGGGCAGCACTAACTGGTGGCAGGGGCTGGCTGGTAAGACATGAACTATTGGAGGGATGAGGATGTGCATATCCTTCTGGATGGCTGGAGGAAGGCCTTCAGCCTTGCCTCCTGCCTCCCAAGGCTCTGCCCACAATGTCACAAGTGCGTCACACAGAAAAGAAGTTTGAAAAATACACTATTTGTTGTCATTTAGACACAAAAGGGAGTTTTACCAGTTTGAATGAGATGGTAAACTTTTTAAATTAGAAGTTAAAAGCCTAACATTTCAATAGTCTTTCCATTCTGCTTTATAAAGGAAGTAAGAGGAGACTACTAAAGACTTCAGGGATCCACCCATCTGAATCATTCATTGGAAATATCCTGGCCAGCTGGACCCTCAGATTTCCCATATATTTATCTGCAAACAAAAGCTAGGCTCCATAGCACTGGCTAAACTCACCCCTTGGGACTCAGCAATCTCTCCATGCCAGTGAACACACCCTGGGCAGGCCAGAATACTACATTTGACTCTGGAATTTGGGCTGATGAAGCAAACTTCCATTGACCTTGCTCAATTCTACTTGATGTCAGACTTCCTTAATTTGCAAAGCAGGGCTCCTGGCAGAACCTAGGAAGCCATTCACTAGGGTAACTCTGATGAACTTTTTCAGCAGAATTCTTCTACCAGCTTGGGAGAAGTTTGAGCATCCAACGTAAAGTTGAGGATGACAGCAATGAACTTTTCTTTGTCTTTTCATACAGCGTCAAGAACTAGAATCAGAAAACAAAAAACTGAAGAATGAGCTAAATGAGTTGCGCAAGGCCCTCAGTGAGAAAAGTGCCCCAGAGGTGACCGCCCCAGGTGCACCTGCCTACCGTGTCCTCATGGAGCAGCTGACCTCTGTGAGCGAGGAGCTTGATGTCCGCAAGGAGGAAGTCCTCATCTTAAGGTCTCAACTGGTGAGCCAGAAAGAGGCCATCCAACCCAAGGTAAGCGCAAGCACACAATTAAACTGGGTGTTCGGGGACTGGCCTCAATATCTTCTTATCCCTTCCCTCCAGTTTATAATGCAGCAAACACTTAAGAGCATTTTTAATCTAATTGAGGATTCATTATTTTTTTAAAAAAATCCCAGTGTTGTTTAAAACTATTGTAAGTATAAATTGGAATGAGCAAAAAGCCAGGGGAATCCCAAATGATCACAAAGTTTCATCTCTCATGAGTTTTAAAATTAATCTTTTTGTAGTAATCTGGCCACAATAAATTTTAATCTAAAATAAAATTTTATTAAATACAAAAATCTCTAAATTTTCTTACTGCGGGAAGGCATTAAATACAACTTTAAAATCATTTGTCAAAAATAGCTGGTTTAATTGGAGAAGTAACAGATGAACCGGTTAGAAGTGACATCAGTGAGTGGAAGTTACATGGAGATGATTTCTGCTCACTTTAGGCAGTTCTGTTTAGTAGCGGGGTGATGTCCCAGTGGGAGGGGCTGTTTAAGGATTCAACAGAGAGGACTCCTGCACTGAGGATATAGATGGCCCTTTGAAGTCCTTCCCTGCCTTCATTTGAGACCCAGTGCTGCCGTATGCTGAAGAGAGATGGGCCTTTCTGTCATTTGCCACCAGAGGGAATCTGAGTGATCACCTTGAAAACCTGGCCTGCCTCCCTGCCCTTGTGCACACAGCAGAGCATCACAGGACTCAAGGCAGTCAAGCATCCCAACTGTGTGGTGTGTCATATAAAAAAATCCATGATATATAATGAGCTGGATGCCTGAAAATCTGAGAGTACTCCTCTTAGAAATGATATTTCTGCATGCAGTTTAGATACTGTGCCTGGCACGTATAATCGGACTTGATGAAGGCAACTCACACCTGAGATCAACACTGGTCCAAAAAATATCAAATTCTAAAAACAAGATGTTTGACTAATTTGGGGGAATAAAATTCCTGTAATAGTGGAGTTATATAGAGAAATGGGCTTTCTTACTTTAAAATAAATCACAGGCCAGGTGTGGTGGCTCACGCCTGTAATCTCAACACTTTGGGAGGCCGAGGCGGGCAGATCACGAGGTCAGGAGATCGAGACCATCCTGGCTAACACAGTGAAACCCCATCTCTACTAAAAATACAAAAAATCAACCGGGTGTGGTGGCAGGCGCCTGTAGTCCCAGCTACTTGGGAGGCTGAGGCAGGAGAATGGCGTGAACCTGGGAGGCGGAGCTTGCAGTGAGCCGAGATCGTGCCACTGCGCTCCCGCCTGGGCGATAGAGTGAGACTCCGTCTCAAACTAATCATAATCATAATCATAATCATAATCATAAACCCCTTAAGCCAGAAATGAGAAGAACCCCCATTTTGGCTTGCCGTATAGGTTGCACCTTACCCCAGGGCTGTCACAGTTGGTTCCCTTGGCTACCACTGTGGCTGGGCCTCAAGAAACAAGGCTTGCAATCTAGCTTGAGCAGAGTCCAAAATCAAGATTCCTTTCTCTAGTTTTCTTGAGACAAATTAGTATTCTTTCTTAAAAAAATGTTAATTGACAAATAATAATTGTATATATTTATGGGGTTGCAATGTGGTAATCTCACAAGAAATTTTAGTAAAAATCAAGAGAAAGGAAAAGAAAAATGAAGCAAAGGACATAAAAACAGTCCAGCTAACAGAGCACATAGTTCTGCTATCACACATTCTCCCTTGCCCGGCTCACGTACCCCATGTGACAGCTGCTCTCCTGACCCTAATGGGCTGACCCGGTCCAACTGAGGTACCTAAGTTCCTCAGCTCCCAGCCTAAACATGGTAGCACTCGTGTCCCATCCTAGGAGAAATGCCCTTGACACTAATTAAGATCTTCCAGACTCCCCAGGGCTGTTTGTCTCACTCAGTTTCTAGTCTGAGAGACACATCATGTCACCACTCCATTGCAGGGCAGTGGTGAGCAACACCCTGTGAGCTAGGGAATGATCCAGCCCAGGCAGGTCTTGTGTATTGGCTCCACCTCTAGAGTATTCTGGGAATCTTCCCTTGGACAAACGACTTCTGTGAGAGACATAACTTTAACTCCACAGACCTACGATAAGAATTTCACCCACAAATAACAGGAGGGTCATTCTCTCACATACTCAAAGATATTTTATAACCAGAAAAATCAAAACAATTTTAAAAGAATTTCAAGCATTTGTTCCTGGAAATAGAAGTTGTCAACATATAAATATATATTAGTCTCTGTTTTATGACAGTTCCAGGAATGTTAATGTATATATAGAGTTAATTTTAGAGAAACAACTCATGGCTGTTTTTAAATTAGCTTTTATCTGTTATAATAGGAACTCATTGATGAAATTTATTTATGGAACTAAGGGTTTATTGTTTTCTCTGTTTTTTGTGCTTGCTGACTTGTGATTCTCAGGATGACAAGGTAATTATACCTTTTTTTTTTTTTAGTAAATACTTCTATTTAATCCTAACTTTAGTTTACAAGTATCCCCCAATAAAGGCAATTGATGCTTTCTGACCAAGTCTATTTTGATATTTTGAATTTGTAAGTGAATTTCCGATTTGACTCCTTCTGATTTGGGAAGTCAGTAGGGAAACAGTGGTTATAGTAGGCTCCAGTCTAGATTATAGAGGGGACTCCATGACTTCTAATTCATAGGCAGCTCTATGACTCACTGCCGTAGTTCTGGTAGGCTGTCCACAGGCTGGGGAGGGAAGCCCTTAACTTGGAGTACACTCAAAAGCACAGGCTCTCCTGAGCTCTCATATCTACCAGTGGCGGGCTTGTTGGTTAAGGGTGAAGGGGAGCCTGAGGAGCTGAGCACACTGTTCTTTGCTGCCATTTTCATCTCCCTGAGTGTAGAGTCCACAGCTAGAATGAAATGTGGCTCGTTGACGAGGTTGCAAAGTCAAATTTCTCTACCATATCCCTGTTTCTCTATGTACTGAGTGACAGATATTGCTGGAATTTTCCTATATAGCACAACCCTTTTAGAACTTCTGGTCACAGGCTTAAGAGAGACAAAGTTTGAGCAGTGAATCAGGAACTTCCTGAATGCTGGTGGCCCAAATCTGATCCCATTCCCCAAGTGCCACTTTTTAGCTAAGGTAGTCAGAATGAGGGAAGAACTGGTGACTTACCACCCAGGAGAGAAGCATACTAAGAAGCCTTTCTTCTCTTGGATTAGTTAATTTGATCAAGTTACCTCATTTGCTAAAAGTTCACAACCATACCATGTAAGTCCTGAGATACCAGAGCACACAGATAGCATTATTTGATGTAAACACTTGGGTCTTTGAAAGTTATTACTTATGGGTTTTAAAAATCTGAGTATGGCCCTTTATAAAACAGAAAGATTTTATTCCTTTCAGAGAAAGAGAAAAAAGAACCTCTTTGTAAAACAGGTACTAAAATATTTACAAAACATAGCTAAAAAAAATACTCTGTGGTTTTAATGGGAAAGATTTTTAAAATTCAATAAAATGTAAACTATTTATTAGTATATTTCATGAGATTATAGTTGGTCTTCTCAGAGGAAGCATTTATAAACTTACAAAAGGATAGCATTAAGAGAAAAGTGGTATTTTTTTTAAGGATTTTTAAAATACACATTGAAATTCAGAAACAAGCATTTGTAAGTCTCTGATTGGCATTAAAGTTATCTTGGAACTTGTCTTTAAGATCATGGTATTTGAAGTGTATTTTATTAAGTCTGTTTCATTGCAAGGCCTGAGCTTAGATCATGTTTACTAAAGAATCAGACATATACTATTTAGACAAATATGTGGTCCAAAAGCTTTTGAGTTGAATTTTATGTGGAAATGTTTCCATTTAGACAAAGCCACTGGGTTCTGAAGTATATTGTTTTTTAGAGGCTACACAGCAGGGTTTCTTTTTTTGCTTTAAGTTTTGGGATACATGTACTGAATATACAGGTTTGTTACATAGTTCCATGTGTGGAACTATGTTCCATTGTGGTTTGCCAGCAGTGATTCTTATCTCTTACTCTTGTCTAGAAAGATAGAGTAGCTGAATAGGAGAAGATTTTGAAATTACATTGCTTGTCAGACAGATTTGACTAAACGGAGAAAATTAAAAAGAAAATTAAAATGTTGGAAAAAAGTTATTCTTATATAAAATAATTAATAATTCTGACCTGCCAGATGTTTATTTCAAAAGCTTAAGTACTATGTTATGTTATACTAGAGGAAAAGAGAACTGAATGTGAGAAAAAAAACTTAATTTTGCTGAAGCATATAATCTGAATACTACCTTCTTTTTCTGAGTTTTTAATGAAAAAGTGAACTTTATGTCAGACTTTCAGTGTTTTGGGGCATCTGCTCATTGTAACTAGTCATGAAGTAGTAGAAAGAATGGCTTTGTACATTCCATTAAATAGGTGCCTGGTTATTTTTCTAATGCTGTATATACTATATTATATACTTTATAAAATATATATATATTTTTTTTCACATAATGTAAAACACATATATGGCCCATCAGTGATTTTATTTACAGGGCCGTGACATTGTAGAATCTTCCCACCTTTGTAGCAGAGTGCTAGTGTTTCTCAGGAGAAAAACTGAAGGTACCTCTTCTCAACTACCTGGGCCAAACTCCCCTCTGCAGTTACATGAGGTTGGGGCTGATGCTTTGGTGGGTCACAGGTATGGTGGAGCACATAACCACTGCCCCCCAGTTATACCAAATAAATGTGTTTTATGTCCAAAGCTTTTGAGTTGAATCTTAATGCGTAAATGTGTTATTTCCCTCTCAGAATACAATGACAGATTCCACAATACTTTTGGAAGATGTACAAAAAATGAAAGATAAAGGTGAAATAGCACAAGCATACATTGGTTTGAAAGAAACAAATAGGTAAGTTGATCCTTCTTTTATTCATTTTGGTTTAATTATATTGATCTTTAGCCTTCAAGCCAGCCTCTTGTACAGTAAAAGTGTTCATACATTCCTTTATATTAGACATTAACTGGCCTTCAAAGGGAATCCAAGGTTTCCAGTGTATTTCTAGTTAAGATCTTCATTATAATATAAGGTAATAGTATTGACAAAAGGTGTCAGGGAAAATGTGCTTTAAATCAAAGCAAGATTTTAAAAATATTTAATGTCTTAGCTTTAAGGGGCTGCCTTGAGAAGAAAACTACCTGCTCAGGTCATACAATCTTAGGTAGTCACTTTCATTTGTTATTCAGGATGGTTATTTGTGAAGGTTTGTAGGGGCAACTGCAGTTTTCAATATTTGAAACTTAAGAGTGAAAAGAAGTGATGAGGTATCTGGAATCACTCAGTGTTGGCCATGTAACTCTAAAAGGGCACCATGACTTCTAGGATAGAAGAATGAAGGCTCATATCTGGAATTCCCCTTGGCCTTACTACCACCCTCCTTCCCAGCAAAGTCTATTGGTCTGGGGCTCTTGATGGATAGTTTCAGGATTGGTAAACATACATACTTTATAAACTGAAGAATATTGCCATACAAAAAGAAAGGTGCAGTCAGCCCTCAATATCCATTGGATCCCTATCTGTGGAGTCAACCAATGGAGGATGGAAAATATTTTTTAAATTACATTTGTACTGAACATGTACAGACTTTTTTCTTATTTCTTTTCTTTATCTTTCTTTTTTTTTTTTTTGAAATGGAGTTTCCCTCTTTCGCCTAGGCTGGAGTGAAGTGGAGCAATCTCAGCTCACTGCAACCTCCGCCCCCCAGGTTCAAGCGATTCTCCTGCCTCAGCCTCTCGAGTAGCTGGGATTATAGGTGCCCACCACCACACCCGACTAATTTTTGTATTTTTTTTAGTAGAGATGGGGTTTCACCATGTTGGCCAGGGTCGTCCCGAGCTCCAGGCCTCAGGTGATCCACCCGCTTCGGCCTCCCAACGTGCTAGGATTACAGGCATGAGCCACTGCGCCCGGCCCTATCATTATTTCTTAAACAATACAGTGTAACAGTTATTTACAGAGTATTATAAGTAGTCTAGAGATTACATATTACAAGTTTTTAGGTATTATAAGTAATCTAGAGATGATTTAAAGTGTACGGAGGATGTACATGGTTATATGCAAATAGTATGCAAATTTTATATAAGGGATTCGAACGTCTGTGGATCTTGCTATCCAAGGGAGGACCTGGAACCCAATGGATATTGAAGGATGACTGTGCTTCTTATCTTCTTTTATGGACAAGGGTGGAGAATGCTTATAAAAGTATTTGGTTATACTTAAATTTTAATTTATCAGTTTAAATTATAAACATATGTTATATCTAAGAATGTGTTAATATAGAAAGAACTGTATTGTATCACAATGTTCTTCCATCCACTTAGCTATTCTATCACCAGTGTGCCTACTTCATGCCAGGCCTTGTGCCACATACTGGGAATACAGTAATAAGCAAGATAAATGCGGTTCCTACTCTCACTGAGATTATAGGCTGCTGGGGAGACAGCTGAGAGGGTTTGGACTTTATTCCAAAGATAATGGAATCCTCTGAAAGGTGTTAAGTAGGAGAATGGTGTGATGAGATTTGATTTTTGGAAAGCTAGCCCTGGCTGTTATGTTAGAGAATAGACTGCAGTAGAACAAAATTGGAAGCATAAAGGCCAGAGAGTATTCCTGTAACCCAGTGATTATGGTGACTTGGGCTTGGCTGGTGGCAGTTAGGATTGACAGAAATGGGACGTTTTGAAAGATACATAAGAAGACGAAGTCAGAAAGCTGTTTGGTTTATTGAATGTGTGGGCGAGGGATGGAGAAGCCTGAAGGTGACTCCGTGGTTTCTGCTATCTTGGTTAGGTGTGGTGATACCGTTTTGTGATCGTGGGACTGGAGTGTGGGGAAATGCACAGTGAAGATGATCAGTAGATTTATACATATGGATTTAAGGAGCCAGGAAAACATCCAGAGAAAGAAATCTATTAGGCAGTTGAGTATATAAATCTGTAGACAGGAGAGATGTGTGTACTGAGATAGAAATTTTGAAGTCATCAGAGTATAATAATACAATGGAAACCGTGTAAATAGGTGAATTCTCTAGAGAGATATGAACTCTCTAGATGTAAAGTAGAAGACAATGCCTGGAATTTGGGTTATGTAAACATAACAACAATATAGCAGGAGTAAGAACCTGGACTCCAGAGTCAGTGCTGGGATCCACTACTTACCAGCTGTGTAACCTCTATGGGTATCTTACTTCCAAGCCTCTGCGTCTTCCTCTGCAATGTGGCAAATGACTTGTTGGGTTACTGGGGAAACTGAATTAGTACATGTGGAAAGAATGTAGAACAGCATCTGACACTGAGCAAACACTCAAAAAATATTATTTTTATATTCTAAGTGGAAAATAAATGATTACTAACATTATCATTACTAATTATACGTTTTTAATAAGATGTGATACATCTCTAATATAGCAGTTTTTCCAGGCATACAATTAATTTTTGACACAAAAAAGCTTTTAAAAATCATGTCATAAAAGCTGAGAACCTTGGACATGTTCTGATTTATGTTACTGCTATAAGAATTTTTAAAACTGGTTTTTTAATGTGGGAAATTAGGTTTTATTAAGCTAAAAACGTTCCTACCTAGAGGACTTAAAAATTCATCTTGAAAAATATTATGAAGTTTGCCACACAAAGACAGTAGCTGAAGTTTTTGTTCTATATGTGTCATAACCTCTAATACAATATGTGATGTATTAGATCACTTTGCTAGCTGAATAAAACATCAAAAACAGAACCTCTTTCTCACCTTCCAGTCATTTCTTATTTTGCAGGTAAAGTAGCTCTACATCCTTGATTATTTTGCTTTAATTTCTATCCATTTACATGTGATGCTACATGTTACTCATTTTTAAAAATTAACCAAAAATAATTTTTGTGGTAATGTCTTAAAGTTGTCATAATGAATAAAAACAAACTTATAAAATGTTGAAATACTGCATGCTGCTGTTGACCATCGTCACCTCATCAGCATCCTGTATCCTTTTGTGTTTTGCATTGTTGTTCCTTTTGCATGGAAGATCATCTGCTCTGGATTACCATGAGTTGAATGAGGATGGAGAGCTGTGGCTGGTTTATGAAGGGTTAAAACAAGCCAACAGGTTATATTTGTCTCCTCAAAATGGAATGTTATTAATTTGTTGTTTTTCTTACTAACAGTGACCTCCTGACTTTCACCCCTGTATTTCTTGTGCATTGATTGTCTTCTTGGGTAAATTAGTGTTAGTAATTGTGTTATTTGTTCAAAGCTTTTCAGTAAAACTGAGAACATTCAGCCAAACACCTTTTTTTTTTTTCTTTTTTAGACGGAGTCTCACTCTGTTGCCTAGGCTGGAGTGCAGTGGTGCGATCTCAGCTCACTGCAACCTCTGCCTCCTGGGTTCAAGCAATTGTCCTGCCTCAGCCTCCTGAGTAGCTGGGATTACAGGCGTGCACCAACATGCCTGACTAATTTTCTGTATTTTTAGTAGAGACGGGGTTTCACCATGTTGGCCAGGCTGGTCTCGAACTCCTGACCTCAGGTGATGCGCCCACCTGAGCCTCTCAAAGTATTGGGATTACAGGCGTCAGCCACCACACCCGGTCCAAACACCTTCTTTAAAAACCTTCACTACAAGATACTATTAAAGCTAAAATTGAATGGTGGTGAATATAAGACACTTCCCTTCAGACACTAAAATTTGTGAATCTCTCTCTCCCAGGAGTTAAAAGAAAAACATAATCTTTCAATTAGGGCACAAACTATTGGGGGAGAGATTAAGATTTATTACTGAGACAGTGGCTTCTCATATCCTATAGATAGATCTACAGGATATATGTGTCTATGGCAATGTGGCTACATTTTTCTTTTCTTTTTTTTGACACAGGGTCTTGCTCTGTCACCCAGGCTTGAGTGCAGTAGCATGATCACGGCTTAATTCAGCCTTGACCTCCTGGGCTCAAACGATCCTCCTGCCTCAGCCTCCTGAGTAACTGGGACTGTCACAAGCATGTGCCACCACACTCAGCTAATTTTTTTATTTTTTGTAGAGACAGGGTTTCACTTGGTTGCCCAGGCTGGTGTCAAACTCCTGGGCTCAAACAATCCTGCCTCGGCCTCCCAAAGTGTTGGGATTACAGATTTGAGGTACTGCGCCCAGCCTACCTTCTTATATATTATTATCATGCTGTCTAAAAGCAAGATGAAATGCATGATTTGGCACTCTGTGTGGTTATTATGAAATTCACATTTGTGAAACAGCAAATCAGGAGAGTTTTCTGCATTGCTATAGCTCAGAATAATTACCCAAATTCAACCCGTTAAATATGTTCAGAGGAGAGAAAATAAAATTGAAACAGCAGCACCTTTCTAACACAGACATTCATCTGCTCTAGTGATATTTGTCTTTAAAATCTCATTAAAATTCTATTTTAGTGATTAAATTTTTAAAACACTCAAATGTTTGTTCAAGGGGCTTCTGCTTATTCTGCTTTGTTCTCATCATTAACGCTTGTCATTAACTTTGGGGTGTTATTGCTGCAGATCTTTTTGAAATGTTTTAATCACTAAATATTTTTAGTCCACTGTTAACAGTTTGCTTGCAATGGCATCATTAAGTTTTACCCAGCAGTTGGCAACCAAGGGACTGGAATAAAAGAATGTCTTTTCTTTCTTCACATTAGTTAGTTCTTAACCATAACTTTGCATTTGGAAGAGAGTGACTGTAGAAGCAGGGGTGCGTGGCAAAGGGAGGATGCTCTGACTCTGGTGTTCTCACTGCCAATGCCTGGTCTGCTCTGTGGGCACAGCTGGCTGTATGTTTGCTTGGAAAAGCAATAACCACTTTTTTGGTCCTATTAATATTTGTGTTCTAAAACCACATCTTGTTAGGATTCTGTTTCTGATATGTAAGTTTATGCGGAGAGAGAAGATGACAGATCTAAAATATATATAGGAAATTTCAGAACTATTTGTGTGGATTCGGGTAAATCTGTATATATAAGGCTGGAGTGGTGTTCCAGCCTTTCTGTCTTTCAGAATAGGAGTAGAATATAATTCCCTCTGCCTGGAATTAGTAACTGTAGTTCTGAAGGCACATTTAGTTAATTTGGAAGTTTATAATGTTGGCCTTTATAGTGCAGAGTTGTTTTGTGGCAAAGGTGTACTGTCTTTGCCAATTTAAATGCTAATTTATAAATGCAAATGCAAGGCAAATTAAAGCTGTTTTTTTCAATTGATTTTTTTTTTTACATCCTCATTTCCTATGACCCTCTTTTTTTTTTTTTGAGACGAAGTTTTGCTCTTGTTTGTTGCCCAGGCTGGAGTGCAATGGTGCAATCTCAGCTCACTGCAACCTTTGCCTCCTGGGTTCAACCAGTTCTCCTGCCTCAGCCTCCTGAGTAGCTGGGACAAAAGGCATGCCCCAACACGCCTGACTAATTTTTTGTATTTTTAGTAGAGATGGGGTTTCGCTATGTTGGCCAGGCTGGTCTTAAACTCCTCATCTCAGGTGATCCGCCTGCCTCAGCCTCCCAAAGTGCTGAGATTACAGGCGTGAGCCACCACACCCGGCCTCCTATGAACCTTTCAAGAGAACTAAAACTCTCCTGTTTCTTAGGGCCTCTGAGAACTTTATATAATGCAGAAAGACACAAATGTGAGAGCACCCGTTTCTATTTCTGCTTCTTGTTTTAGTTTCTTGACTTTAATCAAGTCAGAAGATAACACAGATACTAAAGAATATCTGCTTTTCCTACTCTTGCAAGTGAACACGATGCCTTACACCCGTTAGGCAGCAACTCGGGGTGTCGTCTCCCCTTCCGACCCATGTGTCCTCTCCGCAGGCTCCTGGAATCCCAGCTGCAGTCACAGAAGAGGAGCCATGAGAATGAGGCCGAGGCCCTCCGTGGGGAGATCCAGAGCCTGAAGGAGGAGAACAACCGACAGCAGCAGCTGCTGGCCCAGAACCTGCAGCTGCCCCCAGAGGCCCGCATTGAGGCCAGCCTGCAGCACGAGATCACCCGGCTGACCAACGAAAACTTGGTAAGGAGAGCTGCCGGGTCCACATGCTTCTTAACCTAGCCTGCCCGACAGTCTAGTTTCTTTTTGATCAAACACGGGTTTTTCTTGCTGGGAAAAACTCACCCCTCTGTACTTGTTACCCCTCTTACTCCAGCAGAGACAGAGTAAGGAAAATACAAATATTTTGGTAGGAAGGAAGAAGGCACAGGTTCTCTTTATCACGGAGGGCTGCGTGCTCTTAGACCTGCCCTGGAGGCAGACAACCACCTGGGTGCAGGCTGGGCTTTTGATGGCAGGTGATCTGCTTCCTCCATTTCAGCTGCAGATCCTCTGCCATCCTAGGTTTATTATGTGATTGTCACAACTGAGACTGGGGACAGGCTTCCTTTACCTTTGGTCCCCAAGCAGCCACTGAGGCCATCCCAGGCTCCACCTCTAGCAGACAAGTAGGGTTAGAGTTGAGGTTGAGAAAGGCGGTTGGCAAAACTAAGCCGGGGTTTTTGGTTGATGTTGGATGGAGCTCCCAGGTCAGGGAGGTGTGTGTTAGGATTCAGGTTTACATATTTTCTGTTCTTTTAAACAGAACTTGTATAACAAGTGAGGAAATTGTCTTTTTCCTTGTCAGATTCTAAACCCTGGCATGGAGTCTGACTGTTTTCTTTTCTTTTTTTTGCCTTGTTCCTTTTTTTTTTTCTTTTGCCAAAAAAATTTTCTAAAATATTTCTCAGTCACATAATAACTTTTATTACTGATTTACAGTTTTTTGACAAATATATTTACTATATTAAAAATCCTTAAAAAGTGATAATTTCATATTTCTATATAAAGTCTATATTGTAGTGCTAGCCCGATTTTGAGAAAAATTGTTTAGGATTGGTGGTGATTTGTGTCTTTTTTAAATTAACATTTTTAATGACCTATAATAAAATAGTATGAATTTTCTCTGAAGATTTAACAATCTGAATTATCCCTCCATTACTCCATTTGTGATAATTTACATTACAAACAGTTTTCTAGTGTCATTTATTCAACCATCTTTTATATGAATTAGAAGCAAAACGCAAAGGTATTCTTTTTCACAGTCTGTCTGTATGAGGCTCCACCATGGGAATGAGGGAGGAGGGTGGGGGCAGTGTGTGGGCTCTTTCCAAAGTGATTGACATCTCACTAATTTGTGGGGAAAATTTTCTGAATCATGAAATATTTTTTGAAGTGTTATTTTACAAAGCTCAAGTATACTGTTGCTTAAATTAAACTAACAATGCTTTGATGACTAAGTATTACCAAATATACTGAATAATATAATAAGTTGATTGATTGGCATACAAGTTCTGTGCTTTAAATTATTGTTTTAAAATACAAGGTGAAATCGTGAAATAAAGATGCTTCTGGGTGGCAGATTTCCAGGGTTTTTTCACTAAGTTGGTCAGACATTTCTCTTGCAACCTTGTTTGCAATATTAATTTTTTTGGCAATTTTTCATAGCTAATACAAAAAATAGACTAAGCCCCTATATTCTAAGCTAATAGAGCCCAGTTAATGAATTTGAGTTTGGGGAAAACCTTTTGTAGGTCAGCTGCTTCTCCTGCCATCACACTGACTACTAATTCAGGAGGATGGATTCAAACATAAGTACAGGAAATGATAGACTTTTTCAAAATCATTGTTTTCTCAATCTTAATTGTGCATTTCTATAAGAAACACTTGAGTAGGATATTAAAGCCCAGCAGGAGACCTGGGCTTAGTGCTCTTGAAACTCTACCTTGCCCACCTACCTACCACCAACACAAAACACAAAAATGATTTTTCTACCTCATCTAGTGAACAGGCTTCACAGGCCTCCCCCGTGCTGTCTTTCAGCGAAGGAAGATGCACAGCTTCCCACCAGCCTCTCCAGCTTCACAAGCTAACATTGCTATTATTCTCACTTTTATTATATTTACCTCCCCTATTCTTGCCACTGCTGCTGGCGGCAAAAAAAAAAAAAAAAAAGTGCAGCAAGTTGTGAGCATCATGTGTTGGGGAGGCTGGGAGTAAAAAGGCAGGAGGTTGGAGGAGGGAAATGACAGCCTTATCTGGGCCTGCTAAGTGATGGCATCCTGGCCACAGCCTCTTTCCTTTGTTCACACAAGAAACATCTGTACATATGTAATTAGAATAATCTATACTAGAAAGATAAAAGGGTAATGGAAGGTGACAAATCAGAGCCTTTCAAGTATATATAGTTTCACTATTTGTATTTTAAAATATTTTAAAATTGATTTTGCTGAAAGATAGCATTTCCCTCAAACACACAGACAAAAACAAATATCCATTGTGCCTGTTTTTTCAGTATTTTGAGGAATTATATGCAGATGACCCTAAGAAGTATCAATCATATCGGATTTCCCTTTACAAACGGATGATTGTATGTAAAACCATAGTGCTTTTCTGCTGTCTTCCCTTGCTACTTATAGCCCTCTGTAACTGAAGAGCACACTGCTGCCTGCCCCCTCCCAGGAAGTCTCTTCAAAATTTTCACGAAACCTGTTTCTCCCCACAGCTGTCTTTTAGCCAGTGGTGTCACCTCTGTCAGTGTCCTGAGTCCATTGTCACGTTTGGTTTGTTATTAACACTAGGCTTACAGTGTGATGGAAGCAAAATGTGATTTGAAAGGTCACGTAAAATCCAAGAAGTACAACTTAACACTTTGAAGAGATAGCAACTGTTCCCTTTAATGGTTGGCCTAGTAGCTAAATCTACTCCTGTCTAAACTGGAAAATGAATATTTGTATTTGGAATGCCTTTCTTCTCCATAACCTGAATAACAGACCACACACATTGCTGACTCATAGCCCTTCTAAGCTGTTACTGAGCCTACTGTTGTCCACTTTCTTTTTGATTGAGTTTTTAACCATGTCTGTCATTTGAGCAAATTCTTTATTAAATAGCCAATAATCATGGACTTTTTTTTACCTTCCTCCTTAAGTGTACTGCTTTTGTTTCTGTTTTTGCATAAAGCATTCATAAATACCCCTTTCTTCTGTATAAGCAAAATTATATCACCTGCAAGATTTTATAGATGCCTTATGCCACTTGCCACTTTGGTCCTAGGTAAGCAGACCACTCTTTATCCTGTTCTTTGTGATTATTTTTTTCAACTTATCTTTTAATTCCCAAAACTTCTGAACTATTCTTAAGTTTCAGGGCTAATTTTAGAATTTCATAGGGTGGCTCTCATAGAGACAGTGCTTCACACATGGGGAGTGTCAGTTCCTACCTAAGTTCAACCATTCTTTCCACAAACCTTTTTGTGCATTCATCAAAATTTATTTTTGCCTAGTCAGTCCTCCTTTAAAAGAAAGCATTCTACTGGAATACCAATACATTCTACAAAGCATTCAGTTGATTTTCCCACATGGAGTCTACTGGAAAGACTCTGCAGTGAGCCTGCTGTCCATCACGCTGTAAAGGAGTTTACTGCGTTGTATATTTTAACATATGGCTTTTATTGTAGCTGCATTTCCCATGCCTGCCAATTTTAGCCAGGTGGTGGCTCCACCAATGAGCTCTTATGTAAAACTAACGTGTTGTTTCTGTGATATTGTGTCTATTTTCCTTTGATGCATTTTAGAAGGCCTGTTTCGATTTTTCTAATATATTTCTCTTTTTGATCTTTAGGATTTGATGGAACAACTTGAAAAACAGGATAAGACGGTCCGTAAACTGAAAAAACAACTGAAAGTATTTGCCAAAAAAATTGGCGAACTAGAAGGTATTTAAACCTTTTTTTCAAGACGGTCACTGAGTCTTGGTTTGAGTCTTGGCTTAAAGACTAGGCTATATAAGTGGCCTAATAGAGGTTTGCATGCAAATATTAGGGATAATAACAAAATATGACTTTTGGCAAACCTAACCTCTTTTGAGTAGAAATTTACATTTTTAAATGAGGAAAAATGTTCTTTTCATGGGTAGTAATAATTTACAGATTTTACTCTGTAAGCATCTAATGAATATCTTCTATATGCCAGACAATGTGCTAGGCAGTATAGCATAGGAGTTAAGAATGTGGATTCTGGAGTCAAGCTTCTTGGGTTCAAATCTTAGCTCTTCTACTTATTAATCATATGATATTGGGCAAGTTTCTGAACCTCTGTATGCCTGTGCTTTCCCATCTGTTAAATTAGAAAGATAATAGCATCTATCTGACATGGTTTATAAGGATTGAATGAGCTATTAGGTTGGTCCAAAGGCAATTACTTTTAATGGCAGGAACTGCAAATGCCTTTGCATCAACCTAATAAGTATATTACACTTAGAAAAGTTACTGACGCATAGTAAAAATGCTTCATGCGACTTAGTTATTAGTCACTATCATTATTCTTAGTATTAGGGATACTAAGATGAGTATGATAGAGTCTGTCCTCAAAGAACTTACAGTCTAATGGAGGAAAAATAGAGAAGTAAAAAAGAAAAATATGAATTATGATGATAAAGAAATAAGATTTTTAAAAACATCTCATGATTTCTATATGATGATGATGAAAAAATTCCTTGAGAAATAACCAAATATCAGTTGTTGTTATTATTTATATACAAATGGATCTTATCTTTTCTATTAGTGTGTTTATGTGTTTATTTGTTAAGAGTTATAGGTACAGGGATCTAGCAGTGAACAAGGCTAAAGCCAAACTCCTTTTTTTTTTTTTTTTTTTTTTTTTGGAGACAGAGTCTTGCTCTGTCGCTGAGGCTGGAGTGCAGTGGTGCAATCTCGGCTCACTGCAACCTCTGCTTCCCGGGTTCAAGCAATTCTCCTGCCTCAGCCTCCTGAGTAGCTGGGATTACAGGTGCATGCCACCATGTCCAGCTAATTTTTGTATTTTTAGTAGAGACGGGGTTTCACCATGTTGGCCAGGCTGATCTCGAACTCCTGAGCTCGTGATCCATCTGCCTCAGCCTCCCAAAGTGCTGGGTATAGGCGTGAGCCACCGCTTCCAGCCTAAAGCCAAATTTTAAGCTTATTTCAATGTTCTCACTGCTTAAGGGATTTTGAGACAGTCTTTGGAATAGCCTTCAAACCTGTGTGAACGGTTAATCATTTTCTCTCATTGTCATTCTGCATCTAATTCTTGCTTGGTTCAAACAGTGAAGATTCCCCATCACTGAGGATGTTCAAAAGAATCTATCATGATTAACTCCAAGTGTGGTTTTCATTCCTCCAACATGCCAGGTCTTGTCATAACTGCTCCTTCTGTTTGGTCATCCTGCTTCTCCTGGTTAAGTCCTGCTCAGCCTTTGAGACCAGAGTCATATGTCACATCCTCAAGAGTAGCCTTTCCTGATTACCCAGACAGACGTTATGGTTCTGCTCTCTGTGTACCACAATTTGGCCGACATCTTTTATGGTCTTCACTATGTCATATTTTTAGCAATTTTTCTGTTTGAATTACTGGCTTCCATAATAGACTCTGAGCTTCCTGAGCATAGAAAACATCTCTGTTTCCCTTTGCTTTCACAGCACCTAGCATAGTGTCTGACCTATCTCATAATCATTCCATAAATGTTTGTTGAGTGAATGAGTAAGTTTCAGAAATATTTATAACATGGCAACATGGACATTTACTTTGTAAAGGATATTACTCTGTTGGATGTACAAATACTGAAATATTTGTTTAGAAATCAGAAAGATTATTTTATAGTCACACTTTATATATAATCCTTTAGCATTACATGAGTCATATATTACATTAAAATTTGAGCCTCCACATCACACACTCACACACACATGAGCTATAATGTCTATTAGCAGAACTTAAAAATCTTTATTCAGAGAACTTTTTGCACTTTGCACCAATTATATCATGAGATGATAATCAGACAGCAGAGTATTTGTTTGAAAAAAACAGATTTTAAGTGTATTAACATGTGAGATTCTTTTTTTGTTCAACTCCTAATGATTCCTTTGCCATACTTTAGTAAATTTTGATAAACAGAAAAGCCATTCATTATTTTACATAATTTTTATTAGTTTTCTTTGATATGTATATTTTTTAGTTGAAGAGATGGGTTAGACTATTTTAAGATATTACTAATCTTAAGCCATTGTCAATCAGAAATCAACCTCATCATTTAAACTATCCAGACAGCTGTAAAGCCATAAGTAGCATTTGAGAATAGCAATTCATAGATCAAACAAAAAAGGCATTATAATAGTTCTTAAGAAGAGTTACATTTTGAGTTAAGTGATACATATCTAGAGGATGAAATGAAATAGATTTATGTGACTTGGGCACTTGCTGAGTGCAGTGTACCTGCTTCTACCCCAAATAAAGAGAATCAAGGTGACACTTTTCATCCTCGTATCTGCCTGTTACACAGAAAATACAGGCACCTTCTAATAACTAAACGTTGTCTTATACTTTTCTTTAAATGTATTGCAACACACTTAAATCCTTTTGGTTTAAAATAGCACAACTCTTGCCTCCTCCTACAAGCTACATTTAATTAAGGAGGCTTTTTAAAAAGCCAACAGACTTTTAAAAAAAATGCTAGCATATATAATTTTTGGCAGAAACTATATAGCTAAATGGAGAGTGTTTCAAAATTTGATCTGCTTTGTGCTATATTTTCACCCATCTTAATTTTCATGGAATCAAGAAATTAAGACCTGAAAGGATTCTAGAAATCAATTAGTTATTTCATAAGAGGAAAAAACTAAGGCCTGTAAGTGACCCATGGTTGCAGCAGGTGAGATGGCAGGACTAGAACACATACCTTCTAAGGGCCACTGATTTCTCTCCTTTGTGTCAAATTTTCCCACAGAAATCTTCTACTTATTAGGAATTCATCTGATTGTCTCAAACTTGAGATCAAGATCTTCCTGGTGCCAAAAGTAAATTTTTTTAAAACTTTCCAATTTTCTTTCCTTTTTGAAGACAGAAAGGTTCCCTCAAGTTTATAAAGAATCTAGAAAATGAAACTAGAGTCTTTTTTCAGGTCTTCCTAGAAGAATGGATCATTGGGCTCCTCAGTCCCTTTGTGCTGCTATAACAAAGTACTTGAGACTGGGTGATTTATAAAGAACAGAAATTTATTTCTCACAGTTCTGAAGGGTCAAGACACTGGCAAGTTCAGAGGGTCTGGTTTCTGCTTCCGAGATGGCAGGTGCCTTGTTGCTGGATCCTCTGAAGGGGACGAACTCTGTGTTCTTACATGGCAGAAGGTGGAAGGGCAAAAGGCTTAGCTAGTTGCCTCTTTATTTATTTATTTATTGAGATGGAGTTTGGCTTTCATCACTCAGGCTGCAGTGCAGTGGCGTGATCTCGGCTCACTGCAACCTCTGCCTCCCAGGTTCAAGCGATTCTCCTGCCTCAGCCTCCCAAGTAGCTGGGATTACAGGCATGTACCACCATGCCCGGCTAATTTTTTGTATTTTTAGTAGAGATGGGGTTTCTCCATGTTGGTCAGGGTGGTCTTGAACTCCTGAACTCAGGTGATCTGCCTGCCTTGGCCTCCCAAAGTGCTCTGATTATAGGTGTGAGTCACTGTGCCCGGCCAACATTTTATTTTAATTAGTAGATAATATTGCAAAATCAATCAAGGTTATGTTGAACTGACATCTAAATTTCATTTGTGAGCTTTGCAAAGACTTAAGTCCCTAGGGAGAATTCAGAGGCAGAGAGAAAGTTTTTAGTGAGAGTATGGCACATTCTATCTGACATTTTTATACAGTACCAAAAATATCCTGGTTAGAGATTTTGCAAAAGGAAGGTGAAGCTTCCTTTTAAAACATAAACTTTCTTAGTAAAAATATCCATTGTATTTCACAAATTCTGAGATGCAGTGTTTCCCATTTCAACATCTCTGAAATTGGGGTGTATCTTACAATTGTTGATGGGTTATAGTTTAGTTGGCAATTTTTTTAGTGTTACATAAAATACTGTATTTCATAACCGATAGCATCATAGATTTGATAAATCAGTGGGTTTAAAATATGCTCTTTGGGTTACATGGAGTCCAAATATGTGCATTTATTGATAAACCTAGTATGTTGAACTTGTTTTCTCCCAGTTTCCCCTTTTGGAATTGTACATGCGGCTTAAAAGTTACTAGTGGCATAGATGGCAGGGGTTTTATAATTTTGTTTTTTACATGCAGCTGCAGGTTTATGATCTGTAGAGGCCACTGTGTGCTGCTTCAGAGGTCCTTGTGGTGTTGTGTTTAAACTGACACCAGAAATTATGTAAAACCAAACAGTTTGAGTCTCCTTTTCTCTTGCATGGAAGAATATACTTTAGAGTTAGTCCCGTGGCTTTCATACTGGATCATGCATATGAAAAACTAGATTATGGGAGATGGCCGTAGCCCTGATCTGTCCAATCACAATCTGACCACTCTTTAGATATCATAGTGTTGCTGGATGGTGGTGACTTCACCTAAACCAGATTTTCAGCGCTGATAGTCCCAGTGTGTGCTGCTGCAGCATGAGGTGGACGGTGTGTCACCAGGCTCCATGCCACATAAGCAAGAGCACTGGCAGGTACTGATGTTCTCTGTGATAACCTCTTCCTGTGGGACTGGCTTCTCAGAACTAACCCAGGAAATTACCCAGAGTGACACAAGAAGCACTACTGACACCTCGTGGAGTCAGCAATATTAAGCTTTCTAATGTTTTTGCATCTGATCTGCATTTTGTTTGACAGCAATCTCAGAACTCAAACTTAATCTGCCCTTAAACAAATCTCTTAACCACTCTCCCTCCCTGTAGATAAAAGGATAAAAAACCTGGTTACTAGCGTGTATCTCCACAGTGGCTGTGGTAACTCATATGTCCCTTTACTTTTTGTTGGATTTCCCACTCAAGTCTCAATTTTGAGATGAAATTGGAGACTTTTTTTTTTAACCTTTAGCATAATTCTCTAGCTGCTGCCCTTGACAATAGTGACTATTTTTAACATCTGAAAGCATTGTAAACCAGTGGTTGTACTTCATTGATTGCAACTTTATAAGTAGAATTTTTAACATTATATTAAAAAGAAATAAAAAATAATAACATTTAGGAAATCATACTACATAGAGATAGTTTATCTGTTCATGATTTCTCTGGGAATGAGGATGGCAGGAGAAAATTAGGTCTTTGCCATATGAGGCCTTTGTGAAAAATAATACATTTTGGACCAAGTGGTATGAAGAAACACTCTTCTACCAGCTATCTGTATGTGTTTTGAATTGATTGTAATGATACATTTAAAGTAAATGTTCTTTTGCTTTTAATGGCTAAAGTCATTGAGCCAAGAGCAAGGGGGAATTGTTTCTGCTCCTTCTGCCCCTTTGTAGGATATTGATTGTTCCTCCTGTGAATTAAAGTCAAAATATGTTTAACCATTTCTGATTAGTATCAATTAATTAACAAATCTGTTAAACCACTTACTTTTTGGACATTTAATCTTATTAAAAAGTAAGCCTTATTACATAAAAAAAAGTTTTGAGTCATGTAAGGTTATTTGATGTTAATTTACAGTTAGGCAGGAGTGGCTTTCAGAGTAAGATGACCATATAATTTTGCCATCTGTTCACCCAATTTTAACAGAAAAAAATTATTTTAAGAGAAGGCAATTAAGTGGCAAATATGGCAAGTTTCGGTTGTTGTAGAATGCATTCAAAATTATAGGAACTTGGAGACCTCTCATGTTTTTTATATGGAAAACATTTTCTCCTCCTTTCTTACTTCTCATAAAGTGGGCCAGATGGAGAACATATCCCCAGGACAGATCATTGATGAACCCATCCGACCAGTCAACATTCCCAGGAAAGAAAAGGATTTCCAAGGGATGCTGGAATACAAGAAGGAGGATGAGCAAAAACTTGTTAAGAACCTGATTCTGGGCAAGTATTTTCTGCATTGGATAAAAGTTCCTTCTGGCACATGGGTTAATGGTGGGAAAAACTAGTCACTAATTTTTGAGATATTCAGCGTAGGTTTCATTAGTCATCATCAGATACCATGTATTCTAGTGCTGCAGTAGTGTTCTGACCACACCAAGCACTTTCAGTCCAACTGCAGGGACACATGCCTCAGACCCACCTACAAGGATTGCTCAAGATCAGGTCTTCTCAGCCCTGGCTGCACATTAGAATCACCTGGAAGCTTTGAACCATACTGATGTATCTCTCTCCCTCTTGCCCAGTTAAATCAAAATCTCTAGAGAGAAGAGCCTGGCAATGTCTAGTACTTTAAAAAAAAAAAAAAGAAAAAGAAAAAACCCTCAAGGCCAGCCTCGGGAAAATAGCAAGACCGCATCTCTCCAAAAAAAAAAAAAAAAAAAAAAAAAATTACCCAGGCGAGGTGGTACATGCCTGTAGTCCTAGCTGCTCAAAAGGCTGAGATGGGAGGATCATGTAAGCCCAGGAGTTCAAGACTACAGTGAGCTGTGATTATACCACTGCACTCCACCCTGGGCTACACAGCAAGAGTCTTTCTCAAAAATAATAAAAAGCTTCTTAAGGGATTCTCAAGTGTAACCACAGTTGAGCACAACTGCTCTAGGCCGTTTAGGTTCCTGAATTTCAGTTTTTCCTTACTCCCCTAGAAAGGTTTGCAACTAAATAGGTCAAGGACGGCAGTGTAATAATAGGGAAGAAACAAAAAAAGGAAAAGATTCTAACAAAGGAAGGAATGGACAGAATAAATGAGATGAGAGTGGAAGAAGCATTTCAGGGCAGCACACTGCCTTTAAGATTGGGTCTGAGCCTGCTGGCTTTGCAAGAAAACTTTTTAGAGGGTGGTGGTAAATGATTAGAGTGTACACACCGTAAGTTGTGAAGTGAAAATCCTAAAAACCTCTCCTTTCAGCCTTTGCACAGCATTCCTCCCGCCAGGTGCCAGGGTGACAGCAGTGTGATTGGCACTTATACCTGATGGAATGTTCCTGGCATTAAACTTAGTACTATATATAGTTGCACAGGTGCTTAAGTTTCAACATGAATTTCATTTAGCAAAAATGTTAAGGAGCCACTGGTTTTTAAGCATAGAATTAACAGATTTATCAATTCAGCAAAGAATTAACAGATTTATCAATTCAGCAAATGTTTAATGAACTCTTATCATGTGCCAAGCATTTTCTAGGTAATGAGCAAAGTGAAGTACCCAGTCTTACAGAGTTTACATTCCAGGGGAGAAATAAAGAAAATAAAATAAACAAATATATGATGGAGTAAAAAGAATAAAGAGTGAAGGCAGGTATACTGGTTTGTGTAAAATTGTCAGGAAACACTCTTTGGTAAGGTGATCTTTGGACAGACACCAAAGGAAGTAAGCTAACAAGTCATGCTAATATCTGAGGAAAGAACATTCAAGGCAGAAAAACAGTAAGCACGTAGGCCCAGGGCAGGGAGCATACCTGGCATGTTTAACCAACAGCAAGGAGACCCATTTGGAGCAGAGTGAGCTGGAGTGGGGAAGGGGAATAGGGCCAGATCCTATGCTATGGTGAGGATTTTGGCTTTTATAAATGCTTGACATGAGAAGCTGCTTGGAGGATTCTCAGAACGAGAGTGACATGATCTGACCAACATTTTCCGAAAGAATGGCCCTGATTGTTGTATGGAAAATGCAGTACTGGGGAGCAAGAGATGAATTAGGGAGGCCAGTTAGGGAGCTATTGCAGCAGCCCAGCAGGAGATGATGGTGGCCTCCATGGGACATCTGTAGCTGGTAGAAGCAGTGAGAAGTAGCTGGATTTTGGATGTATTTTGTAGATAGAGCCAACAGGGTTTGTTGATGGATTGGATATGTGGTATGAGAAAAGAAAGGAGTCAAAAATGAGGATGAGGTTTGTAATCTAGGATACTGGAAGACTAGACCTGCTATTTATTTACTAAGATGGGGACAACTTCCAAAAAAGTAGGTTCCTTAGAGAAGCAAGAATTTGGTTTGGGAGAGGCTTAGTTTCATGTGCCTGAGCAGAGTTGTCAAGAAGGTAGTTGATAGTGAGACTGGAATTCAAGGGAAAAGTCAGCGCAGGAGATATCAGTTTGGGAGTTGTCATTATATGGACATGCTCCACATTCCAGAATTTTTCTACTTAAAGAGCTATTAAAATACACTTTTTATATTACCTACTTACCTTGAATGATTGAACTCTTACATGACAACTGTGTTTTTATATCTCACAATGCATGCCTCGTGAAAATTTTCCATGTTATATAAAATTATTATTTTTTCTTTTTTAGAACTGAAGCCACGTGGTGTAGCAGTCAATTTGATTCCAGGATTACCGGCATATATCCTGTTCATGTGTGTTCGACATGCTGACTACCTGAATGATGATCAGAAAGTAAGGTCGTTGCTAACATCAACAATTAACAGCATCAAAAAAGTATTGAAGGTCAGTTCCTGTTCAACAAAATTCTCATCATGAATTGTTAATGATGACAGAATCTGCACTGATTGATCTTCCTTCCTTAGAGTTTAGCTAAGTTGCTTGTTATTAAAACTTTCCAATTTTTATTTACTTACCTATCTATTTTGAGACAGGGTTTTGCTGTGTCACCTAGGCTGAAGTACAGTAGTGCAATCTCAGCTGACTGCAGCCCCAGTGCAATCCCAGGCTCAAGCAATCCTCTCAGCTCAGCCTCCCAAGTATCTGAGCCCACAGTTGCACACCACCATGCCCAGCTAATTTTTTATGTTTTGTAGAGACAGGGTCTCACTATGTTGCCCAGGCTGGTCTCCAGTTCCTAGGCTCAAGTGATCCTCCCCCTTCAACTTCCCAAAATACTGAGATTACAGGTGTGAGCCACTGCACCCAGCCACTCAGTCTTGAGTGAAAACTTCCACTGGAAGAAACATTCTTCCTTGAACATGTCTATCTGGCTTCTTTCAAAACAGGGCTCAAGTTGAACAGTAATCAAAATTAACTTGACATAACTGCATTTTAATTGTGCAGTAAACTAACTTTATTCATGGACAGATATAGTTTGAGGTTTTACTTAGAACTAAACAA
The DNA here is from genome assembly GCF_000001405.40 of Homo sapiens. Taxonomy (NCBI): domain Eukaryota; kingdom Metazoa; phylum Chordata; class Mammalia; order Primates; family Hominidae; genus Homo; species Homo sapiens. The sequence continues at coordinate 52,327,233 of NC_000015.10, read as the reverse complement.
TATTTAGTAGAGTTCATATATACAGGGAACGTGATGCTGAAATTAAAATAGATGTTAAATAAGTTTAAGATATGGCTCATTCATATAAAAAGATGTCTGATAAAACATTACAATTTTTCTTCCAACTTTTTCTCCACCTCACCCCATAATTTTCCCTGTTACCTAAAATGCCTGGTTCCATGTGGGAAGCAACACACAGATGCTAATCAGAGAGGAAAGACTTGGAAAAGACAGCCAAGTTATATAACTGAGCAGAAAGCCTACACAACTCAGTAGTCACTGAGTCATCTTGCATAATCCCCCTCTTGACTCCAGAGAAACAGTGAGCACAGGCTTAGTTTTAACTCAGTGTTGCTGTGAGGAGCTAAGATCATATGTTCCAGGTACTTTGCTTTCGGATTATCAAACTTAACGAGAGCTTTTAGGGTAAAGATAAGTGGATAGTCAACATGCCAGTGGACTCTTTCAAATCTAAGACTTCTTTTATGAACTTAAAAAAAAATTAGGTAAAACATACATAACATAAAATTTGCCATATTCACCATTTTTAAGTGTACAGTTACGTGGCATTAAGTGTGTTCACATTGTTGCACAGCCATCACCATCATCCATCTCCAGAGCTTTTTCATTCTCCCCAACTGAAACACAGTACCCATTAAACACTAACTCCCCATTCCTCCCTCCCTCAGCCCTGGGGAGCGAACTTTTGATAAATGCTGGTTCTCTGTTGGTCCCTATTGTGCAGGTACTTTCTGTAGTTAACATTCTACAGTGGTTACTAAAGCATGGAGTTTCTAAAGATTTAACATTTAAAAATTGATGAATGTCTTCCCAACATAATTCATTTTATTTTTAGTGTGTTGATGCAATATTGTACTTAGATAAACTATAAGTTTTGCTACTTCTTAGGCCAACTCCTAGAGAGAGAAAAAACTAAATCATAAAGTTTTCTTTCTCTCATAATAATTGCAAGAAGATACTTATCTGGTTTGACTATTGTACCAAATTCTGTAAAGATTAAAAATGATGGGCACTAGAACACAACACTCTTTAATACCATTTAAAATTAATGTGCATTTGTCTCACATCCCAGTTTTGAATCGTATGTTTGTGTTGCATACCTGTTTCAACTTTGGCAACTGGTTTTTTGCCATCGGCCCTAAGCAGCATAACTAGCCAAAGATATGCAGAGAATCCATACAGTTTTTAGCTTATGATCATTTCTAATAAATCAAAAACTGCAAATAGCTTTGAGTTCAACTTGTTTTCTCTATGGGATAGAGTAGGAACTAACATGGATTTATTAATTTTGATCAAATACAGCTTGTTTATTGCAAAAAATACTACTTCGGCAAACTCAATCTAGTAACCTCTTAGGTAAAGAGTTGGCATTCTATTTTAATTTTTTTTTAATTTCCAAAGAAGCAAATGTTCTTTTATTTTGAAGTAATATAGAGTATCTCATTTTCATGTGGACAGAGGATACCCTTAGTGTTCAAATTGTATTTGTTGAGTTATTTTGTTTAAAAGTGGGCTGGGTGCTGTGGCTCACACCTGTAATCCCAGCACTTTGGGAGGCAGAGGTGGGAGGATTGCTTGAGCCCAGGAGTTTGAGACCAACCCTGACAACATTGCGAGACCCTGTCTCTATAAAACATAAAAAAATTAGCCAAGCATGGTGGCATGTTCCTTTAGTCCCAGCTACTTGGGAAGGTGAGGTAGGAGGATCGCTCGAGCCTGTGAGGTCAAAGCTGCAGTGAGCCATGATCACGCCACTGCACTCCAGCCTGGGCAAGAGTCTCTGTCTCAAAAAAAAAAAAAAAAAGTGGGGGGCTTAGCAAAGCCTAGAGCCCACTAATGAAAACAGATGCTGGATTATTTCTAGAATGAAGTCTTCTCCTTAGGTTTTAATCACCTTTATCTGGTAACTCTTCAGTATAGGTGCCGTTACATCCAGCTGGGACTATTCTGAGGATCTCTGCAGTTTGACTTGTGTAGACGTCAGTGAAGACAGTCTAGATTGGTGCTTTAGTGACACTCTCCCATAGCCCGACAGTGACCAGCACAGTTTCCCAATCTGCATTCATTGTCTTTGTCAGCTTAGCCCAGAGCATCCACTAGGAACAGTTGTAATCCAGATTTTTGGAAGAGGCAGAGTTATTTTTAGTCAAATCTACACTTAAGCTATAGGATGATTTTCTGTGTTTGGGAAAGTAATAAAATTGTATTTACTGGCAGTAAATAATTTATTTAATTTATTTTATTCACAATCCTCCTACATTGGAAGACTATATACCTAGGTCTTTCAGATATTTACTTAGTGGTAAAGTCAGGACCTGAACTCAGTAATTCTGTCTCAGCTGAAAAGACTTAGTTAGGTTTGATATCCTCTAGGATTTTTTTTCTTAAAGTCTTTTTAGGGGAATATTCTACAAAATTTAAGGGCGTTTTGTACTTTCTTAAAAAGGTGATTTTATTTACTTAAAAAAAAATGATATAATGAGAAACCCATCTTTCCCCATGATATATCCTGTGCACTTTTACTGCATAAAGCCGCTACTAAGAAACCAAAGGCAGATATTCTCATACAGCTTCTAAGAACCTGGATTTTGTTGTGATATAGTAGTAGAGTTATTGGAATAAATGATTTCATGCAAAAAAAAATTAGCTTCTAAGACCATTTGATGCTAGGCATCTGTCCTAGGTAAACTATTCTGGTTTTCCTTTGCAAGGTTTTCTGAGAAAAAGTGCAGGCAAACATTGATATTTTTGTGACTTCCCATATACAAACTGGGATTAGTTCATCCAAATGGTTTAGTTTACAAATGCATAGTCCTTCCAAGTATGTCTGCCATGAAGCCCCTGGGAAGTATTCCCAGCCCTCACATCTTTTTCAGGCACAATGAGTCTCTCTTCTTCCTGCCACGGTGGCCCAGTCCTGGTGAAGAGCCAACCAGCTTTCCCCTGACTGTACTGCCCAGCTCAGGACTTCCTTCTTCTCATTTCTGGATTCACAGCTCAGAAATTTTATCTTACCCTTAACAAGATTTTTAATCTAGTCTGGGTTTAAGTGCTTCAAATTCTTTTTCATATTCTTTATCACAATATTTGTTATTCCTCTTTCTGCTTTTAGTTCTGATTCCCATCATTAACCCCACGGGGGACATGAATTTGGGCTAGCTGTAGCTGGGTGATTTTTTTTTTTTTTTTTTTTTTTTTTTTTTTTTTTTTGAGACAGAGTCTCGTTCTGTCTCTAGGCTGGAGTGCAGTGGTGCAATCCTGGCTCACTACAATCTCCGCCTCCTGGATTTAAGTGATTCTCCTACCTCAGCATCCCAAGTTGCTGGGATTACAGGCATATGCCACCACACCCAGCTAATTTTTGTATTTTTAGTAGAGACGGGGTTTCGCCATGTTGGCCAGGCTGGTCTCCAACTCCTGACCCCAGGCAATCCATCTGCCTCGGCCTCCCAAAGTGCTGGGATTACAGGTGTGAGCCACCGCGCCCAGCCGGGTGAATTTTTTTCTGCTTAAAGGAGCAGCTAAATTCGCATCAGTTTAATTTTCTATGCCAAAAAAGTGAATGGCAAGCAAAGCAACAAACTGATGAACCTGGTCGCTGACATTCTGCTAGCAATGACATAAGACTTCACAACTGTAATGTGATTTATTTTTATAATTGTTTATAATGGTAACTGAAAGAAATGGGTCTTTTGGTATCTGTTCAATTTTTTTTAGGTTGTTATTTCCCTAAGGAAAAGGCAAGTTTAGACTTATTCTCTCTTTCAGAAAAGAGGTGATGATTTTGAAACCGTCTCCTTCTGGCTCTCTAACACATGCCGATTTTTGCACTGCTTGAAACAGTACAGTGGAGAAGAGGTGAGAAAACCTTGATTACAAAACCAGCATGCTATACTTTCTCTGACCTTTTTAAGGAAAAAATGTAAAAGCACAAAATGTTTAACCATTTATTTAGGAACCCAAATTCAGAGGTGGCTTGGAAGTTCTTGCTTTGTTTGATGTTCACTATCTATGAAGCAGTGATTTGGAGAATGACAGTTTCTTCTTTACATTGTGAGAAAGCATAGAGAAAAATAAAATAAGCATTGGTCAGTGAATAGTTACCAGAAGTAAAACTTTTTGTCAGTATGTTTTAGTGGGCATTTCAAGAGCTAATATCAGAATAGTGAACTATTTAAAGAAATTAATCAATTTTGGCTTGCCACAATACATTAAAAGGTGATCAAAAATCGGGGGGAGGGATGGCATTGGGAGATATACCTAATGTTAAATGATGAGTTAATGGATGCAGCACACCAACATGGCACATGTATGCATATGTAACTAACCTGCACATTGTGCACATGTACCCTAAAACTTAAAGTTTAAAAAAAAAAAAGAAAATTTTAATATTAATACTCTTGGACAATAAGAGGACCTTAAAATCCTTTAACTCTAAAAAAAAAAAGGGTGATCAAAAATCATGTCTTTCGATTTGTCCAAAAAAACTCTATTGTTTTTGTTTGTGGGGATATGTTCATTAGTTGTTTGATAGACTTCAAATATTTCAAAACTATGTAGAATATTAATAATGACTATTAAGGGCTGCTTTAGTATGTGTCAGACAGCACTTACTGTATATGGTGTTATTTATGATCATTAATTCTTACAGCATCTCTGTGAGGTAGGAATTATAGTCCAGTTTTACAGATGAGGAAGCCAAGGCTCACTGGGGCTCATTGATTTACCCAAGTTCTCTTGGCCACAAGGAGCAGAGCTGGGATCCTGGGTCTGGCACCGCTGAGGGCCCATGACCCTAGCCAACTGCCCTCCATGCCTCCCATCCCTTTGCCAGGAGGGCAGCAGAGAAGGTGCCCAGCGGCACTTCCTGAGCACTGACAGGCAGATGATGGGAAACACAGAGATGAGCAAGGCCTAGTCCCTGAGAAGATGGGGCCAACAGACCAGAATCCCTCAGAGGGGTCGTTGACTGCATCCTATCAGTCCCCACTTTCGGACCAGTCATTAAGTAGGTGGTAAGGAGGCAGATGCTTGGCTGTAGGGAGAATCCTCAGAGTAAGCACTTGCCTTTATCACGTAGCATCAGGCAAACAACGTGTTAAACTGCAAAGTGACTGGAAGAAGTGCCGCCCATTCAGTTCCATTTTAACAGATACCACCAAAGATTCCCTTCTAACCTCTGACTGAAAACCATGGTGTGGGTACTACGAAATAGAGTAAAGAGAACTTTTTGTATGTATTCACTAGTCTCTGTAGAAATCGGTCTATTTCAAGATTATATATGTCCTTTGGGTGTAGTTTTTAAGAATAGGACTATAAAGAACTGAAGTTAAGAGATAATTTAGATAATTTAGTGTTTGACAGTAAACCTGCTGTTTCAGAAGTGAAACACTCTATTTTTTTTTTTTTTTTTTTTTTTTAGTTAAGTTCCTCCAATTTGCTTCATTGACATTGCTATTGGGAAGACTTAAATGCTAGGTTGCCAAGTTAAGGTATTGTTCAAAAGCTAGTAAGAACTGGAGGGGGTTATGATGGAAGCAAACAAACACACATCAGCATTTGAGAATGTCAGTCCTGGCATTAGTGGGGAAGCTCCTTGGACAGAGCAGAAAAGAGCATGAAGATGCTGATCAAATTGGAGATAGTTAAACTGAAGAGACAGGTTACTTCATGTGTATCATTAACTTTGCCTTATGACTCTAGGGCTTTATGAAGCACAACACATCTCGCCAGAATGAACACTGCCTCACCAATTTTGACCTGGCTGAGTATCGGCAGGTGCTGAGTGACTTGGCCATTCAGATCTACCAGCAGCTCGTGCGGGTGTTAGAGAACATCCTTCAGCCAATGATTGGTAAGGCCAGGGCCCCACTGGGCATTGCAGCCTGCCTATCATTCATGCCCATCGATAAGTAGCCACCAGTGGCACATGTTTCAGGGCAGGTATTCATTTGGGGAGCATAAAGTAGTAAGATACAGGGCTAAAATTAGCCGAGGAATCCCAGAAACCCAGCCATAGTTAACTGGGATACATCGAAATCACTGTTTCCACAAGACTGAAACAGTAGTATATGGTTTCCTTCCCTAATGTTTACTGTTTAAATTCAGTTGAATGCATTGAATTTTAAAAAATTGTCTTAAGTTACCAAACATTGTTATCTTCCAGCAAATTATCAGCAGGCTCCCTTTTTTTTTTTTTTGAGACAGAGTCTCGCTCTGTCGCCCAGGCTGGAGTGCAGTGGCGCGATCTCAGCTCACTGCAAGCTCTGCCTCCCGGGTTCACGCCATTCTCCTGCCTCAGCCTCCCGTGTAGCTGGGACTACAGGTGCCTGCCACCACGCCCAGTTAATTTTTTGCATTTTTAGTAGAGACGGGGTTTCACCGTGTTAGCCAGGATGGTCTCAATCTCCTGACCTTGTGAGCCACTCACCTCGGCCTCCCAAAGTGCTGGGATTACAGGTGTGAGCCCCTGCACCCAGCCTATCAGCAGGCTCTTAAGGCTACTTCCAGCTACACTTTCTTTCCCCATGCATGCATTTTCCATGTTTCCACAACTTCTTCATTTCCCTTCTGTGGGCTCATAGTGTTCCCTTTGCTTTCATAGGCCACAGTTAACTAGCTATTTGAGACATCAAAAGCTGAAGAAGCCATGGGAGATGGCAATGTTTTCTTCAGATGTCCCTTAAAACGTCATTAAAGCACCCTAGGTTGGCAAAAATTTAGGAGGTAACACAGATACCAAGGTCAACTTCAGCCAGTTTTTCTATTGCTTTGCCTGTTTCTATTGGCTGAATAAGAAGTTCGCCTCAAAGAAGCCCCAATCTAAATCCTTACCCCCATCTCCCAGTCATTTAACAGCAACAACAAACATGCCGGTTCTAGGGAATCTGTGTTTAGCACAATTAAATAGCAAGATGAACCAGACGTGGCCTTTGCTCTCAAGGGGCTTGCTGTCAGGGAGTGGACATCTCAGAAACATTCTAAGGGAGGCATAAGCCAAATGCTAAGAGAGCACAACAGGGAAGCAGCCGGGCCACAGGTGAGAAGACGAATTCTGGGAGATGGAGGTCAGCCCAAGGGCCCACTGCTGTTGTGGGAAACCCAGAATAAGGAAGGGCCCAGCTCTCCAGACCCATACCACTCCCCTCTCCCACGTTTTCTCCAAGATGGTTGTCAGTGCCCTGCTTTTCTTACTGTTTTTGCCTCTGGGGCTCAGATAACATGGAGAATGCTTATCTTAACCCGAACTGCTACCTACCACTCTCAAAAGCCCACCCAAGACACACACACTTGTTCTATCACAAGGCTACTGCTTCTTAACGCTTCTTATTTTAGAAAAGACACCATTAAGTTTACTTAGATTCATAGTAAATTTTTGCAATTAAGAATTATTCCTTCAGTAAAGTTTAAAATCCGGAAGCCCTTTTGTAGTGAAGTTCCTTTTCCCTCTATTTTGGCACCCAGATCATTTTTTTCTTTTTTGAAATGGAGTCTCTCTCTGTCACCCAGCCTGGAGCCCAGATATGTGGTCTCAGCTCACTGCAGCCTTTGCCTCCCAAGTTCAAGTGATTGTCCTGCCTCAGCCTTCTGAGTAGCTGGGATTACAGGCACACGCTACCACGCCTGGCTAATTTTTGTATTTTCAATAGAGACGGGGTTTCCTTATGTTGGCCAGGCTGGTCTTGAACTCCTGGCCTCCAGTGATCCACCCACCTCGGCGGCCTCCCAAAGTGCTGGGATTACAGATGTGAGCCACCGTGCCCAGCTAATTTTCCTAAGTTGAATGTGCATGTGTTTGTGCACATGGATATGTGCACATGAAAGGTTCCCTTCCACATCATCTCCTCTAACAATTGAAATACTCCTGCAGTCTCAGGCATGCTGGAACATGAAACGATTCAGGGCGTGTCTGGGGTGAAGCCCACAGGGTTGAGAAAGCGAACCTCCAGTATCGCCGATGAGGGCACCTACACACTGGACTCCATCCTCCGGCAGCTCAACTCCTTCCACTCGGTCATGTGTCAGCATGGCATGGACCCTGAACTGATCAAGCAGGTGGTCAAGCAGATGTTCTACATCATAGGGGCCATCACCCTGAACAACCTTCTCCTGCGGAAGGACATGTGCTCCTGGAGTAAAGGCATGCAGATCAGGTGAGCAAATGCCAACACCTGCGACAGTGTCTTTTTGCTGCCCAGCTGGCCTGCCAGGGTTGTGGAGAGCTGATGACTTGTTTTCAGTTCTTGCATCTCATGTCTGGTGCCATGTGGCCAAGCAGCAAGGGAGAAACTGGCACGGAGCCACTTTCCCTTGCCTGGCTGGATTTCACCACATCTCATTATTGCTCCCTGTCTGTACCCTGCCAACAGGTTCTTCACATTCTTGATAGGAAACCCTTTTCCACTGTGAAGCTTGCTTATTTGGGGGAGTGAAGAGATGATGCAAAAATACACAAAGATGAGATAGCTGCTTCCTCTCCTTATGTGTGTGTTTTAATTATACAATAAGAAATTATTAAATTATAATAATGAAGATTTCTAATGTTTGATTGCTCTTAGAAATATATTTTTGGAAAAATACCTTTTTGTACCTATGGCAACAAGAACAGGTCTGATAGATCTTTTACTAATTCTTAAAATATCCCCCCTCTATATTTTAAGAAAAGCTGCACTTAATTTTATGCCCAATACTCCTCAGCATAACCTCATTATTGTAACATAATTTTTTTGCAAATTTTTTTTTTTTTTTTTTTTTTTGAGATGGAGTTTTGCTCTTGTTGCCCAGGCTGGAGTGCAATGGCGCCATCTCGGCTCACTGCAACCTCTGCCTCCTGGGTTGAAGCAATTCTCCTGCCTCAGCCTCCCAAGTAGCTGGGATTACAGGCATGCACCACCACACCCAGCTAATTTTTGTATTTTTTGTAGAGACAGGGTTTCACCATGTTGGCCAGGATGGTCTCAAACTCCTGACCTCAGGTGATCCACCTGTCTCGGCCTCCCAAAATGCTGGGATTACAGGTGTGAGCCACCGTGCTGGGCCACAAATTTTTTATTTTAAAACAGCTAGAATATTCACCAAGAGGAGGGAAAAATGATTTCTCCTATCAAAGTCTTAGTAGTTACTCAATCTCAGGAACTGTTAGTGTTCTTTTCAAATTTTCCATCCTGACTTACATTGAAGTGTAGTGAATTTTAAGACAATAATGCCTTCCTCTCAGATAGTGGAGCATATTTCTCTATAAGCTCTGCATGGAAATGTGGAGCCACCTGTCGCAATATTATGCTGGCCCCTATTTGCCTGGTTGCTAAGTGCTGATTGTGTGTCTATTGACCTCAGTCTTAGGACTGCTGCCACTTGGTTGGCTATTTTGTGAAACCTACAATGTCTTTGTAGTTTGTCTCTGTCACCATTTGGAGTCTTTGTCTCTTCCAGTGGCCCTCCCTTGCCTCTCTCTCCTTTCATCCCGGAGCTTTCTCAGGCCACCATCTTCATCTCCTAGGCTCTTCCCTTAAGGCTTCAGCACAGGTATATGTGGGGCTTTTGGTTATTCAGTTACCTGATTTGGAGTTTGCCTTAAGAGAGAGTGCTTCAAGGATTATCAAGTCTCACCCTGCAACAGCAACCCAGCTCTGAAATTGTAAGAGAAGCTACAAAGTGTTTTCTGGCCAGCTCCCCAATAAAGACAGAGCTACATTATGTTATTCTATTTTGTTTATTAGCAAGTCTAATAACTTTTGCCATAATGACTTCATTTCCATCTTCCATTAAAGAGAATTACATTATCTTGTCATTTAGTCTTATATAATGGTGATTATAATCCTCATGACTATAATAAATTTTTAAGCACAGCTGATGAGATTTAAGAAAATTGAACAAAAATACTGCCTGTCATTTTAACATAAATCCTGACAAGGCCGCACACAAAAAAATTAAGACATTTTTGACAAAATTCAGCAAATTTGCATTCTCTGTATCTCTTTTTTTTCATAGGTACAATGTCAGTCAACTGGAAGAATGGCTGCGTGACAAGAATCTGATGAATAGTGGGGCTAAAGAAACCCTGGAACCTCTCATTCAGGCTGCTCAACTTTTGCAAGTGAAAAAGAAAACAGATGATGATGCAGAAGCCATTTGTTCTATGTGCAATGCTTTAACTACTGCCCAGGTAGAGCAACTTTCCCTGTTACAAAATAATTTAACATTCATCAAAGATGATCTTTAGGGAAGTAAAGAAGTCCTCTACTTATTGCTTGTATCTCTGAGCTGACTTCATCTGTGTTCAAGAAGATATATGCCTCTACCAATCTTAAAGCAAGGAGATTTTGCCAGAAATTAATACATTTCAGTGCTAATTACAGTATAAATATATTTAATATTCAGCAAATATTTATTGAGTACTTACAGTGTTCTATATAACATTGAAGGCACTGGGATACACCCATAGGCAAAACAAAGTCTCTGCTCTCATGGAGTATACAGTCTATGCAGCTTATATTCCATAAAATAGCTTTCTATCTTATTTGATAATTGAGTGGATTATCAAATAGTGACTTTGTTTTTAGAGACAGATAATTCTTGTTACTTCAACAGATGATTAATTAAGCCTCCATCTCAAGGCACCATATTTATTGCTGGGGAAGATGCTTCAATAAATAAGGAAAAATTCCTGCCTTCAAGGAGCTTACAGTTCAGTAGGGAAGACAGAGTCGTATCCAACTGACTCTACCGTAGAGGTTCTAGCAAATTCTGTAGTAAGATGCCTAAAGGAAGTACTGAGGGAAGATAGCAGTATTCAGGGAAGGTCCCATTAATCTGGGCATTGAATTTAAGGAAGTGGAAGAATGAGAAGGGCATTTGAGGATTATAGTGACAGCATGAAGCAAGGCACAGGCATGAACATGCCCAATTTTCTTTTGCCCGGTTATTTTCTGTGCTGACTCTTAGACTTTCTTTCTTTTTTTTTTTTTTTTTTTTTTTTTGTGACGGAGTCTCGCTGTGTCGCCCAGGTTGGAGTGCAGTGGTATGATCTCCACTCACTGCAAGCTCCCCCTCCCAGGTTCACGCCATTCTCCTGCCTCAGCCTCTGGAGTAGCTGGGACTACAGGCACCTGCCACCACGCCTGGCTAATTTTTTGTATTTTTAGTAAAGATGGGGTTTCACCATGTTAACCAGGATGGTCTCGATCTCCTGACCTCATGATCCACCCGCCTCAGCCTCCCAAAGTGTTGGGATTACAGGCGTGAGCCACAGTGCCCAGCCAACTTTCTTAATGTTCATCATATATCCTACAACATATGAAATTTTCAGTTTTGCCCAATACAATTAAAACTCAATCAGTTTGAGACCAGCCTGACCAACATGGTGAAACCCCATCTCTACTAAAAATACAAAAATTAGCCGGGCATGGTGGCAGGCACCTGTAATCCCAGCTACTCTGGAGGCTGAGGCAGGAGAATTGCTGGAACCTGGGAGACGGAGGTTGCAGTGAGCCAAGATTGCACCACTGCACTCCAGCCTGGGCAACAGAAAAAATCAGTAGGCCAGGCGTGCTGGCTCACACCTGTAATCCCAGCACTTTGGGAGGCTGAGGCAGACAGATCACCTGAGGTCAGGAGTTCAAGACCAGCCAGGCCAACATGGTGAAACCCCATCTCTACAAAAATACAAAAATTAGCCAGGCATTGTGGCGGGTGCCTGTAATCCCAGCTACTTGGGAGGCTGAGGCAGGAGAATGACTTGAACCTGGGAGGCAGAAGTGGCAGTGAGCCAAGATTGTGCCACTGCACAGAGACTTCATCTCAAAAAAAAAAAAAGTCAATCAGTAGACAATCAGAATCAAGACTTGCAGCTTCTTAATGTTGAATTCATGTTTGCATAACTTCTTACTAAGAATAAAGCAGAACTATCTGACAGAACAATGGTCCTGAGATTTCCTCCCAGTTTCTGCAAGTGTGGAAAGTAAGAATACCCTGGAGGAAGCCCAACTTTATAGAAGTTGGCTGCCATTCAACTTCTAAAGAATATACTTTAATACTTAAATATACTTTAAGCATATTTCACAGAGTGAGGCAGACCTGCAGTTTATTTATTTAGCAAATATTAGTTAACAAAGTGGTCCCACTTTTTAAAATTCAAATACTTGCCTCCGAGAGACTGATCCCTAATTCAGTTTGTCACCCACAGACCTGATAACAACATGCCCACTTTCTAGTTCTCTGGTGCTTAATTTATTTTCCTATAGATCAGCACTGTCCTGCATTCAACTTTTATTTTCATTTTGTGTTAATAGCCACATGTGGCTAGTGACTACTACTGTTGTATTGGACAGCACAGGTTTAGACAATACCTTGAAAATGGAAATATCTACCTTATATAGACGATGATTTATTTTCATTAGAAAAGAGACATGACCATTTTACAAAAAAAAATTATTGAACTTTTTAAAAAAGAACTTCATACTCTCTAATTGATTAATTTCTTTAGGGGCTTTTGTTATTCATGTTATTTATGATCTTTTATAAAAATATGATTTAAAAAACATTCAAAAGAGATAATTGTATTAATACGGCTAACATTTTTATATGGAGAAAAGTTGCAGAATAGTATTAATAGAATGAATCCCATTTGTATAAAAATAAAATGAACTAGAATATTTATAGCAGCTAGAGGGGGTGTTCAGGACATGGTTAACAATTGCCACTTTGGGAGACTGGAAGGATGGAAGTGCGGACATTTATTTTTCATGTTTTATTCTCTTGTGCTATTTGAATATCTTCGAAATTTACACAGCTTCTTACAATATTACACAAACATTACATTGATACATTCTCTTGTAAAAATTCAGATAAAGGTAAATGTGCAGACCAGCTCCTCCTTCCTTCTGGTCCCAGCCCACCCCTGAGTAGAACTGAAATCTGTACGCACAGATCCTTTTAATTTTCCAGATTATAGGTACCCAGTGTGTATTTGATAATATGCCAAAAACTTTGATCATTTCATTTCTCACAGATTGTGAAAGTGTTGAATTTGTATACTCCAGTTAATGAGTTTGAAGAAAGAGTCTCTGTGTCGTTCATTCGTACTATACAGGTAAGAGCTCCCATCTTCTTCTTTGATTCACCAACACAGTCTTTTGAATGGACATTTTGTAATTTATTGAAGGATAATGTGTTATCTTTTATTATCTTATTTTACAATGCACTAACTTTTTTGATAATAGTTAATTGGGAAAATGAAGTGAGTTTAAAACAAAAGTAAACATTCTTCATTAGTTGAGAATTTGAGGGTAGAAATTTTAGTAGAAAAAAGTCTTTTAGATTCAAAGAACTGATGCTCTGTTTATTTTTTTTCCTAATCTTCTCAGATGCGTTTACGAGACAGGAAAGACTCTCCCCAGCTGCTCATGGATGCTAAACACATCTTTCCTGTCACCTTTCCTTTCAACCCATCTTCCCTCGCACTAGAAACCATCCAGATTCCAGCCAGCCTCGGCCTGGGCTTCATTTCACGGGTCTGAAAGTGATGTCCAGGCAAAAATTGACAATACATTTCTTGCCCGAAATAAGAACCCATTATTTCCAGTGAGTTACTGAAAATACATTTTTAAAGAGAAAGTACTGATTATCTCCCAAATGAGAAGTCATTAACTGGAAATCTCCCTAGAATACTTTCATCACTTTGGAAACAAAGATAGGCTCTTTCGTGCTGTGTTATCTTTATAGCAACACTCATCCTTAACCAACTAGGTACCGTGAGTTTACATACAGGAGAATGATGGAAGGAAGGGAGGAAGGAAAGGAGGAGAAAAATGTGTCTTCAGCTGGCAGCATTTATTTTAAATCCTTAGCACTGAGTTTGAATGGTATAAAAAGTATAACTTCCATAGATGAGCTGTTGTTAGGAAGGCACCAAAGAACCTCCTCTGCACTAAACAGGAGAATGGAAAGAAAAGTCTCCATTGAGTACATATCATGTCAGTTTAGTAATCAATTATGTTGATATTGTTAAACTGGTTCAAAGAAATAAACTGGCAATATGTAAAGTAATTCCTCATTTGTGTCACTATGATATAGAGATATTAAAGGAATGTTGGTTTGCTAAATAGTATAGATGTCCATTTGTACTATAGTTTACTGAGCATTTTAAATTGCTGCTACATACTGTCTTCTTAAAATGTAAGTGATATTAGGCACTACAATAAGTTTCTCTTGTCAATTCTGTTTACAATTCAATCAGATCACAGTTTTAACTGGATTATATGCAAATACCTACAGATTCACCTGCACAAGTAGCAGACACTGGAAAGTCATGTAGTAATATGACAAAATGCTTGACATTTAGGGGTAGGATTAGACAAAGTGGCTATTGTTGATGTCATTATTTATTCAGGATGTATTACATTGATGTGCTCATTAATTTTCCCTGGGTGGATATTGCGTCAGGGTACAGTGTTCTGTGAAGTGACTTATTTTTAACTACCAGATCTGATTCCTTCAGTGCATATTTTCAACCTTGACAGGTTTTCTCTCTTCTTAATTTATTAAGAATTAATCTCGGCTGGGCGCGGTGGCTCACGCCTGTAATCCCAGCACTTTGGGAAGCCAAGGTGGGCGGATCACTTCAGGTTAGGAGTTGGAGACCAGCCTGGCCAACATGGCGAAACCCTGTCTCTACTAAAAATACAAAAATTAGCCGGGCGTGGTGGCACTTGCCTGTAATCCCAGCTACTCGGGAGGCTGAGGCACGAGAATCGATTAAACCTGGGAGGCGGAGATTGCAATGAGATCGAACCACTGCACTCCAGCCTGGGTGACAGAGAGAGACACTGCCTTGGAAAAAAAAAGAATCTCACTCACTATCTAGAGAGGATTGTCAGAATATTCACGATTCAGGTCTTGAAACTTTGATTATGCAAAAGAAGGTATATAATAAATATTTCATTATGATTCAGTTTTTAAGGCTTTGCAGCTTCTATAAGTGTTCTCAGATGCCACTAGATAATTTTAAAAGCATCATATTAGAAATACTTTAAGAAGACTTATATAAGAAATAGAAGATTGTTGAATTTTACAGAGGATTTGGTTCATTAAGACCCAGATTCTGTAAGTTTTCATTCTGAAATTCTAGTTAAACATATTCACCATTTTTCTTAGGAATCTTATACAATAAATCCTTCAGGTTGCACAAAAGCAAATTATTAGTTTTCATTAGAAACTCTGGTTCTGAATTACAATCATAGGTTATATAAATTTAACTGTTAGATGGTCTATAAATCTTATTAAAATATGTGCAATATTTATGGAAGTCAAACAGCTTCATATCAGTGATAAAGATTGTTATTAAAAGATAAATACTGTCTGTTAATTTACATGGGCCTCAAGTTCCTCGTTTATAAAATAAGAGAGTTGGACACTGATTCTTAACATCTCCTCCACATTTAAAATTCTCTCTTCTCAGCCCTTAGATTCTAGAGAGAAAAAGCTGCAGTTACTCAGTAAGTCCATTCTCTGATGGAAAGACCAGTGTGTAGTGCCTGTCAATTCCTTAGGATTAATCAAATGTAAAATCACAAGTTTGTGTAGCTGTAACCTTTCTTAAATGTACATGATTTATGTACATGCTTTTAGAAGGTCCTACTATATTTGTATTATAATTAGTTTAAGTAATTTTTATTACATCATGTATTGCTTTATTCAGTTTGAATACATTTATTTATTTATTTGCAGTATCAACCAGAAACACTACCAATTGCATCAAATTCTCCCAGTTTTTCCTGGTTGTCAATGCGGTTTTCAATGCACAATTAAGTCATAGCCATTTGGTTCGTACCAAATGTGTCAGAATCTAACAGCATCCGATAGGCTGTAAGTTGGGGAGTTGCTAAGAAAATGCAACGTGGTACAGGCTGTCCGCCTCAGCCCTGGAAATCTCCCAGACCTCCCCCAGCTTCATCCTGTGTAGCACGACTCAACGTGCACCCTGAATCTTCTCAGGTCTTCCAGGTCATGCTGTAGCTGTCACTGCCATGCAGCCCTTTTTTTTACTCCGGACAGCTCATGTACTGAAGCGTCATGAAAGAAAGGCTGTGGTCTGAGCCCTTCTCTCCCATCTCCTGTCTTTGTCCTGTCAAGTGCTGGAGCCAGAGCTCCTACAGCTGCCCTTGGTGGTTTCTCCTGTTCAGCGATGGTGGCACAAAGGTTCTGCTATTCCAGGGCTCCAGCTTCCTCCCAGGTCTACCCAGAGCTCCAGATGGGGGTCTGAATTAACCTCTCTTGGTGGCCTGGAGATTTTTAGTCATTGACAAGAATACCTTGTAACCAGGGAACCCCAAGGCCCAGTAAATGATTCTGTATACCATTTTCTTGAAGGTACAAGAAGATTCTGCCGACTATGGGGATCTTTGGGCCAGTTTGAGGATTGCTTTCCCTCTGAGGTTCTTTCTCTCTGTCAGCCACACTTTCTCACCCAACTTCAGACACACCCTGCCAGCCTTTCCCCTACTCATTCACTCTTCCCCTTCCCTCAACTTAATCGTCTATCCCGTTGCCTGCTGTTTGACTGTGCACTGAAGGCAGGTGGATGGAGTCAGTCCTCAGTTGCCCCTGCTGGCCTTCCTGGTGCTTACCATCAGCCCAATCTTTGCACAGTCCTTGTTGTTCTTACTTCTCTGCATGCATTCCTTCAGAAGATCAGTCATCAACTTTTTCTTAATTCCTCTGTGACACACAATGGGAATTCAAAGGAAGAGATCTTAAAAGTCACAACAGTTCTTTATCTTAATAATCCCCTCCCCATTCACCTTACTACATGCAGACTCACCTCACACCCTTACAACTTGAAGCTGAAAATTTAAAAGTAATTTCCCTTTTTGCAGCTTTTCCTCAGGTTAAGGCTTTGATCTGCCTGAGAGTAACTCTAAAAGGAGGGAAGATAAATATGGGATAAAATCCACAAAGTGTAGCTTCTAATTCCTTTGGAAGTTTAAAAAATTTCCACATATCTGATGCTTCTTTTGTCAGGTGCAGAAGCACAAAAACATATTCCGAAGCCAACTGATAGGGAATTTGGGGATTATTGTCAGTTTGGAGAATTTGCTGTGTTATTTCTTCATTTCCATGGATAGCTCATAGTTGGCTCTTTCTGGGTGAGTAATTATGTGTAATATAGATCAAATCTTTTACTAAGGTTACAGCTACATGTTAGGGGAGGCTATGAAAATACTATATTATTATAATTTCAGTGCAGTGATTGTTGTGAGAAATAACTTTCATGGTAACCCTAGGAAAATGGGCACCTGCCACCATCCTGAGAAGTCCTCACACAATGCCCTTTCTCTCTTACACACACACACACACACATACACACACACACACCCCCGTCACTAATTCATAGAGTTCCTTAGCAGGCATAGTCAAGGATCCTCTGGGTAATGTCAGCTGCTTAGTGATAAAACAGAGCCAAAACTAGTGCATCCTGTTGAAAGTAATGCAGAAACAGTACCTGGGTCCAGATATGCTTTCCTGCGGCGCTTTCCTCTGTTACCTCGTTTCATCCTCACAGCAGCATGGACGGTAGGTGGGGTCGCTTCTACAATCATTTCTGATGATAGCTTGGGAATAGAGATAGGGGCAGTGACTTGCCTGATGTCGCACAGCCCTCTGGCTGTCCTGCTTTCCCATATGGAGCAGTGGTGGTGTGGGCACCTGTGATGCAGGAGACTTTAAAAATGTCGTGAGGTCACGTGCTGCCCCTCCTGGTACGTGTGGAATGCCCCTGGCCAGCAAGGGGTGCTTTTTTATCAGAGTTGGCAGCTGGCATGTGGGAACCGAGCAAGTGCTGCGTACCAAGTTACTTGTTTTAAGGAGACCAAGTGCTCAGCGCCAGGTGGTTTTCTTTTTTGTCATAGTTACTTGCTATAACTCAGCTTGACTTCTGTCATGAATCAGTGCTCTCTGGGAGGATGCAATACTCTGTTTGGGCATTAATTGGTAGCAGGTTGTCTCAACCAAAAAGACAGGAAACAGCAAAAGCCTCTCTGAAATTAAGAGGAAAGTTACTCTCCCCACACCCATCAGAGTCTTTATTGGAGCCACCAGGTGAGCTGTGCAGCCTGGACAGGCCTGCAGCTATAGGCCACCTTCCCAGTTTAGGTCCTCAGCACAGGGGAGCCCAAGTCACTGGGTGCCTTCCGAGGGCTGTCACTGGGCAGGCCATATACAAGTCAGTGTGTGCGTGGGCACTGCAGTGTGTGCATGCCGTAGGTGTTGATGGGTGCTAGGAGGGGTGTCGTGTGCATGCGCGTTGAAGAGGATCTGTATTGCCGTGACCTCTGTTCATGGATGAGTGCATTGTAATTTGTTCTCAGGCTGTGCTGTGAGGGCCGCCTTAACCCTTGCTCCCTTCCCTTCTAGAGCTGCCTTAAGTTCTCCAGAACTTTTCTTCTGTAAAGGATATCTTGCCTGGAAGGGATATCTTGCCCTGTTTCTCAAGGTTTTGTGAGAGTTTTGACTGGATGTGGCCCTGCATGACCCTCCTTCTCCTGTACTTCCTCTTTCCTTTCCAAATGGGAATTAGAACTGTGGGGCAGCAACAGTCTCAGAGCCAGTGAGAGGCCAGCTTAGAGAATGCTTCTGAGTTAGTGGGACTCTGTGTCACAAGTAAGCAAATGAATATATGAAAGAAATTATGGAGATAAGTTAGATTCTTGGTAATACTTAAATGTCTTGCTTTCTACTAACCTTTTGTTACTAAAGGTAAAGGGTATAACTCAAACTTTTTGTGGACATTCTTTTCAAAATTTTTTAAGAACCCTGTACTATAAAAGGTTGAGTAAAAACAGGAAAGCGTGCTATAAGTTCAAATCTGTTGTATTACCCTAAATTAGATAAACCAACCTGAATTATAGTAGATTTCTCAATAGATGAGGAACTGAAAAATACTATGTAAAATATCTTCCAAAATGCTTTTTATACTTTTTTTATTTGTAATTTGGTCTATCTAAAATGTTCGTTAGCTTAACTTAATGGGCGTTATTGGATTCATATGACTAACGTTTCCTCAGTATTGTAATGCTTGAAATATTTGAAAGAAAAAATGTTGTTTTTTAGTTGAAACTGGTATATATAATTCAGTGCTTGGCAGGTTAGTATATTTTTATGCATTTTTCAGAGTCAGCAGTTTCAAATCTTATTGTTATCATGTTATAAAATTTTAGCCCACATTTCAGGCTCCGTAAATCATTTGAGCCATTATTTTTTCCCAACAAATGGTGAATTTTTTCTTTAAATGTGGATATATATGTTGTAATTTATGATTCCTGGTTATGTATTTTTGTGGGATCCTGCAGTAAAATTGACTTTTTTGTGTCTTTGGGAGATTTAAATTGCGCTAACAGTGTTGCGCAAAAATGAGTTCATGCCATTTAACATATTGTATTTTAATTATTAACTGTATTAATTTACTATGAAATGGACATCCTTTTAACTAAAATGGAATTGAACATTGCAGTTTTCAAATATTTTTCCTTGTTGGGTCTGGAAAAGGAATTCTACTTTGATCTGCATAGAAAATTTTGATACAATTTTTTGAAAGTTCTTAGGTGAAACATTTACCCATTAAAAAGGAAGCAGAAATACTGAGACATGAAAGGCATTATCAACTAACTCTAGACTCTAGAACCCATTCTAGCATATCTCACGTGCAATTTTTAAAAATAAGTTAATAATTCATCTCATATCAACAAAAGCCTTTGAAACATGGGTTTTCACTAGATATCACCTAGTGCTAAGATAAAAACCAAAACAATATCAGAATTACATTTATGCTCTAAATTTGTAGTTGTCCATTGTTGTGCTTAGTAAATGTGTGTCATTAATGCTGTATTCTCCTAGCTATTATGGAAACTTGTTTAAATAAAGATATGGATATAAAGAGTTTTTGTCAGTGTCTTATAAGCAAATCCACTGCACATTTTAAAACAACAAAACAAGTTGTTTTCCTGAAGACTAGTGAATGTAAATATAATCCCTCCCCATGAGAATATTCTAAGAAGTCTTGGAAATTTAAAAGTTGACGAGTTCCCCTCCTATACTGGACACCCTAGTAATATATATGATAAAGAAGAGAACTGCCAAACACTTAAGCAAACAGAAACAGCTGAAGAAGAGGTAGTGTCTTTTCTTCAAGGGAAAGTCATGCCTAAATATATTGGAATTCTCTGACAGAGAAATAGACATAACCAAGGGAAATTTGATATGCATAATCTACTTAGATTTTCAAAAGATTGAGGGTGTCATTTGTGTCAAAAGTTCTACTTTTAATATAGTGGGACAGTAGACATTTTTTGGCATAAGACATAGATCAAAGAAGTATGCAGATGTGCTTTTTTGGGTAAGGAAACAGAGCAGTTATTCAGATCTGTGGTGGAATTAGTCTCATCTTTATTTATGATAAGGAGAAATTAATATCATCATGTACCACATAACATTTTGGGTCAACAATGCACCGCATATATGACAGTGGTCCCATAAGTTTATAATACTGTATTTTTACTGTTACCTTCTCTATGTTTAGAGAAACAGGTACTTACCATTGCCTGCAATTTGCAGTACAGTAATGTGCTATACAGGTTTATAGCCTGGGAGCAATAAGCTATTCCATATAGCCAGGGTGTATAGTAGGCTATACCATCTAGGTTTGTGTAAGAACACTCTGATATTTGCACAATGATGAAATTGCCTGATGATGCATTTCTCAGGACATATCCCCTTTGTTAGTAATGCATGACTATGACTGTACATGGTTTTCATGTAGATTATACACTTCCTACTTCCATGACACATTCATTCAACTCATTTATTAAGTACTTTTCTGGGCACCGCAACAGGCCCTTGAAATATAGCATCTTCCAAATTAAATTCAATCACTGGCCCCATGAACTACAGCAGAACACCAATATGTTACAAGTAATAAAATGTCAAAATTTGCAAACAGTTTCTTTTTTTCTTTTTTATTTTTGAGACAAAGTCTCGCTCTGTCGCCAGGCTGGAGTGGAGTGGCGTGATCTCAGCTCACTGCAACCTCCGCCTCCTGGGTTCAAGTGATTCTGCCACAGCCTCCCGAGTAGCTGCTACAGGCACCCGCCACCACGCCCAGCTAATTTTTGTATTTTTAATAGAGACGGGGTTTCACCATATTGGCCAGGATGGTCCCGATCTCTTGACCTCGTGATCCGCCCGCCTTGGCCCCCCAAAGTGCTGGGATTACAGGTGTGAGCCACCGTGCTCAGCCAACAGTTTCTTTTTCTAAATTAATTGGAACCAAGGCAAGATTATTTCCCAATAATAAAATCACGCTCATCCAGTTGCATTTTGGTATGATCATTAGGATTCTTTCTGGGGCATATGACAAAAATCAAACTCAAACTGACCCAACCAAGAAGGAAATGTATTACCTAACACAATTAAAGTTCAGAGATATATCCAGGTGCCCAAACATTGACATCAGGGATCTCCTTTTCTTTCCTTACTTTTGGCTTCATTCTTAGTCATGTTCTCCCTCAAGTGACAAAGATGGCCCTCAGTAGTGTTTGGCTTCATTCTATGGCTCTGCCTTCAGTAATTCTCAGTAAGGCATTTCAGGATGGAGTCTCAGTGGCTTAAGTCCTACTTCCATCCTCAGAATAATCACTGTGTCCAGATGAGTGCTCTGACTGTCCTAGCCTGACATACCCCCCACTGAAACTAAAAATTGGGTAATTCACAGAAAACATAGGATTGATTAGGTGGTAGTGGGAGTTCACCAGAGGAAAGACAGAGTATAGTTCACAGAGGAAATGAAAGCAATGCATGTCTACAGTAATGCATTCTCCTGAATGGGAAAGAAAGGGACACGAATTGTGTGCAGCACTGGGAGTGTGCCATCCATGTGAAAGTGTGGAGCTGCTGGGTGGGTTTCCTGGGTCTTAGCAGTCAGCATAAGTGCACAAAGAAGTAAGCAAAGTGTTACACAACAAGAATTTTGAAATCACATTTACCACCCCGGAAAGGGACCTGGGAAGACATGTGATTTGTTCACATTGATCACCTTGCTACTGAAACCAAAATATGATGGACATTATTCAAAAGGAGAGAAATAAAACCTGCCATACAGACCTCGTTAGCACCATGTTGGCCAGCTATGGGCAGTTCTGGTCATTGGGTTTCAAACAAAACACAAGGGAATATAAGAGGTTCAGAAGAGAATAAGAGATAACTGAAGGAAAAGGATACTACTCATAAGAATGGTTTGAAAGTCCTGAGACAATTGGGCCTAGAGAAATGAATGCCAAGAAGGTAAGAATGTGGGCAAGTGCTAAAAAATTATGCTTGGTTGGGCCAGGTGCAGTGGTTCACACCTGTAATCCCAGCACTTTGGGAGGCCGAGGCGGGCAGATCATGAGGTCAGGAGATCAAAACCATCCTGGCTAACATGGTGAAACCCCGTCTCTACTAAATAATACAAAAAATTAGCCGGGCGTGGTGGCGGGCGCCTGTAGTCCCAGCTACTCAGGAGGCTGAGGCAGGAGAATGGCATGAACCTGGGAGGCGGAGCTTGCAGTGAGCCGAGATTGCGCCACTGCACTCCAGCCTGGGCAACAGAGTGAGACTCCATCTCAAAATAAAAGAAAAAAAAATTATGCTTGGCACAGATAAGGAAAACATGAACTACTTACCAAAACTTAAATATGGTAAACAGACATTTTGAAACTTCAGCAGTTACTGGAAAAGAAAGAAAATACTAGTTTATGTTGTCAACCATGTATATCTGAAGCTCATTTCCTAAGAGTCTATATTATCAAGAAAGCTAAATGAATTTGAAGAGAGTTTGGTCAATGCTACTTGTGACCAAAAAAAATTTCTACTGAGAAGATCTGGGTTGTATCAAATCTTCAGGTTATAATCTAGGAAGACAAATGGTTTCTTTTCACATGTACACCCATGGTCTGCGAAAAATAGGTCTCCGGGCTGAATGGCCTGTGTCTAGGATGACCCTAGCTAGGATGGTGATTACTGTGCAAAAGAATGGGGCTCCTTTTGGAGGGAAGTAAGAAGCTGTTAAAAACAACCTCATGAAAACAGAAGGGAGGGAGGAAAATACAGGTAGGAATGGGGTTGGTCAACAGAAGTGAGATGGGCAAAGAAAGACAGGCCAAAAGCCCATGGAAAACCATTCTTGAGTTGACATTAAATACAACAGGAGAAATATTTCTCACATTTCAAAAGTAGCTTTTAGGAATTCCACTTCTGACATGATAGCATGAGGAGCTTTGCAGACAACTCCCAAGGGAAACCAGTGAAACCAGTGAGAATTATTTTAAAAACAAACCAAACCCCCAATTCTTTAAAGTCTCTAGAAATGGTCCTAAGGGCATACACCAAATGAAGAAGTGCTTATTCAAGAAAACATACTAAAGCTTGATAAAGAGAATGAGCTTGTTGTATCTGAACCAAGATTCCTCCCTCCTTCCATCTTCCAGGTCAATGAGACAAAAACTCCACTCTAGACTGGTATAGCCAAGAACTCAGGGCTTCCTCTCTGCCAGCTCACAGTTGGAGGGCTGTCTTCCTGGGAGGGGCAGGATGTCAGCACTTCTCATCCTGCTCCCAGCCACCTCTTGCTTAAGCTAAGTTTCAAATAAATGCAGTCAACAGGTGGGGGGGGTCCCTTCTACCCAGCCCCTACTCATGGCTCACAGGCTCTACCTTGGGGACATCACTGCTGAAAATACTGGGACCCCAGTGCATCTTGTTCAGGCTTTTAAGGTGGTGCTCTCATCCTGGGAAAGGCCAACCAAAAAGACCTAAGGCCACTATCCCCCATCCACCGAGCATTTGGCTCCCATCACTCAAAGAGATGCAAGCCATTGTCCTCATCCCCAGCTCCAGAACAATGGCTCAGAGATTTTCACCAGGAGCAGAAGCAGGCTGTAAAACAGAAAGCTCCAAATTACTTCCTAAAGGAACTGACTTCATTTGCAAAAGAGTGTGGAGAAGTTCAAGCCTAAGGGCGTTTCAAAAACAGTGAAGGTTGCAGTGACTGGGGATTGGGAGGGGATTGGTAGATTCATTAGAGTTATCGGCTGAACTTTAGGCTATAACTTTCCTGGAGAGAACTGGGAGAAGAGACAGCCAGGAGGAGTCCTTGCAGGATCAGAACAAGTCTCAAACATTGACCTCAAGAACTATCCTTTCAAAGGAGCCCAAAATTGATCAGATACTGTCTGTGAAACAATGTGTTCCTTATAGCATTGTTGAAAATCGTAATTGGTGGAGTTTAACAGCTGAATGTTAACACAGTCAAAGTGAAGCTAGCCAAAACCACTGTCATCCCAGGTTTAGCAGGCTACACTGCCTGAGAAGCAGCATCAGAGGCTTCCCACTATGGAGTAGTGGAGGAGGGCCAAATAGATCTTATTGAAATAAGCCAGCTGGTCACTAAAACATAAATAAGCCCAGTTTATTTACAAAAACAAGGACCAGTATGCAGAGCTACTACATTATCAGAAATATCTTGATTATAACCAAAAAATTACAAGACATGCAAAGAAACAGGAAAGTATGACTTATAAGCAGAAAAAAAAATCAGGCAACAGAAACTGCTTATAAGAATAACAAGGTGTTAGATTAACAAAGATTTCAGATCAGCCATTATAAATATATTCAAAGAACTAAAGGAAACTATGATTAAAGAATACATTTGATGAATGACAACAACAATACAAAGAACAGGAGGGAGGAATAGGAACCTTTTGATATTATAAGGTACTTGTACTGTACCTTATACACTGTAAAGTGATATCATGTTCTGTGAAGATGGGCATGGATTCGTTATCAATGTGTATTGCAAACTCCAGGGCAACCACTATAAAAAGTAAAAATAGAAGTGTAATTAATATGCTAAGAAAAGAGAAAAAACTGAATCACATTAAATGCTCAATTAAAACCACAAATGGCAGAAAAAAGAGTGGAAGACAAAAAATAGAAACAAGACCAAGGGCAACAAATAGAACAGTAACAAATATGGTAGATATTAATCCAAATCTATCAGTAGTCTGTGTAAATGTCCATGGTCTAAGTACACAAATTAAAAGACAGATTGTCAGAGTGGATCAAAACACAAGACCCAACTATATGTTGTCTACAAGGTGATTCTAAAATTCAGGTGGAATTGCAAGGGACACCAAATAGCCAGAACACTCTTGAAAAACAATAGCAAAGTTGGATGACTCTAATTTCAAGGCTTACTACAAAGCAACAGCAAACTAGACCATCTGGCACTGAAAGTAAAGATAGACATAGACATCAGTGGAATATAATTTAGAGTAGGGAAATAAACCTATGTGTTTATGATCAATTGATTTCAACAAGAGTGCCATAACCATTCGATGGGGAAAGAATAGTCTTTTCAACAAATAATGTTGACACAACTGAATAGCTAATGCAAAATAATAAAGTTAGGCCTTTATCTCATACCATATACAAAAAACAAACAAAACTCTGCTGGATGCAGTGGCTCACATCTATAATCCTAGTGTTTTGGGAGGCCAAGGTACAAGGATCACTTGAGGCCAGGAGTTTAAAACTAGCCTTGGCAATGTAGTGACCCCATTTCTACAAAAAAAATTTATCTAGGCATGGTGGCATGCACCTGAAGTTCTAGATACTACAGAGGCCAAAGAGAAGAATCACTTGAGCCCAGGAATTTGAGGCTGCAGTGAGCTATGATCATACCACTGTGCTCCAGCCTGGGTAACAGAGAGAGACCTTGTCTCAAACAAACAAAACAAACAAAAACTCAAAATGGGTCACAGGCCTAAATGTAAGAGCTAAAACTATAAAACTTAGAAGAAAACAAAAGGATAAATCTTCTTGACTTTCGATTGACAAAGGGATTCTTAGATATGACACCAAAAGCACAAATAACAAAAGAAAAAATAAACCGAACTTCATCACAATTGAAAACTTTTGTGCTTCAGTGAACACTGTCGAGAAAATGAAAAGGCAACCTGTATAATAGGTAGAAATATTTGCAAATCATATATCTGATAATGGAGTCGTATCTAGAATATATAAAGAACTCTTATTACTTAATAATAAAAAGACAATTTTAAAATGAACAAAGGATCTAAATAGACATTTCTCCAAAGAAGATACACAAAAGCACATGAAAAGATGCAGATGCCTGGCATGAGGGAAATGCATATGAAAGCCACAGTGAGATACTACTTCACACCCACCAAAATGCCTAGAACCAAAAAGTCAGGTAATAACATGAATTGGCAAGGATGTGGAGAAATCAGAACTCTCAGGCACTGCTGGTAGAAATGTAAAATGGTGCAGCCACTCTGGAAAACAATCTAGTAGTTCCCCCAACAGTTAAAGAACAGAGTTACCCTATGACCCAGCAATTCCACTCCTGGAAATACCCAAGAGAAATGAAGACATATATGTTCATACAAAAACTTGTACATAAATGTTTATAGCAACATTACTCCTAATAGCCAAAAGGTGGGAACAACCCAAATATTCATTAATTGATTAATATAATGGAATGTTACTTAATCCCTAAAGAATCACTGAAAAGTTAACTCAAGAAATAGAGTTCTTTTTAGGGGGGAAATTTAAATTATGCACTTAATAAAAACTATCACCAAAAAATTCAAGAAAGGGGAAACAGAGGGAGAAAAATACATGTGCCATATAGAAAACAACAAATGGCAGACATAAATCCAACCATATCAAAGACTACAAGAAATGTGAATGGATTACACACCCCAATAAAAAGGCAGAGATTATCAGACTGGATTTAAGAAAAACAAAAACAAACAACAACAACAACAAAAACAGGCACAGTGGTGCATGCCTGTAATCCCAGCTACTTGAGAAGCTGAGGAAGGAAGATCACTAGAGTCCAGGGGTTCAAGACCAACCTGGGCAACTGTTCTGTGTGGGAGACCTGCGAGGGGAGAAGGCACACACAATACTTTTAAGGGTAAACAACTTTATCCCATGTAAATGGCAATGCAGATAATAATAAGCAGATGATATAATAAGCAAATTGATATAATAAGCAAATTGCAATGGGAAGGGGAGAAAGGATAAGATATATATATATATTTACACTCACCAGACTATGGAGAATTCACCACCAGACCCGTAAGCAACAGCCTGGGCTCCAGAGTCGGCCACTCACTGGTGTAGATGAGGAGAGGTCTCATGAAGCTTCAGTGCAGTCTGGGACCCAAGCTCTTTTTGTAACAAGTTGTTTGGCATGAGGCCCAATCAGGAGGCCCTTTGCGACTGGGCTCAAGGAACCCAAAAAGTCAACTTTTTTTTTTGCAATTGTTGTTTTTCAATAACTAACGTATAGGAATAGATTGAAATGGGGATTTCTCCAAAAAAGTGCTGGATGAATGCCTTAAGGGGCTCACACAACCTATTCTGGGACTTGGTGACCATTGTTTGTGTCCATGTTCAATTTGATATTTAACTTTTCCTCCACAGCAACATAGCAAGACTCCATCTCTAAAAAAAAAAAAAAAAAAAAAAAAAAAGAAAAAGAAATAAATAAAATGGCCAGGTGTCAGGTGTGGTGGCTCACGCCTGTAATCCCAGCACTTTGGGAGGCCGAGGCGAGATCACGCCATTGCACTCCAGCCTGGGCAACAAGAGCTAAACTCTGTCTCAAAAAAAAAAAAAAAAAAAATTCCATATCCTAAATGTCAGAGTTCTAACTATAACACATCTAGAAGAGAATCTTTATGAGCTTAAGCTAGGCAAAAATTTATTAGATAACAACACCAAAAGCATGATCCACAAAATTAAAAAATGATAAATTGGACTTCCCCCAAATTTAAAGTTTTTGTGCTGCCTAAGACACCATGAAGAAAATGAAAAGACAATCCATATAGTGGGAGAAAATATTTGCAAACCATATATCGGTAAAGGGTTTGTGATCAAAATGTTTAAAGATGGTAGATTCAATACCTGTATTTACTCAACCTTCCTCCTGAAACTCCGGTAAGTAACAATAAACTCACAAAGGAAAACAGAATGAATGAGGAATGACAGCAACAGCTTGGAAGATGAAAAACAGATGGATAAATGTCTTTTATTTTCACAAGCAAAGAAAACTGAAACCTAACCCGGGACAGGCAGAAGCCCAGAAGCAATCCAGTTTGCACTACATAATTCCGAAAAGCTCAGGAATTAGGTTCAGAGGCAGCAGGTAACACTGAAAGTGGCATGCAGCTGAAAACACAGGAATTGGTTGAAAATCTGTTTAAATAGCAGTTCAAGTGGACTTGAACAGACATTTCACAAAAGAGAATACCAAAGTGGTCAATAGTCATCATAGAAATAAATGCAACTTGGACCCACAGTGAGACATCATAACACACTCATCAGAAAGGCTATTTTTTAAACTGACCACATCAAGTGGTGAGGATATTAAGCAACTAAAAGTCTCACACACTGCTGGTAGAAGTATACATTGATATAACAATTTTTTACAAATCTCTTTAGCATTATCCGTTAAAGTTGAGCATTACATACCTGTGATCCAGCAATTCTGCTCTGTTTATGTGCCCAACAAAAATACATATATTTGTGCATCAAAAGACACATATAAAATGTTCATAGCAGCATTATTCATAGTGGGTGTAAACTGAAGCAACCGAAATATTTATCAATAGGAGAATGAATAAATTGTAGAATATTTATACAATGGAATACTACTAGACAGGAATGAAAGACCTCAAACCGCAGCTACATGCAACAAGATGAATAAATACCATGTAAAAAGCCAAATGCAAGAGTTACACATGTGATTCCATTTATTAAAAACATCCAAAACAGGTAAAACGCATCTATGGTGATACAAATCAGAACAGTGGTTATCTTTGAGAGAAAATGATTTGAAGAAACAGAGAAAGTTTTGGGATATCGGTAATGTTCTACGTCTGGATCTGGGCGGTGGTTACTTTGGTGTGTTGATGTGTTCCATGAATAAGAATATATTGAGCTGTACACTTATTATTTGCACACTTTTCTGTATATAATTTTATTCTTCAATAAAAATTTTCTTTAAATAAAAAAGGCAGCTAGATTCTCTTTTTAACTCTGAGCAATCAGGCAGCTGTCACTACTCACCTTATAGATTTTCTTTTTCTTTATACAAAATAGAATTATTTGGGCAATAATATAAATAATTTTGTATATAAATAAATGCAAAATTAAATTTACCATGATCCTCTCTTTGTGGCATTTATCATTATTGATCCATGCCAGGCCTCTCTTTATATTTTTTGATCCCCTTTTTGAAATCTCCGATTCCATTTCTCTCCCTCATAGGTATCCACTCTTGCATATTTAATGAATGACTTTGTAATTTATCCTCCTTACCTCTATTCACACATACTTGTACCCATGAACAATATTCAGTATTGCAGTTTTTGTGAGTTTTTAAATATTAAAGACTTGGGCTAGACATCTATTCAACATTGTTTTTTATTTCTGAGTCAAGTAGATCATGTCTATTCCTACTAACAGCTGTAGAGTTTTACATGTATATACTATTTCTTTTTTTATTTTTCTCTGCTGTCTGCCATGTATATACTATTTTATTTATTCCCCTATTGATATTTAGATGCTTCCAACTCTTTGATAAATAACTATGTTGTGATGAACATCTACTTAACTGTCTCTTTGGGTGACTGTGAGAATTTTTCTGCCTACATTTATTTTCATAACTATTCTCAAATTGCTCTCCAGGATGGCAGTATATTCCCACCAGTTATGTAAGCAAAAAAAGTTTTTATTTTTTTTATTTATTTTTTTTTTTTTTTTGAGACGGAGTCTCGCTCTGTCGCCCAGGCTGGAGTGCAGTGGCGCAATCTCGGCTCACTGCAGGCTCCGCCCCCTGGGGTTCACGCCATTCTCCTGCCTCAGCCTCCCGAGTAGCTGGGACTACAGGCGCCCGCCACCTCGCCCGGCTAATTTTTTGTATTTTTAGTAGAGACGGGGTTTCACCGTGTTAGCCAGGATGGTCTCGATCTCCTGACCTCGTGATCCGCCCGCCTCGGCCTCCCAAAGTGCTGGGATTACAGGCGTGAGCCACCGCGCCCGGCCAAGTTTTTATTTTCTCACATCCTAGGCAGTATCTGAGATTGTCTAACCTAAATGTTTTTGCCAATATGATGGGTAAAAAGCAATATCTCATTGTTGTTTTCATTTGTATTTATCTGATTACTGCTAAAGTTGACATCTCCTTGTATGCTAACAAGCCATTTAAGTGTCCCCATCTGTGAATTGCCTATTAATTTTTGTCAGTTTTAAAAATTGGATTTCTTTTCTTTAACCGATTAACAATTCTTCTATATGGAAACTACTATAACCCAACATTTTAAAGATATTATCCCTCTTTTATTCCTAATAATTTCCCGGTTTTAAGTTTTAATCGTGAATCCATCTGGAGCTTATTTTTGGATGCAGTGTTTGCCACGGATCTGCTTTTATTGTTTTTCCATATAACGGGCCCATCTAATAAATATTATTTTATTTCCCTATCTGGTCCTTAAGGCTACCGTATAATGTAGGGCCCTGCTGGGGGGCTCCAGCATGTTCCATTACTCACGTATCCGTTCTCACGCAAGTGTCACACTGTTTTAATGACTACTGCTTTGTTATGTCCCTAAATATATGGCAGGACAAATCTCTCCTCTTTGAGAATTGTCTTAGTTATACAGGGCTTTTATTCTATATGAAATATAGAATCATTGTACAATTCTCCAAAAGTTCTGTAGGATTCTGACGCCAATATATTAGGCATATATATTGATTTGGGTAGAAGTGACACCTTGACCATATTAAATATTCCCAGCCAGGAAAATGGCATGTCTCCCGTTTACCTGGGCCTTCTTTTAAGCTCTTTAAGAGAATTTTAAACATTTTCTCCACAAAGGCCAAGGGCATTTTTGCGAGTGTAATCTCTGGATACTTTATATTTTCACTAATATTGTAAATATCTTGTATTGCATAGACAATGCTCATATAAAGGACCATTACTTATTTTTGTATTTGATTTTGAATACGATGACCTTGCTGGACTCTTAACACATTTCTTTGTGTTCAGTACGTTGATTCCCTTGGGTCTTCCATTTAAATGGTCGTATCCTCTGCTCTTTGAGGAGCTAACACTCGGGCCGGGCAGCCTCCGGATGCATCTGTTCCTGCCTGGCAGCGCGCCCCGGGCCCCAACCTTCTCCACCCGCGCTCCCGCCAGGTGCAGCCGCCCGGCCCCGGCCAATGGCAGCGCCGACTAGCCGGGCCAAGCTTGGAGGGACCAATCCCGCCGCTGCCCCCTCCCCTCGCCGCCAACTCGGGAACGGGAACAGGAGGCCGTTGGAAAACTTTGGGCAAGATGGCCCGGCGGTGATTTCCGCGGCGGTCTCTCCTGCGCCCGGCCTCTGCGGCGCAGGCCCAGCCCCCGAGCCTCGCACGTTCGGCAGCCCCGGCCTGGCCCCGGCCCCTCCTGCCCATGGCGGTGGCCGAGCTGTACACGCAGGTAGGAGGGTCCGCTGGGCTCCTGGGAGCGCTGTGGGGGAGCCGGCCCTGCTAACGCTGACTCGACCTGGCGCCCGGGCCACACCTGCCACACCTGCGCACCTGACACGGCAGGGCGGGCGGGCGCGCGCTGGGGGCCGCGGAGGCGCCGCGGAGGGGCCACGGGGACCGGGGACACGAGCGAGCGTCGCCCCTCCAGGGCCCCGGCGTGCTCCGTCCCTGCCCGCGGGTAAGCCCCCTCCTGGCTCCGCTGCGCCTGGGTGCCCTGTGGGTGGGAAGACCCTG
Organism: Homo sapiens; assembly: GCF_000001405.40. Taxonomy (NCBI): domain Eukaryota; kingdom Metazoa; phylum Chordata; class Mammalia; order Primates; family Hominidae; genus Homo; species Homo sapiens. The sequence goes on along the minus strand of NC_000015.10, from coordinate 52,295,325 downwards.
TGGGAGGGGCCGCCCCCTCCGCCGCTCCGGCCTCGGGGCCTAGAATCCCCAGTGCCCAGGGGTCGCGCGTGCGTCCCCATCTCCCGGGACTGGAGCGCCTCGGTCCCTTCCTACCACACCACGGGTGGAATCAGAGTTGCCCATGCGGACGTAGGAAGCTGAGACGCCGGCCAGTCTCCTGGCCCCTCCTGGGACCCCCTTGAACGAGCTGGCATAGAAGCTTATGGCCGCAGTGTTCGGGCTGCTTTCTAGAATTCTGTGTCTTCAAAGTGCGTGAACGTGCATGTAGGCTCATCAGAAGCTGAAGCAGCCTGGGTCACAGGCTTGAGGGCACTGCAGTGGCACCAAGCGCTTGGGGAGCCCAGGGGCCACGAGGTGCAGTCGTAGGCTCTTTGCCTAACATCTGTACTGTTAGCAACAGTACAAACACCACAGTTTCTAAAGCGCCTTTCATATACCCTGACTCTGGGAAACACTAGAGCATTCCTCAGAAGCTTCCTTTCTGCTGGCTGGGGCTCCACCTCTTACCTCGGAAGGGCAGCGTTCCCACATATGTCCCAAACCCTCTGAGATGGGCTTGGGTAATTATTTGGATAAAGAGTGTGACAGTGTTAGCACTTTTGAAAAAAAAAATCCATTTGAATAGCCATAAAGCCTGATCCTCCTATACACCAGTTGGGGAAATCTAGAGACCTCAGTATTCAGACGAGTGGAACTAGAATCCATCCATTTCCCCGGACACATGCTCTAGCTTTCTACTTTAAAAGATGCTTTTGCTGTAGATAGAAAAGATAGTTATTTAAAAAATCATGTTTCAATGGTTTAAGCAAACGTTTTTCTTCTACTTTGATTACTTAGTAACAGTCCGGACACAAAGCAACCGAACTGTAGTTTCTCCTCTATTGCATCTCCATTAACTGGAGTTCTAAATGGACAGTGTTTGAATTGCCCTAGTTTTGTTCTAGAATATTTTCACCAGTGAGACTGTGAGCCCTCAGACAGCCAACAGCGCTTCTTCAGCCTTCAGTTTACTGGAAGTGAAAGAAAAGTCTTGGACTAGTCTTCGACGATACTTTGGAGGACAGAGAAAAATGCTGCTGCTGAACCTATTTGAGGTGACAGTATTTCCAGAAGCAGAAACACACAGGTGCAAGCACCCCTATTTTTAGGTGCCTCAAACCTCAGATATTTATTAAATGTCTAGTAAGTACCAGGCACAATGTAAGAAAACTGATAGGAAGGAGTTTAAAGGTACAAGCTTGGAGGGAATGAGAATCTGAGAATCCCAGAGACTGACGCAGCCTGATGGCCATTCCCACTGACCTTGTGTCCACGTAGACACCTGTGTTCCTAGGCTGCCACCTCCCTTCCTGGTGGGCAGTTAGCCCCCATTTTGTCTGTTCTGGAGGTGTGAAGGGGAGGGCCATGGCAGCCAGAGAGCGAGGTCAGGGCTTTATTCCCCAGTGTGGGTTTTGAGTGGGGGCTGGCAGAATCAAGGGTGGTGTGTTAGGACTGTTAGATTTGTTATGTATGCCAGCAGCGCCCTTGGGCTGTGGAGGAGAGAGGCCGGGGTCACGTAGCTGAATTCTCAGGTCATTCCAGCTGTTGGAAAAGAATTAGAGCTGCAGTGTTGGCCATGGAGGGTGGAGGCAGGTGAGGCTGAGAGGCTGGACTGGGGAGTGGGGTGGGGGTTGAAGGGACCAGCCAAGGATGACATTTGAGGTTAGAGTCTGTATGAGAGACAGCAGGGTGGTGCCCTTGAGTGAATTAAGGATGTGGCATGAGGAGGAAATATTTCTTAAGAAAGTCATCAGGCAAGTTCTGTATTTGCAGGGGTTGAAGGGGTGAGGGGGCTTCCAAGGGAAGGTGCCTTGCAGGGTGGGAGGTGTCAGAGGGAGGGGATGGGCCCTGCCGAGGGTCTTCTGCCCAGAGGTGGTCACTGAAGCCAACAAGACACTGAGGGTCTCACCAAGGTGGGAGAAGGCAGACAGAGAAGAGGGTGAGGGACAGGCCAGCGGGGAATGCATCTGTGCAAGGAGTGAGAGGAAGCAGAAGGGCTGAGATGGAGCCATCCAGAGGAGGAGCTAACAGGGGAGCTGGAAGCCACCCTGTGGGAACAGGGAAGAGGGAACTCCAGGAGAAGTCTTGGTGAGGGGAGCAATCGCTGCCAGGTGAGGTGTAAAATCATCCATCTCTTTTGAAAAGCTACAGGTGCCATGCCTTAGAAATGTTCAGAGCAGCAGTTCCCCTATTTGAAATCTCTCTTAAGAAGAGCCGGTCTGGCATTCTCTGCTCTACCACCTCTAGAGGCTCCCATTGCTTTCAGACTCACTGACCAGCCACGAGGTCCTGCCTCTCTCCCTGCCTTCCTGCTCTTACCTGGCTCATGCTCTGCCAGACTCCTTGCCATTCCCTCAATGCCTTGCTTGCACGTTGCCACTGCGTGCCTTGGCACACGAACTCCACCTGTCTGAGCCTCTGTCTGTCACCTTTGCTCATGGCACCTGCACCTTCCACCTTCAATTTGAGCAGGACCTCTTCTGAGAAAGCCTCTGCAGCTAGCCCCTCCACACGGTGCCTTCCATATTGCCTGGTAACAGCTCGTGAACTCTGTGTCTCCACTATTGACCAAGAGCTTTCAGTGAGCAGGGGACAGTGGGAGCTTCATAAATGTTTGATGTGCACCTGTGTGCATGACTGAACGTTTTTGCTTACAGAAATAGCTAGGACCATGGAGACGATGATATGGATGATGTTATTTTTATCTCTATGTGCTAGATGCCATCCTCAGAGTTTCATGTGCCGCCTCTCATTTAATCTGGATAAACAACTCTGTGTGTTAGATGATCTCACACTTTTAGAAATGGCTCAGGTCAGGTAAGTTGCTAAGGTAACATACAAGTGATGGAGCCGGAGTTGAAAACCTATGTTCTTAGTGTCTCTCACTACCACCACCTTGGTTCAACCGCCTTTATTATCTTCCTCTTCTTCAAGGGATCTGACCTTTTCCCCGCACACAGTGGGCTTGTGAGAAGTTCATCCACTTTCTACCTACCTCTCCTGACACCTGCTTATTTGTATTTTTCCTTATAATAACTAAATTGGAACCAATCCCAGTGTCCAGCAAGAGGGGTAAAGTTAAGTAAATTATGGAAGATTCACATGGTAAAACAGCATGAAGCCATTAAAAGTACTATTTCTGAAGAGTTCATAACATGAAAACATGGTTATGTGAAAAATGGGGCACAACAGTTTATATACTGTATGAAGATAAATATAAAATATGCGGCCGGGTGCGGTGGCTCACGCCTGTAATCCCAGCACTTTGGGAGGCCGAGGCGGGCGGATCACGAGGTCAGGAGGTCGAGACCATCCTGGCTAACACGGTGAAACCCCGTCTCTACTAAAAATACAAAAAAATTAGCCAGGCGTGGTGGCAGGCGCCTGTAGTCCCAGCTACTCAGGAGGCTGAGGCAGGAGAATGGCGTGAACCCGGGAGGCGAAGCTTGCAGTGAGCCGAGATCGCGCCGCTGCACTCCAGCCTGGGCGACAGAGCGAGACCCTGTCTCAAAAAAAAAAAAAAAAAAAAAAAAACATAAAATATGCAAACAAAGAAAAAAGACCACACATATCACTGCCTAAAGATTGGACGGTCTTTCTTTCTAGTAGCTGCAGAGAAGTCAACAAGGATGAAGGCTGGGGATGGGTTGTTAGGTTTGGCCGCTAGTTTTGGTCCCTGGCGTCGTTTCTGTTTGGGTAGAACTGTGAAGGGGAAAGGGAAAGTCTGACATGACCCGTGAAAGGGAGGAAACCAGCAGAGGACTGCAGTTTGAAGACATAAGAAAGGCACCAGGCATGGGTTAACCTCAGAAAGGAGTGAGGGCCTGAGGCCACAGTGGCAGGAGTTGAAGGCACAGAGATACTGACAGAGAAGGAAGAAAGCCCAGAGAGCTTGACAGCTGCTGAGCAGGAAGGGTGGGTAGGACAGACGGCTTGAGGAGAGTGACAGTGCCACCAACCATTTCTCTGACAGCATCATTCCAGACCCTCAGCATCCAGGCCACCTTCCTCTGGGTGAATTTTCACACCTTGATGCCCATTTTAGTGGCACTATTCTCTAGCCTTGATCTGCTCAGCCATGAGTACGGTGCAACTTCTTGTGAGCATCCCTCAGTGTATCCTGGCATTATGTTAGTGCTTTAAGCAGAGCTGGTACATGCTCTGCCCCTGGTGGGTCAAATCAAGTCCTGGTCCTGCCCCTTACTAACTGGGTGACACCAGGCAAGTTACTTAACCTGAGTTTCCACACCAGTATAATGGACTGAATCATGCTTACCAGCTGAGGAGGTCACTATGAGGATTAATGGCGTGTAAAATCCTTAGCACAGCACCTGACACATAATGCTTAATAAAGATTACTCAAATACTGATGCTATTATAATACAGTTGATTTTTTTTACCTAAATACAGACTTTACATTTATCCCTATAAAATTTTCTGTTTTGTTTAGTGCCCAGCGTTTCTGTAGCTTGTAAAAACCTTTTGAATCTTGATCATCTTTAGCTAATCAATCATTTCATCTGCTTGTTTGATACATGTGTTTTGTTTTTTCATCTACGATACTGGTGAAAGTGTTGAATGAAAGGGGAGGCGGTAGAGCTCTGTGGCATGCCTCTGGAGACCTTTTTTTTTTTTTTTTCCTAAAGGTTGCTCTTGCTCATTAATTAGAACTCAGGTTATGACTGTGTAGTGACAGGTTCACTACAGTCATTCCACCATCTGTTTCTTTCACTTGTGCAAGAGGAACTCACAAATATCTTCAAAGTTCTGCTGAAACTCAGATGTGCAAGGTCAAAAGAAGTGTCTTGACTAGCAGTCCAGGGCCCCTGTCTAAAATGAGGTCAAAGTTCAGCGTAACGATTTTTTTTTTAATTTGGCTAATTCTAAATAGTTTTTAGACTTCTATATACCATTAACAACTCTGGAAAATTAAATGTATCCATTGTATTATGTATGGGTAGTTCAAAGAGAAAAAAAGGGATGAAAAGACTGAAATACTTAGTCTTTAATTGGTGCAACTGAACCACTGGGAATTTGAATTTTTGTTCAAAAGTTGTTTATGGAGTGCTAGTTATGGGAAGCCTTTGCATTGGATTCCAAGCACAAAGACCAGGCTCTTAAAGTTCAAATGCCAGTGGGGGAGATGGGAGGCAGCCTAGATACCTGGGGGAGGAGCAGAGAGCGCTCAAGGGAAGCATCCAGCTCTGCTAGATGGCAAGTGGCAAGGAGAGTGCCAAGATGAGGAGTGTCTCCAGCTACTCCAGACTGTTCAGAGCTGTTTGCTCTTGGATGGGGAGAGGATGGGTGGGGCTAGGGTGGAAGGAACAGAAGTACACAGCAGAAAGCCAAAGAAGGCCTGCCATGTTCCAGAAAGTGCTAGTGGTTTTGGGTGGCCACAGGCAGAGGGTGGATTGAAAAGAGGGTGAGGCCTGAGCAGGAAATTGGCCAGAATGCTGGTTGCCCAGGCCTGGCTCTTCCTCAAAACCCATGTGGGGGTTGATTTTCAAAGCTTTTCTCTTGCCGGGCCCCACCCACAGGAATTCCAATCAAGTACGGATGAGAGAGTCTGTCTGCCCAAAGAAACCTCGTGCTCAGCCTGGCTGAGGAAGCCTCCGGGGGCTGCTGCACCAGTCAAGAGAGGATTGGTGGGGGTAGGGTTGGGGGCTGACTTATGGCCATGGCAAGGGGGCTGGTAGGCAGGGGCGGACAGGAGAGGGCTTTTAAAAGGCAGTCTTTTCTAGCACCTGGTGACTGTTGGGCTGTTGGGGTGGAGACACAGAGGGGTGCCCAGCACTGTCCCAGGCTTCTGACATGAGGGGCAAGAGAGCTAGGAAGGAGGAGCGTCGGCATCACTGGAGTTTGGAATTTATGAGTCTATGAGGACATTTAGGGGCTGACATCTTGGAGGCAATTGGAAATGTGGTGTAGAGCTCCAGTGCACGATCTGGGTGGGAGGTCTCAGATGCACAGGTGCCAGGCAGTTGCAGAAGCTGTGGAATTGGGTGGAACTCTCCAGAAACAGCCTATCATGAGAAGAGGCTGGGAAGGACCTTGGGAGACACGGACATGGGGGGCAGTGGGAGGGGCAGGGGAGCCAGGGGAGGGGCCCATGAGGAGCGAATGAAGAGGAGGAGGAAGAGAGGGGCATGGTGTGACAATCTGGCCTGGCTGACCTGGAGTGTGGACACTCCCAGTCCAGAAAGCGGTTCTAGGAGGGAAACACATGTCGTCCCATCTTGTCCCATCTTCCATATAAGTCTTCAAGTCATTTCTGTGGCTCATGCCAGAAGATCCCTCAGAAAAGCAGGCGGCGTGAGAAGATGCTGTTCTCATCTCACCTGTGTGCCTTGGGGGGGTGGCTGGCATGGTCTTGAGCTCATAAGGTTCAGTGGTCCCGAGCCTCTGCCTCAGCTTGGCGCCTTGGCATGGGGAGGGCACTCAGGGAAGTTGGGAGGTGGCCCTCTCTTTCCTGGCTCCGCTGAAGGGCTTGGCGAGCTGTTCCATCCCAGTCCACAGACTCCTGCCTCATGGGAAGGCCCCATATTCTGGAGGTCAGTTGACAGCTGGTTACATTGTTTGCATGAACTGCGGACTGCATCTGTTTGGATGAATGCTGTAAAGTTAACTCTTCCTCCAGTTTGAAGCATTGCTTTGTGGGTAGAGGAATGTGAGGGAGGAGGGGACAGGAATGAATGGGTGGAACTTACCCGGAGCTGAGTAAACTCACCGTTGTTTACTTACCAGGCTGGGTTTCAGCTGCAGGGCACTCAATGCCAGCAGAAGCACCAGGATCGCAGGGTGTGGGCGGCCTGGGGTACTGGGCTGAGGAGTCACTGGTCTTCAGAAGAGAAGCCGTCAGTGGTTACGTATGTCCTAATACTGCCTGCCATTTAATACCACTTTTAGCTGAAACCAATCCTAAATTATAGTTAGGAGAGCACATGGACTCTCAAGTAGATGGTTGCAGTTCAGAGTTCAGGATTACTTTCAGGGCCAGATTCGCTTAACTAATACGGAGTTCAAACTAGGAGTCACAGGCCCTAGCTCTGCTGGAGTCCTGGTCCTTTGAGACTCTGTCTGCTGTTTGGTGAGTTATTTCTCTCTGGGCTTCAGTTAGGGGCTCTGTTAAACAAAAGGATTGATTGGCCTAGTGACTTTCACATTACTTCTCAGAGCCCAGGCTTCCTTGGAAGGCCCCCAGGGCTCTCAGCTCCAGCTCCCATCAGAACACCTCCACTTTCACCAGCTTCGCTTAGCCAGCTGTTACAACTTAATTTTTTTTTTTTTTTGAGACGGAGTTTCACGCATGTCACCCAGGCTGCAGTGCAATGGCAAGATCTTGCCTCACAGAAACCTCCGCCTCTCGGGTTCAAGCGATTCTCCTGCCTCAGCCTCCCAAGTAGCTGGGGTTAGAGGCATGCGCCACCACGCCCAGCTACTTTTGTATTTTTAGTAGAGACGGGGTTTCTCCATGTTGGTCAGGCTATTCTCAATCTCCCAATCTCAGGTGATCCACCCACCTCGGCCTCCCAAAGTGCTGGGATTACACACGTGAGCCACCGCGCCTGGCCAGAACTTCCTTTTGAAGTAGGCTTTCTGCAGCTCTAAAAAGGAGTTTGACAAACAACTTGGAGTAGATAATCAGTTCTGAGACTCTGTAGTGGCCAATTCTTGATAAATTTGGTAATTCATGTACAATTCTTTTGGGGGGCATATATTTTGATATTTGCCTTTAAAGATTAACATTCATTGTTCTGATTATGAAAGTAATAGGTACATATTGTAGAAAATACATCCAACTCTCAGGTGTCTCTTATGAGGATCCCATTCCTAATCCATTTTAATGAAGTAAGCTTCATGACGTTAGTAATAAATATTTTCAATAGCAGACCTGGGGTAGGAGCTGTGTAGCCCGTGGCAACAAGGATGGGTGTGGGTGTGTGTGCCTGAGACAGGCGTGTCTGTGTGTTTCTTTATGAGGCCTCCATCGTCCTATCTGCACAAGAGTGTGTGTCACTGCCTGCCAGGTCATTCTTCCATTCTCGTTCTCTCAAAACTTACACATCCATGTCACGTTTCGGCAAGCTTCTGCTTTTTGCTAGCTGTTAAGGATTAAAGCAACTCAAATGATTTAGGGGTAGTCATGATTGATATCCATCCAGTGACTTTTCTGTTTTATTGATTAAGTAAGGCGATTTATATTAACTAATAGATAGGTTCCTCATCCAGCATTGTCCTAGTCTAGTACTTGTAACTGTGAACTTTGTTTGTTTGTTTGTTTGTTTGTTAGTTTTTCTTTTTTTTTTTTCTTTTTTCTTTTTTTTTTTTATTGATCATTCTTGGGTGTTTCTCGCAGAGGGGGATTTGGCAGGGTCACAGGACAATAGTGGAGGGAAGGTCAGCAGATAAACAAGTGAACAGAGGTCTCTGGTTTTCCTAGGCAGAGGACCCTGCGGCCTTCCTCAGTGTTTGTGTCCCTGGGTACTTGAGATTAGGGAGTGGTGATGACTCTCAACGAGCATGCTGCCTTCAAGCATTTGTTTAACAAAGCACATCTTGCACCGCCCTTAATCCATTTAACCCTGAGTGGACACAGCACATGTTTCAGAGAGCACAGGGTTGGGGGCAAGGTCACAGATCAACAGGATCCCAAGGAAGAAGAATTTTTCTTAGTACAGCACAAAATGAAAAGTCTCCCATGTCTACCTCTTTCTACACAGACACGGCAACCATCCGATTTCTCAATCTTTTCCCCACCTTTCCCCCCTTTCTATTCCACAAAACTGCCATTGTCATCATGGCCCGTTCTCAATGAGCTGTTGGGCACACCTCCCAGACGGGGTGGTGGCCGGGCAGAGGGGCTCCTCACTTCCCAGTAGGGGCGGCCGGGCAGAGGCGCCCCTCACCTCCCGGACGGGGCGGCTGGCCGGGCGGGGGGCTGACCCCCCCCACCTCCCTCCCGGACGGGGCGGCTGGCCGGGCGGGGGGCTGACCCCCACCTCCCTCCCAGACGAGGCGGCTGGCCTGGCGGGGGCTGACCCCCCACCTCCCTCCCGGACGGGGCGGCTGCCGGGCGGAGACACTCTTCTCCTCCCAGACGGGGTGGCTGCCGGGCGGAGGGACTCCTCACTTCTCAGAGGGTGCGGCTGCCGGGCGGAGGGGCTCCTCACTTCTCAGACGGGGCGGCCGGGCAGAGACGCTCCTCACATCCCAGACGGGGCGGCAGGGCAGAGGCGCTCCCCACATCTCAGACGATGGGCGGCTGGGCAGAGACGCTCCTTACTTCCCAGATGGGATGGCGGCCGGGAAGAGGCGCTCCTCACTTCCTAGATGGGATGGCGGCCAGACAGAGATGCTCCTCACTTCCCAGATGGGGTGGCGGCCGGGCAGAGGCTGCAATCTCGGCACTTTGGGAGGCCAAGGCAGGCGGCTGGGAGGTGGAGGTTGTAGCGAGCCGAGATCACGCCACTGCACTCCAGCCTGGGCACCATTGAGCACTGAGTGAACGACACTCCGTCTGCAATCCCAGCAACTCGGGAAGCCGAGGCTGGCGGATCACTCGTGGTTCGGAGCTGGAGACCAGCCCGGCCAACACAGCGAAACTCCGTCTCCACCAAAATAATATGAAAACCAGTCAGGCGTGGCGGCGCGCCACTCGGCAGGCTGAGGCAGGAGAATCAGGCAGGGAGGTTGCAGTGAGCCGAGATGGCAGCAGTACAGTCCAGCTTCAGCTCTGCATCAGAGGGAGACCGTGGAAAGAGAGGGAGAGGACGGAGAGGAGGGAGAGGAGGGAGAGGAGGGAGACGGGAGAGGGAGAGGAGGGAGAGGGAGAGGGAGAGGGAGAGGAGGGAGAGGAGGGAGAGGGAGAGCGAGAGCCTGTTTGTTTTTTTTTCATTTGAGACAGAGTTTCACTCTTGTCTCCCAGGCTGGAGTGCAGTGGTGCGATCTCGGCTCACTGCAACCTCCACCTCCTGGGTTCAAGCGATTATCCTGCCTCAGCCTCCTGAGTAGTTGGGATTACAGGCATGCACCACCACGCCCAGCTAATTTTTGTGTTTTTAGTAGAGACAGGGTTTCACCATGTTGGCCAAGCTGGTCTCCAACTCCTGACCTCAGGTGATCCACCCACCTGGGTCTCCCAAAGTGCTGGGATTACAGGTGTGAGCCACTGTGCCCAGCCTGTTTTATTCTTATTCTTTATTTCCTCCAGCATTTTTATATGAACATGTTAAGCATAATGCAATGTTGAAAGAACTTTACAGGTCAGGCATGATGGCTTATACCTGTAATCTTAGCACTTTGGGAGGCTGACATAGGAGGATCACTTGAACCCAGGAGTTCGAGGCTCCAGTGAGCTGTGATCACGTCACTGCACTCCAGCCTGGGCCACAAAACTAGATCCTGTCTCTTAAAAAAAAAAAAAAAAGAAAGAAAGAAAAAGAATTTTATAGTGAACACCTGTTTTACCACCTGGATTCTGGTGTGGACATTCTACCATATTCATTGTATCCCATGTCTATCCATCTTTCTGTCCTTCTATCTGACCTTCAATTCATCTCACTTTTTTGAAGCATCTTTGAGTAAGCCATATATCAATACACCTTCTAAATATTTTAGTATGCATATTAACTAGAGTTCCATATTTGTTTAATTTTTTGTGTAAAATTTACAGAAAATGAAATGCACAAATCTTAAGTCTGCATTGTCTGAGGTTTGAAAAGTGCTTAGCCCCTATGTAACCCGAGCCCCATCAAGATACAGAATGTTACCATCACTCCCAGAAGATCCCCTCATACACCTTCGGAGTCACTCCCTGGCCCCACCCACCCTCAGAGGCAACTACTGCTGTGAATTTTTTCCCAGCATGCTTTAGTTTTAGCTGTTCCAGAACTTGATTTGAAGGGACTCACATAGGAGGTACTCATTTGTGTAAGGCTTCTTTAACTCAGCGTGCTTTGGTGACTCACCCATGCTTTTGCTTACATCAGTAGTTCATTCCTTTTATGGGTAAGTTGTATTTCATTGTATGGGTATTCTGCAGGTGTTTTTTTTTTTTAATTCTCATTAATGGGCATTTAGTCTGTTTCCAATTTTTGGCCACTATAAATAAAGTTACTATGTCCCATATCACAGAATTTATGTACCATTCTTTGAGGGGGGGGCTTATATTTTGATATTTGCCTTTAAAGATTAATATTTATTGTTCTGATTGTAAAAGTAATAGATGCATATTGTAGAAAAATACATCAAACTCTCAGGTGTCTCTTATAAGGACACTAATTTTTAAATCCTGCCAGGCGTGGTGGCTCATGCCTGTAATCCCAGTACTTTGGGAGGCTGAGGCAGGTGGATCGCCTGAGGTCAGGAGTTTGAGACCAGCCTGACCAACATGGTGAGACCCTGACTCTACTAAAAATACAAAATTAGCCAGGCATGGTGGCGGGTGCCTGTAATCCTAGCTACTCGGGAGGCTGAGGCAGGAGAATCACTTGAACCCGGGAGGTGGAGGTTGCAGTGAGCCAAGATCGTGCTGTTGCACTACAGCCTGGGCAACAAGAATGAAAATCCATCTCAAAAAAAAAAAAATCCTATTGGGTCAGCGCCTTACCCTCATGACCTCACTGAACCTTAATTACCTTCTGAAGATCCTTCTCAGATATAGTCAATTGGGGGTTAGGGCTTCAACATATGAATTTGGGGGACACACAGTTCAGCCCACAGCAACGTGGTTCTACCTAAAGACTTGTACATCGGCGCTGAGCCAGGCGTGCCATTGCCTGCTGGGAATTGAGCTGGGTGGCTGTGTCTGGACTTCTGCATTTCCCACTGTGGGAGTCCTTGGCAGCCCACCAGTGTGATAAGATTATGATGACATTGCTGTAACAATACTTTCGTAGCATTTTACAAAGTTCTTTCAAGTACAAAGTCTAATTTAACCTCCCAGGGAACTGGTGAAAATAGGTATTGTTGTGCCAATTCTATGGATGAGTAAAATGAGGCACTAGAAGTTAAGTGTCTGGCCCAGAGTTCCATAGTCAAATCAGTGGTGAAAGAAATCCCTCTCCTCTAACCCTGTAGACAGCCGTGAGATGTTTCCATTAAGGGACTCGCGGATTTCTTTCCCACGTACAGGCTTTCAGCGTTCAAGGTTTATCTAGGAGGCTTTGGGAGTTCTGTTGCCTGTAAACTGAGGCAGCCAGGCCTGGTGCATCACAGATGCACGAAAGATCACCTCATAAGCAAAATTAGGTAGACGTATTCCTCATGAAGGAGCTGACCTAGTGCACAGAAAGAAACCTTCCTGTGTCTAACCATGCATTGATCCATAATTTTGGAAGTCCTGAAATTCAGCTTTTCTCATCCTGTTGGTCAGTACAACAGGGTCTGGATTCCCGATCCTGAAGAAGTTTGGAAGTCTGCTGAAATAGCCAAGGACTACAGAGTTGGTGACAAGGTCCTGCGACTCCTGCTGGAGGATGGAACGGTGAGGGTCCTTGCTGTTCACAGCTACGTCGATGTGTAAAGCGGTAGCTGGGGTGTGTGTAAGGATGGGAGCACGTGGACCCCGTGGGAGGCACCCAGGGGAGGGCGCACGAGTGGGCACCAGCACCATTCCCAAATGGCCTCCTGGTGCCGGGACTCACTGATGTGTCTGTACTCCTTCCCTCCCGCCCCTGTGCTGCCCTGCATCCACCGGGCCTCTCTCTGTAATGAGGGCCCAGCTGCAGGAGCCAGGTCTGTGCCACGGCACTGCATTTCCAGGCACCCAGCATTACTGGGAGAATGCTGAAAAGTGATTCGCCATTTTGGCTTCCTGAGTCTCAGCCCAGAGATTGGGCAGAGATGAAAAACTTGGTGAGAAGTCGTTTGAGCCCAAGGCATACGCTGGTAGAGAAAAACATCAAGATGTGAAGGGGAGGAAAATGAGAAGAGGGAGATAGAAAACAGGCAGGGAGAGGGAGGAGTGGGAGGAGACTGGAGGGAGTCGGTCCACAGATATATAGAAATGTGTAAGGGAGGGAGTGTGGCAGGGACAAGAAGACATGGACACCCAGCTTTGTGTGACATTATGAGGTGCCTCTGTTGGTGCTGGTGTGGTGAGGGGGAGGTGAGGATGAACTTTAGCAGTTGCTCCTGTGGTAGGATGAGCTATTGAGGAGCTTCCCTGCAAGGCTGCATGTGCCTTCTGATGACGCAGCTTCTGAAGACTTTGCATTTGCTCTAAGTGTCCCTCATGAGTTGTCCTTGCCCACCATTGCTGTAGTGACATCCCACTGGATTAGTAGCCTAGGGTGACTGGACGGGTTTAGAATCAAGTATCTGGGTAGAGAACTGGGCAGGGGATTTGTGCTCCATCTAGATCCCAGAGGTGGGTCTGGGGAACATCATGTGAGGATTAATTGACAAAGCATGTAAATGGGTTCTGCAGACACAGGACACACTACTTCTAATCAGACTGTCCTGGATTTGGGAGACATTTCCTGAGATCCTGGGAAGGCAGATGAACACAGCGGTTAAAGACACACCCTCTAGAATCAGATGGTCTGGCGTCAGATCCTGGCATGGCCCCTTGTTAAGTCTTTGGCCCAGGCCCCCAGTTTCCCCATATGTACAAAGGAGGTAATGACTGTGCACCGTCCCAGGGTTGCTGAAGTGCGATGAGACAATCCTGTGTGCATGTTTGAAGGCAGGAGCTCTGGGAAGAGGCTCCTGCTCCCCGGGGCTTCCCTTTCCAACAGGAGCTCCTCGCAGTTTTTATTGAGTGTCTCCTGTGCACAAGGTTCTGATTAGGGATCAGATGGCTTTGTTTGGGAAGGAAAATCTCAAGGCAGCAGCTGCAGTGGCAGTTTGCTGCTTTGGTAATATCTGCAGGGCTTCAGGTGGCTACATTCCCGGCCTTGACCCGGCTGCAGAGGTGAGTAGGATGGCGGGCAGCCAGACCTCTCTTTAGCTCAACCCTTTGTCAGTACTGTAAGAGACAAGGCCTGTGTGCTGTAGGAAAATGTCACCTCTGCCTCCACCTGTCAACATAATGTTCATTACATTTTCTCCCCTCCCCCAAAGACTGTCTGTCCTTTCTGTCTCCCTGTTGCTTTCACACATAACACACACAGAGGCCAAACCAGAAGTGGGGGTTGTGGATTTACAACAGAAAAACAGAGACAAGGAAAGTCAGTATGTATGAGAAGCATTTTTCCTGATTTTATTTTCAAAAATGTTTAGGTTGAGAATATTCTGGTCGGGGTTAGGTCACAATACAATTGCATTGGTAACAGGGGAGCAGGAGCTGGCCTGAGCATCCGTGTCCAGTTGTGGATTGCCCTGAGCTGCTCGCTTTATGCAGAACAGACCAACCAGCCAGCAAAACCCCCGCCATGGACAAGGAAGCACTGTGCTAGTGAGAGAGCACAGGCTTCAGAGTGAGGCTCAGATTAACTGTGTGACCTTGGACAACAAACTCCAACTTTCTGAACCTGTCTCGTTGACTTTCTTGGTTGGGGTAGTCATGTCCTCCCTGGAAGGCAGTTTTGAGGATTAAATGAAACAATCCATGCTGAGTGCTTGGCATGGGGTCTGCACAGTGGCACTTGATGAAAGGCAGCTGGGCCACCTTGTGGAGCTGGTCCAGGACCAGAGATCAGAAGGAATCCAGAGATACTGACTGAATACCTGGAAGGCGGCCTAGGAAGGTGGAAGAGAAACAAGCATGCTGGGTAACCTGCTCAAGTCGCTTTAGTTGGGCTTCACTTCCCCCAGCGGTGAAATGGGAGTGTAGGAATTAGAATACTCTGACATTGGAAAGGCCCAGTCATCTGTGGCACAGATGCCACGGGGCATGCTCGCCTCACCTTCGTTCTGCTAAGGCAGCTGCTTTAGGAATACTAGGTTAAATCTAGCAGAAGAGGAGCAAGCCTGGGAAAATTCCTTGGCCCAGGGCTGAGACTGATAGGAATAGACAGCCCTGCTGGGGGAGCTGTGAGCCCTCGGGCATGTGGGCAACTGCAGACAGGAGACACCTGCACCAGGGGCCTTTCACGGAGAGACCACCACCTGCATGGACTCCTTTAGGTATCTGTCACCACCAAGTGTGTCAACTTTGAGCAGAGACTCAACAACCTTAGAGTTAAAGAGACCGTAGGTCACTGTGTCATTTTAGCTGCAGCATCTTGTTTTCAAATGAAAACTTGCATGGCCTCAACATTTAAACCACATATAGGTAGAGCCCTGGTGGGAGATTCAGGAATGGGGCACCTGGATCTCTGCCCTTGTAGCTTCCCCAACACTCCTTATTGAGGCCTCTGTAGATCTAAGGACCCCTGCTCTAGCTCCTCTTCGCAGATGAGAGAAGTGAGGCCCAGAGAGGGTGAGTGACTTGCCCCAGTGCACATAGCCAGTGCCCTAGTCCCCTGCTCCTACTTTTCATTATTCCAGGAGTCAGCTGTGAAGATTTTCTTGTTGCTATAAGTACATTTGCTTTTTAATGTCAGTGATGACTCTGATGGAGGGGTGGATAGGACAAAGGACAGTGCTTCAACAGAAACACCAAAAATCTTTTATTTCCAGAGCTTTAATTTTTATCTTTGTCCATAGGAGCTGGATTATTCTGTCAATCCAGAATCTCTGCCTCCACTTCGGAATCCTGACATCCTCGTGGGCGAGAATGACCTCACGGCTCTCAGCTATCTTCACGAGCCCGCGGTGCTCCACAACCTCAGAATCCGCTTTGCAGAATCCAAACTCATTTACACCTACAGTGGTAAGGAGAGCAATTCTAGGAAGTAAGGAATGGCACTGGAATGTAAGCTTGCTGTCTAGAGCCTCCTGGTTGTTTTATGTTTATACTGAGCACCCAGAGTTTGTTGTAAAAAGAAGTGTCTGGGTGGGGAGAATCTTCAACAAGAACTAAGACTGGACTACCTAGAAAAAGAGATGTAACAAAGCTCGTGTTTGAGTTTCTCATCAGATTTCATACATTTATTACTTATTTTGGGCAATGATATTACTTACACTGCAAATTGCAAAAACCTCTCCATTTGCGAGCATTTCCACCTGTCCTGTCAACCAACCGTCAGAACAGCCCGAGGGTGTAGGTGACTGGCAGGGAATTAATTCAGTGCGTGAAGTGACTTGCCCAAAGTCACACAGAAGGTTTAATAAGCGACAGAGCTGGGGTTTCTTAAAAAAAAAAAAACTGGAGATGCAGGTGGCAGTAAGAGTATTTTAACTGCATCTAACATCTTTCCCCAGGAATCATTTTGGTGGCCATGAATCCTTACAAGCAGTTGCCAATATACGGAGATGCCATCATCCACGCCTACAGCGGGCAGAACATGGGCGATATGGACCCACACATATTTGCCGTGGCAGAAGAGGCATACAAGCAGATGGCCAGGTAGCTTCCTGCCAAGCTGGACTTCCCCTTGCTCTGCCAATGCTCCCTGCATTTGCCAGACCATCACAGTGGAGGGGAGATATCTAGGTTGGGCTCATTAAAAGAGATAGGCCAGAGGTGGTGCTTTGTTGAGCCGACTACCTGGAATGAATAGCAAACGACTGTTCCATGTACCTGACCTGTCAAGACTGGAGTTTCCTGGGTTTTGTTCCTTCAAGGTAGTCAAGTCAGTCCTACCAGTCTGGGAATAGCAGATGCTTTTCTTGCAGTGTGTTTGGTTGGAGGAGTGTTGATTTATTCTCTGCTATGAGACGTTTAAGCTTTTTTTTTTTTTACCCATTGCAGGAAGTAGGATCTGATGACAGGGTTTTTAGCTGCAGGAGGTTTTAGGTGCAGGAGACATGGAATTTTATCCTAATTTCACTGCTAGGTGTTTGTAGGGCCCTGTGGAGTTCTCGTTTCACTAGTGCACATGTATGAAAAGCCTCCTGTGAATGAGGCACCGTGCACACATTCCCATGTGTCATCTGGGATGGCCTCAGAATAGCCCACGATGCAAATGTCTGGGCAGTAAACAGCTTCAGGGAATAACCAACCCAGGGTAGGCAGCAAGTAAAAGGCAGATCTGGGATTTGTGCTCAGATTTTTAAACTCTAGTTTATTTTTCCCATAACTATCACTTTTGGCTTCAGTGTCTTCATCTGTAAAGTATGGAGAATAGAAACACCACCCTATCTTTGTAGCTGCCTTTACAGTTTGCAAAAGAACTTTCACATACAGTGGTCTCCCTTGAGTCTTACAGCACTCCTGTGAAGTTGACTGACTTCATTGCCCTCATTTCACAGATGGGAAATCTGAGGCACAGGACCTGGACCTGCTGACTCTTTACCTAAATCTTTACTGCATAACCCCAGCCGCAGCTCCTGAGCTCCCTCCGCTTTATGTCTTCGTCTGTGAGCTGGACTCTCAGAGGGCACCCATTCCTGGTTCTGATGCTTATAATGAGGGAGCAGGTGGTGCTTACATGAGGTAGAACACGTGCTGCTTTCCTGCACAGATGTCTGATGGGCAGTCTGGGGCTAGACCGAGCTTCTTCAGAGTCATCAGAGACCCGGTGCCGTGCAGCTCCCTGTCCCTGGGGTGGGGCCGTCATCCTCAGGGACAAGCCAGTTCTCACCTCTGTCTTCCATATTCTAGGTAACAAGGCATATGAGGGGAAGGGTATGGCCCTCCAGGTTAAGGAGACTCTCTGGAAGCCCCACAAAGCACTTCTAACAGCTCGTCAGGCAGACCTCACTCACATAGGGAGGCTGGGATGTGCAGTCTTTCAAATGCACAGAGGGGCACTGCCTGGCCACTGGGGCCTAGTCCCTAAGAAGGAAGAGGAGAATGCAAATGCATACTGGGTAGAGAATTAGCAGCTTCCGCTGCACCAAGATTCCTTCTAACCCTAAAACCCCTGTGGTTCTGAGATTTTTCCCTGGCTCCCTGTAGGTCTCCCAGGTATCGTGGTGATTAGGGACTGGGTATGGGTGGGATGAGCTCTTTGGCACTGTAGGGCTGTGCTCACTTCAGCCCTAAAGAGCCAGTTTCTCCTTGGAGGTCTGTCTGTGTAACTGCCATAACAGAACGGAGCCCAAAGCAGGCTCGTGTTGGCCTTGTTTGATGCTAGACAGGTAGTGTCCCTCAGGGCTGTAGAACAGGGCTGGGATTACTAAAGCCCTGTTCTATGCCCTGAGGGACACTGAGCATGTCATTTCACTTCTCAGAGTCTTCATCTTCTCTCTTTGAAATGAAAATATTGGACCGGGGCTCTGTATCCAAAGTCTCCTCTAGCATTTACATGGGAGGCTGTGGCTCTGTGCTCTGGGTCAAGTCACTCCACCCCTGAGTCACCATTTTACTCTTCTGTAAAAGAGATATCTATGTCGTAGGATTTTTGTGAAGCTTAAATGAGAATCTGTATTCACCCAGCACCTGGCATGTGAGCGGTGCCACATCCACAGAGCCATGTTAGAAGCTTCCACCATCACAGTCTTATGACATGAAAAGTTTAATGCATTTTTAAAAAATCTCTAAATTATATAACAGAGCATGTTGGCTTAGAGAGCGCATATGTTCCCAAGCATCTTTTGAATAATTGCTCTCAAAATAATGTCCTTGAAATGTTTTTATATTTAAGTGGGATGTGCAGAAAGGAGTTGACATAAGGCCTGAGGCTGCTATCTTTAGAGGCCTGCTTGCAAGGTGGCCCATGGCTAGCCTCTGATTTCATGACGGTTCCTGACATTTCTTGGTTGAAAAAGTGGCTCATTTTACCTAAACTCAAGCTGTTTGTGTAAATAATGTGCTTTATGCTGAATACGTGCTTTCCTTCTGGGAGTCTGGAATATTGGCATATGCTAGGCAGAAGGTGGGCACTGCATCTCTAATGAGCTTCCCTGGCAGCCAGCATTTCACATGTGCTGTCAAATTCCTTGCTGGAAGAATTGAATGTGTCCTGTGTGACCCGACTGGGAGAGGACCCCTGGAAGTTTGCACCCGTGTTCCACTGGACCTTGCCCCGTGTGCCTTTTCCCCGTGCTGCTTTTGCTGTGTATCCTCTTGCTGCAATCAGTCTTAGCTGTGAGGATGACTATATGCTGAGTCCTGAGAGTCCTCTTACTGGGTCATTGAACCTGAGGTTGGTCTTGGGGCCCCTCAACATGGTACTCAATAAATACATGTTGACAGGCAGCATGATGACCTACACAGGGTCCATCTAGAAAGAGGGTGCTCAGGAGAGGGTGGGGAAGGCAGAGGAGAGATGAAATGAGAGGTGAAATTCAAGAACAGAGTTTAAAAGCAAAAATCCTGCCCAGAGAGTGGGAAGGATGGGAAGGAGCAGTTTTTTGGTTGAGTGGAAAGGTTGAGTAGGGAAGCAGTAAGGAGTAAGGATTTGAATAAGGTTGGATGAAAGATGTGAACTTTTAAAATTGTGTGTTCTGCACGATCACATAGAAAAAAAAATCTAGAAGGAAATTGATTGAGATTTAAAAATAGTAGAGTGACAAAACAGTTTCCCTCTTTTGTCTTGTCCACATTTGTCTTAATTAGCACATGTTGCCTCTTTAATGGGAAGAAACTAATATTTGAAAACTTTTATTTGCTTTAGAAACAACAGAAACCAGTCCATAATTGTAAGTGGGGAGTCAGGTGCTGGAAAGACAGTGTCGGCTCGCTATGCCATGAGGTACTTTGCCACCGTCAGCAAATCGGGCAGCAACGCTCACGTGGAAGACAAGGTCCTGGCATCCAATCCCATCACCGAGGTGCGTACCACTGCGGAAGGCAGCTGGGTGTTGGTGATGGAAATGGGGGTTGGTTGGTTTGTGTGCTCTCCTGGCTAATTCAAGTTCCCACCCTTTAAAGACTAAAGAAGTGAGGGCAGGAAAGACCCGGGAAGCCTATTTGCTGGTGGGATTTGAAGGAGATGGGGGCAGAATTGTTACTTTCAAGGCTCTCTTCTGCTCTACCTGCTGGGCTGGAAATCTACCATCAGACTCCAGGAGTCCTCTGTTTACATTTACATCCCAGGGGAAACCAAACATCACTGGTACACTGAAATCACTGGTGTTCTCCACCCAGCTGGCATCAGCATTCATGAGCTGATTGTTAAAATATTCAGGAATTTTGCAAGCTGATTGATAAACCTTTGGTAGTTTGACATCAGTCAGGGGAGAAGTATTTATACCTTCTGCCTTGGCAGAGGCCACATGTCAAGACTCTTCCTCCTGCCCTCCCCAAGAGCCAGTTCATCAGCACACTACTGACTGGGACAGAGAGTGGGCAAGGCCAACCGTGACGGTGCCCAGGGGGGTGAGGAGACAGCCCTCAAGGAAGAAGAGGCACCCAAAAGGCACAGAGGAGGGTCCTGCAAGCCAACTCCAGCTGCCCCGCAAAATGGGAAGAGGATTGATTTGAATTTATTTGGAAGCAAAGCAAAAAATTAAGAATATTAGACTACTAGACCTCTTCTCCCTGTTTTCTCAAATCAAAATCCTCAATGAATATTTATCAGACAATCTACTCTGTTGAAGTCACTGCTTAGCTAATGTGGGAAGTGATGGAAAAGAATAAGACCCAATCTCCAAGTGTAAGATTCTTCTAACCTAATGTAAGAATATTTTAAAATTAAATAGAAACATATGTCGGGGGGGGGGTACTAAGAAACACTGCAAAGCTCATAATTCAGAGGCATAGGCTTACTTAGAAACATAAATTACAATCCAAGATACCAATAGAAAAGTTATCAAGGCTGGGTGCGGTGGCTCACATCTATAATCCTGCACTTTGGGAGGCTGAGGTGGGTGGATTGCTTGAGCTCAGAAGTTCCAGACCAGCCTGGGCAACATGATGAAACCCCATCTCTACCAAAAATACAAAAAATTAGCCAGGTATAGTGGCACATGTCTGTAGTCCCAGCTACTCAAGAGGCTGAGGTAGGAAGATTGCTTGAGTCAGGAGGTGGAGGTTGCAGTGAGCCAAGATTGCACCACTGCACTCCAGCCTGGATGACAGAGCAGGACCCCATCTCAAAATAAAAGTTATCAAGAGCCAGTGCCAAGTTAAATGCCCAGTGGATAATTTTGTGTAAATATTTAGGGTTTGTCTCCTCTACTAGACTGCACACTCCATGAAGGCGGGACTGTATCTATTTGGTTTACCTTTGTTTACCGAGCGCATGGCACATAGTAGGTGCTCAGTAAAGACATGTTGGCAGGCAGCATGATGACCTGGGTCATCTAGAAACAGGGTGCTCAGGAGAGGGTGGGGAGGGGCAGAGGAGAGATGAAATTGAAGAACAGAAGTAAAAAGCAAAAATCCTGCCCAGAGAGTGTGAGGGATGGGAAGGAGCAGTTTTTTGGTTGAGTGGAAAGGTTGAGTAGGGAAGCAGTAAGGAGTAGGGATTGGAATAAAGGTTGGATGAAAGATGTGAACTTCTAGTTGAGCATCATAGGTATTTGGGGCCTGAATGAGTTGAGGCACCTCATATTCTCTCATTTAATCCTCCCTACTCTGTAAGTGTTCTGGTCAGTCTGGGCTGCTATTATAATAATAAATATAATGTACTTTAGTATAATATACTTTAGTGTCATTGACCAGGTGGCTTATAAACAACAGAAATTTATTTCTCGCAATTCTGGAGGCTGGAAGTCCAAGATCAGGGGGCTAGCAGGGGTCAGGTTCTAGAGAGGCTTCTCTTCTGGGTTGCAGACTGCTGTCTTCTCACGGTACCCTTACATGGCAGAAAGAGAGCAAGAGAGGTCTCTGGGATCCCTATTATGTAGGCATTAAAATCCCACTCCCAGGGGCTCCACCCTCGTGACATCATTACTTCCCAAAGGCCCACCTTATGATACCAATACATAGGGTTAGGATTTCAGCATGAAGATTTTGAGAGGACACAAACATTCAGTCCATAACAGTGAGTTGCTTATGATTCTCATATTACAGATAGGGAAATTAAGACCTGGAAAGATGAATTAACTTTTTTGTTTGTCTGTTTTTGAGACAGGGTCTCGCTAAGTTACCCAGGCTGGAGTGCGGTGGTGCAATCATAGCTCACTGCAGCCTCCAACTCCTGGGCTCCAGCAATCCTCCCATCTCAGCTTTCTGAGTAGCTAGGACTACAGGCACACACCACCATGCCTGTCTAATTTTTTTTTTATGTTTTGTAGAGACGGGGGTCTCACTGTGTTGCCTCATCTGGTCTCAAACTCCTGGCCTCAAGTGAATTTCTTGCCTCAGCCTCCTGAAGTGCTGGGATTACAGGCGTGAGCCGCTGCACCTAGCCAGTGAATTAACTTTTAAGACATTACACAGATAGCAAAGATAGAACCCAGGACCCTGAAACATCAGAACCTGTGCTCTTTCTGGTCCTCCCCAGTATCTGCCAGTGGGACCAAGGAGAACCTTGAGCAGCAGGCTCATGTTCTGATTTGTCATGTTCCCTGCCAGCGTGGGGTTGCTTTCTTTCCCCAGACTTCCCTCTGCCAATCAGACCTTCCCCTAGGGTACAGGATTGCCTTTTACTAAAAACCCCTCCAATAATTTTGAGGCAAAAATCTTTTAATGTTGTTATTTCAATAGAGTCTTATTTTTTTTAGGCCGTTGGAAATGCCAAGACCACCCGCAATGACAATAGTAGTCGGTTTGGGAAATACACAGAAATCAGTTTTGATGAACAAAATCAAATTATAGGAGCCAACATGAGCACTTACCTCCTGGAGAAATCCAGAGTTGTCTTTCAAGTAAGTATTAAATTTCCTTTTCCCCAACTTTTTGAGCATTATTTACATTTACATACTTATTATACATACTCAGGCAAGCTACACTATGCTGTGAGTTGAAGAGTAGGGTTTTCTTGTCTTTCATTTGCAGTTTGGATTCTTTTTTCTGTTTATTAAAAATTGATGGATGAATAGGTGTAATATCAGGTGAGTTGTATGTCTGCAGGAAAAGGTTAATGACTTTTTAATTTGGGGGATTTACAAAATCCTTATAGTTTAAAAAGCAAGTATCTCTTTCTAGAGTACGAAAACTGTTTGAAATAGGCTAAGCTGACAGACTGGCTTTCCTATCAGGAAGGGAATGGGATCAGAGCTATTGAGGGGGTTTTAAAAGAAAGGCTTTTCTGCCAGTAAATGGAGAAATTTCTCATCGTTTTGGCCCAGGAGGAGAGCAACAGAAAGCCTTGTATTGCAGGAAGTTTGTAAAAATTTCACTAGGATGAGTTACGCCATTCCCATTTCATAGGACGTTTTCATTTAATAACACTTTCTCTGGGTTGCTCATTACTTGGAAGGCCATCTCAGGCCACCCAGTTCTCAGCTGAGAGGAAGGGCCTGCTTGTGAACTGGCCAGATCACATCCCAGACAGAGAATTATCCATGCGGATTAGATATCTAGGACCCTCTAGTTAAAAACCTGGCATTTTTGCTTGTAAGGATTTGGTGTAATTTTGAGGACATTTCTTTATCTTACAGTCGGAAAATGAACGAAATTACCACATTTTCTATCAGCTTTGTGCATCTGCACAGCAGTCGGAATTTAAACATCTTAAATTGGGTATGTGATGGATCGTGTATGAAAGGGTCTCTCTTTTATGGAGGGCTTAAATTCTAGGTTAACTTTCTTCTTATAGTAATATATTTGTTTTAAGTATTTGCCCAAAGATACAAGATTCTTTGGTTTCAGGGACAGAATTGGTGCATCTAATTAAGGGGATGGATTAGGGCCGGGGGGATGAGTTTAGAGAGAGGGGGCACTTGTAAGACTGAGGGTTATTTTTAAAGCTCATTGGGCCTGGCGTGATGGCTCACACCTGTAATCCCAGCACTTTGGGAGGCTGAGGAGGGTGGATCACCTGAGGTCAGGAGTTAGAGACCAGCCTGGCCAACATGGCAAAACCCTGTCTCTACTAAAAATACAAAAATTAACCGGGTGTGGTGGCACGCACCTGTAGTCCCAGCTACTTGGGAGGCTGAGGCAGAAGAATTGCTTGAACCCGGGAGATGGAGGTTGCAGTGAGCCGAGATCACGCCACTGCACTCCAGCCTGGGCAACAGAGCAAGACTCCGTCTCAAAAAAAAAAAAAATAGCTCATTGGGTATTTATGGTCCTCCAGCTAGAACCACCTGAATAAGACCTCCTGACAGCTGGAACATATGATGTCACCAAACTTTCCATTTTATTTGAACATGACATGTTAACCCACTTATTAAAACAAACCACCTGTATCATAATTTGACCTTCCTTGATGGCTCAAGGTCATTCATTACTTGTAGTCATAATTAATTATATTCCAGAGATGGCTAAAACATAGGGCTGTTTGTCCTTCAGTACAAAAGGCCCCGAGCCCCGTGCTGTCACAGCTCTCCTGCCTTAGCCATTTGTGCTATGCTGGTAGATGAGAATTGTTGGAGATAACTTCTAGTATGTTGGAGTTGAACTCACACTCTCTAATTTTGGAGAAGTTGCTTGTACTCTTAGAATCTAAGTTTCTCCAGATTTCACATGAAGGTAATATCCTTGGCCTTGTCTACCAAACAGAATGTGAATAGTGAACCTGCAGAAGGGCTTTCTGAAAGATCCTCTACTATTTAAACATTAGATGTATGTGTATATATATACACATACATGTGTATACATACATACATATATATACATATATAAATGTGTGTATATATATATATACACATACATTTATATATACATATATAAATGTGTGTGTATATATACATATATATGTAGAGAGAGAGAGAGTCATTATCCGGATTGTGCTAATGGTTTTATAAGAGTATATGTATGTCAAAAATTCATCAAATCGTACGTGTTAAACATATGCAGTTTATTGTACATTCAGTAAAGCTCAGTAAAGCTATATAAAAATGTTAGGTGCAGGAACAAAAACCATGAGCTTTAGAGTTAGGCCTGCATTTAAATTCTTGTGTGCCATCAGCTATTGGAACTTGAGAAAGTCACTTCACTTTCCTGAGTCTCAGCTTCTGTGTCTGTTATGTAGGATTTTTTTTGTTGTTGTTTTGTTTTTGTTTTTTTGAGACAGGGTCACTGAGGCTGGGGTGCAGTAGCGCCAGCACGGCTCACTGCAGCCTCGAACTCCTGGGCTCAAGTGATCCTCCCACGTCAGCCTCCTGAATAGCTGGGACCATAGGCATGTGCCACCATGTCCAGCTAATTTTTTATAGAGATTTGGTTTTGCCCTTTTGCCCAGGCTAGTCTTGAACTCCTGGGTTCAAGCAAGCCCCCTGCCTCAGGCTCCCAAAGTGCTGGGATTACAGGCATGAGCCTCCACACCTGGCTGTAATGCAGAGTTCTAAGGAATAAATGGAATAAACTGTGTAAAGTGCATGACACAGTTCTTTGAGTATGAACTTCCCTTCTTCTGATAAATGTGTATGTCCAAATTTCTGTGTTACAGACATAACAAATCTTACTTTTTGATTTCAGGGAGTGCCGAAGAATTTAATTATACAAGAATGGGAGGCAATACTGTCATTGAGGGTGTGAATGATCGAGCTGAAATGGTAGAGACTCAAAAGACCTTCACGCTTCTGGGTAAGGGAAAATATCCCATCCAAGTATGTAGCCATTTTCTCTTAAAAAAAAAAAAAAATTAAGGCCAGGCGTGGTGGCTCACACCTGTAATCCCAACACTTTGGGAGGCTGAGGTGGGCGGATCACAAGGTCAGGAGATTGAGACCATTCTGGCCAACATGGTGAAACCTGTCTCCACTAAAAATACGAAAAATTAGCCAGGCGTGGTGGCGGGTGCCTGTAGTCCCAGCTACTCAGGAGGCTGAGGCAGAGGAATCCCTTGAACTCAGGAGGCAGAGGGTTGCATCGAGCCGAGATCACACCACTGCACTCCAGCCTGGCAACAGATCAAGACTCTCTCTTAAAAAAAAAAAAAAAAAAAAAAAATTAAAAGGTGGGGATTCCCAGCAAATGTGTATTCTGAAGGCTCCTAATCAATTCTAATTTTAGGACAAAACATCAGAACATATTTGGAGACTAAGTGGTCAAGACTATGCTTTTCCCTTAAAAGAGCTAGAAATTAATTTGTTTTTTTCCTCAGCCTTCCTGGCTCGGCTGTGAGAGGCATGGGCTGCAAGCCCTGTGACTGCCGTAAGCTCTTCTAGGCTGAGTACAAGAATGACTGGTAAAGCCAAGGTCCAATTCGGTTCAGAAGTGGAACGTTGGCCCTCTGTGGCCTTCATAGGTCTCCTGATGATGACAGTAAAATAGTGAGCACTCATCTGGAGCTTGCAATGTGCTGGGCACCATCCTAAGCACTTTATAACTCTGTGTGAACTCATTCAATCCCTACAACCACCCTAGGAAGTCAGTGCTGCTGTTTCTCCCATTTTACAAGAGGGAAACTAAGGCACAGAGATGGGAAGTGATTTACCCAACATTAGGCAACTGATTCAGAGTGGAACTGGCTTTTGCACTCCAGGGTCTTCAAGCATCTCATTTGGTACAGAAAACCCCATCTTCTATTGCTCAGATGCCGGCACAGGTGGAGCAGGCACGACTGTCACAGCACAGCCAGTTGTTCCCAATCCTTCTCGCCTTACTTTTCCCACACAGAGCTCATGTTCAGAAAGGCTGTCTACCAGATGGTGTTTATAAAAACAGGCATTCACTCTCTCATTCTGTATGAGTCTAGACATCCACATGAAGCTGCCAGTCAAAGCTTCTGATCAGGGTGAGGCCATCGGCCATTTCTTTCTTTTTTTTTTTCTTTTCTTTTTTTTGAGACAGAATCTTACACTGTCGCCAGGCTGGCCTGGAGTGCAGTGGCGCAACCTCTGCCTCCCCGATTCAAGCGGTTCCCCTGCCTCAGCTTCCCAAGTAGCTGGGATTACAAGCACACGCCACCACACCTGGCTAATTTTTTGTATTTTAGTAGATACAGGGTTTCACCGTGTTGGCCAAGATGGTCTCAATCTCCTGACCTCGTGATCTGCCCGCCTTGGCTTCCCAAAATGCTGGGATTACAGGCATGAGCCACCGCGCCCGGCCAGCCATTTCTACGTCTTGCTGAAATCTCTCTTGCTGAAATGTCCCGCCGATTCATACTAAGTGCTTTCATTCTTGTGGCCTGGTTGACTGTATCTGAATGTAAAAAACTAAGAGTTTCAGGTTAAACATATCCAAGGAATAGGCAAGACGATCACAGCTGGATAATGGAGAATGAAAACAAGATGGTTTTCTAAGCAAAATCACCATCAGACTGTTCCCTCAAACCTGCTTCGAGGAGAAAGGCAGTTTAAACATTTTATAATAATAAGATAAACACTTTCGGCACTGACTTACATTTGCTGAAAATAATTATGGTCGTCATTTCAATCTTTGTATAATGTACTCCATGGAGAGGGGGCTTGGTGCGTGAGGAGGGGACAGGTGGCCAAGCTCTGGCTGGGCTGAAGGATATGCCCTGCCCTGCCCACCCTCATCTCCCTGATCCTTCTACTCTCTCCCACCTCTATTATGTCCTCCTCCTCACAGCAAGATAATGTAGGGCAAATAGAGTAGGCTTTGGGATCAAATGAATGTGAATTCAAATCCTAATTGGTATGAATCTAAGGTTACCCACTCTGAGACTTGGTGTCTTTTTTTGAGATGGAGTCTCGCTCTGTCGCCCAGGCTGGGGTACAATGGTGCAGTCTCGGCTCACTGCAACCTCTGCCTCCGGGACTCAAGCAATTCTCCTGCCTCAGCCTCCCGAGCAGCTGGGATTACAGGCACATGCCACCGCCCCCAGCTAATTTTTGTATTTTTAGTAGAGATGGGGTTTCACCATGTTGCCCAGGCCAATCTTGAACTCCTCACCTCAGGTGATCCGCCCGCCTCTGTCTCCCAAAGTGCTGGGATTACAGGCATAAGCCACCATGTCCAGCCAAGACTTAGTGTCTTGATCTGTGAGTGGCAACGCACCTTATCTTTCATGACAACTCGTGAGGAAGCATATGTAAAAGTCCCCAGCACCAGGCCAAGCACATAGCAGGTGCATAGTAACTGCTACTCCCTGCCTGCTAGCTCTCTACATTCCCAATTGTCCAAAGCCTCACCATACTTTGAGTAAAACCATCTCTTCTTCCATGAAACCTTTTCTAATTGTTGGAGATCAGCAATTTGCAGCCATTTGCCCCCATGTTTCACACAACTTAGGTTATGTTTACAGATTTCCACATCACGTTCCTCAGTCCCAGGGCCAAGACTGGGACGAGACGAGAGAGGCACTCACTCTCAGGGCCCTGCATGTGCCGGGTTGGCCCTGGACACTTAGCCTGTGCACAGACTTAGAAGTTTTAGACAAAGCCCTCTGGAGTTTTGTGGAGAGGTAGAGTACCGTGTCCTCTCAAGGCATTAATGGTGATGGCTGCCTGCTGTGCTGTGTGAAGTGGGCAGGTGGTAAGAGATTGGGGCCACTGCACCTCTTCCCTGCAACTCTCCCTTCAAGAGAGGGTACCTCAGCTCAAACTTTTCCTTCACCTTGCACGAGGTCATCAGGGACTTCTCTGTTTAGACATGCTAGGGCGAAGCTAGATGGCCTCATGAACGCTGTGGGTCTTTTCTCATATTGCGGTGGGCACTGGTGTTAAACTGCTTAGATATACCTTACCCAGTGTGACCTCGGGTGAGTTCCCTAACCTTCCTATGCCTTAGTTTCCTCCTCTGTGAGATGGGAACAATACTAGGATTCCTTCGGGTGGTTGTAGTGAGCATGAGAGGAGCTGATGCGTGGAAAATACCAAGGACGGTGCCTGAGGCAGTGTTCCCTTCGCCTTCCCCTCCATTTCTGCTGCTGAGATCCCTCAGTTAGCAGTGAGATTACCCCTGGAGAAGCGCGAGGGGAGGCATTTTGATTAAAAAGTCCCTTTCTTCTGCTCTTCTGCTGTGTCTTTCTCATGTGATTCATCCACTGACCCCTGCCATTTGAGTGTTGCTATGATCCTTGCCCTCTGATGGGACGAACACCTTGGAATCAGGCTGTCCCTGGGACCTCAGGCTCTAGGAACTTGACCAGTGAGCTCCCCCTGGAAATCTGATTCAGGCTGGCATTGCTTTTGTGTGACAGGCTCACTAAGGATGATTACTTAACGCAGGTCTTGAGTTCTTTCTTTTGTATTAATGTTTTGGAGTTGTTATCTCCCTTTTGTGTTTCTGGAAGGCCTGGAGTAGTTTAAGGGGTTTAGTTATGGATCACAGAAAGCAGGGAGGAGTGCCAGAATGGAGGCTCCTGCACTTGGCATTTTTAGTTGCTGCTCATGATCACTTACCTGTCATTACTGTGGTGGAGGCCTGGGGTATATTTCTGTTGGACACATCTGTCCTTCGGATGGAGGAGTTACCTCCAAATGGAAAGGCAGCAAGTGCCTGGACTCAGCTGGAGCTGGAGTCTTCCCTGTGTTCTTGGATTGAAATCTTTTGAGACTGATTTTATTTAATCTTTGTAGTAGAGGAGACTCTGGGCCAGGTGCAGTGGCTCATTCCTATAATCGCAGCACTTTGGGAGGCCAAGGAGGGTGGACCACTTGAGCCCAGGCATTCAAGACCAGCCTGGGCAACATGGCAAAACCCCATCTCTACAAAAAATTAGCTGGGCGTGGTGGCGCACATTTATAGTCCCAGCTACTCAGGAGGCGGAGGTGGGAGGATTACTTGAGCCTAGGAGGTCGAGGCTGCAGTGAGCCATGATCACACCACTGCTCTCCAGCCTGGACAACAGAGTGAGACCTTGTCTCAAAAAAAAAAAAACAAAAAACTGTAGGTTTTGAAATTGTTAAAGAACATGACCTACCTGCTAATGGAAACTCCAGGTATCCTCAAGTGAGGGGTCATTGGCTTCCATTCCAGTGTCCATTCCAGGGTGGACCAGGCAGCCTGCCTGGTGTGAATGAGCCTGCCTGCCAGCCCGAGCGCATCTCTCAGCTGCTTAAGTCACCACAGTGTCATTAACACACACTGGGGGGATCCCGACCTGGCAAAACCGGGCTCACAGCGTGTGGGTCTACACTGTGATTTACAGGGTTTGAACACAGTCCTTTCTAGCAGCTGGTTTTCTTTCTTTTTGGCTCCAGGAAATGTGCTAATCCCCTCACGGTGACTGAATATGGTATGTAGTCATAATTTATATTCTACTTACTGCAATCAAAGTCCCAATGGGGAACATGGGGCAGGCTCACAACAGAATACAAGAGGGAGGGGTTATTTATTATTTACAACTGCAGAGGTGTGAGTGGAGTCTAGGGGAGCTATTAATACAAGGGGCAGTGGGCACCTGGGGGGCAGCAGCAGAACTGTTCACTGCTCTTTCCCATGTGGGCATCCAAGTGTTTCTGGAGCCTAGAAGGAGAGTTGGGTAAAGTCAGCCCCAGAGGAGCAGTGACCTTCTGTCAGTCAGGCCATGCAGCCAGTTGGAGGCAGCTTTGCAGGGAAGGGGGCTGGGGAGGACGCACTCGGAACCTTCTCCGCTCCTCTCTCTGCTCTCCTGCTAGGGCTCCCCATGAATCAAACCCAACCAAAGGCCAGAGGGCATGAAAGGCCATCGCCTTGGTTTATACCAAGTCCCCTGGGGCAGAGAGCAGAGAATCTGGAGGGGCAAACGGAATCCCTCCAGCAATCCCACCTAAAAAATAATTCAGGGATTCAGAGAGCTTGTGAGCAAAAAGAAAAATGAAAAACATTCAAAATCAAGCACAGAATCAAGGCAAGATGACTCTCCGAGGAACCTAATGTGAAATGATTACTGGGATATTAATTTTTGTGTTGAACTTCCTAGCAGCCATGGCAGAGGGGAAACCTGTGTATAGACACATGTGGTATATGTCTACAGAGGTCGACTAGAAGGAACAGTGCCCCAGATGCCCCTGGGGTCCACTTCACGTTCCTGTCCCAGAGCTTGGCACTGATGCTACCTGCATATCTTGAATGAATCCAGGTGCCCATCTTACTAGTCAGAGAAGAGATGCAGTATTCTAATCTGGGAAAATGTTTGTTTTTAGGTTTCAAGGAGGATTTTCAGATGGACGTTTTTAAAATCCTGGCAGCCATCCTACATCTGGGCAATGTGCAGATCACCGCGGTGGGCAACGAGAGGTCCTCAGTTAGTGTGAGATGCTCATTTGTTTTACTTTTCCTTTGTCTAAGGGTCATAGTGGAACTGGCTCGCAGCTGACCTGCCTTTGCTTTTTAGCACCAGATATAGTCGGCCTCCTGGGTAGACTGGTTTAACAGGAGGCAGGCGGCAAGGGTTTCCAGGGCTTGCCTTCAAAGAGTAAAGCCTCCTCCCCTTGCAACAGTAGAGGAGGGGAAATGGATCTCCTGTGTGCTTTTCTTTTATTCAAAAAGTATGTATGAAGCACCTACTAAGTGCCACGGACTGTCATAGCATCTGGGGAAACAGCAGTGAACAAAACAAAGCAAGAAGCCCTTCAGGGAGCTTATGATCAAGGGTAGGGAGGAGACACAACAAGCAAATATGGGCTCTGGCAGCTGACGGCTGGCACAGAGGAAAGTAAAGCAGAGGGGGCATGCAGAGGTGCTGTGTCTTTCATGTGGGGTGGTCAGAGAAAGACTTTCTGAGAAGGTGGTGGGTGGCAGCCTGCAGGGGATGAAGAAGCAGGTTGTGCCTGTGGATGGGGGAAGAACAGCAAGTGCAGAAACCCGCAGGCAGGAGATGTCATTTGAAAAACAGCACGAAGGTCCATGTATCCAGAGGGTGAGTGACAGGGAGGGTGTGGATGAGGCCAGAGAGGGGAGGGGGATTGCAGACCACATAGGACCTTAAGGGCACTGGGTAGTTTTCAGCAGAAGGACACCCACTACCTCCTTACACCTGCTTGAATCAGACATCAGTGGTGCTGGCTTCCTGGGAATGTATTGTAAGTTTTGTGAAAGATTTCTTTATTTAATGGACACAAGTTAATTTGATGTGTGTTTCTTCTATGACATATACTATGAGTAGTGATTCTTGGGGGAGGGGTATGTGTTTAATTAGTCTCATCAATGTCCATGTAAAGAAGAAAACAAACACAAGTAAAAAATGTTTCTATGAAACACAGAATCTGCACACCTGTAAAGCTTTGCATTAACAATAACATGTCTGTCCTAGTCAACTCAGACTGCCATATCAAAATGCCACAGGCTGAGTGGCTTAAACAATAGACATTTGTTTCCTCACCGTTCTAGAGGCTGGAAGTCTGAGAACAGAGTGTCAGCCTGGTCGGTTCTGGTGAGGACTTTCTGCCTGGCTCCTAGATAGCCACCTTCTCATTGTGTCCTCATGGTGGAGAGAGAGCAGACACTGTGATGCCTCTTACGAGAACACTAATCCCATCATGGCAGGCCTCACCTTCTCAACTTTAGCCAACCCTGATTACCTCCCAAAGGCCCCATCTCCAAATACGGTCACATTGGGGGTTAGGACTTCAACATATGAGTTTTGGAGGGACACAAATGTTCAGTCTGTAATAATGTCTGTTTTCATGTCCCTCAAATAACTGATGGGAATAGTTGATCATTTTGTGTAACCGGTGAGTTCTTGGCTGTCTGCTACCAACGGTTTGGGGAGAGAGCAGAGCTGAGTGGAGCATGAGCTCCTGGGCTTAGCGTTTTAGGCCTTTTGCCATGACCAGGAAGTAATTCTCCTTCCTCTCCTCCAGCTTTCACCTCAGCGTCCATCCCATCCTGCCTGCAGTGTCCAGACCTCCCAGAATGAGTCAATTCCCCAAGTGGGAAAGCAGGGAGAGAGGTGACGAGAGGCCTGGGGGAGAGTGTGGTGTGTCTGAAGTGGCAGATCCCCCTCTGTTGCCTTGCTCAGTTACCTCAGAGAAGCTGGGCTTCTGCCCTTTTTTCCCCAAACCCCCATAGATTAAAAATGTGATTTCTACCCAACAAATGCCATCACACTGAGCCCTCTCCCGTGAAGCTTCTTATTAAGGTAGCATTTTGGAGGAGGAATTAAAATTGATTGACTGAAAATCCTTTGGAAAGGCTTCTAAGAATATTTGTAGAAAATTCCCAGTCCTATAATTATTGGTCCTAGATTTGGGATCCATCTCCACCCATTTGTATCAGGAACTTGAAATGTTGGACACGTTAAATTTGGACAAAGCCATCTGACTTTTTGAAAAGCTGCCGCCCCTTTGCATTTTTTTCCCATAGCAGCACCTGCAGCTGAATTGTTTTTGACTCAGAAGGTTTCATTCTTTCTTAGAAGGAAGGAAACCAAATGCCACTGCCAGTCCCTTCCCTTATAAGGTCAGGCACGTCAAAGCCAGCTCTGTGTTACTGTGATATTGGTCAGCAGGGGGTGTGGGTAGAGCGCAGGGAGGGGCAGGACTGTTTCCATGGCTTCCTACACTGTGTCCTGAGGCTTTTTAGTGCAATCATGTAGATTTCCTGGTGGGCTGGAATGGTGCCGGCAGGGGAGCCTGCCTTGGGAGTTCTCCTGCCTGAGAGAGGAGCTGGGAGTCACATCCTTGCCTGAGGACAGGAGCCCTTTGTCCACACTGGCTGAAGGGAAATGGGAGCACCTCTTCCCTTTTTTCATCTGCTGACCAGCGGGGCAGCTCTCATGCCCTGGCTTGGGGGAGAAGCAAGATTTCACTTTGTGTATTCAGGAAAAGTCCCACCCCAGCCCTCGTGTCAGCTGAGGCACTAGCTCAGCCATGGGACTCCCACCAGCTTCTGCCTGGCAGCAACACCTGGGTACCTCCTGGACCAACCATCCAGGCAAACCCCTGGCCACACGAGGTGGGGCAGGGTGAGTGCACACTCTGACAAGTGGCCCAGGATGGTTCAAAGGGAAGAGAGAGGGCTGCATCCACATCCACAGGAACAGGGCAGGGTCTAGAGAGGGTGGCCTCTATGGCCTTAGTCACCGCTGACATTCTTTGGTTAAAATGAAAAATCAGCGTGGGACGCAGCCCTGGACTCCCTGGCATTGCTGCAGGGGTGGTCTGCCAAGGGCCAGGTGCAGGACCCGTGCTGCTGTAGCCCCCTTGCTCTACTCCCAGGTCTATCTCCACCTCCTGAGGCTGGGCGTCCTTGTGCCAGCTACTACTCAGCTCTTGCACAGGCCTGAGTGTGGGCACGGGGGCCTTGGCCGGGTGGGATTGTGTGTCTTTGGATGGCTGGGCCACCTGACGGGGCTTGTGCTTGTTTTTGAAGGAGGATGACAGTCACCTGAAGGTGTTCTGTGAGCTCCTGGGCCTGGAGAGTGGCAGAGTTGCTCAGTGGCTGTGCAATCGCAAAATCGTCACAAGCTCTGAGACGGTGGTAAAACCCATGACCAGGCCTCAGGCTGTCAACGCCAGGGATGCACTGGCCAAAAAGATCTATG
The DNA here is from genome assembly GCF_000001405.40 of Homo sapiens. Lineage (NCBI taxonomy): Eukaryota > Metazoa > Chordata > Mammalia > Primates > Hominidae > Homo > Homo sapiens. The sequence continues at coordinate 52,260,955 of NC_000015.10, read as the reverse complement.
CTCACCTGTTCGACTTCATTGTGGAGAGAATTAACCAAGCGTTGCAGTTTTCAGGCAAGCAGCACACTTTTATTGGTGTTTTGGACATTTATGGGTAAGATTCTCTTCAGTGAGCCTGTCTTTCCTCCTTTAAATGTTGAGAGCCGCATGGTTTTTAGATCATTTTGTTCTGGTTCTTTTGTATTTCACATGATTAGAAAGATAACATTCTCTGCTTTTGCCCCTATAGATGCTAAGTACACTCTCCTGGGCTATGGTGCCATTTATTCAAAGTGCATTAAAGAGATGCTGAATTAGGAATGACCAATGTCAAGAGCTTACTGTGTGCCAGCTCTGAGGCTGCTTGGCTTCCATGGGCTTTCTCACTTAATTTCTTAAACAACCTTATAACTATCCCCGTTGTAGAGCTGCAACAACCAAGGCTTAGAAAGACTCAATAACTTCGTCACAATTGCTCCGCTGGTGGGAGAACCCAGCACAGTTGTGAGGCTCCTGCTTTTGCTTTTCCCACCAAAGGCCCCTGAGGTGTGGAGCCCCAAGGTCCCTTCCCATTCGAATCACAGGGGATGACAAGTCACCTAGGCTTGCACCTTGCCCAAGCCCAGCGGCCAGAGGTGGACTGAACCCAGGTCTCTGATCAACCACCCCCCTACCCCAATCCTTTTCCGTTCTTGGGTGAGAAGGTCTTGGATTTTCCCCAGCCCTCCTCCAGGAGGTCTTACCCTTCATCCCACCCTGGAGTTGGGTTCTTTTTCATTCTCTCTGCCTGGTCCTCCTTTTCTAAACCCCGGGCTCAGCTCGTGCTGAAACAGCTATGGAGTAACCAGAGTGGAAGCTGGCATGGAGGGCTCTGTGGAGATTGTTATCCTTCAGGCTTTTCTAGCAGCTGGCCCCAGTGCCCAGCCCTTGCCCCTCTCCTGGGACCCACCCTGGTTTCTTAACAGGAGAAGGGGAAGATTGACCCATGAAAGGCATCCTGGAGTGTTCCACCTGGATTGGGGGATCTTCCCCACACCATGGCAAAAAGCAGCTCAACCCCATTCCCCATGCAAAGGGGAGAGCTGAGCTCTGGCCTTCACGGCCCTGCTGCTGCCTCCTGGGGAGGAGGGGGACAGGGCCACACCACGCTGTTGGACTTGCACCCAGGTGGAGAGGCAGCTTTTCCCATAGCTGTCAAATGGGAGACAGTCAAGGGAGCTGCTTTGTTTAATTTAGATCCTAAGTTAATACATATGGCTCCCAATTAATAGTACGTGTCAACAGTTATAAAATGCTTAATACATTACTGGGATAGCCTAGTCAATTATTTACCTTGTCTTCTTCCCAGAAAGTGTTTGAGCAGCCAGTTAAAAGCTTAAGTGAACTTTTAAAAATGGATAGTCCTCATTAAAAATAGTCCTGTTTCATTGTGGTGGAAATACGTAATTATTCTGTTATTCCCTGTTCTTTTGGGTGTTTTTAAGATGTATTTTTAAATGACAGTCCTTTATTTTAACAGTATATTATTTCTTTCTTTTTTTTCTTTTTTTTTTTTTTGAGACGGAGTCTTGCTCTGTTGCCCAGGCTGGAGTGCAGTGGCACCATCTCGGCTCACTGCAACCTCTGCCTCCCAGGTTCAAGCGATTCTCCTGTCTCAGCCTCCTGGGTAGCTGGGACTACAGGCACCTGCCACTACGCCCGGCTGATTTTTTTTATTTTTAGTAGAGACTGGGTTTCACCGTATTAGCCAGGATGGTCTCGATCTCCTGACCTTGTGATCTGTCCATCTCGGCCTCCCAAAGTGCTGGGATTACAGGCGTGAGCCACTGCACCCAGCCATTATTTCATATTTTTATCTAACAGATGTTTATGTCCCAGGCACTGTGTTGGAGGCAGTGGTTGAACAGCATAGATGTACGGCTCCTGCCACCGTGGGACTGAGACTGGTGAGGGCAGCAGGCCGGCAGTAGAGGTTAGGATGAGTCCTGGGAAGGGAGGAAGGTGTGCTGGAGGTTAGCAGAGGGTGGGGACAGAGCAAGGGCAGCCATGTGCAAGGAGTAGTGAGCTGGACGGTGGCCCCCAGGCAGGATCCAGAACCACTGTAATAAGGAATTTGAATTTTTCAGCTATGTGGAAAAACCTGAGACAAGAGTATTTATAAATACACAAAGACTTGTTAGAGTAAATTATTTTAAGATTCCTCTCAAAAATTCTAACAATAGCCTGTTTGCTGCCACCCTTGAGTTCATGATACGCCTCCAAAAAAATCAGCTTTCCTCTAGGCAGCAGGGCTGCAGCCTGGGGCCAAGCCTTTCCCGCCCCCTCCAGCAGCCTCGCTTCTAGGCTAACCCTCGCCTAGGCATACCTGCAACTTTTGAGAAAGCTCTTTTTGACTTGGAAATAAGGAAGCCTCAAAGGAAGACTTAGCATCTTTGAAAGCCAGTAAAGCTGAAGCTGTGAGCTTCAAGGTCTAAGCTGAGAGTGAATGAAGGCTGGTGACTCCCCAGCCTGTCGTGTATTTATGTTCTTTGGACCCAGAGTTGGAAAAACCTGGGTCTGGGGGTCAGACCCCTGGGAATGAGCTCCGTAGCATACCAGTTACGTGACCTCAAGAAAGTCACAGAACCTCTCCAAGCCTTAGTTTCTGCATCTACAAGATGGGGCCTCTCTTGCAGGGTGATTTTGAACATATGATGGAAGAAATTATGCAGGTACCTTGAAAACCATAAGCATGGTTCCAGTGTGAAGTGTTTTCATAGCCAATGTGCCTCTAGCATTTTAAGTCACAGATCTAGGTCTTTCCATGGGTCCTAAACTTCAGATTTTTGTGCCCCAAAATAATGCATTGATGTTTGACATTTTGCCAGGTTCTAGAAAGCCCTGCCCTTGGCCCCAGCTGTGAGCTGCAGAGCTCAGTGAGACCCTTTTTAATCTTCCCCCAGGCCCAGCCCTGGCCTTGCTTCCATGAGCAGACCAGCCTCCGAATCTCTGAGCCACCAAGGCTGCGTGTGGAATGGGGCTGTCAGAGCTGCTATGAATCACCCTGGAGCTGTCTAGAGGACAGTCCAGGTTCTTACCCTGCCCAGGAATTCCAGATTGAGCCAAACCAGCTCAGTCAAGTGAGACTCCCAGGGGACCTGTGATAGGAGCCGGCAGGAACCTCTCAGGATTAGAGCGATTAAGAACAAAGCTTTGGAGGCACCAAGCACTGGGGTCGAATTGCATTTCTGGCACCACTTGCTGGCTGTTGGTCCTCACCATGGTCACTCCTTCTCTGACCCTCGTGTGTGACAGTGGAGTCACAGGAGCCCTTCACATAGGGCTGTGTTAGGGTTATAGGAGGTGACGTGCATAAATGCTGACACCTTAAAAGTGCTCAGCAAGCTGCCTTCCAGCAGGAGCTCATCTGGCCAGGTGGTAAATTTGGTGCCTCTGTTTTGTTCGGCCCACGTTTTGCAGAGTGGGATTATTCACTTAAAAGTCCCAGTTTTCTGACTTTTCTTAAGAATCAATTAATCTAACATCCTGGGCCGCATTCATCCATGGCTACATCCGGCAGGAGCTGAGTAGCAGCTGCCTCCCCAAGGGCTCCTCTCAGTTCTTGAGCTTGCAACTCCAAGGCAACTGCAGAGGCAGCTGATGAAAGTCTGAATATGGAAGCCAGCCATGTCTGTCTCGTCCCTGATGGGGTGTGCTGGGCTGTAGGATATGAAATGACTTTGCCCTTTTCCTCTAGGAGCTATGAAAGCACCCCTTAGGGAGGCAAAATTGTGCTGCAGTTGTGCTGCTCCTCCCCTCAACAGACAAGGAGAGAATAGGAAACCACATTGCCTTCTCATTGGAGGCACAGGCATCACAGTCAGGCAGCTTCGCAGCTAAGTTCTGACACAAGCTGTGTGACCTTTGGCAAGTTTCTTAACCTCTCGGGCTTATTTTCTGACCTATAAAGTCAGAATAATAATTGCCAATATCACTGTTGTTGTGCGGACTACACCATATGGTGACATGCTTATTTTAATGCCTGGCTTGAGGTAGGTGTTTTATACCTACCAGATTTCTTCCGGGGGACAACCAGGAAAAGGGTTATTTATAAACTGACTACTAGGATATCATTAAAACCAGAAGCTTTGAGGGGTATTTAAAACTTGTAGAAGACATAGCAAACGTTTAAGCTTTTAAGTGTCAAAAAATATCTATAAACAAATGCATATGTCTTGCTTCAGGTTATATTTTAACTTGTTTAAATTGTATTTCAGTTTTGAAACCTTTGATGTGAACAGCTTTGAACAATTTTGCATCAATTACGCTAATGAAAAACTGCAACAACAGTTTAACATGGTAGGTGACCTTTCTGCCTTCTTGACTAGTTCTCAGCCGCGCGCGCGCGCGTGTGTGTGTGTGTGTGTGTGTGTGTTCGTGGAAAGAGGCATTCTTCTTTCTTGAGGTTGCAAATTTTTATGCAAGGAGCCTCACGCTGGGTCACTGCACCACCTTGTGGCCAAATCTTGAAATCACACCCTCTCATCTATTTCATCTTTTTTGAATCACCTGCCAATGTGTGAGCCTCACTGCCCTTCTTGGATACAGACCCTCTGTGCAGCCAGACAAAACTATTTAGTTGGTTGCCTGAGGCCTCCACTTTCTTTCGAGCCTCTCTGTCTTTGCACTTGCTGCTTTCTCTGCCTTAACCCACGTGCTCCTGTTATTTCCCCATTGCTTTATCTTCACGTGGCCAACTCCAGCTTGTGTTTTGAGATCCAGCTTCCCTGAGAGCCTCCTGCGATACCTCCTGGCCTCTTCCTATGTGCTTCCTTATCGCAGGCCTGTCACATGGAATTATCATCATTTGCATGCAAGTTTCCAAATAGACTTGGTCACCTGGAGAGGCCAGGACTGGCATTCTTTGTCTCTCTCAGCCCAGTGCTTATCTCGGCACATGCAGCACTAAACAGCAGATGGCCAATGGATTATGGGAATGAGTTTCTCCAACCTTAATTTAGAACAAGACATATATGGTACCTTCCTAACTAACAATAAGATCAAATGTATCATCCCATGGAAACAGACAGGAGATGGATTCCAATTTTTTTTTTCCACTGGGAAGATTTGTTTATTCAAAAGACGTTTTTGAGTGTATACTGTGTATACCAGGTACCAAGTTAAGTGCTGAGGTAGAAAGATGAATAAAACAATTTAAAAAATGTTGAGTAAATGCTACTTGTGGCTGTTTGGGCATTTATTATTGCTATGTGTATTGAATACAATTTCAACCTCTTAAATCAGTTCCCTAGATGCAAGAACTTTATTGAATTCACTTTTGAATTCCCAACAGTACTGACGCCTTTCTGCTCCTAACAGAAGTCAATGAAATTAAAAGTTGATTGAACATCTTTCTACATTGGCCCTACCATGAAACTACTCTCATATTTTTTTTATAATTGCCTCCTTAACATTTATATTTGGCTCTGTTTCTGAAAAGCCATGAAAGCTAAAATGCTTTACTAACTCACATTTTCCCTTTAGCTTACATTCTAAACTTTGGCTACATGTTTATGGGAAGAATGGTGATTCCAGTTCATAATAGAAATCACACTTTAATACCCTAACAGTTACTCCAAGGAAAGGTTATACCTTTGTTAGTGTCCAGTCTTATGCTCCCTCAGAACCCCTGAGGAAAACATAGCATGACGTCTTGGAGAGTGTGGGCTTTGGCTCAAACTAAATTGGGTTTGAATCTCAGCTCTACCACCTCCCTCTGGGACCTTGGGTTCTCTGAGCCTCTGTTTCCTTGTTTTAAAAATGAGTCATCATTACACATTGTATGTATGTGTCAGAATATCACATGTACCACAAAACTATGTACAACTATTATGTATCAATTTAAAAAGAGTCAATAATAACTGTCTAATATTGTGAGAAGACCTAACATTGAATCCTACTCAGTAGAAGTTTCTTTTTTTTTTTTTGGCCCAGAATTAATTCATGTATAACCATTAAATTTCATTCCATTGTAAATTTCATTTCTTTAGCATTTGCAAGGCTCTCCTGGAAGTTTAACATTAATAACTACAGCTGAGGTTTATTCCAAGTGCATATTCAGTATAACTCACCTGAAGTCAAACTCTCTGTGGCTGCTACCCTGTTCCCTGGCTGCAATGGCGTGCTGCTCCCCAACATGTCCACCTTAACCTCAAAGTGACACTTATACCAGATGTCTTGCCAAAAATCACAAATCAGAGGCTGTAATTCTATTTTTTTTTTTTTGCTTTTGTTCTCCTCTCCTGTTCTTCTTCCTCTTCCACTTCCTCCTCCTTCTCTTCCTTTTTCCTCTTCTCCTTTTTCTGAGTCATCCATCAATGTGTAGATCCTCCCAGGAGGGGTAGTATCTTCAATTGTCAGCACAGAAAGCTTTGGGTAGGACTCTCCTGATCTCCAGTCCCCCTCTTCTGGCTGCCACTGGGCCTTGCACCTGATGCCCCCAGGGAGCTCAGCAGTAGCAAGTGTAGAAGTGCCGGTGCCACCTTCTCCTCTCAGCCCGCTTACCCTCCACGTGACTTTCTGTGGTCAAGTCACGCCATGGACCCCATGTCCTGAGCCTGACATTCATCCTGACCTCTTCGCTCCTCTTCCTCCTCCCTGAGTCCCAGCCATCAAGAGCATCGGGCTGAGTCCTCATTGGTCTCACTGCCTCCGGTTCTTCCCTCCTCTGAGCCATCCTCCAGGTCTCATCATAACCCCTCCGCCCTCCAGCGGGTCCTCACTGCTCCTAGAAAAAGGCCATAGGCCCAGAATTCTCTAAGGAGGGTGTGAAGGTCTCAGGTGATTTGACTGTACCATTCTTTGCCACCACATTGCTGCTGTCCTCCTGTAATTTCTAACCTGCTTGAGGTGCGTTTCTCAAGCACCCATTGAGCTTTCATGTGGTTCCCACTGGGATTCCTCCATAGGAGGGTTTTCTTGATGCCCCACCCCACCCCACCCTACCCCACCTCACCACCTGCCAGCCAAACTTTCTTTCATCCTCCATGGTAAGCCTGAGTACATCCTCTGGGAAGCCTCCCTGATACCCTTACAGCCCAAGTGAGTAGTGCACGAAGATCTCTAAGCAGTGGGCTTCTCCCACCGGCCCCGCAGCTAGCATTCTCAGGTAGCTGGCTCCACCCAGCCAGGCTGCATTAGGCCAAAGAGGCTGGATCTGTCCTTGGATAGCTGCTAGCAGGAAGGGGCTGTAGGACCACACTGAGTACCATGTGGTGCTGGTGGTGACACAGGCTGGCCCAAGCCATGTCCTAGGAGGTAGAGACCCACTCAGACTAGGTGGGAGGATGACAGCTAGACTCGCTTTAGGAACTCGGCGGTATTGATCACGGTATGGGCCTTGTCTATACTTCAGGGTCCTTCTTTTTAAACATAAATATTACAGATCAACCATTTACATTTTCCAAATGCTTACATCCTGCTCTTTGGAAACGTATTTTAATATTCTGTTTTACTTTCTGTATTAACTTTGGATTCCCAGCATGTCTTCAAACTGGAACAAGAAGAATACATGAAGGAAGATATACCTTGGACGCTGATAGATTTTTATGACAATCAACCAGTTATTGACCTGATTGAAGCAAAAATGGGAATTCTGGAGTTACTGGATGAAGAATGTTTGGTAACTTTTAAGAATAATTGTTTTTTTCAGCTTTTAAGTAGTAACAGATGAGCATTTTGCAAAGCAGTTTTTTTGAAGTGTGCTTGTGAAGTCCTGATGTTTATCCAGTTGGTTGGATGGATATTAATGCTGGGACAGCATCCACAGCAGGGACCCCAGAGGGCCCACTGGGCCTTTTGCCCTCAGCCTGTGTAGACCACGCTTGGGGAGCTGCACCACCTCTTTTACCTGACTTCCAGCATGGAGGCTGTCCCAAAGTGTATGTAGAAACATGCATGAAAACAGCAAGTGACTCCACTCAAGTTGTCGGTGACTAATAAGAATTGAGTTTTCTTTTACATCCTGATTCTTGTGAGTCATCAAGAAAAATCAACATCGTATGATTCACCAGAAGAGCTTTCTAGAGTTTTCTTCTTACCATTTCCCTCTGGGAAACTCTGAAGTAGGCCAGCCTGGCAGTGTCTCTCATGGGGCCACAAGAACAAATAATCCCAAAGTGAGGATTAATAAGGTTTCGGGGTTAAAGGATTTTTTTTTTTTTTGAGACGGAGTCTTGCTCTATCACCCAGGCTGGAGTGCAGTGGTGCCATCTCGGCTCACTGCAACCTCCGCTTCCTGAGTTCAAGTGATTCTCCTGTTCCAGCCTCCGGAGTAGCTGGAATTATAGGCGCACACCACCATGCCCAGCTAATTTTTTGTATTTTTGGTAGAGACGGGGTTTCACCATGTTAGCCAGGATGGTCTGGATCTCCTGACCTCGTGATCCGCCTGCCTCGGCCTCCCAAAGTGCTGGGATTACAGGCATGAGCCACTGCGCCCGGCCAATTTTTGTATTTTTAGTAGAGATGGGGTTTCCATCTCAAAAAAAAAAAAATCACATGTATCAAGATCAAATTTCGCAACTAGCTTAGTACAAGGAGGTATGCCCTTATTTCAAGGAGTGAGTTAATTAGGAAGTAAAATAAGAAAAACTATTTTCCTGAGGCAGGGGAAGGGGAGGACTCTCTATTCAGGTGCCAGTCTTTTCCCATTCACCCGTGAATAAAGGTCATGTTCGTGTAATGGAACCCACACTATTTTTTCCTGAACCTTTAGATTTCTTTGGGAAGAAATAAAATACTGCCTATTTTATAGAAATAAAATTCTTCATTCTAAAGTCATTGTGTGACCATTTCTTTTTAAAGTTTTGTTCTTCTAAAGAGACTTTGATGTATCCATTAAAATATCACATCAAATACCCCACAAATATATATAATTGTTATTTGTCAATTAATAATAATTTTTAAAGTGCCCTAAAGATTAAGATCAAGGATAAATTAATGCCTAAAGTTGCTTTTTTAAAAGCCTCTAAGGCCAGGCGCAGTGGCTCTTGCCTGTAACCCCAGCACTTTGGGGAGGCCAAGGTGGGTGGATCACCTGAGGTTAGGAGTTGGAGGCCAGCCTGGCCAACATGGTGAAACCCCGTCTCTACTAAAAATACAAAAATTAGTCAGGCATGGTAGCAGGCACTTGTAATCCCAGCTACTTAGGAGACTGAGGCAGGAGAATCGCTTGAACCCAGGAGGCAGAGGTTGCAGTGAGCCAAGATCGCGTCATCACACTCCAGCCTGGGTGGAAGAGCCAGACTCCATCTCAAAAATAAATAAATAAATAAATAAATAAATAAATAAATAAAAAGCCTCTAATTGAGAGCAGTTCACTAAGTGCCAAATCACCTTGGTTTCTTAGAATTAGTGCTTTTCCTCACCTGTATGAATCTCTGGTTTTCTTACTTGCTATTTGGTTTATTTTTCTTTTCCAGTTACCACATGGAACTGATGAAAACTGGCTTCAAAAGCTGTATAATAATTTTGTCAACAGGAACCCTTTGTTTGAAAAGCCTAGAATGTCAAACACATCCTTTGTCATCCAGCACTTTGCTGATAAGGTACCGTGAAGGTCTCCATCAATGCTGTCAACCCCGGAACCTGTACAGCCTCCAGAAGGAGTAGGCAGGCCAGGAATGTTTCTGATCAGATTCAAGTCATACTTAACATGTAGCTTTGATGAGTGTGTGTTTAACAGTTCCTTATTTGTTTTTGTGGCGAGATACATGAGTTCCAACTGTACTACTTTAAAGACGAATGTGTTGTTAGAAGACCACACTTCTGATTTTGGATGTACTGAAGTTACTGAATTTCATTAACCTCTTATCAGTTTATTTTCTATATGAAATTGTGATAATCAAGACAGCATAATTCTTCCTTATGATGAAAGCTATATTTTTTTCTGAAGTTCTATTTGATTAAACTGGACTATATTACAGTGGCAACATAGGTTAACTCAAGATGATAATGGGTTATCTTCGTGCTTTTTTTCATCTTTTGTGTCTTCTTTTTCTTTATACGTCTCCTTTTTCTTTTTACTAAACAAATGTTACTTGTCTAAAATGAAAAATTTTTGTTAAAATCACATTATAGAAAGCTTAGAAAACAGAAGGAAAAAATTGCCATAACCACCTGCCCTAAATGTACATTCTTATTTGTTTTCCTTCCTTAAGGGAGCTCCTACCTCCTCCCATGTCCTGGTTGGGTGTTGCCTTGGTGGCCTAGCCCAGTGCCAGGGCTCACAGGAATGGCTTGTGCTTGTCTATGTTTATCGCAGAGGCCGGTGCTGTGAGTCAGAGCTGGTCATTCCCGAGTGACTGATGGTGGAGGGAGGGGACAGCAACCTGGAAAGCTGTGATCACCTTTGTGTGCTAGCAGAGTACTGTAAAATATTAAAATATAGGATTGGCCGGGTGCAGTGGCTCACACCTGTAATCCCAGCACTTTGGGAGGCTGAGGCGGGTGGATCGCTTGAGACCAGGAGTTTGAGACCAGCCTGGCCAACATGGCGAAACCCCATCTTTACTAAAAAATACAAAAATAAGCCAGGCGTGGTGGCACGCACCTGTAATCCCAGCTACTCAGGTGGCTGAGGCAGGAAAATTGCTGGAACCTGGGAGGCGGAGGTTGCATTGAGCCAAGATCACGCCACTGCACTCCAGCCTGGCTGACAGAGTGAGACCCTGTCTCAAAAAAAAAAAAGAAAAAGAAAAAGAAAAAAAAAAGATAAGTTTTTAGTGCTTAGACTTTTTCAGATGGGCTCCTGAAAAGATGCCTATGAAATGAAATGATCATATGTCAAATTATATTTCCTAGCTATTGTCATAATTTCAGGGTTCTGGTCCCATAGGAAAAGGGAGGGGGAAAGACCAGACTCCATAAAAAGCACATATGGGATTTCTTTCAAGGGTCTCTCTTTATAGGATGTAGTTTCTGGACATGTAATTCTCTCACCTGCCACTTCCAAGAAGTCTCCCTTAAAAGAACTAGGCAGCGTTTGGGCTGGACTATGGATTGATTGGTGGGAAGAACCCACATGCACTATGGGGTTAGATTAGGTTTTCAATCTCATTGGCCAGGGAAATCAGGTCGTATTGAATGCAAGTCAGCTGAGCTTAGATGTAGCAGCTCAGCACATCTTCCTTTGGTCCCAGAGTCCCCAACAGAGGCACCAGCTGCATGTGACACTGTCCCCACAGATGCTCGCCCAGACCAGGAAAGCTCTGTATTTGCCACCTTTGTCTATCTGTCCTAGTGGCTCACACCACCATTCTGGAAGAATTTGTACAACAATCCAGGTACTTCATTCACAAAGAAGTGTTTGCAAACAGCCGGTGTTCCTGGATCTTAACCTACCTACCGGCAAGGATACTTCCTTACCTGGGGGACAAAGCAGAGGCCATGCCCAGGGAACCCTCTGCTTACGGATTCCAGCACTCTCCCCTGTTTCCTCATTGTCAATTTTTAAAATTAATTTTAATATACGTTTTTAATTTATGAAAAATAAATTATCACATATTAAGATATGCAATCCAGAGGCATAAACTAGGGGGAGGTTGAATGTTGAAGCAGCCACCCTGGATATGCCATGGTTTGAGGCATTCGAGAAGCCTTCTTCATCAGAAAGGGCAGCATGGAGAGTTTTTCTAAGCTAGATTCAAGCAGTGCAAAGGTTGACCCACTCTAAACCTGATTCTGAGGGCTTGGTGGCTCTTGAAGGCTTGGTGGTCAGCTGGTCGGTTTTTCTATCCTTTCTACCACATTAATGTTGATTTAGGAAACGATGTCTGTTTGAACCCAATGAACACCACTAAGCTTTTTCCTCCTCCTGGTGGCTTCAAAGGCAAAGGGAGACCTAAGTCAGGTGTTCTTGTAGGAACTGCACATACCGCAGGGAGCAACTGGACCCCTGTGGCCAGAGGGAGCCAACAGGTGAGTGCAGAGTGATCAGCAGGCAGGTGAGAAACCCAGGTGGTGGGAGAGAAGACACATTCCCAGCTTATACATAATGGGGCTGCTGCCATGATGCACAGAAGCCAGACGTCTTTTTGTAAGATTGCCTCTGTAGCCTTTTTTATTAATCTTTCTTAAAAAAGAGATGAAACTTGTGCTTAGAGGCTATATTCTTTGGCCTCTTTGGGAATAATTAATTGCTTTCTCTGTATAGGTAGAGTATAAATGTGAAGGTTTCCTGGAGAAAAACAGAGACACCGTCTATGACATGCTGGTTGAAATCCTGAGAGCAAGCAAGGTCTGTAAAGTCCTAGGGGTAACTAAAGTTATTATATAATTGACATGGATCTAGATGTATATAAGGAAAGAGTAAGGAGAGAGAGAGAGAGAGTGTGTGTGTGTGTGTGTGTGAACTCTCTGGACAGTGGTAAGTTGTAGCTCACAGATTCAAAAAGATAACTACTGTAAATCTCTACTATATGCAAAATCAGAAATCAAACATGCAGATGACAGGAAGGACAGCTAATAGAACCATTGAAGAATCACAATTCCAGCCAGACGTGGTGGCTCACGCCTGTAATCCCCGCATTTTGGGAGGCAGAGGCGGGTGGATTGCTTGAGGCCAGAAGTTTGAGACCAGCCTGGCCAAAAAAGCAAGACCCTGTCTCTTCTAAAAATATAAAAAAACATTAGCAGGGAATGGTGACATGCCTGTAGTCCCAGCTACTTGGGAGGCTGAGGTGGGGAAGACTGCTTGGCCCTGGGAGATAGAGGCTGCAGTGAGCCATGATTGCGCCACTGCACTCTTCTTCTGGGCAGCAGAGCAAGACCCTGTCTCAAAACAAAACAAAACAAAACAAAATATGAAATTCACTCTGAGAGAAGATAAGACATTTAAAGAAATAACTGATACAAAGCAGAAGGTAGTAAGTGCTTTAAATGAGGTACAAATACAAGATGAAGACGGTTCAGAGAAGTTGGGATTAATTCATTCATTGCGAAGTGGGTGGGGCTGGAAAACATTTTAAGAGATTCCTGGGTAGGGTTTGGATCTGCAGGGATGAGAATGTGGAGTAGGAGGGAGGAGATTGCAGGTGGAGACACAGTGTGAGCCAGGCACGGAGGTGAGAATAGTAGATGTTTCCACTTTCTGACACTTAGAGTGATACCCACATACAGACATTTACACACTTTTCTTCTCTGTTCCCCTTCTCGGGAAAGAAGTCACGGGCCATCCCTATGAAAGACGATCGTCTTGTGGAATTGAGATTTGGCTGTAGATGTTGGTGAGGTTGTTCACCGCCCACTAGTTTAGCTGAGTTGTTGTCACCATTTACGTGGCTTGTATGAGTGAGTACTGTGGGCAGTTGCTTTTGGACATTGAGATCCTCTCTGTTCCTTCCAGTTTCATCTCTGTGCCAACTTTTTTCAAGAAAATCCAACTCCTCCTTCTCCTTTTGGTTCAATGATTACAGTTAAATCTGCAAAGCAAGTCATCAAGCCAAACAGCAAGCATTTCCGGACCACAGTTGGGAGCAAGGTACTGAGAAGGTGTTTGAGAGTGAGGGGTCTAAAGGCAGGGCCAGGCCCTGGGGAGCCAGGGCACTCAGAGGACCCGCATTCCAGGCCTGGACATGGACAGACGCTGGGGCTCTTCCAATCTAACATGGACTCCACTGCAAAAAGTTCATCGTCGTCATACTTCCACCTCCAAGGCAGCACGCACTGGAGCAAACCACGCTCTTGCACAATAACATGGTTTATTCAGTTCTCTGCTGTCTGGGAGTATTAGTGTTCTGTCCACAACAGTAGGACATGCTGATAAACCACAGTCACGGACTGAAACCTTTCATAATAGGTGTTTATGCATGAGGTTAACTTTTCTTCCTATTGAGTAACTTAACAAGGTTGGGCTGCTTTTTACCGTGATGTAAGCAGTAAATTATTTCAGAGCCATGTTTGATCTCTAGCTTTGTTTCCTAGTTCCGCAGCTCTCTGTACTTGCTCATGGAGACCCTCAATGCGACGACGCCCCACTACGTTCGATGCATCAAGCCAAATGATGAGAAGTTACCCTTTGAGTAAGTGTTCTTATGCAACACACAGCGAAGACGTGGGAAGGCAGTTTCTGCCATAAAGTTGGAGAATTTGCTTCCAATTGTCTTGAGATTACCCTGTTTCTGGGTTTTTTTTTAATGATTCAGAACAATGCTGCCCTTTACATAAAATGTTAGCTCAGCCCCTCTGGTTAAACCCCCTCATCTCCAGGGCTAAGCAAAAGGGCTAGATTTGAAAGAATCTTCTACAACTAAAGTTTTTGCAACTTGAACCTTTTACTTGATTAAAAGAAGAATGAGTATGTGTGTTTGTAGAAGGTCATAGAAGGTCAGAACATTTGTCCTCAGACATGATGGCATGAGGCATTATTCTTGTTCTCTGGGACCCATGGAGGAGACCCAAAGCTTGTGAATATAAGGTGTAACAAGTCCCTTGTAGCTTGCTAGAGCTGAAAGAGGTGCCTAAAGGGGGATGAGCTGTCTATGGAGGTGGTGAGTGTGTGTATGGGTCACCAGATGGGTGAGACCTAAGCTGCAGAGCTACCTGTTGGGTGTTCTGTAGAGGAAATTCAAGCATCAGTGGGTGCTTGGGCCAGGCGAGCTAGCATATTTCTTTCCACCTGGTTGTCGTTTGAAGCTCACCTCAAAGGCCAGTTCCCCCATGGCCTTCTCAATGCCACCTCCATCAGAGTCAGCTGCTCCTTTCTCTATATCCCACTGCATCTTTATGGACTGTTTTGCAGAGGTGCTATTTTTCTTGGTCATGCAATAGAAACTTATTAAGTATCTGCTGGGTACCTGGCATAGGGTCACAGTCTAGCCAGGTCTGCTGTGCCTGTTTATGGGCATGTTGAGCAATTACGATGCCTCAACACATAATATCATTGTCTTTTTAAAGATTTGACTCCAAAAGAATTGTTCAGCAGCTGCGAGCCTGCGGCGTTTTAGAAACGATTCGCATTAGTGCACAGAGCTACCCTTCCAGGTATGTTGTCCGTCCTTGTCTTGGAGGGAAAAGTACCTGACATCAGAGCTATGCTGAGAACCAAGGACATGGCTGCCATGATTTTTGTCACATACTTTTGGCTTCTGTAAAGTGCCCCCAAGATTTTCCCACTGCCCTGTGGAAGTCCAGAAGAGGTTGAGAAATAGGCTTTGTAGGGGTCGGAGGTCAACACCACCTTCTCACCCCATCACTGCATCTCGGCTGCTGGTGGTGGCCCCACCGCCTCCCCCGTGTACTAGGGAAGACGCTGAGTGGGAGAAAGAGCACAATTGCTGGGGCAGACAGGAGTGCTCAGGGTGGTCTTGGTAGTGTCCCAGGCAGGCAGGGTATCAAAGATCAGTGCCTTTATCCTCAGGACAGATTGCACCACCCCCGCCCTATGACAACAGTGGCAGGTAAGGCAGCGGAGTCCCCAGACACAATGTGCTTCCTCTGACACTCCTGGCTTTGATCCCCTTTGATTTTCCAGGTGGACATACATCGAGTTCTACAGTCGCTACGGCATTCTCATGACCAAGCAAGAGCTTTCCTTCAGCGATAAAAAGGAGGTGTGCAAGGTGGTTTTACACAGACTCATCCAGGTCAGTTTCCCCACCTCCTGGGATCATGGTCTCCTTCCTGGAAGCACATCTCCCAAACATGCTGTTTCATCTTTGTCTTGAATGCTCAGGACTGTAATCATGAACACCTGAAAGGAAAGAAAATGTGCCCTGAGCATTTGTCTGCTGAAGAGACCATAGCAGAGTGCTCAGTGGGCCATGAGTCCCCGTTAGGGACCCACATCCGAACTCCGGCCTCCCCAGTGTCCTCGTATCCTGTTTAGCTCTCCCACGATCTAACCCAGTCCTCTGTGGACCAGGCTTATAGGATATGGTCAACTGGGGTTGTCACCAAGCCACATGGGCTCCAGGCATGGTGCCTTGTGTGGATTGACATCATTGCTGCAGCGATGAGTTGTGATGGGAAAGAGATGGGGAGTTATAAGGTCCAGCAAAGGGGATGGTGAAGAGAACCCAAAATGGAGACAGAAAACCAAACTTCCCCAGTTTCTTCTACTCCAATGTGGAGACCACGAGAGAGTGGCTGAAGTTCTCTGGCAGCCCAACTGAGAATCGCCGCAAATGACACTCACTCCCCTTCTCACCCACAAATGGATTCCTCAGCCTAAGTCCCATTTCTTCCTCCAGGGTAATTTTAAACAAACAACTCAAAGTATACATTTCTAGATCATGATGTGAGTTTTCTGCCTTAAATGTCAAAATCACAATATTTCTGGCACCTTTGAATCCCTAAAGCTCTTTTCCAAATACTGTATTATAGAAAATCTGACAGATTTTAATTCTAACTATATCATTTTTCTCTTCCAGGATTCTAATCAGTACCAGTTTGGTAAAACCAAAATTTTCTTCAGAGCAGGACAAGTGGCTTATTTAGAGAAACTTCGATTGGATAAACTGAGGCAGAGTTGTGTTATGGTACAAAAGCACATGCGTGGCTGGCTCCAGAGGAAAAAATTCCTCCGAGAGAGACGAGCCGCCCTGATAATCCAGCAGTACTTCCGGGGTCAGCAAACTGTGAGGTATGTTGGAATCAAGGAACACATGTGGAACTGTGGGGCTTTCTGTGCTGATCATCTCCGGCGGGGAGGACTCATCAAGGACAAGGGACCTTTCTCCTGTGACCCAGGGTGCAGACGTGCATGGGTCCCCTTTGTGGTCGTGAGCATTAGGGCAAGAAAGGTCCGTCTCTCAGGGGCAGGTAGTGCTGGCTCTGCCTGGTGTCTGTGTGGTGAGCCGACACCCAGGGCCCTGCAGGGAGGAAGCGCTGGTGAGAGTGTTACTAAGGAGAGTCAGGGTTCCGGAAGCTCAGGGAGAGGCCCGGGGCCCCTTTCCTATGGGAACTGAAAATGCATAAGATCAGCAAGGCCCTAGTGAAGATCCAAAGGACAGATGTCAAGAATAGCCAGCGACCAGCCTGCCAGCAACAGGTGGGGTGCACCATGGCAGAGGGGGTCCCTGCAAGGCCTGGCAGCAAACCAATCACAGAACCCCTAAGCAGGAAGACCACAGCAGCCCCAGCCAAGCCAAGGGCTGAGGGGAGGGTGGTCCACCAGCTGCGCTGATCCTACCTGCCTCGAGGGGTCCTGAGAGTCCACACAACCCTGCCAGCCCACTGAAGGACCACGGTCATTCCGGGACTTCCAGGGCTTTGGTGTACCTGCTGGAAAGCACAAGACCAGGGTGCCCCTAGATAAACTTTGTGTTTCTCTCTGCCTGCTCTGCCCCTTCTTTGGGATGCTGTGAGGATGCTTGAGAAGGCCGGCGTTTAGGGTCAGGCTGCGTCTGCAAGCCTGACTTCTTCCTGAGCTGGAGGCTGAACTGTGGCAGCATCTGGCCTTCTCTGCATGACCAGCGTGGTGTGGCATGGATCACACAGCTGGGCTGGCTTGCCCTCCTGTGCTTCTGTGCCCAGTTGATAACAGCAGTCTTTGGGGAAGGAAATCACAGTTATCTTACCCGCCAAGGCCACGCTCCCTTCCCATTTGGGGCTCACCAGAGCCTGATCATCCTGCCCTGCTGGCCTCCTGCCTATCCCATTCATTTCATCCCACTCCTGCCCCCAGTTTAGGCTCACGGCATCACCTGCCTTGCACTCTGATGGCACCGTGCTCCACCTCCCACCTCCTTCCCATCTTCCTACATCAGAGCCTGATTGAGACACTGCCCTGCACCTGCCTTTAAGGCCCGTGTTTCCTACAGAATAGCATTCAGTCTCTGACGTGATATTCAAAGCCCTCCATAGCCTGGGTGCATTCATAAGAATGGAAGCTCCATGAGGGCAGGGGCCACACTTGTCTGGTCATTCATACCCAGACCTAGCATGGTGGCTGTCATAGAAGGTGTTCAACAAATATGTTTTTAAAATAACAAATGGTGCACATCTATTTTTCTAACCTCATTGACGTCTAATTTTCTTCATCCATCTTATTCTAGTGATTCCAAACAAACTCCTTTTCTGAGTATTTCAGGCACTGTAGAGCCTCCATGCCTTTACTCATGCTGGTCCCTTATCCTGAAAGCCTTTTCCAGCCTTCACTGTGTACAGACATCCTACTGCATTGGGGGCTGGCTCACATACCCACTTTCCCCAAGCAGAATAACTGTTTTTTTCCCCTCTCACTTACAGATCTAGTTAGGTGGTATTTTATTTTTCCTCTTTCTTGGCCATTTGTTAGTCTTTCTGTACATGAGGTTGTAAACTCTAAAGGTAAGGACATTATCTTCACCTCTAGTCATTTAGACAGGGGCAGCAAACTTTTTCTGTAAAGGACGAGATGATAACTATTTAAGGCATTGGGGGCTTGCAGTCTCTCCTGCTGCTGTGTCATGAAAGCAGCCGTGGGGGATATGTAAATAGTACGTGATTGAGCAAGTGCAGCACCAGTGCACAGTCTCATCATCGTCTCTGTGGGTACCTGAGTGGAGGTGAATCGACTGGCCTGAATGAAAAGAGTGAAAGTTCCCATGTGGTTCCTCAAGGACAGGGAACTGGGGACTGGCCTCAAGTAGGCATTAGAATAAACTGCCCACAGAGTTTAATGTGGAGAGGTGTAAAATATTTGAACCTTCCTTATAAACACATGCTAGCCAAGCTTGCAGCTCTGTTATGGAAGTTGATGCTCTGTGGGTAACAGACTCACTCTTCATCCTTGTTAACCAAGGAAAGCTATTACTGCAGTGGCCTTAAAAGAAGCTTGGGCAGCCATAATCATTCAGAAGCACTGCCGCGGGTATCTTGTTCGCAGCCTGTATCAGTTGATTCGCATGGCCACCATCACAATGCAGGCCTACAGCCGAGGATTCCTGGCAAGGAGGAGGTATCGAAAGGTGAGGCCAACCTCTGTCTAGAGGAAGGGAGGGTGTACGGGCCTTCCTTACTGAGAACAAAACAGGGCCCAGGGAAAGACTTCACTATGGGCAACCTCACTTTGTACAAAGTGTCAGCCAAGCCAGAAAGGAGATTCTTCCAGGTGCTGTGGCTCATGCCTGTAGTCCCAACTACTCAGGGAGCTGAAATGGGAGGGTTCCTTGAGCCCAGGAGTTCGAGGCTGCAGTGAGCTATGATCATGCCAGTACACTCCAGCCTGCGTGGGTGACAGAGGGAGACCCTGTCTCTCTCTCTCACACACACACACACACACACACCAGTTGCACTGTTGGTTTCTCTTTCTCCCAGTTGGCCCCAAAGAGACCACACCAAAGGAAAGTACATTTTAAGCCAATAATGTGCACCTAACAGACAGGATATACACCTAACAGACCTCACCTAAAGCAGAGACTGGGTTGGGGAAAGAAATTTTAAAAGATCAGCACACTGGCTGGGCACGGTGGCTCACACCTGTAATCCCAGCACTGTGGGAGGCCGAGGTGAGTGGATCATGAGGTCAGGAGATCGAGACCATCCTGGCTAACACAGTGAAACCCTGTCTCTACTAAAAATACAAAAAATTAGCCGGGTGTGGTGACGGGCACCTGTAGTCCCAGCTGCTCGGGAGGCTGAGGCAGGAGAATGGCATGAACCCGGGAGGCGGAGCTTGCAGTGAGCCAAGATTGCACCACTGCACTCCAGCCTGGGTGACAGAGTGAGACTCCGTCTCAAAAAAAAAAAAAAAAAAAAAAAAAAAGATTAGCCCACTGCCACCCCACAGACTGTAGAGAGCTCTCACAGCCAGATGGGATGTCCAGGGTGTCCAACTCCAAAGAAACGAATTCAAAGTAATATAAAATTGAACAAGTTTTCTACATAAGCTATTCAAGATTTCTCCAGCACTGACTAATACAAAGCACAATGAGATGGCTCTTTTAGAGGCAGCAGCTTTAGACTCAGAAAAGGGTGATGAGATGAGTTTCATACGGCAAAAAAATAATTTTCTTTCTTTCAAGGAGGGAGGAGAGCAATAAGTGTTCACTTCAACATAAGGGGTGCCTGATCCATCCTGTGAGTGGATGGGAAAGGGGTTGAGATAGGACAAAAGTTTGGTCTCAGAGATTTCACAATCTTAATTCGGTCACTTCTGATGAAAAAGTAAAGTTGTCCAAAGATACTTTAAAGCTGAAAACCTGAACAGTATATTTTGGGGGGTTTCATTCTGGCTAACTCCTGGAATCACCTTTTAAAACATTTTATTTATTTATTTATTTTTGAGACAAGGTCTCACTCAGTTGCCCAGGCTGGAGTGCAGTGGCACAACCATGGCTCACTGCAGCCTCAGCCTCCCAGGTTCAAGCAATCCTCCCATCTCGGCCTCCTGAGTAGCTGGGACCACAGGCGTGAGCCACCATGCCCAGCTAATTTTTCTTTTTTTTTTTTCTTTTTTCTTCTTTTTCTTTTTTTGTAGAGAATGAGTCTCTATATTGCCAAGGCTGGTCTTGAGCTCCTAGACTAAAGGGATCCTCATGCCTCAGCCTCCTGAGTAGCTAGGACTACAGGTACGTGCCACCACACCTGGCTAATTTTTAAAATTTTTTTGTAGAGATGAGGTATTGCTATGTTGCCTAGGCTGGTCTTGAACTCCTGGCCTCAAGCGATCTTCCCTCCTGGGCCTCCCAAAGCACTGGGATTACGGTGTGAGCCATAGGCCTGGCCCTAGTGCAACTGTTTTGATGTTGAATATGACAAGTATCTTTTTGAAATAACTAGTCTCTCCAAAAAAAGAAAAAGAAAAAGAAAAGAAAAAAAGAAAGTTATGGCAGAGACCAATTTCTTGGGACATGGGTTTCTCATGCCATTTTTTACCAACAATAGTAAGACTGTTTTTCTGCATAAAGACCTTCCTGGAGACAGGGGGTTCTAGAATGAGAGTGTCTGTTCATATACACCTGCTACAGGTAGGATTTGGTTATTGTTTGAAAAGTCTAGCTGTAATACGGCTGTGCAGGTTGACAAGAAGAAACTCATTTTCTACACCGTGGTAGTTGCATCTTCCAGTGTTGAAGGAGTTGGTTAGAGAAGCACTTGGGATCCAGTTTATGTTTCACAAAATCTTGTTTTAAAGATGCTGGAGGAACATAAGGCTGTGATCCTACAGAAATACGCACGGGCGTGGCTGGCCAGACGCAGATTCCAGAGTATCCGACGATTCGTGCTTAATATTCAGCTTACTTACAGGGTCCAGCGTTTGCAGAAAAAGTTGGAAGATCAGGTAGGTGCTCATAGTGCATCTTTTACATTTACTTTTTCTTACATGGCTGTAGTTTGTTCTGGAGCAGTTCCTTAGCTGTGCTATTAAAATTTATGCCATGTTAGGAGGTTCAGTTTACGTGGACCACCTGAGCTAGGAAACAGAAGTACACTGTAAAGGGTTGCTATGGTGGTGTAGGTTGTATAGTTGTATACTGCACAAGTGTGCCTACCTCAGAGGGCAGGTGGGGCTGAGATCCAGCCTGGCTCCGCTTGCCAAGGCAGGTGTTCCTGTGTGAAGTTGTGTTGCCTTGAGGCAAAGGTACCTCCTAATTTGCTCAAAGATGCTGTCCGCATGCCAAGCGTGCTGCCTTGGGATGACATCAGCTCAGAGGAGCTGCCATTTCTAATTTTCCCACAGGTGCCTTAGGGTCTAGCTGCAGCCCTGCCTAGTTTGGGAAGATTCCCCATACCATTCCCACTGGTATGAAAAGAAACATCCAAGGCCGGGCGTGGTGGCTGACACCTGTAATCCCAGCACTTTGGGAGGCCATGGGGGGCGGATCACCTGAGGTTGGGACTTCGAGACCAGCGTGACCAACATTGCGAAATCCCGTCTCTACTAAAAATACAAAATTAGCCGGGCGTGGTGATGCATGCCTGTAATCCCAGCTACTCTGGAGGCTGAGGCAAGAGAATTGCTTGAACCTGGGAGGCAGAGGTTGCAGTAGGCCAAGATGGCGCCACTGCACTCCAGCCTGGGCAACAAGAGCAAAACTCCATCTCAGAAAAAAACAAAAGAAAAGAAACATCCAGCTGGGTGCGGTGGCTCACGCCTGTAATCCCAGCACTTTGGGAGGCTGAGGCGGGTGGATCACGAGGTCAGGAGATCGAGACCATCCTGGCTAACATGGTGAAACCCCGTCTCTACTAAAAATACAAAAAATTAGCCGGGCGTGGTGGCGGGCGCCTGTAGTCCCAGCTACTCAGGAGGCTGAGGCAGGAGAATGGCATGAACCTGGGAGGCGGAGCTTGCAGTGAGCCGAGATCGCGCCACTGCACTCCAGCCTGGGCAACAGAGAACGAGACTCCATCTCAAAAAACAGGCAAAAAAGAAAAGAAAAGAAAAGAAACATCCATATGCTCTCAGTTGGTGGGGAGGGCTATGGAACACACAGTGTCTAGATCCGTAAAACTCACTCCCAGGCCTGTCTCCACTAATTCTGAGGCTCTCCTAAGGTGAGCTTTAAACTTAGCCTTAAGCTATATCATAGGGGTCCTGAATGAAAGGGTGAGTGGGTGAAGAAATAGACTTGGTGTCTGGTGGGGTTTCCCTCATTGTGCTGTTGTGTAACAAGCCTGCATGCTACACAGCTTGTGCAGAATAGCACTTAAAAATAGCCGCAGCCGGCCAGGAGCAATGCCTGGTGGGAGTCCCAACGCTGCCTGAGCTCTGTCCTAGGTGTGTTAGTTTGCTAGGACTGTCATAGCAAAGTATCACTGACTGGGTGGCTTAAACAACAGAAATTTAGTGTCTTACAGTTTTGGAGGCTGGAGGTCCCATATCAAGGTTTTGGCAGGGTTGGTTTCTTCTGAGGCCTCTCTCCTTAGCTTGTAGATGGCTGCCACCTCCCTCTGTCTTCACATGATCTTCCCTCCATGCCTGTGTCTGTGTCTTAATCCCCTTTTCTTCTAAGGACGCCAATCTTATTGGACTAGGGCTCACCCTGAGGGCTGGTTTTACCTTAATTCCCTCTCTAAAGACCCTGTCTTCAAAACAGCGATATTCCTAAATTCAGGGGTTAGGACTTCAACAAATGAATTTTGGCGGGGGGCACAGTTCATAACACTAGGGTTGTCCTGGTTTGCCAGAATTGGAAACTTCCCACATTAAAATAGCCACCAGTTTGGGAAGATGTGTACCCAGCAAGATCTGCCATACTGTTTCACCACAAAGAAGATGCTAACAAATGTCAGTGCAGTGATAAGTGTGATCAGCATAAAGCAACCTCTCAAATTTGGATGCTGTGTCAAAGGCTATGAGAATTAAATGGAACAGCATCTTTGTTTGGATTAACCTCTAAACATCTGAATTTTCTTTTCTCTAGAACAAAGAAAACCATGGGCTGGTGGAGAAGCTGACTAGCCTGGCTGCTCTTCGAGCTGGGGATGTGGAAAAGATTCAGAAGCTGGAAGCAGAACTAGAAAAAGCAGCCACTCACAGGCGAAATTACGAGGAGAAGGGGAAGAGATACAGGGATGCTGTGGAAGAGGTCAGCTGCGGGCGTGTGAGACGGGATGGAAATATGCGGACTCTCTGTGAAAAAGATGAGCGCTGCCAGCTTTTCCTATGAAGTGGATTTCTGCAGAGCAAATCAGATTTTGCTATCAACTTCCATTACCAAAGGGAGCCTACCTTTTAGGAAAGGCGAGATCAGAGGATTAGAGTCTAGGGGAAGGGAGGAGGTTAATAATGAGAGAAATGCAACATAGGTTTTCTCTTTCTTTCAAGTTTTGCAAAATGATGACAGGCCCAAAGAGCCCTGGCTGGCTGCCTCCCTTTCTTCCAGGATGACCTTGGTCTCCTATCACTTGTCCTTAAGGTCTATGCCCTGGAAATGTCTTCCCCTGAACAGCGATGCAAAGCTAGGGTAGGGTTTTCATCTCTGGTGTAGTGAAAAGAGCAGTCAGCATAAAAACCAGATGCCCTAGATTCAAATCTTGCCTTTGTCTGGCTGGGCAGCCTTGGCTAAAGTCCCTTACCCTCTCTGAATTTTAGTTTCCTCATATAAAAAAATGAGAATAACAAAAAAGGACTGACAGAATTGTTGTGAGAATAAAATCATCAGATGAAATACGTTAGCCAAATGCCTACCATAATGAATTTTAGTTTCCTCCTATATAAAATGAGAATAACAAAAAGAGATTGACAGAATTGTTGTGAGAATAAAATGGTCAGATGAAATAATGTAGCCAAATGCCTATGGTGAGTCCCTGCAAAAGTGTGAGCTAGTGTGTTCTAAGAAGGTGATCTTTATTATCATCCACTCTGCTGCATTTTGTTTTTTTTTTGTTTTTTTAGACGGAGTCTTGCTCTGTCATCCGGGCTGGAGTGCGGTGGCGCAATCTCGGCTCACTGCAACCTCCACCTCCCGGGTTCAAGCAATTCTCCTTCCTCAGCCTCCCGAGTAGCTGGGATTACAGGCATGCGCCATGACGCCCGGCTAATTTTTTGTATTTTTGGTAGAGGTGGGGTTTCACCATGTTGGCCAAGCTGGTCTCGAACTCCTGACCTCCAGTGATCCACCCCCGCTTGGCCTCCCAAAATGCAGGGATTACAGGTGTGAGCCACCGTGCCCAGCCTCTGCTGCATTTTCAAAGTCCTAGCACCCAGGGTTGGTGGCTTGGAGGCCCAGAAGACATCCCTTTGCCCTCCCCATGACCCGGTGCTGGGTGCACCAACACTGCTGCCGTGGGCATCGCCAGCTGCCAGTCACCATCAGTCAGCACCACGGGGCCTGCTGCCAGCCCAGCAGACACTTTACCAGGAGAAGTTGAAATGATAGGAATCCTGCTGTGCTCACACATCCTTCCTGAGTCATAACAGTTGCAAAGTGTGAATCCCCTTTACGCCATCAACTGTGTAATCATAGCATATTCGACATATAAAGTCCCCTGGCTATTGAGAAGCTCGACAAAAGGAAGAAGTATGTCCTTGACATTGAGGAGCCCTTGAATGTGTCCTTTCTCCTTGTTTCAGTCATTGCTGGCCAGGTCGGGAATAGTGTCACCTTTGAAGTCACGTTGAGCTCTTGCATGTGAAACAAATGGCAGCGTCTTACAGTGGCTGGTGCTCGCTGTTATCTATAGACAGGAGCTGAGAAAAAATAAACTAATTTAAGAATATACATCTTTTTGTGAAGAAAGGCAATGGTGACAACTTGAAGTGAGGTTTTCAAAAAAGTTTGTTTTTCCCCCTTCCCTCTGCTAGAAATTGGCAAAGCTTCAGAAGCATAATTCAGAACTGGAAACACAGAAAGAACAAATACAGCTGAAGCTTCAAGAGAAGACTGAAGAGTTAAAAGGTAAAGCTTGGGGGGCACAAATCCAGACATTCACTGATTTAGTCACTCAGTAAACAATACTGGGGTTGACCAGTTTTAGAACCAGGGGTCTCTGGTGTACACTTAGTTTAGTGAGGCAATTTTTGCTCACAAGGAATAGCCATATTTAAGTCGTGGTAACTTTGCCCTACAGATTCGTCTGTTTTATTTCTGTCTTTTGTCAGACAGCACAGCATTTCCTCTCTGTGCCTCAGAACCTCCTGGGCCCTTTGCAAAGTACAGATGGTCGGACCATGAGCCCGGAGCTTTTGCATCAGGAAATGGGTGTGTGTGTGTCTGTGTGTGCGCATTCGTGTGTGGTGGTGTCAGAGGTGGTTCAGACATCCGTAATTTTAGAAAACCTTTACGGTAATCCTGATGTACAGTCAGAGTAATGCTGCAGTCATGTTTGGTGCTCACCAAAGATTTGCAGAAAAAATTCTGATCTGTCGGAGTTACTTAGCCTAAGTGACACCCATGTCCTCTGCTACTGTCCTGCCCTGAATGAAGAAGGGCAGACCCTGGAACCAGTAGGTATCACTTCCTTTAGGGCTGTGGAACAGCTACGCTTAGCCTAGCTCTACACATTTGAGCTTTTCAGCTCAAGTTCAACTTGACAATACTTGTTGTACCCCAGAAAAGGCAACAGGCAACAGAGCCTGGTGATCCCTGACCAGATAGTTTAAATCACCACTCTCAGTGATCTTGCCTAGGGATCTCTTCCTTGAGCTCCAACGTGGGGGCAGCAGGAACACGAGGGTTCAGGCCTGGGGATTCTACACGCACCTCTAGCCCAGCAAATGGTGGATATGATGGGGCCCAGAGGAGTGCAGAGCCCTGGGAGTTCAGGGCGGAGAGTGGGAGGAGCGAATGTTGGTGAAGAGGGAGTAAACAGCCTGACACCAGGGCACTGGGGCAGGAAAGGCTGTGCAGGTGCTGACGAGGAGCAGGCCATGCCCTCCTGTTCTAGGTGCTGCGTGCCCTCCACCCTGTCTCTGTAGGGCTGATGGTGTGGGCACAGAAGCCATGTGAATGTCAGAGATGAACAGGAGCATGTCAGAGGTCCGGGAGTAAACCTTGAACCTGAGTTAGGAAAGGGTTTCCTCATCTCCACCCTTTTTATTACAGCACACTCCTCTTGGGTGGTTGTTTTGGCTTTTTTCCCCCCTAACTTCAAATAGAATTTCCCACAAGGGCATTTAAATTCTCAGGAATATAACCTGAAAATTATGTTTCTGAGACCATGTCATGTTTGGGTGAATAATTTTACATCCTCTTCCAAAAAGTCCATGAAAACTTTCAATGTAATATTTATAAACTGATTATCCTGTGCGCCTCCCCCGACATGGCAAACAGTGTTTTGTGAATAGCACCAACCTTTACCTATGCTTGTGACCTAAGACCCAGGGATGCTATCAAATGCTGTTTCTCCTTTTTGAGATTCTAACTTAACATGGACATAATCCCATTCCTCTTGAGAAGTAAATCACATTCGAGCAGCTTCTTTAGCGCATCTGCAAATGGCCTAAGATGGTAAGCACCAGAATTAAAGCCAATGCTTTTGGTTAATTGAAAATTGAGGTTATATAAAACGTGTTGGCTTCTAAATTAAAGCTTGAGCATTTCCCCCAGTATTTCCTGGCTGCCTTACAACGTTCTGAAGCAGTCATTTTGATTCAGAAACATTTGGCACTATGTTAGACAAACTATTAAACTGTTGGCTAAAAAAAAAAAGTAATTTGGAGAATTGCTATCGACGGTGCACCCCGAGGACTCCTTCTGGGGTGGGGCTCAGAGGTGAGGTAGAGCTCAAGGATGAGATATCAGCTTAGTGCAAATAGGGACATCACCATTTGAGGGGCTGCACTGCCATTCTCCCATTTTGATGGCCCCTGTGGCATATGGGTGTGTTGGGAATGTGGGGTTGTCATAGCCATGGAACGTCCTGCCCTTCGGCCTGCAGACTTTGTGTTTGCGACTCTTGTATTTCAGTGTTAACAGCTGCCTTTTTTGTACTTCCTCTTTCCCAGATAGAGACAGACACTTGATTATTTTCTTGGTTATCACAGATGAGTGGTTCTCAGCTTTGCTGCCACCTCACCCCCCAGACATTTGCCAATGTCTGGAAACAATTTGGGTTGTCACAACTGGAGCAGAGGTGCTACTGGCTTCTAGAGGGTAGAAGCCAGGGTTGCTGCTCAGAATCCTGCAATGCGTGGGACAGCCCCTCTCCACAGCAAAGAATTATCCAGCCCAAAGTAGCAATAGTGCCAAGACCGAGAAACCTTGTCACAAATGGATCATTTTCTTCCCAAAGGGTTTCTATTTATTTATTTATTTTTTTTTTTTTTTAATTTTTTTTTTTTTTTTTTTGAGACGGAGTCTCGCTCTGTCGCCCAGGCTGGAGTGCAGTGGCGGGATCTCGGCTCACTGCAAGCTCCACCTCCCGGGTTCACGCCATTCTCCTGCCTCAGCCTCCCAAGTAGCTGGGACTACAGGCGCCCGCCACTACGCCCGGCTAATTTTTTGTATTTTTAGTAGAGACGGGGTTTCACCGTTTTAGCCGGGATGGTCTTGATCTCCTGACCTCGTGATCCGCCCGCCTCGGCCTCCCAAAGTGCTGGGATTACAGGCGTGAGCCACCGCGCCCGGCCTCTATTTATTTTTAATAATATTCATTGTCTCAAAGCCAATATCTACTTTAATAAATAACAGACCAACAAAAGTACTATAAATGAAACTATTTATTGATAATTCCAATCTGACAAATTTGTGAGAATTATTATTTTGAAACCCCCTCATCTTTATTTCTTGTTTATAAAAAATGAGCTATACTCTCATTGTAAGTCCTGTTAAT
The DNA here is from genome assembly GCF_000001405.40 of Homo sapiens. NCBI lineage: Eukaryota > Metazoa > Chordata > Mammalia > Primates > Hominidae > Homo > Homo sapiens. Next base: position 52,232,794 of record NC_000015.10, on the reverse strand, counting down.
AATAAACATCACATGATTGTCCTGACATTCTCACTTTCTTAAACATAACATGAAACAATCAAGGCATTGATTTGGCAGACATATCTCAAAAAGCATTCTCTTTTTACAGAAAAAATGGACAACCTCACCAAGCAGCTCTTTGATGATGTACAAAAGGAAGAACGGCAAAGAATGTATGGAATCTAGTTTGCCTTAAAGCTACTTTCTTTCTTCTGTCTGTGCTGTTTTATATTTTCCATCTCAGTTTGCATATAGCAGACACAGATACAAGAAAGTGGGGTGTGACTGTTTTTAGGAAGTGAGATTAGAGATTTATGAGAGCTAAGTTCCACAATGTGTACTGTCAGATACTGAACACATTCTAGACTAGTCCATAAAGCTTCTGCTGGGTGGGTACAGTGGACCACCAGGAATTCTTTTCTTTTCTTTTCTTTTCCTTTCTTTCTTTCTCTTCTTTCTTTCTCTCCTTCCTTCCTTCTCTCCTTCCTTCCTTCTCTCCTTCCTTCCTTCTCTCCTTCCTTCCTTCTCTCCTTCCTTCCTTCTCTCCTTCCTTCTTTCTTTCTTCTTTCTTTCATTTTCTTTCTTTTCCTTCCTTCCTTCCTCCCTTCCTCCCTTCCTCCCTTCCTTCCCTTCCTTTCCTTCCTTTCCTTCCTCTCCTTTTCTTTCTTTTCTCTTTCTTTCTTTTCTTTTTTTTTTACTTTATTGCTAAGACAGTGCAAAATTCAGAGACTACCACCACCTTCAACTTCTACCAAATCCAAGAATTAAGATTCTTGCCTAGGAAATAAACCTCCCTCCTTTCCTTCCCCACCTATTGTCCTTGTTAGTTTGTCTTTTATCCCAAAAGATAAGGTAAGTAATGGACCTCACAGAAATTAAGGCAGGTGCCTGACCTTGTACTGTACCAGCCCACCTTTCCTATCTCAATAGCAAACCCTTTGCTAACCTCCAAGGACTCCAATCTGGGCTTCCCTTCTCTTAAGGAGTCAAAGGTTTTTAGATCTCAAAGTTGGGGTACATGGCAGGGTCCCGGAAAGAGATAGAACATGCTTGGCACATCTCTTTTGGGGGCTAGGAAGCTCAGGGCTGCCTGTGGTGGTAGGATACAAAACTTCCCCATGCAGTGAGCAGGACAGCCTGCGTCTGGGTGAGGAAGCAGGATTCTAAAGAGAGGAGGGAATATCACAGAATCGCTCCAGGAGTTAACAAATATATGAAGTGTTTCATGATCCTCCATCAGTTTTTAAATATGTCTAATTAACTCATTTACCTAGAAAAATATAATTGTCGATGAGTTTTTAATGTGAGGAGAAGAGCTCGGCTCTCGGCATCTGTCCACGTGCAGGGACCACTTGGGAGTGATCATTTCAAGCAGGGGTCTTGGAGAGCCAGGCTGAGGCCAGGTCATTTTGGGCTGTTTGCAATCCTAACTGGGTCAGGGCGAGGCAGGCCAGTGAAGGGATTAAAACTCTTCACCCTCTCTAGGCCCGTGTTCTGCCTCCTCATTAGCACTCATCTGTAGCTTGGTTTAGTCCCTGGTCAGCCAAGGGGGGAATTCCTGGCCCCTGTCAAAATTCTCAGGAGGCTCCAAGAGGCCTGCAGTCTGTGGGCACCCTCCTGACCAGCTCAGGCTGTGGGTCTAAGATTCTTTTTACATAAGACTTCTGGGCCAGGCGTACTGGCTCACACCTGTAATCCCAGCACTTTGGGAGGCCAAGGTGGGCAGATCACCTGAGGTCAGGAGTTTGAGACCAGGCTGGCCAACATGGTGAAACCCCGTATCTACTAAAAATACAAAAATTGGCTGGGCGTGGTGGCAGATGCCTGTAATCCCAGCTACTTGGGAGGCTGAGGCAGGAGAATCACTTGAAACCGGGAGGCGGAGGTTTCAATGAGCTGAGATTGCACCACCGCACTCCTGCCTGGGCGACAGAGTGAGACCCTGTCTCCAAAAAAAAAAAAAAAAAAGGAAGACTTCTGGCTGCCTTTTCCTTTTTCAAAGGCATTTTACTGGTCTCTTGGGAGCACTGCAGTTTTTTTTTAAAAAACCTGGAAACAAAGTTCGTTAATATCTGTAGAAAAAAGAGGTTATGTGCAGTGCTCACACCTGTAATCCCAGCACTTTGGGAGGCCAAGGCGGGCAGATCACCTGAGGTCAGGAGTTTGAGACCAGTCTGGCCAACATGGCAAAACCCCATCTCTACTAAAAATACAAACATTAGCTGGGTGTGGTGTTGGGCACCTTATAATCCCAGCTACTCGGGAGGCTGAGGCAGGAGAATCACTTGAACCCGGGGGGCGGAGGTTGCAGTGAGCTGAGATCATGCCACTGAAGTTCACTCCAGCCTGGGTAAAAGAGCAAAACTCCATCTCAAAAAAAAAAAAATCTATAAAAAAGAAATCAAACAAATTTATTAGGAATGTGGCTCTCTTTCTCAGAGTTTTTCCCTTTGTGCTATAAAAGCAAGTTTTAAAAGGAACTGAAATGACAGCTCAGCAGGTAGAATCATTTAGTAAACTCATAGAGCTCCTGGCACTGCTTCAAGGGCCCCTGTGGGCTGTGTTGGGCTTGTCTAGGTTATGTATCTCTTTTCAATTATTTTCTTAGTTAATCATCAAATTTTTAATTGAGCAACCTTCTAGAGCAGTTGGATTTACATGCACTTTTGGGCACGTGGATTTGCTGCCATTTATTCTAGAATTTTTGAAGGGCTAGACCCCTGGACATAGCAGATAGCTCTATTGTTTAGGATCAAACAAACCTCCAGCAGGATCCTTGGAACGAGGAAGGAGCCAGGACTTAGCAGAGCACGCCAAGGTATTCGCTGAAGGAAACTGGCCCTTCCAGGGGACTGCATGGAACCCGGGGGGTTGGGAATACAGTGCCCCAAAACCCAGTGTGTCTTTTAAGTTCAGCCTCCCTAGCCAGTGTGCCCTGTGCGTGATCACTGTAAAGCCACACCTTTCAAATCAGGAGGTGTAAGAAGTTGTCTTTAACCTAAGGGAAGAGGAAACAGTTTGCTAAAAATAAGGCCATTACCTGCTGGAACTGTCACAGTAGGTTCTAATTAACTTGTCTCCTCTTGTTGTTTTCAAAATGATGTATTCTAATTCAAAGTAAAGACTGTAGAGACAATTCTAAATTATTTTCTTCTTTTTTAGGGGGTGTTGTGGGGAGGGTCTCACTCTGTCACCCAGATTGAAGTGCAGTGGCACGATCTCAGCTCACTGCAGCCTGGACCTCCTGGGCTCAAGCGATTCATCCACCTCAGCCTCCTGGGTAGCTGGGACTACAGGCGTGCTCCACCACACCTGACTAATTTTTGTATTTTTAGTGGGGACGGGGTCTCTCTTGTTGCCCAGGCTAGTCTTGAACTCCTGGGCTCAAGGGATCCGCCTGCCTTGGCCTCCCAAAGTGCTGGGATTACAGGTTTCAGCCACCATGCTCAGCTCTAAATTATTTTCTTCTTTTGCTGCGTAGGCTTCTTGAAAAAAGTTTTGAACTGAAAACACAAGACTATGAGAAGCAGATTCAGTCTTTGAAAGAAGAAATTAAAGCTCTCAAGGATGAGAAGATGCAACTCCAACACCTGGTGGAGGGGGAGCACGTCACTTCTGATGGCTTGAAGGCGGAAGTGGCCCGCCTGAGCAAGCAGGTCAAGGTAGAGCGGCTCTCACGTTCAGCCCCGCCCTCTGGTTACGTCATTTGATTGCAATTCCAAGTTCCCACAGATTAGACAGCTAAAAGCATCTGTGTAAAGGCCACAGGCAACTGGAGCCTGATTCCTTCAGTCCTTCCAACTGTGCACCTCCAGGCTGCCTTTGATTTAGCAATCATTGTATTCCATATTTTAAAAGTCAACTTTCTAACTTTTTTGAAATTACATTTATGTAAAGTTATTTAAATATGTCGATGTAGAGAATACTCCCAAATTAGACTGTAAATTGAGGTGAATCCTTATTATATAATCCATCACTATAAATCTATAAACACCTGCATTAAAGTTAAGTTACCTTATTATCAAAATCTTTCATTTAAACTGTTATTAGAAAATTTACTAAAACAATTATCCAATGCACAGTGTGGTGAATGTAGTTAATAAGAGCATATTGTACATTCAAAATTGCTATGAGTAAATCTTAAATGTTCTCACCACAAAAAATGACAAGTATTTGAGGTGATAACATGTTAATCAGCTTGAATTATTCCACAATATATTCATAAATTATAACATCAATAAAGCTATAAATTTTCAATGGTAGAAATTTTTAAGTAAATTTTTATAAAGCTGAGAAGGAAAAATCACATAGAATTTTTAAAACTGCATAATGATATATAAAAATATTGTTACCTGCCGGGCACGGTGGCTCAGGCCTGTAATCCCAGCACTTTGGGAGGCCAAGGCAGGTGGATCATGAGGTCAGGGGTTCTAGACCAGCCTGACCAACATGGTGAAACCCTGTCTCTACTAAAAATACAAAAATTGGCTGGGCGTGGTGGCAGGTGCCTGTAATCCCAGCTACTCAGGAGGCTGAGGCAGGAGAATTGCTTGAACCTGGGAGGCGGAGGTTGCAGTGAGCCGAGATCGCGCCACTGCACTCCAGCCTGGGTGACAGACCGAGACTCCGTCTCAAAAAAAAAAAAAATTGTTACCTGTATCTATCATTAAAAATATATAAATATTCCTGGGCAATTTAATAAAATGCTCTAGAGAAAAATGAATGAATGGATGAAGTAATGATCCATGCTTGGACAATCAAGGCTTAAGTGAATTGTTTCCCTACCAGAAAAGTTAAACCTGAGTGTACCTACGTTCTTAAATGTAAGACATTTCATCATTAAGTTGGAAAGCTTTTAAGCTTCTACTAAATATGTGAAATACATATTAGTAGAGTATTTGTAGGATTATGGAAATAGTCTCTGTAATTGTCATGAACTAGCCATGCGTGGTTTAGAAGAGCTTTTGGAATTGCATCCGGGTGGCCACTGAATTCCACAACTGAAGTGTCTGTCTTTTCTGGGCCCCGTCCCCTATTGTTTAAAAGTAGGAGGTCAGACCACATGATCAGGAAGGGTCACTTTCATTCCTGTGACTGCTTCACTCTTAGCAGCCACATGAGCCTGATGTCAGTCAGTCTGTGGGAGTCCTGTCATCTGGCTGAGGTCTGAGGTCTGTATCTTAAATGTAGGAACTTGTGAGACTGCGCTTGCAGAGAGGTACCAGTAGGTGTCACTCACTTCCTCTTTGGTAGCTAAGACTGGTTCACTCTCCAATGTGATCCATTAAGATTACTTGGGGCTGGGCACGGTGGCTCAGGCCTGTAATCCCAGCACTTTGGGAGACTGAGGTGGGCGGATCACGAGGTCAGGAGATCAAGACCATCCTAGTTAACACGGTGAAACCCCATCTCTACTAGAAAAAAAAAAAAAAATTAGCCGGGCGAGGTAGCACACACCTGTAGTCCCAGCTACTCGGGAGGCTGAGGCAGGAGGGTCGCTTGAACCTGGGAGGTGGAGGTTGCAGTGAGCCGAGATTGCACCACTGAACTCCAGCCTGGGTGACAGAGTGAGACTCCGTCTCAACAAAAAAAAAAAAAAAAAAATTACTCTGGGTTTTTGTGTTTTGTTTTTTGGGTTTTTTTTGAGACAGAGTTTTGCTCTTGTCACCCAGGCTGGAGTGCAATGGCACCATCTTGGCTCACTGCAACCTGCCTCCCAGGTTCAAGCGATTCTCATGCCTCAGCCTCCCAGGTAGCTGGGATTACAGGCATCTGCCACCACACCTGGCTAATTTTTTTTTGTATTTTTAGTAGAGACAGGGTTTCACCATGTTGGCCAGGCTGGTCCTGAAGTCCTGACCTCAGGTGATCCACCCGCACTAGCCTCCCAAAGTGCTGAGATTACAGGCGTGAGCCACCGTGCCCAGCCTACTCTGGTTTTCAAAGAAAATAACTCATGATCATCAAGTTATATGTGTTATAGTCAGTCTTAAAAGCCTAAGTAAATGCAAATCTGACTTGGAACATTTACTGAAACATTACAAAGAAAAGCATGGCCTTCAGGATTTGGATAGTCCTGAGTCCCCCATAAACCTGGCATGTGACCCTGAACGTGCCAGTCAGCCTTCAGTTAAATGTAGCTGCTGTTTGCTAATTGAGAAAAGATCACTCTACTTACCTCATAGGCCTGTTAGGAGGATTAGGTCTTCTAGGTAAAGTGCTCAGCACATATCAGTTTGATTCTCCTGCTTACTCTCTGTAGAAACAGGGGCTGGAGCCCTTAAATACTCAGGGTAACTGAAAAAATATCAAGGAGAGTTTATTCACCTCTGCTGTCCCTGAAAGTCCTTATATCTCCCTCAGATACAAAGCAAAAGCACAGACCTGTGATTCTTATTCAAGCTGAGCTCACAAGGGAGAATAAAGGCAGAATACTGCCTCTTCCCCACAACCAGAGCTGCCCAGGCCACCTCCTTCCCAACAGCCAGCTAACTCCCAGACCTCCTGGACTCACCAGTCTCTGCCACTGCTCCACATCTAAGCTGAGCTGAAGCCAAAACCCACAGTTATGAAGGTGGCAACTTTGCCCATGTCCTTGCACTCAATATTTTATTATCCATTAAAAGAGAATTTTAGCCCGTGATTTTACCTTTCTCAGTCTTCCCCCTGTCCCACCCCACCCCAAGCTTATAGTAGGTATTTTTTTTTCTTTATGTAACAGGGAAGTTAATTTTTTTTTTTTTCGAGGTGGAGTTTTGCTCTTGTTCCCCAGGCTGGAGTGCAATGGTGCAGTCTCAGCTCACTAAAACCTCTGCCTCCCGGGTTCAAGCGATTCTCCTGCCTCAGCCTCCCAAGTAGCTAGGATTACAGGCGTCTGCCACCATGCCTGGCTAATTTTTGTATTTTTAGTAGAGATGGGATTTTACCATGTTGGTCAGGCTGGTCTCAAACTCCTGAACTCAGGTGATCCACCTGCCTCAGCCTCCCAAAGTGCTGGGATTACAGGTGTGAGCCACCATGCCTGGCCCAGGGAAGTTAATTCTACTGATACAACCCATTAGATCTGGCATTTTGAGTAGTTAAGCATGCTTCAAGGCCAAGCTGTGTAGGCAGTGATGGTTTAACAAGATTTTAGCTAAGAAAGAAACTGCAGTGAGGATGTCTTGCATAGACACGCAACGCTGTAATTGTGTTCCCTTTGTCTTATATAAAGCATAATCGTTGTTTTTTCTTTACCTGATTCCGTCATTGCTGTGATTCAGACAATCTCTGAGTTCGAAAAAGAGATAGAACTACTTCAGGCACAGAAGATAGATGTGGAGAAACATGTGCAGTCACAAAAACGGGAAATGAGAGGTAATAAAAATATGAGTCTCTTAGTCCATGGGTGCAGACTGAATTTATCATAGCTGTGTCGCTGCTAAGGAAACGTGTCCTTTGGTATGAATTTGGTTGGACATATGGTAGATTGCTTAGTTGATAGGTTGAATAGCTAGTTGGTTGAATACCTGGAAGATTGGTTAGTTGGTTGATTGGATAGCTGGTGAGTTATTTAGCTGGAGACTGTGAAGCTAGAAAACTGGGCCCTGGAAAGGGAATGGGAAAAGATAAATCATCCACAAATGTAATATATACAACTCTGCCTTTCCCTTTCAGAAAAGATGTCAGAGATCACCAAACAACTTCTCGAAAGCTATGACATTGAAGATGTAAGAAGCAGGTAATCATTTTTGCATTATCAAACATTTTAAGACATGTAAACATGTAAAACGTGACAGAGATGATAGATTTTCTTATCTTCCTTATTTTGCAGGCTCTCTGTGGAAGATCTGGAACATTTAAATGAGGATGGAGAACTTTGGTTTGCTTATGAAGGACTAAAGAAAGCAACACGGTTAGAAATTCTCCTCAGGGATCTTCTTTATTTTTCAGAGATAATAAATAGACTATTGGAAAGTCCAAAGTTTACCTTACATAGATTGATACACAAATTCCTTATAGTAGAATGACTGAATAACCACTAGAAATATTTCTCTGAGAAGTAAGTAAGTAGCTTATTCATGAAGAGCAATCTCTTTGTGGGATAAAATGCCTAGTAAAAAACCCCATAACCCATACAGTGAAAACTGATTATCAAATAAGTTAGTTAATGTTGCCAGAAATATGTAGATACATTTAAATTTAAGGCATGTGCTGCATTTATTTAAATTAATAAACTTTATTTTTCACAGCAGTTTTAGGTTCACATCAAAGTTGAGCAGAAATACAGAGAGTTCCCATATATCCCTGCCACCACACACACACAACCTCCCCCACTGTCAACTTCCCAAACCACAGTGATGTGTTTACTATGACTGGTGAACCAACACTGACACGCCACTGTCACCTCAAGTCTATAGTTTACATTAGAGTTCACTCTTGGTGTACATTCTGTAGGTTTTGACAAATGTATAATGACTCGTATCCACAACTGTAGTATCATACAGAACATGTTTTGTTTTGTTTTGTTTCTGAGATGGAGTCTCGCTCTGTTACCCAGGCTGGAGTGCAGTGGCAAGATCTTGGCTCACCGCAACCTCCACCTCCAGGTTTCAAGCGATTTGCGTGCCTCAGCCTCCCAAGTAGCTGGAACTACAGGCATGCGCTACCACACCTGGCTAATTTTTGTATTTTTAGTAGAGACGGGATTTCACCATGTTGTCTAGGCTGGTCTCAAACTCCTGACCTCAAGTGATCCGCCCACCTCGGCCTCCCAAAATCCTGGGATTACAGGTGTGAGCCACTGCGTCTGGCCAGTATTTTTTAAACTATTAAGAGTGTAAAAATATAATAACTTCTAAAATTTTCTTCATTGTTAACTACATATTAACCCCCACATAATGCTTCCTAACTAGCTAGAAGATTTTATAATTAGGCATTCCTGATTCTGTAGCCTGTAACCGTGAGTGCATAAGTAAACTTGATGTACTTCGTGCACGGCTCTTGTTGTGGGTCTTCATAACTGCCTCCCAGCAGTCCATAAAACAGAACAAAGGCCATGTGGTTTATTTCTTGACCCCTCCTTTAATAGTGTTTTGGAGAGCCATTTCCAGTCTCAGAAGGATTGCTATGAAAAGGAGATTGAAGCTTTGAACTTCAAAGTGGTGCATCTCAGTCAAGAAATCAACCACCTGCAGAAGTTATTCAGAGAAGAAAATGACATCAATGAAAGCATCCGTCATGAAGTTACCAGGCTAACATCAGAGAACATGGTATGGTCTCAGCCAGGGGCCCCAGTCGTGGCCATCATACTAGAGTTGTTCTTTGTCAGTGGCGTCAAATTCAGTTTCTTGGCAGTAAAAGAGTGGATATAAATTACTTTTTCCAGAAGTGAAATAACTTGGTCTGGTGATTAAACTATAAAATGACTGCAGACCAGAGAGCACTCTGATACAAGAGTGTGTGTGTTCACCACAGGATGGCTGCAGGCGCTGTGATTGTCTGTGTGTGCGCGTAAGTGTGTATGTTTTAAAGCCTGTATATTTAAATCAAGCCCTAACCCCTTGGAAAGTGACCACAAAATTGAAGGGTAGCTCTTGAGACAGGAGTGTGTCAGAAGGCCAGTCCTGCTCATGCCTGAAATCTCACCTTTTTTTTTTTTTTTTTTGAGATGAAGTCTCACTCTGTTGCCCAGGCTGGAGTGCAATGGCATGATCTCAGCTCACTGCAACCTCCGCCTCCCAGGTTCAAGCAATTCTCCTGCCTCAGCCTCCCGAGTAGCTGGGATTACAGGCGCCCACCATCACGGTCAGCTAATTTTGCATTTTTAGTAGAGACAGGGTTTCACTATGTGGGCAAGGCTAGTCTCGAACTCCTGACCTCGTGATCCGCCTGCCTCAGCCTCCCAAAGTGGCATAAGCCACCGTGCCCGGCCTTCAAATCTCACCTTTTCAAGGGCTTCCTCTTCCATGACGTGCATTCCTAGCCACTGCATTTGTCTCATTCTTTCTTCCAACTCATGCCTACTGGCCTGGAGAAATGCTTTAGGAATCTCCTCATTCAAAAAGCCATCTCTGTCTTAACCCCACACTGCTGTGGCCATCACCCATTTCTTTGGGGTCTTAGTCAGACTTACAAAGACCCTCTAGGCATACTTCCTCCGCACACCTCCCATTCACTGCCCACCACCCCATTCTGTCGTGTGTCCCCACCACTGGCTGACTCTGCCTGCACAGAGCTGAGCACTAAGGGTTCCTTTGCACCCTCATCTTACTCAGTGTCTCAGCAGCCTCTGGCGATGCTAATCTTGCCCTCTCTGCCTTGTTCTCTTGGCTTCCAGGACGCCCCGCTCTCCCAGCATTCTTGTCCCGCCTCACTGGCTGCTGCTCCCCTACTTCCTTACTACCCCCTCCTCTCCCTAAACTGAGAGTGTTAGGAAATCTCGGGGCTGTAGCAGCAGTTGAGGACCAGGGGTGGACACAGGGAACGGTAGTGGGGGACCTTTACATCTTTGTTTATTCCTTGGATGAAACTTTAATGAGGAATTTGCAGTGAGACCCAATTGCACATTCAAACAAGTACAGATGCTCCTCAGCTTACCATGGGGCTACGTCCCAATAAACCCATCGTATGCTGGAAGTATTGTATTGTAAGTTGAAAATGCATATAATACACCTGACCTACCAAGCATCGTAGCTTAGCCCAGCCTGCCTTAAACGTGCTCAGAATGCTTACATTAGCCTGTACTTGGGCAAAATCATCTAACACAAAGCCTATTTTTATAATAAAGTGTTGAATGTCTCATGTAACTTATCAAATACTATACTGAAAGTGAAACACAGAATGGTTGAATGGGTACTTGAAGTATGGTTTCTACTAAATGCATATCACTTTCACACCATCACAAACTCGAAAAATAGTAAGTTGAGCCATCGTAAATCAGGGGCTGTCTGTATTCTTCATTTAGACTTCAGAGGCCTGGATCTCAGCCACTCAGTTTTAAAATGAGCATGTTTATAAACTTGGGGAAGGAAAAAAAACCCTGTTTTAACCTAACTGGGGGTGGAGGCGATGGACATGTAAAGAAATATACAGATAGGGACAAAGGATTGAGAAACTTACCGGGTGATTCCAGACCTCCACTAACAGAGCAGTGCATGTCCTTGAATTCAAAAGTAGCAGTGGGACCCTTTGAGATGGCTTTTCCTGTTCCTAGATGAGGAGACGATGGCTCTGGGCTTGGACCAAAGACGCTGGCTGCCATTTCTTCACCTAATTCCTCCCTCAACTCAGCATAGGATTTCTATACATGTACACATCCTTCTCTCCCTGTCGTAGCTGTGTGAGAACTGCTTCCTCTGAGCATACTGGTGTTTCCTGAGACTATATAGGTTTTGAGGTTAAAAAAAAATGTTAATCCAGTCTAATGTCGTGGCTAGCTCTTTTACACAGCTATCTGTTCTGCAGGCTGAACACCAAGATAGTTCAGTTTGCTTCTAAGATTTTAAAGTTCATAGATAAAAGTATTTTATATTCTAATATTTCTAATTCTTCTCTAAAGATGATCCCAGACTTTAAACAGCAAATTTCAGAATTGGAGAAACAGAAGCAAGATCTTGAAATCCGCCTGAATGAACAAGCTGAGAAAATGAAAGGTAACTGAAACCCTCATTAACCTGCTTTTAGAAAACGGTTTCCTGTACCCCGGAAATGACATTGAAATGTCCTTGTACTCAGGGCTTTTAAACTCTGGTTCTCTAGGGGGCTGGGCAGGTAACAAATGTGAGAAGGGGGCTAGTTGAAAGATATGGGAAGGTATGTAGGACATTTAAAGGAGGTGCAGGCTGAGTGCAGTGGCTTACACCTATAATCCCAGCACTTTGGGAAGCGGTGATGGGTGGATCATTTAAGGCCAGGAGTTCGAGTTTGAGACCAGTCTGGGCAATATGATGAAACCTCATCTCTACAAAAAAAATTTTTTTTTTTTTTTTTGAGACTGAGTTTCGCCCTTGCCCAGGCTAGAATGCAATGGTGCGATTTCGGCTCACTGGAGCCTCCGCCTCCCGGGTTCAAGTGATTCTCCTGCCACAGCCTCCTGAGTATATCAAATTACAGGCACCCACCACCACACCCAGCTAATTTTTTTTTTTTTGTATTTTTAGTAGAGATGGGGTTTCGCCATGTTGGCCAGGTTGGTCTTGAGCTCCTGGCCTCAGGTGATCCACCTACCTTGGCTTCCCGATGTTCTGGGATTACAGCCGTGAGCTACTGAACCCAGCCCAAAAATTTTTTTAAAATAAGTCAGGCTTGGCAGTATGCGCCTGTAGTCCCAGCTATGTGGGAGACTGAAGTGGAAGGATTACTTGAGCCCGGGAGGTGATGGCTGAAGTGAGCCGTGGTTGTGCCACTGCATTCCAGCCTGGGTGACAGAGTGAGATCCTGTCTCTGAAAAAACATACAAAAAAATAAACAGGCTGCTGCCTCCAAGCTCCACTGATTGTTGCCCAGTGGGAATGTGGGCCCAGTATTGCTAGAGATTCCTATTTTTAAAGAAAACCCAGGAATCCAGATTTTTATGTGGAATATTTATGTGGAACAATTTTTAAATGATGGTTTAAAAATGTTTAAACATTGTTCAGACCAAATAAAAGTTAATCTCTGTCTGGATACAGTTTAAGACAAGCTTGTTCAAGCCGCAGCCTATAGGCCACATGCAGCCCATGACAGCTTTCAGGGAGGCCCAATACAAATTCGTAAACTTTCTTAAAACATGAGATTTTTTTGCAGTTTTGTTTTTCAGCTCATCAGCTATTGTTAGTGTTAGTGTATTTTATATGTGGCCCAAGACAATTCTTCTTCCAATATGGGCCAGAGAAGCCAAAAGATCGGACACCCCTAGTTTAGGACCTCTAAAAATTGAAAATAATACCAAACCCAAATCAGAATGCAGTGATATGTGCCCCCCCAAAGTACTGACAGTTCTTCTCATTATAGGAAAACTAGAAGAATTGTCTAATCAGTTACATCGCAGTCAAGAGGAGGAAGGAACACAAAGAAAGTAAGTGTAAATATGTGTGTACCTCAAGTTCATGCTCGTGTAATGCTTTTCTGAAACTGTAGAATATACCAAGATGTGTTACTAATGCCAAAAAGCAAGATGCTAATTAATATATATGACATATTGCCATTCTGATGGGAAGGAAAGAAATATGTGTATGTACAACACACTCAGCAGCAGCAGCATCTCTGGGAGATTGTTAAGGAACAAAACATTGGTTGCCTCCAGGCAGTTGGTTGCCTTCAGGCTTGGTGACTGATACACAGAGGAGGGGAGGACACGTACTTTTCACTGTATGCGTACACTTTTGTACCCTTGAAATGCTATACCATGCACTTGAATTATCTGTTCAAACAACAGATAAGAGTGTGTGAGAGAGGACGGTTTCTATTAGCAGACTATTTAGGGTAAGAATTAAAAGCCCATGTTGATGGAAAATCTTCATTGCTAATCCCCCCAAATTTCCATCACGAGACCAATAAAGGGCCTCGTGCCCTGGCAGAGCCTTGTGGGGAGAATGTTCTGTTTTGTTGCCAACTTGTTGAGACACTTATTTTTCCAAAATAATAAATGGGCACTTGACATCCCCAAGAGCATCTTTAGTTATGTGACTTTATCAGTAGGATGAGGACCCAAAGTAGTGGAAAAGGAGCGAGGCACCATTTTGGAACTCTTCTAATGGTCTCTCCTCCTCTCTTCTGTCTGATCCCTGGCTTTGTGAGTGTCTGGTCCCCAGGCTGGTCACAAAGGGGATGACTGCTTAGCTGTCACAGCGTATGGTGGGCGTGGATGTCCCATGGGAACAGTAAGTGGGGCTGAGGTTGGGTGGAGAATGGAACTCTTATTGGGGGAAGGAGACCAGAGCAGTCCATGGACAGTTTTCTATCCCAGCCAGTCCTGGTCTCTTTTCTTTCCCCTGGAAGGACACCCCTATTCGAATACTATTTGCTTTACACAGAAATTGGCCAAGGTGTTCTTCCATCTTTGGAAATATCAGCACTTGCTATGACAGTGAGTGACTTCTCCATGACCGTCATACTGATACCAGCCATTCCTCCCTCCCTTTCTCAGGGCCTTGGAAGCCCAAAATGAAATACATACCAAAGAGAAGGAGAAGCTGATTGATAAGATTCAAGAAATGCAGGAGGCCAGTGACCACTTGAAGAAACAATTTGAAACTGAAAGTGAAGTCAAGTGTAACTTCCGGCAGGAAGCATCCCGGCTCACTTTGGAAAACAGGGTGAGAAGTCTTCTAACTTGGTGATAAAGACTGTCTGTGTGCAGATGTTGCTGAAAGGGGGGACATGCCACCTAAAGCATATGATTAACATCTATAGACCAAAAGTCCTTCCATCAGAGCAGTCTGTTTTCTTATCCCAAAAGACAGGTGGTCTCTGAGGTTGGCTTTGGGAAGGCCTTGGGGACTTACAGGCCCGCCTGGGGAGGGTGAAGGAGGAGAGACAGAGAGGTGCAGGCCGTAGTTCCCCAGCACTATCAGTGCACGGCACCACCCAGGATGGAGTCACTGTGCTCTGGAACACACTGAGGATAGCAAGGCCTACGTGTGAGTGCTTTACCCAGCAAAACTCACCCCATATAAGTGCCCATGCTTTCTTCTGGGGGTATGGCCTTCCTACAATTTTTAGAGTCAAAATGTTCTTCTATGAAATGATCATGATGTCGATGGAAGGCTTAAAAACTTTTTAAAAGTGTTTAAGGTCTTTTCTGAGTTTTAAATGCCCTTACCAAAATGAAATCGGGTAACCTTACATCAATTCCCAGCAATTATTTTGAAATTGTGATGCTGTGTGGAACCCAGAAGACTGAGAAGTGCTGAAGTGACAGGCCACTTTCCTAGGAGCTGGGACCCTCTCGGGCCCCTTCGAAACCTGAGAGCTTCCAGCTTCCAAGAGGGTAACGCAGGAGGGCTGACGAGTCCAGTGGGTCAGTGTGGACATGCCCACGTACCCTTCTCCCTGCTGACAGGGCCCCCATTTCCAATCTCACAGGAAAACCTTGATAGAGGAAAAACATATTTTGAGTGTCAGGGTTTAACTTTGAAGAGTGGTTACATCCAAAAAGAGAAATTCCAGGAGTTTGACATTTAATAGGAAGTAACAAATTCCAATCAGTGACACCTACATGACAGCTGCCTTTTCTGAGGTGGATACAACTTTCTCAGAGACTGGAATCCTCGTGTTACAACAGAGAAGCAACCGCCTGTTGTCCATGTGTGAGGCTGCCTTGCCTTGCCTTGCCTCCTGTGGGCCCCTGGGATCTCAATGGAGTCAGCGGTCAGGGAGAAGCTACATGGGTGGGTCATGTGTGTGCTGCGCATGTCATCCCATGTGATCCTTTACTCTGACTGTCCCTGTGCATTGTGACGGATTTATGAGTTCGTTCCTGGTGCCCTGGAGCACAGCTCGGTCCTGGCGCCCTCTTCTGGAGCTCCTCCAAGTGTCTGGCTCTGCTCCCCACAGGTGCGCTGAGCTAAGGAGCTGGCAGGCCTGACATGCTCATTTCAATAGCTCTTTCTGAACCCGGAGTAGCCTCACTGTTACATAGAAGCAGACGGACACACAACAAGAGTATCATCTCTATACATTAGCCGGCGGATTCTACCCACAAATGAGACCTGATCTGTATTAGTTTGCCAGGGCTGCTGTAACAAATGACCACAAACCAGGTGCTTTAAAACAACAGAAATGTGTTCTCTCAATTATGGAGGTCAGAAGTCTGAAGTCAAGGTGTCAGCAGGGCACACTCCTCCGAAGTCTCTAAGGAAAACCCTTCCTTGCCTCTCCCAGCTTCTAGAGGGCTCCAGGCATTCCTTGGTTTGGAACAGTGTAACTCCAGCCTCTGCCTCTCTGCACCTGGCCTTCTCCCTGTCTCTGTGTTCTTTTCCATCTGTTATAAGGACACCTGCATTGGATTTACAGCCCACCCTAAATTGTAGTAGCCACCTCTCATACTGACCCTTAGCTTACCACAGCTGCAAAGACCCTATTTCCATATAAAGGCACATTCTGGAGTTTGGGTTGGACATGAATTTCAAGGTGACACTGTTCAAACCACTATGTGATGCTTTGAGTCAAAGAAATTTCTTTTTTTTTTCCAGACTCTTTTGTCACTGAATTCTTATTAAGAGATTAAAAAAAAACTTTTAGTAATCATTTCACTATTTATCAAAGAAATTCAAAATCAAAACTAGGTACTATTTTTGCCTGTCAAATTAACAGAGACCTGGGCCTGGCACAGTGGCTCATGCCTGTAATCCCAGCACTTTAAGATGTCATGGCAGAAGTATGACTTGAGGCCAGGAGTTCAACCAGCCAGGGCAACGTAGTGAGACCCCATCTCTACAAGGAAAACTTTAAAAATATATATATAGTGGTGCATGCCTGTAGCTCTGGCTACTCAGGAGGCTGAGGCAAGAGGACTGCTTGAGCCCAGGAGATTGAGGCTGCAGTGAGCTATGATCACACTACTGCACTCCAGCCTGGATGACAGAGCAAAATCCTGTCTCTAAAAATACTACTACTAATAATAATAATAATTAATAGAGATCTTATGCTGCTGGAGAGAACATCTTGAAATGGGCACTGTCATACATGGTTGCTGGGAATATAAATTGGTATAAACTTTCTTGAGGGCTTATTTGAAGGTATGGATCATGAACCTTTGGAAAGTACATTCCCTTTGACTCAGTAACACAACTTGTAAGGTTCTATCCTAAGTAAATACTTGAACATGTGGACGAGATTTTTGTTCAGAGTGATCATCTTAGTGTTATTAATCATAGAGAAAAAAAGCAACCCAAAGGAGAGAAATGCATACCTAACAATAGAGCAAAGGTTAAATTGTTGTATGATATAATATGACTTGGCTGTTAAAATGATGGTTTGAGTATATTATCAATGACATGGGAAAACGTCTGCAGTATAACTAGAGAAAAATGTAGGATTTGAAATTTTGCATGTAATATGATCCCAATTTTATAAAATGTACATTTACCATATTGGGAAAAAAGGAATGAAATCAAAATGTGAAGAGTGGTTTTTTTCTGGGTTATGGGTTGATGGGTGACCCATTTTATTAGATATATTATAAGATGGGCTTGAATTGGAGGGAGGAAGCTGTACTGACACCGCCACTTCTAAGGTCAATAGAGTTCCTAACATGTCTAGCCAGGGACACAGAATGGTGGCAGGGAGAGAGGTGGCCGCACAGAGTAGAAACAGCACAATGTCCCTCGGCCCCAAGAGTCCCTAGAGGGCACACAGCTGCAGTGACCCTGCATGGTGGGTCTTTCTGGGTCAGAGAAGCCTGAATTCTATATGTGTCAAATGCTCAGATGTGGAAGAACTTAAACACTATGTCCTTTATAGGAAATATTTCTAGGTATCCAAGGACTCTTCTGGTTCTTGAGCCAAATTCAGCATGGGCAAGGCCACCTACTTATCAGGAAAGAAAGGCAAAACCAGGCCCAAATCTCTGAACATTTCTCTAGCTCCAGCTTCTGAAATCTAGAAAGCCCATTTTCCCACATTCATATTTTTAAATTCTCTATGATGGGCACTCCTATGTAATAAGAGCAAGATAAATGTAGTATATGCATACAATAGGATATTATTCAGCCATACGAATATATGAAATGCTGATACATGCTACGACATGGATGAATTTTGAAAACCTTATGCTAAGTGAAAGAAGCCAGACACACACACAAAAAACCTATTCTATGAATTTATTTATATGAGATGTCCAGAATAGGCAAATCCATAGAGACAGAAAGTAGATGAGTGGTTGCCAGGTGCTGGAAGGTAATGAGAAACTAGAGAGTGACACTAAAGGTCAGTTTTATTTTTGGAGTAATAAAATGTTCTGGAATTAAATAATGATGATTGTAGCACAACTCTGACTACACTAAAAAACCTTTGAGTTTACACTTTAAATGGGTGAGTTGTACGGTATGCAAATTGTATGTCAATAAAGCTGTTACCCAAAAAAAAAAAAAATAGATTAAAGTGCTTCTAAGCTAAATCCTGGTTTCTTTTTATTGCTGTAGGATCTTGAAGAAGAATTAGACATGAAAGACAGAGTGATTAAAAAGCTACAAGATCAAGTCAAGACACTAAGCAAGACAATTGGAAAAGGTAAGAAACAATACTTGTTTTCTTATTCTTTTGAGCTAAGGCTAACATGCGCTCAAGTGTTTATTTTCTTTCTGGTCCAAAGCTTATGAAACCCAAAGGAATGATTCTCAAGTGGTGAGGTTTGTGACCTAGTGCTGGGCTAACGAAAGGATCCTTTGGGTCAGGAAGACAGCTCCCTCCCACTCAGATGATACCAGATACATTCATGTACTCGCAAGAGACATCCTATAATTAACACATTAACCTCTTCCTCTGTTAGCTCCCTTTTTTAAAAAATGAAATTGTGAACAATTTTTCAATTTACTGCTTTGAAATTCACCTTCTCTCCCTGTTACATATGTAGGATCAGTAAGTATCCAAATTTCTATTAGAAAAGTAGAGAGCTAAGAAGCAGACATCCTGAACATGGACTGCATGGCACACATAAAGCATCCTCGTGAGCCTCTGTGAAAGGGACCCTCCTCCCTTCTTCCCTCCTTCTGCTTCTGTCACTGAACTTTTCTGTGTTCAGCTCCTGCTCACATTTCTCACTCTTTCATTCTTTATTACCTTTTCCCCTTCCTCCCAGCCTTACTGCCAAGGCTGTATCTTGTTTCTTTTTCTATATTCATCTCTTTGAAGAGCAGCTTTATTCTTACTTATCCAACTCTCACCTCAAATTTGAAATGTCCACAAGCAAACTGAGGATCCCTTTCCTTCAGTAATAAATGACAAATGGCAGTCTGCCCCATGAGAGCAGGGCCCAGGTCTGTGCTTCCCAGCCCCCGCTGCATCCCCACTGCTGGGATGAATGAATGAACCATCATTCACCACCCTGGCTCACCTTTCAGACTTCTGACCTCCAGAGCTGTATGATTAAACATTTGTGTTGTTTTAAGCCTCTATGTTTGTGATAACTTTACAGCAGCCACAGGAAACTAATACAGCTGTCTCAGTAAGGATCATGCACATTGGTATTTTGCACACCAAATGTTTCACAAGTCTTCTTTCACAGTAGCATTGGCATCTTGAAGACAAGGCAACATCTTGGATTTCTTTCCTGTTACCATGTGCTGGATACATATCAGGCACTCATAAGGCTCTTCAAAGGATAATTGGGCCTTTTCAGCAGCAGCTGTACTCACTGATGTACTCATAAAGAGGAATCACTACTTGGAGAAATTCTTCAGGATACAATACAGTACAGTTTTAATGTATCTGAAAGCCACAGACATTTACGTGCAAACCAGCCAGAATGGGGTAGGAGAGTAGTCACATTGTGAGACCTGTGAAAGCTGCTTTTGTGTATTTAGCTGATTGTTTGCCTCTGTCTACAGCCAATGATGTGCACTCGTCCTCAGGACCCAAGGAGTACCTTGGAATGCTGCAATACAAGAGAGAAGACGAGGCCAAGCTCATTCAGAACCTCATTCTTGGTAGTGAAACCTGGAACTCTGGATTTTTGCTTTCTCTTTGAGAACTTGCATATCAGTCAGTGCCAAAGTCCTGGGCAGGGGTGGTCCTTTTTCTACTTTTTCTTCCACTGCTTCTTCCCCCAGCCCAGAGTTTCTCAACCTCAGCACTGTTGACCTGTTAACTCTGTGAATGGGGAGTAACAAAGGATGGAGCAGCATCCTTGACTTCTACTCACTAGAAGGCAGCAGCAACCCCTAGTGATGACAATAAAAGATATCTCCAGGTATTGCCGAATGTCCTGTGGGGGCCAAAACTGTCCTCAGTTGAGAACCACTGCCCTGACCTTTTCCAAATTGTAGGACCAGGGTAGAAGAGAAACATCACCTCATTTTTGTGTCTCAGCACAGGAGCCATCATGGAAGCAATTGTGGCTCTGTGCTCCATTTGACTTCTGAGAAATTTCTCTGCGGGCAATGTGATGGGGCTTCCCAGCCATGCCTCAGTTACAGGAATGTCCCATGTGCATGCTCAAGAGTTGGTGGTCATAGAACCAATCTTACTGCACTGTCTTCACTGTGACCTTCCACGTGGTTTTCTGGCATAGGGAGAAAAATCTGCCTCCCTGTCAGCTGGCCCCAAGATCTCAAAACAGAAAGCCAACGTGTAGCCTTCCTTCCTCTTCTGCGAGTGACCCCCTTGGCTCATATGAGCACCTCTACCCTTTTCTTTCCCCTCATCACTGGTGTCATGCAGTGTGAGCCTCTTCTTTGTTCTTCTGTCTTCCTGCAGCCAGGGGACATCCTTGTTTGCTTATCTTAACTTTTTTTGTAAGATTTCTCTCTCCCCTTCATCCCCACTGAGCGTTTCCACCATTCTGTTCTCCTCAAGGCCAGCCAGGCATCCTCTGCTGCACTGGGTGTGCCTGCTTTCCCTATTCAAGGCAGCTTCATGTGACTGTGGACACTGTACGCCATCCTCATCAAAGCGCTTGGAGTAGGGGTGCATGGAATGGAGTTTCTTTCTTACAATGGGGGTCTGAAATCCAGGGTTTCCACACCAGGGAAAAATAAAGATTCTGTCTCTTATTCAACCTTTTAAGAAAGAGAAAGTCCTTTGTAAACAAGAAGAGGAACAAGTGACACCTGTGTATCTTGTGCCAAGAAAGGAGCCAGATGGAATTCCTCAAAGAGGAAATAAATCCATATACATTCAGGCACTGTGTCAAGCACAGAAAAGCAAACAAGCCCCTGCCCCTAGTCACAAGTTCCTTAGGAGAAGAGCTGACCTGTCAGCTGTAATCCTCATTGGCTCTCTCTGCTTCAGACTTGAAGCCCCGTGGCGTGGTGGTGAACATGATCCCCGGGCTGCCGGCTCATATCCTGTTCATGTGTGTGCGCTACGCAGACTCTCTGAATGATGCCAACATGCTGAAGTCCCTCATGAACAGCACCATTAATGGCATCAAGCAGGTGGTTAAGGTAGGAAATGCCTTTGACATTGGCCCCTGGTATCACATCTATGGGAATGACCAGATGCCCAGTCTTTGCCCATCCTGAGCCTCCATTGTGTGGTGAGCCACATGATTCCTCAAACAAGTTTGAGGCCCAACTAGTGAAGGGAGCCACACTGTTAGGGAAAGATAAATGGATGAGCATCTGCCATAGGCCTCAAAGCCTTACCGGCGAGACTGCAACCTGGTAGCCACTGCCCCACCACTGCTATCCCCTTAGGGTGTAAAGTTATCAGCTGTGAGGGGTATAGGTTCTATCTCTGTAACAAGGGTAAATCATGAGAAATGAAATGGAGTGAAAAATTATTCATCTCTTCCCTTGGCAATTATATAATTCTTCTTCCTAAAAGCACATTGTGTATTTTTATTCCCAGTCCACAAATGAAGATGAACTGTGTATTAGTTAGGTTAGTTACTTAGTAAAGTTAAGCTATTGTAGCTATGAGACACCTGCCACCTCCCTTTGCCCAATATACAGTGTCTTAAAGAAGATGGAGGATTTTTCTTTGCTGATAGCGGTTCCATAATGAGCCATCTAGGTTGGAAGGTGGCTCTGTTCCACGTGATCATGAAGGGACCCAGGTTCCTTCCAACTTGCTGTTGGCCATTCCCTAAGTCGGTGTCCTTATTGGAATGACTGGACAAGCAGGCAGCCAGCAGTTTACCACTGGGCAAGAGGGAACCTACCATAGGACACAGACCATGTGTGTATGGTATACATATCAGAAGTCACCAACTGAACTCTTTATGAGCAATCATCTCTTCATGGTGTGACAAGTGGATAATGATCAAAAGTGACAATGACAAAGGGCGGGATTTTGTGAAGGCTAACAGTAACATAAAGTTTATTGCTAATTTCCTTTCCAACTGAAACATAATCCTAAAATCATTCTTAGCATACTGATTATTTTTCCTGGAAACTCCATAAGTGATCAATGAGTAAATAACTGTATCTAAGCATTGAAGATTTTTTTAAGCAGACCTGGATCCTTGCTTACAGGGATAGTTGCTTTGTAAAAAGAGTTCTCTGGTAATGCTTGGCGCATTCTGGAATCTTGGGTGTGGGTAGGGTGGTTGACTTAGTTCTAAGCCAGACCTGGTGCTACCCTGAATGTGGAAATTCCATTAGCCACAGTGGAGTTAGTACAAAAACCTTCTCTCTCTCTCTTTTTCTAGGAAATGACCAGTTTACAGTTATGTTAAAAAGTACCCGTTTCTGGGAATTACAATGTACTGATCCATATTGGAAGGGGGCAATAAGACATAAATAACACTAAAATAACAGTGTTTTCCATGCCCCTCCAAAAGAGAAGTGATGTTTGATATTAGGATATATTTGAATTTTTAGTTAGGGAGACCCTACCTCATTTTTAGTAAAATATGTGTTCTAAAGAGTAATGGGGAATTAAATTCTATTTTAAATACTCTAGGGAAGGCCAGGTGTGGTGGCTCACACCTGTAATCCCAGCACTTTGGGAGGCTGAGGCAGGTAGATCGCTTGAGCTCACAAGTTCAAGACCAGCCTGGGCAACATGGCAAAACCCTGTTTCTACAAAAAAGACAAAAATTGGCCAGGTGCGGTGGTGTGTGCCTGTAGTCCCAGCTACTCAGGAAGCTGAGGTGGGAAGATCACTTGAGCCCGGAAGGCAGAGGTTGCAGTAAGCCAAGATCACACCACTGCACTCCAGCCTGGGTGATAGAGCCAGACCTTGTCTCAAAAATAAATAAATTAATTAATTAATTAATAAACTCTAGGAAGAAAGAAATATAAAAACTAGATTTGTGAGAGATCAGAGTATGGTAATTCTCCTCTCCTTCCAAAAATATCATGAATTCATTATTTATCTGGAGTTAGGAATAGAAAATTCACATTTGTTTGGTGCTGGATACTTTATAGTCACCATCTTCACAGGAGCCACCACAGTGTTTTTGGAAGGGGCTCCCATAAATTGATGTTTTCCCTGTCCATATTTGCATAAATTGGGTTTTCTTAAGACAAGCTGGCATTGTGTTCCAGCCCAGGACACACAGTATTTGCTTCCCCTTGATGCTCTGGAATGTTTCGCCAAATATTCATAAATCAAGAGATGTGTGGTATGAGGACTATAAGACCCCTTTCTCACCAGCATCTTCAGTCTCAACTTCTCTGTGTCCCCCTCCCTCTGCCTTTGCATGTGCCCAGGACCTGCCTCTCCCCACCTCCAGCACACAGCAGTTACAGCAATGTGCCCATATACCCTCTTCAGCCACTATTCCTTTCCCTCCACCCCGGACTGCCAAAGTGCTTAAACTAGTGTTCTCCACCAATTCTCTTTGTCACTCCTTGCAATCTGGCTTCTAACCCATCACTCTACAGAGAGATCACCAGTAACTCCTCTTACTAAAACCAGTGGTGTTTCTTTACTTTTTATTCTCTCTAAATTGACCAAAGCATTAGCACCATCTCCTTGAAAGCTTCCTCCCTTGTCTTTTAAATCCCAGGATTTTCTCTGTTTTCCCCTCTGATCACTGTAGCTCTGCCTTCACTGCTTGTTCCTCTTCTTCCTGCCCTGTAAGTGGAGGCCTTCTCCCCAACAGTCCTAGTCCTGAGCTCTTGTCTCTCCACCCATTTCCCTCAAAGGCTAGACCTCCTTCCTCTCTGAGGTTTCCCTGGCTGCTCTGCCTCCCCATCCTCTCTCCTCGTCCTCTGAGCTTTGGTAGCACAGTCTACAGCCATCGTATGGGCTCTTGACCACCTACTAAAACTCTGTTCTATCTTCCCAGTGAGAGTGTGAACTTAGGAGAGCAAGAAGTGAAACTTGCATTTCTCATGCATTCCTTCAGGACCCACTTCACACTTCATAATGAGTGACACAACCTGTACAGAAACATGTTACAAACTGTGACCTATTAAATAAATATAAGTTCTTATAAGTATAATATGAATTGGATAAAGGCTTTAGTGAATAAAAGAAAAACTAATTTTGGTCAAAAGCTACAAATAACCAAACAGGTAAATGCTCAGAGGTACAAGTAATCATCAAGACCAATTTTGTCTTTTCTTATTTTCCTAAGGAACATTTAGAAGACTTTGAAATGCTGTCCTTTTGGCTTTCCAACACTTGTCATTTTCTCAATTGCCTGAAGCAGTACAGCGGAGAAGAGGTAGGGGGCGCCCACCTGCTTGTTGTTTTGTGCTGACAGCCAGTCTATAACCTCCTCCTGAGCCAGAGCTCAATAGAGCCTCTATCCTCTCCACCAGGAGGCCAACAGCACATTATCTGTTGGACTCTTGGGCATACACCACAGGCAGGAGACTTCTGGAAGCAGCTTAGATTTTGGGCATGGTACTAGGCCTCCTAGGTCTCCATTACTTTTAAATCAATAGGTAGATAAGATGACTTTTAAGTTTCCTTCTGGCTGTAAGACGTTTAGCATTATGACTCTAAAATACAGGCTTTGGTTTAAAATGCCTGTTTCTTCACAGCTGTTCTCTCTACAGGACCCTGACTGTTCCTCCATAATCTATAAATATGTTTCCTTTGCCATTCCGACTCTGCTTCCAGGAGGCTGATGTCATGAAAGAGTTCTCCACCTTCAAGTACTCACAGAGAAAAATTTCATTGAACTAAAATAACAAAGTGGCTTTCAGGGTTTTCAGTGCTCTCCAAAATGGCTGTACCATTGCACAGCCCCACCAGCAGTGTATGATGTTTCCAGTGTCTCATACCTTCACCAACACTTGGTATTGACAGACATTTTTATCCTTTACCAGTGTCAGGGTATAAAATTATATCTTGTTGACTTAAATTGCATTTATTTGGTCACTAGTGAAGTCAAGCATAATTTTATATGTTTATTGGTCATTTGGGTTTCCTTTTGAATTGCCTAGTCACATCCTTCCTTTCTTTTTCTTAGGGTTGGTTTTTTTGTTACTGATTTGTAGGAGGTCTTTATATCATATGGATAGACTGTAGCTTAGCTTCTAATTTTCCTTATGAAGTCCCTTGTCACACAGTTTTTGAATTTTGATATGCTTAAATCTGTCAATCCTATTCTTTTATGATTTGTGTCTTAAGAAATTCTTCCCTGCCCTGAGATCATGAAGATCCTCTTCTAAACTTTTGTAGTTCATATTTAGAGTTCACAATTAATTATGTTTTTACCTATCCAAAATTGGTATGTAAGGTAATGATCTAATATCCTCTTCCATATAGATAACCAGTTGTCCCAATGGAAGGAAGTTAAAATAAAATATAACAGCAATCTGTCTAGTACTATAGAACAAAAGGAGAAGTAAAGAAAATCCAACCTCTGACTAAAAGGAATACCAAAACAGGAGGAGGCACAGACTAGTCCGTTTACAACAAACTGGCATCTGTGAGACATCAGTGGAAGAATGTTTTATTCAGCACTGTTTTATGATCCTTTCTTTGCCCCCTTCAGCCATGTATAGAATATTCTTTTCCCTGTCTGACTGCTTTTTCAGTTACCATATTTTTATTTCTAAAATTTCTCTTGTTCCTTTTCACCTCTGTCTCTTACCACAATGTCCTGTTCTTTTTTTTTTTTCTTTTTCTTTTTTGAGATGGGGGTCTCACTCTGTCACCCAGGCTGGAGTACAGTGGCACGATCTTGGCTCACTGCAACCTTTGCTTCCCAGGTTCAAGCAATTCTCCTGCCTCAGCCTCCTGAGTAGCTGTGGCTACAGGCATGCGCCACCATGCCCGGTTAATTTTTGTATTTTTAATAGAGATGGGGTTTCACCATGTTGGCCAGGCTGGTCTTGAACTCCTGACTTCAAGTGATCCGCCTGCCTCGGCCTCGCAAAGTGCTGGATTACAGGCGTAAGCCACCACGCCCAGCCCTATAATGTTCTATTCTTAATTTTTTCTTTTTCTTTAGTCTCTTTGAACATGTTAAACATATTCCATTAGTTCACTCAGGCTACTATAACAAAATACCGCAGGCTGGGTGGCTTAAACAAGAGATTTGTTTCCTCACAGTTCTGGAGGCTAAACATCTGAGATCAGGGTGCCAGCATGGTCACTTCCTGGTGAGGGCTCTCTTCCTGGCTTGCTGACAGCCACTTTCTCCATCCCTGTGTCCTCACAGGACCTTTCCTGGGTGCATGGGTCAGGAAGAGGGAGAGAGAGGGCAAGCTCTCTCTGGTGTCTCTTCTTATAAGGACATCAATCTTATTATTAGATCACGGCCCTATCCTCATGACCTCATTTAACCTCATTACCTCCCTAAAGGCCCCATCTCCAAATACAGCCACACTAGGGGGTTAGGGCTTCAATGTATGATTTTTAGGAAGACACATAAAATCCATAACACACACTTTAAAATATTTCAACTTTGTACCCTGTAAATTATAAGGTTATGAATCTCATTTATTGTATCCACTTACCTCTTCATAGCAGTTTGTTTCCTTGAATGCTCTGCAGTTTTGTTTCATTTTCCTATGCGCTTCCATGGGCCTTCTACGAGCTTTTCCATTTAGTCTATAGGTTCCAGGGACAATGTTTGTAGGGAAGTGGGTGGGACAATGACAGTGTGATAGACTGTGATCATACAGGAAATCAGTGCAATTTTTTTCTTATAGAAGGTACATGCTACCCCAAGCATCATGAACTCATTTGATATAAATCAGACATTAAGTTTTAAGGTAAAAGAGTTATAGTAGCTGATTATTAATTTCCTACATGTTTGTATTATTCTAATATTTTATGTTTAAAATTACTTTTAGGAATTCATGAAGCATAATAGTCCACAGCAGAATAAGAATTGCTTGAACAATTTTGACCTTTCAGAATACAGACAGATTCTCAGTGATGTGGCTATACGAATATATCATCAATTTATTATCATAATGGAAAAGAATATCCAACCGATAATAGGTAAGAAGAGAATGGATGACCAAAAAATATTTATAGTAACATTAAGACTTTTTAAAACATAAACTTGGTATGTGTAATGTGTGATTATGTGTAACATTGTTTAAAAAGCCAAGGAAATATAATCATGTAGATATCTGCCTTTTAATTCTTTGCTTGCTTATAATGATTCCATAAATAATAGTACGCTGTTGGTAGTTTTCTTTATATAAGGATGATTTATCCTGAAGGAAAAAACTTGGGGAAACTTCTACTACTGCTATTTATGTGGTACTTCTACTTCTTGGCGTAGCCAAGTATTTTTGAAATCCTAAAGCCCCATTCGAATTCTTGTATACTTTCCTTAATTTCCTGAAATTTAAATACTTTAGGCTTTAATGCCCAGGCCATGATTTGTCATGCTAAGCAGCTTTCTTTCCTGTGAAGCTGAAAAACGTGCTGCTTCAAACCTACAAGAGGAGCTGCAGCCCCGCTGGAAACAGCCGTCCATCCCTAACCCTGACACACACCCTGGTGTCCCAAACCCTTGATTCTTTTGCTTTCTCTATCATAAGTACATCCACTGACTCTTGTAGAAAAATGTCCCATCTCCTGAAACAAACCGAAGAGCGTCGGGAACGTTCCGCGTGTGTCTCCTGGCGTGTCAGCACAGCCTCCCTGTCTCTCCGCAGTTCCGGGAATGCTGGAGTATGAGAGCCTGCAGGGCATTTCCGGCCTGAAGCCCACAGGCTTCCGGAAGCGCTCCTCTAGCATAGACGACACGGACGGCTACACCATGACCTCCGTCCTGCAACAGCTGAGCTACTTTTACACCACCATGTGCCAGAACGGCCTGGACCCCGAGCTTGTGAGGCAGGCGGTGAAGCAGCTCTTCTTCTTGATCGGGGCGGTCACGCTGAACAGCCTCTTCCTGCGCAAGGACATGTGCTCCTGCAGAAAAGGGATGCAGATCAGGTAAAACCCAGAAACCTCCGCTCACGCGGAGAGGCCTGCAGAAAGGATGCTCTTGAAGTCCGAGGCCCCACGCGCCTGACCCTCCCTGCTGTGGCGTCAAACCCCTGTTTAGGCCCTACTGCTGTAGGGATATTCGAGTCACCCTAGGAGCCCCGGGATGCTGGCGCCCAGGGCCTACTCCCCTCACGCCACACCCTGCCAACTAGATGGACTGGCCTAGCCGCTTTAACCCAGAACCAGTAGATGTTCATCTTAAATTCTGGCCCTCTAGGGTGGTCATGCACTCAACCAGTAGTGACTACCTTCTCTGAATAGCACTGCCAGGGGGAGAACACAGGAAACAAGGAAAAGTCGATATGATCCCTGCCTTTGAGAAGCTCAGAATAGCTAAATAATAATGAAAGGCAACTATGATTAAATCACAAACAAGTGGTGCAGGAAATGTATCAGAGAGGAGAGACATTGCAGACGGAACAGTTGGGGAAGCCAGAGAGTTGTGCCTTGAGTGATAAAGGAAACGGAGAAGAACGTTCCAAGCAGGAGAAACGGTCAGAGGCATTGCGGGGAGTGAGTGAGGACCTCTGCTCAGGCTGCATGTGGAGTAAGCGGAGGCTGGTGTGGGGAGCAGCAGGACCAAGGTAAAGAGCTAGGTTGGATCCACACTGGGAGGGTCTGGAATACCAGGCTAAGGCATTTGGAGTTCATCCTGAAGACTTGGGAATCTAGTTTTGAGGTGTGTCTACTATCTCTTAATTGAGACACCATGGACCCTGAGCCACTATTTGAATTAACACTGATCAAGTGATTGGAAAACACATAATATAGGATATTTACGTTTCTTATAGTGTGTGCAGAAATTTGATACCTGTATCTGTTATGAGAACCTGGGGTAGTGATGATGGTAATGACGTAAGGGAAGGTGACAAAGAAAGTATCTATCATTATGCTAAGTGAAATAAGCCAGGCATAGAAAGACAAACATCAGATGTTCTCACTTATTTGTGGGAGCTAGAAATTAAAACAATTGAATTCATAAAGATGGAGAGTAGAAGGATGGTTACCAGAGGCTGGGAAGAGTAGTGGGGGGCTGAGTAGAGGTGGAAATGGTTAATGGGTACAAAAAAAAGAGAGAAAGAATGAATAAGACCTACTATTTGATAGCACAACAGGGTGACTATAGTCAATAATAACTTAATTGTGTATTTTTAAATAACTTAGAGGCCGGGCGGGGTGGCTCATGCCTGTAATCCCAGCATTTTGGGAGGCCGAGGTGGGTGGATCACCTGAGGTCAGGAGTTTGAGACCAGCCTGGCCAACATGGCAAAACCCTGTCTTTACTAAAAATACAAAAATTAGCTGGGCGTTGTGGCACATGCCTGTAATCCCAGCTACTCGGGAGGCCGAGGCAGGAGAATCGCTTGAACCCGAGGCAGAGGTTGCAGTGAGCCAAGATCACACCATTGCACTCCAACCTGGGCGACAGAGCAAGACTCTGCCTCAAAAAAATAAATAATAAAAAAGATAAAATAACTTGGAGTGTAATGGATTGTTTGTAACTCAATAAATGCTTGAGGAAATGGATACCCTATTCTCCTTGATGTGCTTATTTCACATTGCATGCCTGTATCAAAACATTTCATGGGCCAGGCACAGTGGCTCACACCTGTAATCCCAGGACTTTGGGAGGTCGAGGTGGGCGGATCATTTGGGGTCAGGAGTTTGAGACCAGCCTGAGCAACATGGTGAAACCTCTGTCTGTACTAAAAATACAAAAAAATTAGCCAGGCCTGGTGGTGCACACCTGTAATCTCAGCTACTCATGAGGCTGAGACAAGAGAATCACTAGAACTGGGGAGGCAGACGTTGCAGTGAGCCAAGATCGCGCCTCAGCACTCCAGCCTGGGGGACAAAGCAAAACTCCGTCTCAAAAAAAAAACAAAAAAAAATTTCATGTACCCCATAAATATATATACCTACTATGTACCCAGAAAAATTTTTTAAAAATTGAGTATCTTAAGTCAAAAAATACATGTGAGAGGCATCCCTTACACCTTTTTAGCATTAGTGAAACTTTGGAGTTGGAGTCAATCCCCATAGACCATTCCCACAAATTCTCATGACAGCAGGGCATGGTTTTCAGATAGAAAGGGGTATTCAGAAGGACTAGTCTTTGCAGATCTTTATGTCTTCATTGAGAAATGAGTTATGTTTATTTCACAAGCTCCAAGCAGATCCTGTAGTCCTCTGTAGTAGATTTCAGCCCTAAAGTAAAGCCACATCAGAGCCTTTGCTAAACTCAGTTCTCACTCCCTCAGTGGATCCCCCAAGACTGAGTAGAGACATGAATGAAAAGGATCATGAGGGAGACACATGACTCCAGGTCTTAGAACAACTTCTTTGAGGACAGGCGAACACCTGCCCCCCAGGTACCCAGTACTTTTTCCCTTCCACCAGGTGGAAGTGGCCATCCTTTTCTTTTTCTTTTTTGAGATGGGGGTCTCACTCTGTCACCCAGGCTGGAGTACAGTGGCACGATCTTGGCTCACTGCAACCTTCGCCTCCCGGGTTCAAACAATTCTTCTGCCGCAGCCTCCTGAGTAGCTGTGGCTACAGGCATGCGCCACCATGCCCGGCTAATTTTTGTATTTTTAATAGAGACGGGGTTTCACCATGTTGGCCAGGCTGGTCTTGAACTCCTACAGGCATATGCCATTTTTGTAGAAACGGAGTCTCACTATGTTGCTCAGGCTGGAATCTATGCTTCCAAATGGGGACGTTTAGATCATTTTAATGTAATATAATATTTATATTTAGGATTACCATTTTATTAATTTCTGCTTGTTGCTTCTGGTTTTCATTTCTCCATTTTCTTTATCTGCTTCTTTTGGGTTATTTGAAATTTTTTAGTATCCCTTTCTAAATTATCTATTTTTTTTTTTTTTTTTAGTATTATCCCTTTGATCTTTTTTCTCAGTTGTTGCTCTAGGGATTCCAGTACATATACTTAACTTTTCACAGTCTATTTAGAATCAATATCTTACCACATCAAGTGGAATGCAGAAATCTTACCATCATGTAGGCCCCTTTAGCCTCCCTACTTTATGTTGCAGTGGTCTTATATATTAGATCTACATACATCAAAAACTGTACCATACAATATTATAATTTTAGTTTTCAACCATCAAACATATTTTAAAGAACTCAATAAGAGAAGAATAGTCTATTATACTCAACCAGGTATTTACCATTTCTGTTGTTTCTTCATTCCTAATGTTCCAAGTCTCATTTTTTTCCAAGTCTCATTTTGATATAATTTTCCTTCTGCCTGAAGAAAGTATTTTAGTATTCCTTTTAGAGCAGTTTTGTTGGCAATAAATTATTAGTTTTCTTTCAGTTGAAAATGTCTTCACTTTACCTTTATTCCTAAAGGGTATGTTTGTAGGATGTAGAATTCTGGATTGACAGTTGTTTTCTTTCACCACTTTAAAAATGTTTTACTTTTTTCTAGCTACTGTGGTTTCAGATAAGAAATCCATAGTCATTTGAATTATTCCCCATAAATAATGCATAATTTTTCGCTGATTACTTTTAAGATTTTTTTTTCTTTGTCTTTAGTTTTCCATAGTTTGTGATGTGTCTGGGTGTGGATTTCTTTGGTTTAGCCTGTTTGGAATTTCCTGAGCTTCTTGAATCTGGCCATTCACCAAATTTGGTACATTTTCAGCCACTGTTTTTTCAGATATTTTGTCTGCATCATACTCTTTGTCTTCTCTTTCCAGAACTTCAGTGAACCAGCTGTTAAAGACTTTTTGTTATTGTCCCACAGGTCCATAAAATTCTGCTCCTTTTTCTTAGTTCTTTTCTTCTGTGCTGTTCAGATTGGATAATCTCTGTTAATCCTTTCAAGTTCACTGACTCTCCTCTGTCATCTCTATTCTGCTAGTAAGCCCATTCAGTGAGTTCTTTTATTTCTATTATTGTATTTTTCAATTCTAAAATTTCCATTTGGTTTTTCTTTATATTTTCTGTTTCTTTTCTGAGACTTTATATCTTTTGATTCATTACAAGAGAGTTTGGCTTTACTTTTTAGAGCATTTTTATGATAACTTCTTTAAAGTCTTGGTCAGATAATTTGAATATCTGTGTCATCTCAGTGTTGACTTCTATTAGTTGTTTTGTTTAATGTGAGTTGAGATCTTTCTGGTTCTTCATATGCCAATTTTGAATTGTATATTGGATATTTTTAAATACTGTATTATGAGACTCTAGGTCTTCATTTTTTAGTTTATGTTTTTATTATTATTATTATTATTATTTAGTTACCCAAGCTTGAGTGCAGCAGCACAATCTTGGCTCACTGCAACCTCTGCCTGGGTTCAAGCGATTCTCGTGCCTCAGCCTCCCAAGTAGCTGGGATTACAAGCACCCACTACCATATCTGGCTAATTTTTACATTTTTAGTAGAGACGGGGTTTCACCATGTTGGCCAAGCTGGTCTCGAACTCCTGATCTCAAGTGATCCACTCGCCTCAGCCTCCCAAAGTGCTGGGATTACAGGTGTGAGCCACCATCCCTGGCCAAGACTCTAAGTCTTTAAATCATATGGAGAATGTCAATATTTTCATCAGGCGGACAATGCACTTGGGTCAGACTGCAAGTTCTGACCACCCTCTATGCTTTGTGGTTCTCATGCCATTTCCATGTGTAAGGGTTTTGTGGTGCTCTTTGGGTCCGTTTCATATGTGTGAAAAATGGTGGCCAGCTTGGAACTTGGGTAATGGTATGTTTCATAGTTCAGTTCTTAAATTCTGTATATGCTGTTTAGGGTCAGATTCATGCGTGGGCTCAGGGATAAACCCAGGAGTTAATAAAGAACTTAACAAACTGCTTTTCCCAACTTTCCCAGGCTCCTCCCTTTCTGTGGCATTCCTATTACTTTCTGCCCCCTTTTTGGTGCTTCAGCTAGAAAACTGGAGCTTTCCTTAATTTGCTCTGCAGTGTACTTACTGCAGATGTCTCTATCTGGGGCCAAATGGTGAGGGCAAAGAGAGAACCTTGAACCACAGATCCTCCAATTGGAAGGGAAGTTTCCCTTCTCTTCGAGTTTTAGGTTCCTTCTGGCCTCCTTCGCCACCACTGCTGTCGACATGGGATTGGAACTTGAGCATGAGAGAATAGAGAAAAAGGAGAGGGAAAAGGTAGGGCATTGAGCATTAGGAGGCCCCTTTTCAGCTCCTTGAGCTAGAATCAGAGAGCTCCCCTGGAGCTCTTTGTTGGCATTGATGCCCACCTCTGAGTTTCAACCTGTGGCGAGTAGAGGCCAGTGAATAGCAGAGGGGAAAAGTGATGATCTCACTTTTGACTTGGAAGGACTTCAAATTCTGGTCATCTTCCCCAATACACCTGCTACTATTTACTTTTCCAAGTCCTCAAATAGCTGCCGAATGCATTCCATTCAGGCTTTATAGCTGCATTCAGTGGGACAGACAAGATGGAGTGTGGTTACTCCATCTCACTGGGAACTGGAAACCCACCACACATCTTTGAGTGGGAGAATTAATGTGCTCAAAATTCAGATTTTAGAAAGGACTGTGGCAGTATTTGAATAGGGTGAATTAGAAGGGCTGAGATGGGAGCCCCATTAGAAACCTGTAATAAAAACTAAAAGTAGGGCCGGGCGTGGTGGCTCACGCCTGTAAATCCCAGCACTTTGGGAGGCCGAGGTGGGCGGATCACGAGGTCAGGAGATCGAGACCATCCTGGCTAACACAGTGAAACCCTGTCTCTACTAAAAATACAAAAAAATTAGCCAGGTTTGGTGGCAGTAGCTGTAGTCCCAGCTACTCGGCAGGCTGAGGCAGGAGAATGGCGTCAACCAGGGAGGCAGAGCTTGCAGTGAACCGAGATCGTGCCACTGCACTCCAGCCTGGGCAACAGAGCGAGACTCCATCTCAAAACAAAAACAAAAACAAAAAACTAAAAGTAGGCCAGGCGCGGTGGCTCACACCTGTAATCCCAGCACTTTGGGAGGCTGAGGTGGGCAGATCACAAGGTCAGGAGTTCGAGACCAGCCTGGCCAATATGGTGAAACCCCATCTCTACTAAAAATACAAAAATTAGCCAGGCGTGGTGGCAGGCGCCTGTAGTCCCACCTACTCGGGAGGCTGAAGCAGGAGAATCTCTTGAACCCAGGACATGGAGGTTGCAGTGAGCTGAGATCGCACCACTACTCTCCAGCCTGGGCAACAGAGTGAGACTCTGTCTCAAACAAACAAAAAAACAAACAAAAAGCAACAACAACAACAACAAAAACTAAGCAAAAGTAATAAGAACTCAAACTAGTGGGACAAAAGTAGCAATGCAAAAATGAGGGATAGTGAGAACCAACCCAAGATATATCATCTCACACCCACTATCCTATGGAATAACATTAATTCAGCATCACTGTCCAAATGTTACAGCCAGAAAGAAGACCCACATGGGGCATTGCTAATCCTTAAGGTCACAGCTGGGACTGATTTTCTTTATTTTGAGAAAGTCTCACTCTTGTCGCCCAGGCTGAACTACAGTGGTGCAATCTCAGGTCACTGCAACCTCCGCCTCCCGGGTTCAAGTGATTCTCCTGTCTCAGCCTCCCGAGTAGCTGGGATTATAGGCGTCCGCCACCATACCCAGCTAATTTTTTTGTATTTTTAGTGGAGACAGGGTTTTGCCATGTTGGCCAGGCTGGTCTTGAACTCCTGACCTCAAGCGATCAGCCTGCCTCGGTCTCCCAAAGTGCTGGGATTATAGGCGTGAGCCACCATGCCTGGCCCAGAGCTGGAACTGACTTTAGAGATCACTTTATTCAACACTCAATTTTTTTTAGCAGTTTCATTGGTAT
The DNA here is from genome assembly GCF_000001405.40 of Homo sapiens. Classification (NCBI taxonomy): domain Eukaryota; kingdom Metazoa; phylum Chordata; class Mammalia; order Primates; family Hominidae; genus Homo; species Homo sapiens. The sequence goes on along the minus strand of NC_000015.10, from coordinate 52,197,981 downwards.
GTAATTTATATACCATACAGTTTACCTGTTTAAAGTATATAGTTCAGGCCAGGCACAGTCACTCACACCTGTAATCCCAGCGCTTTGGGAGGCTGAGGCAGGCAGATTGCTTGAGGCCAGGTGTTCAAGACCAGCCTGGCCAACATGGTGAAACCCTGTCTCTACTAAAAATACAAAAATTAGCCGGGTGTAGTGGCAGGCGCCTGTAATCCCAGCTACTCAGGAGGCTAAGGCAGGAGAATCGCTTGAACCTGAGAGGTGGAAGTTGCAGTGAGCCTCATGAGATTGGGCCACTGTACTCCCGCCTGGGTGATAGAGGGAGACTCCATCTCAAAAATAAATAAATGAGTAAATAAAGTGTATAGTTCAATCGTTTTTGATATATTTACGTAGTTGTGCAACTATCACTGTAATGTAATTATAGAACATTTTCATCCCTCCAGAACGAAACCTTATACTCATTAGCAGCCAGTCTCATCCCCCACCCCAACTCCCTACCCTGCCCAGCCTAGGAAACCATTAATATGTTTTCTTTCTCTACAGATTTTGCCTATTCTGGACATTTAAAAATAAATGAAATCATAAAATGTTATCTTTTGTGGATGGCTTCTTTCACTTACGTAATGTTTGGGAGGTTCATCCATGTAGCAAATATCAGCACCTCATTCCTTTTTATTGCTGAATAATACCCCATTGCATGGATAATGCCACAGTTTGTTCATTCATTCATCAGTTGATGGATATTTTGGGTTGTTTTCACTTTTGGGCTATTATGAATAATGCTGCTGTGAACATTTGTGTACAGAGTTTTGTTTGGACATGCTTTCACTTCTCTTGAGTACATGTCTAGGAGTGGAATTGCTGTGTCATATGGTAAGTCTGTATTCGATTTTGAGAAACCACCAAACTGTCTTCCACAACAGCTGTACCATTTTACGTTCCCACTAGCAATGTTTGAGGGTTCTCAACACTCTCATTGTGCCCAGAGAGGTCGATTAACTTCCCAGGCTCACACAGTGGATTGGCAGGACTAAAACCCATGCCTCTTAACTCATAAACCCATGTGGCAATTAGTGACAGAAATAAGAATAAAAACTGCAGTCGACCGAAAGCCTTCACTAATTGAAAGATTTCTGCCAATTCAGGAAAAAGAAAACAGTTTTTTATACTTATGGAAGTCTTCTCTTCAGATATCACTGTTTCTTTCCTTTAATCAATTTTCAAAATTGTATTTCGTAAGTGATTGCAATCACTGTTCTTTGCTCAGATTTTCCCCAAAGTCTGTAGCTGTTCCGGCCCCTCAGCCTAGACCACCATGAGTCTTAGAACTCTGGATTAGGAGAGCTGATCATCAGTCCAACTCCCTCATTTTGCAGATGAGTAACTGCTGAGCTGTGGTCTTAAGGATCTCAGCGAACTCTGGTACCCTCTCGGGACACACAGGAGTATCTGGCACCCTTCCCTAAAGTATTCTCTGTTCTTCTGCCTTTCCCTCCAGGTGCAATATCAGCTACTTAGAAGAATGGCTTAAAGATAAGAACTTGCAGAACAGCTTAGCAAAGGAAACTTTGGAGCCCCTCTCTCAGGCAGCCTGGTTGCTTCAGGTCAAGAAGACCACAGACAGTGATGCCAAGGAGATCTACGAACGCTGCACCTCACTGTCTGCTGTGCAGGTGACCAGGCTTGCTTAGTGTCTCCCTGGCTCTTCCCTGACACATCAGTGCAGTGGGCATTGCCTTTCTTGGTTTAGCCAGCTGTGGGCACCCTGATTCTGTGTGTACTCTCGGGAGCATACCTATCACCCATGGCCCACCCTTTTATCTAATAAATATTTATTAAATACTAACACTAGGTCTTAAAAACATAGAAATGGGCTGGGCGAGGTGGCTCACAGCTGTAATCCAGCACTTTGAGAGGCCAAGGTGGGAGGATTGCCTGAGCCCAGGAGTTTGAGACTAGTCTGGGCAACATAACAAGACGCTCTACCAAAAAAAAAAAAAAAAAAAAAAAAAAAAAAAAGCTGGGTGTGATGGCACACACCTTTGGTCCCAGCTACTTGGGAGGCTGAGGCGGGAGGATCGCATGAGTCCAGGGGTTCGAGGCTGCAGTGAGCCATGATCATGCCACTGCACCCCAGCCTGGGCAATAAAGGGAGACCCTATCTCAAAAATAATAATAATAATAATCACACACACACATATACACAAATGTCTATGATGCATTCATTCCCTGCCCATTAAACTCACAAATGTGTATGTGGAGGGGTGGCCATGTGGGAGGTGGGGAGGCTAGAAGGGGGCTCCTCTTACTGTTTTCTGATTATCTGATTTGCCTTTGCTCCCTAAGGCACTTTTCTCCCCTTGTTTTCTTTTCTTGGAAATAGGTAACATACAGTTCCTGAACCAAATTATAGGCTAAAAGAACCACCTGTGCTTCCCAATGGTTCCCAATAACCAGAACCATTATTTTATGAACAGAGTTATTATTTTGCATGGTCTAACACCATGTTATGTACCGTTTGCAGATCATAAAGATCCTTAATTCATACACACCTATAGATGACTTTGAGAAGAGAGTGACTCCATCCTTTGTTCGCAAAGTACAGGTGAGATTCTTAAGGATGTGCCTTTTAATTTTACTTCCTAACTATGGTATAAGATGTTGATACTTAATTAACATTATAGAAATCCAGGATTAAAGTACATTTACCCACATATACAAATGAAAGGCACCCAGCTCAAAGGTAAGCAGGAAATTTTCCTGTGAAATTTTCAGAATCCACCTTAGTCCAGGTGGGAGGGGAATGAAAGCACCAAAATCATGTCTCCCGTGCTGTATTCTGTCAATATATCTTATTTCTTACTGATCGTTGAATACTGTGCAAGTGGGCAGAGGCTGAATGGAAACAGAGACCATTTTTCTTTTATAATCATTTGTATAACCATTTTTTCTTATATAATCCCTAAAGTTTGTCCCCTAAGGAACTCTAGGGCAGCAGTTCTCCAAGTTTGGCTCAAGGATCCCTGGGAGTCCTTGAGACACTTTCAAGAGGGTCTGCAAAACTCTTCCTTTTTCTAAATATGTACCTGTGGATTTTCTAAGTAGGTATCTGTGGATTTTCTCAATAGTTATCTGTGGATTTTCTTCGTGTACTTCAACCAAAATAACATATCACAACAGATTGAATGCAGAAGCAGATATATATGATATATCGTATATATGATAATATAGCATATATATTAAAATATGGCGTATATAATATATGGTTATATATGATAATATATTAAGTCAGACATGAAAGAGATTTGCAAAAATAGAAAATACCACTTCTCACTAAATTTTCTTTGTTTTGGAAACTTATGTTTAACATGTGTAGAGCTTATTTTAATGAATTAATAAATCATTTTAATTACTAATATGGCAAATACCGATATACACATATACACAATGTATATTTAATTACTAATATGGCAAATGCCAATATACCCATATACACAAAAGCTTTTGGGGCCTCAGTCATGTTTTAGTATAAAGCGGTCCTGAGACCAAAAAGGTTGCAAACCCATGAATGAAGAAGAAAGATGGGTTCAATAAAAATGTAATACTTGAAATCTACTCATGTTTGACCTTAGAATTATGCCATGAGAATAGATTAGAATAGAAAACAGATTTATGGTCAACTCATCCCATGGGAAATTAACTTCTGAAGTGAAACAGGACAAGTTAATTGTTCTGAGAGCTGATCTGGAAGCCCTGGATAGACTTTGGAATTGTGCTGTTGTTAAAAAGTTCTCATGTATGTCATTTCATGTGATGGTGCAAGGAGCTCTCCACTAGAGATAGCTGTGTTTTGCCTTGACTTTCAGGTAGCAGTAAAGCAGAACATGTTAGTTTCCTTACTCATTTTTCCTCTGATTCTAATTTCAGGCTCTCCTAAATAGCCGGGAGGATTCATCACAGCTGATGTTGGATACCAAATATCTCTTTCAAGTCACATTTCCTTTTACCCCCTCTCCACATGCTCTGGAAATGATTCAGATCCCCAGCAGTTTCAAGCTAGGCTTTCTGAATAGGTTATAGCAGGAGAAAAAGTCAATGCACTTTTTCTTCAAAAGCTAAGTGAAGGTTCAATATGAGGGATGTGTTTTATTAATTGGCAGTGGAAATTGGAATGTGATTTAAGGAAGAAAACAGACTTTTCTCAAATGGACCACATCATCTCTCACTCACAGTGACAATGCTGCTCCTGTAATTTTGTAAGAATTCACACACACCAGCTGTATTTGGAAAAGCCATGTCTCACTCTCGAATCTCAGCTGGTTTTCACTGAAATTCCTGGAGGGCTCATATTTTCTTCCACGTGCCTCTTGATCTGTTCTGTCTTGTGGCAGGGCTCTACCAGGAGGGAGTGAGATCTGGGGACACAGTGGCTTCCAAGTTTTCTAAGGTTCATGTGAAACCTGAGTACATTTACAAAGCTGCAAGTGGATTCTAGTGCTGAGTCTTCCAGGAAAAAATCCCGTTTGGCCACCGTGACCTGCCAAAAGTTCTCTTGCCCCATGCCTGCTGGGGACAGAAGGTTTTCATGAACTCTTTTTACTGAAAATGCCCTGCATTTAAAAATGTTTATTTTAGACCCTTCTAAATTTTTTTTTTTTTTTTTTTTTGAGACTCCGGAGTCTCGCTCTATCGCCAGGCTGGAGTGTAGTGGCATGATCTCGGCTTATTGCAACCTCCGCTTCCTGGGTTCAAACAATTCTCCTGCCTCAGCCTCCTGAGTAGCTGGGACTACAGGCACCTGCCACCACGCCCAGCTAATTTTTGTATTTTTAGTGGAGACAGGTTTCACCATGTTGGCCAGGATGGCCTCGATCTCTTGACCTCGTGATCCGCCCACCTCAGCCTCCCAAAGTGCTAGGATTACAGGCGTGTGCCACCGCGCCCGGCTGACCCTTTTAATTTTTAAGAGTGTTCAATCCGAGATGAATCATTTGAAGTATTTTTATATGTATATCTATTTAAAACTAATATATTATTAAAGCTTAATTGCCATGCCGTTTATCTTCTCTGAAAGAACTTCAAATCTTACCTGCCAACATATTCACCATAATTTTTTTATTTTTTAATACCTTTCATACAATAACTTTTTTAAAACAACCTCAGATTGAAAAAGCAACCTAAATTACTTTCGCTCTCTAATCAGCATTTCAATGTATTTATTTTTAAATTTTCTCAAAAAGTAACTAAAAAATTGTGTCGGACCCTACTTTTGAGAAATCTACGTTTCCCAAGTTTTATGGGAACTGGCTATTCCTTGTCCCGGCACACCTTCTCATTCCTTCCTTTCAGAGCCTAAAACCTCATTTGATAAGCACTCCTAGTCTCTGGCCTGTGGATCCAGTGCTATTCTGTCACCAACCTAAGAATCCCAATTGCACCTTCTGTTTCTGACAGTCACAGGTGACAGCTGTGATTCTATAATACAGACTGGTGTCTTAGAGGTAGGAATAATACATGATTATGAAGCATCACCCTGCTAATACATAATAATGTCTTTTTATATTATAAGTGATTGAGTTTAGTTCATTTCAATACATTGTACATGAAAAAATGAAAAGTAGAACTTTGTAATACTTTAATCAATAAAATTAATTACCAAATGAATTGGGTCAGATTCTTTCATTGCGAGGAGATGACATGTCTCTTAAGTGTACAAGTTGTATGCCTTTCTTTACGGTCATACTGAAAGATGCTAGAATCTTTATAGATTCATAATATCTCATTTAAAGTATATTAAAATGTTTAGAGAAGAAGTAAATATGTCATAAGTGCTGGCTTAGGCTGTGTCTCCAGGGCGCTTCCACACTGTCAGAATGAGGGGCTACTTGGCAGAGAATTGGCAGGGTTTCTGATCCTGAGCTGCGGCCTCCATGCCCTTTCTAGACCTTCCCCACACCATGAGGAGCCATCACTGTTGGTTTTCGGCTTCCATAACTCAGGATTTATGCCTGTTTTATAGCACTTACCCTGGACTGGAAGCCAGAAATGCTGCCCATTTCCTCTGTAGGCCTGTGAGCCCCAGAGGGCAGGTGCCACATCCTCCTCATCCCTGCCTTCATCCTACTGCTGATGAGGTGGGAAGAGAACTGAAGGAGCAAAGTCCCGTTGGAGGACTGTGTGTGTGTGGTGGGGAGTCAACCATGGGAAAAAGTAGGTCATGTTTGGGGACAGGGAGACCTGTGGAGGCTGAGGAGTTTATGTGTGGAAAAATGGGGAAAGGGAGGCACTCATCCCACAGTCTTGATCAGTTCTACAAAGCTGACAGTGGCAAGGAGACCAAAATAGAGAAATGTTAAGAACATGTGGCCCAGGTGAATGTGAGGGCTGCTCAGTGAGTGGGCGCAGACACAGAGGTCAAACCTGCCAAGGCCTCCCTCCACAGAGGGGCTGGGCAGGTTCCAGGGGTGAGTGAGGGATGCAGATGGCAGTGCGTGCCCAGCAGGGAGCATGGAAGTGCTGTGGAGGAAGGAAGCAAGCTGAGCAGCACTCCAGAGAAGATAAGGAGATTAGCCAGTGGGAGACGTGCTTCACACCTCAAGCTGCGCGCTGGTCCTCACCTCTCACCATCTGCTCTGTGGCTCCCAGTGCTGACTCTGGAAGGTATGTGCATGCTGACATTCGGTTAAAATACTCCAGCTTTTGAAATGCTCAGAAAAGCATCCAGATGAGTACAGGGCACAGTGTTAGCAGGTCTTTCTGTGCGGTGGGAGCATGGGTGAGGGGTTTTGTTGTTGTTAATCCGTAGAATCTAATTTTTCTACAATACACATGAATTTATTTTGAAATAGTAAATTTCAAATATTTCAAATTGAAATATTTCAATATTTTTTACATTAATATTGGCATCAGGAAAGAGATTAAGCATACTTAAAATCACTAAGTCAGTTTTAAAATTTGATCCAGGTGACACATGGCAACATAAGCCTCTGAGTACAGCTTATGGGGTTAGAAAGAGGTTTTTAGTTGTAAGTCTGAGATACATCCACATTGTGTGTATCAGTTATTTTTTATTCTATGCTCATTTCACAGTTTCGTCTGTGACTGGTGAACATTTGGGTCTTTCAAGTTTAGGCCTTCTATGAATAGCTGCTATGACATTTATGTTTTTTTTTTTTTTTTTTTTTTTTTTTTTTTTTTTTTTTTAAGGAAATAAGCATTATTTTCTGTGGTGTATGTATGCACGAGTAGAATTGCCTGGTCATAGACTATATCCGTTTCACTTTAGTAGCTCCTACCAACCAGTTTTCTACAGTGGTTATACCGACTTATACTCCCACTAGCAGAGAAAGGCAGTTCCAGTCTCTGCATCCTTGCCCACACTTTGTGTTGTCAGGCTTTTTAGGTTTTCTGATGGCTAAGTAGTTGTATCACATCGTAGTTTTACTTTGTATTTCTATGATGACTAATGATAATGAGCACCTTTTTATATGTTTATTGACCATATAAGTATCCTCATTTGTGAAGTGACTACACAAGCCTTTTGTCCATTTTAAAAATAATCTTTGGGCTGGGCGCGGTGGCTCATGCCTGTAATCCCAGCACTTTGGGAGGCTGAGGCGGGCAGATCATGAGGTCAGGAGATTGAGAGCATCCTGGTTAACACGGTGAAACCCCATCTCTACTAAAAATACAAGAAATTAGCCGGGTGAGGTGGCGGGCGCCTGTATTCCCAGATATTTGGGAGGCTGAGGCAGGAGAATGGCATGAACCTGGGAGGCGGAGCTTACAGTGAGCCGAGATTGCGCCACTGCACTCCAACCTGGGCGACAGAGCAAGACTCTGTCTAAAAAAAAAAAAAAAAAAATTTATTGAGATATGATGTCCACGTTTTGTTTCATGTTTTAAAACCCATCATTTTAAAACATATATTTCAGTGTTTTTTAAGTTTATTTACAAGGATTTGCAACCATTGCCACTGACTCCAGAGTATTTTCATCACCCCGAAAAAGAAATCCCATACCCCTTAAGCAGCCACTCACTCTCAGCTCCCTCCTTCCCCCTTATTCTCTCTTCCCTCCACCTCGCAACTACTCATCTGCTTCATGTCTCTATGGATTTGCTGATCCTGTACACTTCATATAAATAAATCATACAATATGTGGCCTTTTGTGTCTGGCTTCTGTCATAGGATAGCGTTTTTAAGGTTTGACCATGTTGTAGCATGTGTCAGAACGTCATTCTTTTTTATTGCTGAATAGCAGTCTACTGGAGGGATAGACATTTTGTTTTTCATTTGTCGGTTGGTGGACACTTGGGTTGCTTTCACTTTTGGCTAATAATGCTGCCATGAAAATTAGTATGTACATTTTTATGTGAACATATATTTTCTTTTTTTTTGTTCTGAGACGGAGTCTCACTGCATTGCCCAGGCTGGATTTCAGTGGCGCGATCTTGGCTCACTGCAACCTCCATCCCCCAAGTTCAAGCAGTTCTCATGTCTCAGCCTCCCAAGTAGCTGGGATTACAGGCACCTGCCACCACGCCTGGCTAATTTTTGTATAGTAGATATGGGGTTTCACCATGTTGCCCAGGCTGACCTCAGGTGATCTACCCGCCTGGGCCTTCCAAAGTACTGGGATTACAGGCATGAGCCACCACGCCCAGCCAGTGAACATACATTTTCAAGTATCCTGGGTATATATCTAGAAGTAGGATTGCGGGGTCTTATGGTAACAGCTGTATATTTAAGTTTTGAATAACTGCCAAACCGTTTTCCACAGCTGCACCATTGGAAAACGGCTACCCCACTTTACCTTCCCACCAGCAATGTATGAAGGTCCTTTTGTCCATTTTTAATTGAGTTAATGAAGCAGTATTTTAAAAGTAAAAACTGGATATACCCTATGTATCCAAACACGGAAGTTGGTTTAATAAATTATGACACTCCACAGCATAGAATAATGCTGAACCTATTACCAAACAAGGTTGATCTATAAGTGTTAACAGAATAAGTTAGATGAAGAAAGCAAGTAGCCCTATTTGCATGACTACCAAAGCTGTATCTATGTGTTTGTGCCAGAAAAGTCTGGAAGAATAAACAACAAACTAAGGGCAGTGAAAATGCAGGGCATGTGATGGGGGATTCAAGTTTTACTTTTTCATCTTTGGTACTGGTTCTTTTTAAAATAAACACGTATTTCTGTGGTAATTTTTTAAGTCACATATTTAGGTAAAACAGATATCAAAGAAAGTTTGTGCTTGGCATAAAGTTATTAGGGGAAGGTTTGAGAAGTTCTATGAACTACTGCAGAGCAACTTCATGTCAAAATTTGTTAAATGGGGCATTTCTGTCTTTCTTGTCAAAATGCTCATCGAAACATTGGCTCTAGCTGTGAAAAATTCTCTCATCATAAAAAGGATATTGACAATAAGTACAACAAAGTACTAAAATTTAGCTGATACAAATACTAAGTGAAAAACATCAAGATACAGAAATGTAATCAGTATACATGAACAGTATGACCTCAGTGGTCTCAAATCTATTCTTGCTACACCAAAATGTAAAAAGAAGTTTCTCTGAGTGGTGGGATTATAGGTGATTATCTTCTTCCTTATATCTTTTTTTCCCCCAAACTTTCTACAATGCATATGTATAATATTTACAGTTTAAAAATGCTTTAAATTTAGTTTGTAGCTTGCCCATGTTTAACCAGTGAGGTCTAAAATGCTAGCTATGTGATACGACTTAAGGCCCATAGGACTCAAAAATTGGAGTCTCCGTTAAAAAATGGTGTTTTCCAGTAATATGCAATGACGTGAAGATGAAAATGCTATTATATAAAGTAGTATATGGCATATAATTCCAATTTGTTAAAAAGTACACACATATATACTTATAAAGATACTAGAGGAAAACATAAAATGCCAACAGGTCAGTTGTTGGTGTAGGGCATGTGGGCGATTTACTTTCCCCTTTTTGTGTCCTTCTGTTTCCACTTATTTATTTATTTATTTTTAATTTTTAATTTTCTTTGAGATGGAGTCTCACTCTGTCACCCAGGCTGGAGTGCAGTGGCATGATCTCAGCTTACTGCAACATCTGCTTCCCGGCTTCAAGTAATTCTCCTGCCTCAGCCTCCCGAGTAGCTGGGATTACAGGTGCGCACCACAACGCCAGGCTAATTTTTGTATTTTTAGTAGAGATGAGGTTTCCTTATGTTGGCCAGGCTGGTCTCAAATTCCTGGCCTCAAGTGATCCACCCGCCTTGGCCTCCCAAAGTGCTGGGATTACAGGCATGAGCCACCACACCTGGCCCTGTTTCCAGTTATTTATAATGAACATTATCAGCATCTTTTATAATTTGAAAAAATTCAAAATTTAGTTTGAGAAGAAAAACATTGCCTCTATCTAGATATGGAATATCGGCTATCTTTTCAACTTGTCTTTCTCTCCCGTGCCTCCCAGCCATCCTTCTATTCCTCCTCCACTTGGTGCCATAGGTTCCTCTCGCCTTCCATTCCCATAGCTGCTCCTCTGTCCGCAGCTCATTTCCTCTTCTCCAGAACATAGCAATCTCTTAACCTAGTTTGTTTTCCTGCCGTCCCTTCTCTCTCTCTCTCTGACCTACTTCTGGAAGCACAAATGCTGGAATAATCCACGTGGATGACACTGCTCCCTTGCTTAACAGCCTGTGGCTCACCGTCCTAATGCTATTACTGGGAGTGTTCAGCCCAACCTTGTTACTGGCTGCCTTTACAGGGCTGGGGAGTGGGATGCAACAGTTACCAAGCCCCACCATGGGCCAGGCTCTGGAGGGCAGGCCCTTTTTTGTTAACTCACCTTTTGTGACAAAACCATGCAGCTTGACCATGCTAGCTTGGAAATAGGGTTCCAAAGTGTGTATTCATGCTACTTACAGACTCAGCTCTGCCGCTGACCTTGAACTTGTTTAATCCCCCTGCTTTTCCTCAGCTGTAACACAGATGTCCTGCCTCCCTCCCAGGGAGAGGCGAGGGCTGGGCACTCTGTGGCAGTTGGTAGCTGGTTTCCTTGCGAGCTGTTGTCCCTAAGGGATGCCCTGTACACCTTTGTTGCCCAGAGGTCTCGAACTGTGCTGACTGCCCCTTTGCTGTAAGAGCTCAGCCCAACTCATGAGCCCCCATTATCTCTCCAGCCCCAGGGTGGGCTCCACATGGCAGACGTTCCTCATCAGAAATGTCCCCAACTGTCACCTCCCCCATAAATGCATCCCTCTCAGATTTGACTCTGTTGAAATGTTCAGACCAGCGCCCCCAATTATCTTTATGTTCAGGGGTTCATTTCTTTGAATCTTGACGGGGCTCACTCTAGAACACCTACCAAATTGACAGGGCCACACTGGCTGCTCCCTTCCCCCTTAACCGCTTTGTCCTCATCTCCAGCAATGGCAACATAACCCCTCGGTCTCCCAAAGAAATCTAGGCCACAGCACCCACATCTCCCTCTCCTCAACTCCACATGCCAAATCCAGCTCCTTCTCTCTTTCCTAAGCATGGTCCAAGTCCATCCCACTACATTGCTTTGTGGGCCTAAAAGGAAGAGGCTGTAGCACAAACCAAGACTTAAGGAGTTTACTTGAGCCAAAGTGAGGACAGATTCCTGGAAGGCCCAGACCCAAGTAACCTTGGACATTATCTCTGTTTGGCCTTTGTTACAAGCAGTTTTTTTAAAAAGGCAAAAAAGAGGGACCGGGAGTGGGCTGATACAAAGTTGTTAGGAATTCTCATTAGTTTACAGAAATAACATTGATTAGCGACTGGTTATACATTGTTACACTACAGGGTGTGGGTTATAGTGTCCAGTGTGGCATTATTAGGTTATTTTTTAGCTACTTGTGCCAATGGCAAGCAGTTTCAAGAGATGAGGCCAGGTGTGGTGGCTCATGTCTGTAATCCCAGCACTTCGGGAGGCCGAGGTGGGTGGATAACTTGAGGTCAGGAGTTTGAGACCAGCCTGGCCAACATGGTGAAACCCTGCCTCTACTAAAAATACAAAAATTAGCCTGGCATGGTGTCTTATGCCTGTAATCCCAACTACTTGGGAGGCTGAGGCAGGAAAATCGCTTAAACCCAGGAGAACGAGGTTGCAGTGAGCCAAGATTGTGCCACTGCACTCCAGCCTGGGAGACAGAGAGATACTGTCCCAAATAATAATAATAATAATAATAATAATAATAATAATAATAATAAAAAGATGAATACACAGCTCAAAGTGGGGACTAGAACGTTATTGCTGTCTCATTTTCATGATTCTCTGGGCCTGATAATTTAAAAGGGCTTGCATTCCTCAGATAAAAGTTACTTTCTCACCTTTAGTCCATGACTTCCTCGCGTCTTGTCTGAACCGTTGCCATAGGCTCCTCTTATGCTTTCTTTGGCATCCCCAGCCTCACCCTGCCCCTACCCATGTCCCTCCTTCCCAAGGCAGCCACTGTTCCCGCTATTGCTGCCACTCAGGGCAGCATGACCTCGCTGGCACACTCCCTGTATTACCGACCTTGAGCTAAGTGCTTTACGCACTGACTCTTATCATTCTCTTGACAACCCCAGAAGGGTAGATTTTAAGATCTCCACTTGACAGATTAGCAAAACCAAGCTTCAGAGAGGTCAGCTAACTAGCCTCAGTGGTGGGCCGGGACCAGGCAGCCAGAGCCTGTCCCTGTAACCACTAGATGCTTGTGCTGCCTCCCTGCAGCGGCCTGGGCCTGTCTGTTGACTTCCTTGTGAACAGGCAGGGACCCTGGGTCTTTGGCTGTCAAATGTTTAATAAGTGAGTGCTTGCCTTGCACGGAACCCACACCACACTTACTCAGGCCCCTGGCTTTGGTTGGGGTCAGGCTCCATCATTTGCTGACCCTTATCTTTAAAAGTTCACCCTGAGGGGAGGAATGTTTTTAAAAGTTTTAAGTTATAGCATCCATTACAAAAACGTTTTCCATTGTGAAACCCCACAGAATTGATATTGTGCTGCAAGGATCAATCCTGCCTGACGCAGGTCTGCCAGCTGCCAAAAAACTGGTTAAACGTGTTAAGTTCAGAAAACCTATTGTCTGATGCTTTCTCACTGATTAAATGAGTTGTATTGACCCAGCATGTTGTAATAGTTGAAAGGTTATAAATTAACTGCATATACTCTATCCCACATGTAGACGTCTGAATAGCTACCACGGTACAAGCAAGAAGAGATTTTAGAAAGTTAAAACCATTGGCTTTTCTCACACCCCCTCCCTTCTTTTCACTTTTTTTCAGCTTTATCTTGGGTAAAAGATGTGTGATCAGACCTTTCTCGTTAATGTATTTGGCTCATGTGACAAATGTTTCAAACAACGAGCTCTGAGACCAGTTTTCAAGAAGTCTCAACAACTCAGCTACTGTTCAACATGTGCAGAAATTGTAAGTGCCACTTAAAAAAAATTCAGTTATCTGTCTTAAAACAGTCAAGCGAGGGTCCTGTGACAGATGAGATGCCATAGAATCAGCTTATATAACACACACTTTTCAGTATGCCTGGGCTTGGTGAGGCAGTATAGTACAGAGGTTCAGGGTGTGGACTCTGGTGTCTGACTGCCTGGGTCCAAATCCTATTGATGTTCCTAGTTATTGGTGTGCAAGGAGGTTCTCACCTCTCTCCTGAAGCCTGTTTTTCCCATCTGCAAATAGGAATGCTAATAGCACCTACATCATAAGAGTTTTATGATGATCAAATGATTTCATTTGATAACTTATTTTAAATAGTACCCAGCAAGGAAAGTACTCAATGAATGTTTTAGCTTCTATTATTTCTTAGGGCTAATACTTTTTTCTTCTGACTTCTACAAGTCTGCTTGGCAGGCAATCAAGCTAAAAGAGAAGCTGGCAAATAAACAGTCTAGGAGCATCTTTCCAAGGACCGGTCCCAGTGGTGTGTAGGTCCAGCTCTAATGAAGATGGAATCTCACAGGGCCTCAGTAGTGAGCAAAATTCAGCTCAGAAGTACTCCTTGGGCCTAAGCCTTCAACAAAGACTAGGAATGGAATACAAATCCTGGAATTTTTCAAAGTACACAAAATCAAGTCCTCACCAGAGGTGGCTGTGCACAGGCTTCAGATCTTGCAGCAAAAATGCCCACAGCATCACTGAAGCCCTAAGAATTAGTCCTATCTCTGAGAATTTGCAAAGCTGCGCTCAATAGTGCAGCTGAGCAGAGCCCCCACTTGGTGAAAAGTGGTAAAGCACTCCTCCTGAAAAGCCCAGTAGGAAATCCCCACACATTTAAAAAAACAACAACAAAATCCATAATACAACCAAAGAGAGGAAAGATGACTTTTACATTTTATCTAACTGAAAAAGAAAAGGCACTTTTTATCCTCCTGATTCCACTGTAACCCCTGACCATGATTACATTAAAAATTATTCCCTTAAAGCAAATAGCAAGTAAACAGCCCAGGGTGGCATAAAAAGGCTTTGATACAGCATAGCAATTTGGATATGTCTTCAGCCTAGGTGTAGTGGGCTTCTACCTGTAGTATATTTCTACAGTCTACGTTCTAACTTGGCCCTGCAAATTGTAGAACTGAGGACATTTAGTTCTTAAAAATAAACCTGCTTTCTGGGGGCCTTACCCCCCCCCCATTATTTATTAATCTAACTCTTCTGCTTTTTAAACAACTTCCTCTGCAGGTGGAATAAGCCCAAGAATCCCAGATTTTGAGTCCTCTGTGGCACACAGGTTCTCCCTAGCACAGGGGCCATGCCTGGAGATACTTTTCTAGGGAATAGTTGCCAGCTAGCGCTACTATTAGGTTGGGGCAAAAGTAATTGCGGTTTTTGCCATTGCTTTCAATTGAAGCAGTGGCACGATCTCGGCTCACTGCAACCTCTGACTCCAGGGTTCAAGTGATTCTCGTGCCTCAGCCTCCTGAGTAGCTGAGGTTACAGGCACAAACCACTATGCCTGGCTAATTTTTGTATTTTTAGTAGAGAGAGGGTTTCACCATGTTGGCCAGGCTGGTTTTGAACTCCTGACCTCAGGTGATACACTCACCTTGGCCTCCCAAAGTGTTGGGATTACAGGTGTGAACCACTGCGCCCGGCCCACACAATCTTACTTAATTCTCATAACAATTCTCATTGCTTTCAATTGAAAGCAATGGCAAAAACCACAATTACTTTAATACAATCTCTACTCTCTACTTGGGGGTTCCCAAATATTCAGACAGCATCATTCAGCTGAAGAGACATCCAGTGACTGACAGCTGGCCTTTCATCCAACTGTTTGGGATTATGTAGACACAGTCCCCATTGGGCCCTTTTTGTGAATAGGAGTGACCCTTTATCTCAACCACTGTGGAATGTAGCTGACCTCAACTTTTCTGATATCCAGCTTCCTCAGTGGGAGTTAACACCAAAATACAAGAAAGTACTTGGAAAACTGCCTAACCATTAAAAGTCTGATGGCCTCATCTCTAGATAGTTGACTCTCCAGGTTGGAGGCTGTTCGAGGTTTATTTTACACAAAGAACCCCCAGAAGAGGGCACACACCAGTGAGAAGTACCACGTGCCTCAGGTCTTCACAGCCAGGAGGACCTTGAACCACACACACATCCTGCAACGGTCCAAACAGAGCCAGCCTAAGGAGGTGATGAGATGAGGCTGCCTTGCCTGGGCCCCCTGAGATGGCCCTTGTGAGAAGAATCCCCCATGACCCAGTGTCTCATTTAAATTACCTCATGTGAACTGCTCAAGCGTATCAGGCAGCCTCAGTAATAATAACAGATGCATACTGTGTGCCACGCACTGCTCTCTCCGAATGCCATACAGAGTCTGAAGGAGGTGTTGTCCCCCATTCACAGATGAGGAGCCTGAGGCACCACAAGTAAATCCCTCAGGCCACAGAGCAGAGCCAGGATTTGCCCCCAGGCAGTCAGATCTAGATAGAGCCTGTGCTCTTAACCTTTTGCTTTACAAACTCTCAAACAGGTGTAATATTTTTGCTTTTATATATTCTTATCTTATACTTAATAATTGTATTTATATATTTATTCATTTATAAACATGTTTGTTATATGTTTATATTTTTAACATAGTTTATACAGATTTATATATTTTATATATTTTTTATACATCCATTTAATAAACTAGCATTAACTGAGCACCTACCATATGCAAGTACTATGCTAAATATCTAAATACTAAGGAACAGCGACAAGTAAACCTATTATTATACGGATGGGAACGGAAAAGAGAACTAGCAGTGAATAAGCATCTGCTATGTACGGAGAAGTCTGCTAAAGTCTTCACCCACACTATCTTACCTTTTTTTGTTTTGTTTTTGTTTTTGTTTTTGTTTTTTTTGAGTCTTGCTCTGTTGCCCAGGCTGGAGTGCAGTGGCACGATCTCGGCTCACTGCAACCTCTGATTCCAGGGTTCAAGCGATTCTCGTGCCTCAGCCTCCTGAGTAGCTGAGGTTACAGGCACGTACCACCACGCCCGACTAATTTTTGTATTTTTAGTAGAGAGAGGGTTTCATCATGTTGGCCAGGCTGGTTTCGAACTCCTGACCTCAGGTGATACACCCACCTTGGCCTCCCGAAGTGTTGGGATTACAGGTGTGAACCACCGCACCCGGCCCACACCATCTTACTTAATTCTCATAACAATCCTATGAAGCAGATCCTATGAAGAAGCTTTTCCAGATAAGGAAACGGAGGATCCCAGACTCTAACCTGCAAAACAACTATGTACAGATTAACATCGAGTACCTTCAACTTTTCTCAGATAGAGAAGGCCCGGGACAGCAAGTGGAGGCTGGCTTCTCTGGGAGGGAGCAGGTACAGAGAGGTGGGGACAGCACCCAAGATTCTGCTTGGCGATGTTCTCGCAGCATCTGTAACTTTGATCTGCCTTCTCATTCTCTGCACAAACGCATGCAAGATCACATAGGAGGGAAAAAGGAGAAGGCTTGAGTTGGATCATCCACACCAAAGTCCAGAGCACTAGGGAGCCAGCCTGTCTGGGTCCAAATCCTGTCTCTCCCTCTTTCTTGGAGCATGCCCCCTGAGCAATTACTCAGTCTTTCTGTGCCCCAGTTTCCTCTTCTGTAAAGTGGGAATAAGTGTGCCCATTCAAGTTGACTCCTGTGAGGATTAAACAAGTGCAAATTAAAGCACTTAGAACAGTGCCTCTCACACTTCAGGCGCTTGCGGAGAGGGGATGCTTCAGTCTGACAGAAGTCGCTAAACGTGCATCCTGGCAGAACTGTGCCAGCCCTTCATTCTAAAGGGCAGGAGGTGGCCTCAGAAGTGAGAGGTCCGAGATGCCTGGGCGTGGGCTCAGAAGCCCCAGGTCTGAGCCTGCGCGCCCACTTGACCCACCGCCATCTCCTTTTGCCGCCCCCAGGCCAGGGACCTGATTCCTGCGTGAAGAAAAGAGAAAATAAGGGTGGGCCTCCTAATGCCGCAGAGACTCCGTCTGAGAACCCAGCAACTAGTTTTATTTTTGTATATTTAGATCAACAAACGAAGAGGGTTTCCGGTTCCTTGTTGGGGGAGCACCGTAGCTACCTGCGGCCAAGCCTCGTAGCCGTCTCCTCTCCCGTCCTCTCTCTGCCTGCAGGAGCCACGGGCCCGCAGCCCGCAATCAAGTCCCACAGAGCGGAGATCTGCACGAGAGGCTTGGGGATGGGAGGGCCATGTCGCGGGGGCCTCACCGGTCTCCCCAGAAGCGGGGAGTCCCGAGTTGGAATCCCGGCTTGGCCCTTCCCTCTGTGTGCGTCCTCGGGCAAATCACCCAGCATCCCTAAGCCACAGTTTGCCCGCTGGTAAAATGGGCGTCACACTCCCTGCCTCTCCCGGAGGAGAGAGGCTGACGCGGACATCGCACCAGGCACTGCGCCAGAGCGCGCGCCCAGGTGCGGGGTCTTGGGGCTCAGGCGCAGCAGCCGGGCCCGCAGCTGCTGGCGTCATCGCGGAGGGCGGGGCCGCGGGGCGGTGCTCGGGGCCGGGGACGGCTGCTGGAGCGGCGCCCGCCGCGGCTCAGCGCATTCC
The DNA here is from genome assembly GCF_000001405.40 of Homo sapiens. Lineage (NCBI taxonomy): Eukaryota > Metazoa > Chordata > Mammalia > Primates > Hominidae > Homo > Homo sapiens. The sequence continues at coordinate 52,179,918 of NC_000015.10, read as the reverse complement.
CGCTCTCCGCTTCCCTCTCCGCTGCGTCCCCGCGCGAAGATGGCAACCGAGGGGCTGCACGAGAACGAGACGCTGGCGTCGCTGAAGAGCGAGGCCGAGAGCCTCAAGGGCAAGCTGGAGGAGGAGCGAGCCAAGCTGCACGATGTGGAGCGTGAGTGCGGGCCGGGAGGCGGGCGGGGCAAGCCGGACCGGCTCGCCACTTCCCGGGCGGGGACGGCGGGGGCGGTGGGGGCGGTCGTGGCTGCGACGGGAGCCAGGCCCGCGCCACCGCCCGGGAGCAGGGCCCTGGGGCCCGGGCGCGCAGGTGAGGCGCGGGTAGCGGTCCCGATCCCCGGGACGCGCGGCGGTGGGGCCCTCGGAGGGTCCGGGCACCTGGCCGACCCCCGCCGCCAGCTAGCGGAGGACCGCGGGACTAGCTATCCTCATCACCTGCCTGGAAGCTGCGAACGGATCGCGTTCTTGCCCCTCCCATGCGGAGGGCAGGGGGTGGGGTGTCGGTGGTGACGAGCGAGCGCGGCGAGCCCGTGTAGGCGCGGCCTAGGAGAGACTCCTGTTTTGTTTTTTAATGCCCGTCTGGCTTTCTCCATCACTGTTGTATCTTTTCTCAGTTTTGCTTTTATGAGACTGCAATTTCAAAGCTCATTTTTCCAACCTCTCCCCTATCCTTGGGGCGGGGAGCTGGATGACGGAGAGAGAAGGGAAACGGAGGAGCTCACTAAATTCAACCGTTCAGTTCGTTTAAGGCTGTTTAAAAAGCTTTTGGATCGATGTGGTGGATTGGCATAAAAAAGCCATAGCGATCTTAAACTTGCATTCTTCACCACCACCACCGTAATTCAGAACTGGCTCTGTGATTTTTATGAGTGAGCGATTAAATAGCCAGGTTCAGCGGCTCTTGGCCAAAACAGCGTTCCTTTACTTTGTCAGAGGGCTCCTCCTCAGCAGAGCTTGGGCTGGGGGCCAGGCTTGGGGAAGTGGTTGTATCTGCTCACTTTTGAGCTCTGAGGGTGGCATCTCCCCTTTGCTGAGCACCTCCCACGGTGCCCTCCTGCACACCTTGACGTTGTTCTCCTGCCATTCCTAATCGATGCCACCCTTTACATTCTATGTGGAATGGAAAAATGGGGTTCGTGCTAGGGCCTTTACCTTTTGATCTCTGAAGATCACTTAAGAGAAGTGGATGACCTGGATCTAGCGTGTGCTGTGCTTTCCTAGGGGTCTTCTTTAAATAGGAGGCACTCTAAGCTTAGAAATCCTGTCCAGCAATCACTAACTGTAAACCCCAAATAATGTAGTTATGCAAATTGAGAGTTACTTTTCTTACATAACAAGAGCAAAGGTGGATGATCACCTGCTGTTGTTCAGCTGCACCATGCACCCCCCACCAAGGGACCCAGGCTCCTTCTGCCTTTCTTCTCCACACCTTAGAGCAGTGGCATTTGCCCCATGATTATAATATGATTGCCACAGCTCCAAACATCACTTCTGTATCCAAGGCAGGAAGAAGGGGGAATATGGACACCAATCTCTCTTTGCTCCCTATCAAGAAAGCAAAGCAAAAGTTTTCCCAGAAATCCTTCTCCCAGTTTGAGACCAGCCTGGCCAACATGGTGAAAAGTATTCATAGGTCATCTAATTTCTCCATTTGACAGATGAGGAAACTGAGGCACAAAGAATTAAAGGACTTACCGAAGGTCCCCTGCTAAGTGTTGGGACCCGGATTCCCCCCAGGCAATCAGAGTGCCAGCTCAGGCTCACTTCAGATTATTTTCGCCAAACCCGTTTTGAGCTTCATGCAGAGGGCGTTCTCCAGAAACTCACTTATTCAATAGTGCAGGCTGCATGCCTGGATATTTTCAGGTTTTCTGTGAATTTGTAAGTTGCCTTAAGACAGAGAGCAGAGATGCAGCTTTTCAAAGGGAACCTCAGGGGGCAAATGTAGTCAATCCAAAAGAAGAAACTTTTTTTTGTCCTGCCAAGAGTGTGGTGCCCTCAAAAGCTAGGGCCAGATTTTAGACCCACAGTGGAAGGGTCTATCCCTACCTGCATATGTCAGAATTTGTGAGCTGGAAAGACCAGAAGTCATGTGGTTGTGTCCCTCTTGATTCCCCTGCAGCTTCCAGACCACTTCTCTTCTACCCCGCATAAAGCCTTTGCTTCTTGAAGGTTCTTATCACTGTATTGACCTCTTCCCCTTTGACATGTCTCCTGATCTCCCAGCCAGGTTCTCTCATTTCTCTACTTTTCTTTTCTTTTTTTTTTTTTTTTGACACGGAGTCTCCCTCTGTCACCCAGGCTGGAGTACAATGGCACAGTCTTGGCTTACTGCAACCTCCACCTCCCAGGTTCAAGTGTTTCTCCTGCCTCAGCCTCCCAAGTAGCTGGGACTATAGGCATGTGCCACCACACCCAAGTAATTTTTGTATTTTTAGTAGGCTTCACCATGTTGGCCAGGCTGGTCTCGAACTCCTGACCTCAAGTGATCTGCCCGCCTGAGCCTCCAAAAGTACTGGGATTACAGGTGTGAGCCACCGCACTCAGCCATTCTTTTCTTTATTCATCTTTATTTTTAAGAGACAGGGTCTCGGACCGACAGGGTGGCTCACGCCTGTAATCCCAGCACTTTGGGAGGCCAAGGCGGGTGGATCATGAGGTCAGGAGATTGAGACCATCCTGGCCAACATGGTGAAACCCCGTCTCTACTAAAAATACAAAAATTAGTTGGGCATGGTGGCAGGTGCCTGTAATCTCAGCTACTTGGGAGGCTGAGGCAGGAGAATAGCTTAAACCAGGGAGTTGGAGGTTGCAGTGAGCCGAGATCTTGCCACTGCACTCCAGCCTGGGCGACAGAGCGAGACTCCGTCTCAAAAAAAAAAAAAAAAAAAAAAAAGGAGGAGCTAGGCAGAGGCCCCAGGAGGGGGTGTGTTTGGTGTATCTGATGTATCTGAGGAAGAGTGAGGAGGCAGGTGTGTCTGGAGGGGAGTATGCAGGGCAGAGTCCAGCTGCAGGTTATGCTGGGAGCTCATGCAGGACCCCATGGGTGCAGTGAAGATTTGGGCTCTTACTCCCAGTGAGTTGGGAAACCCTTGGAGGGTTTTGAGAGAGAGGATGGATCTGATTGCTTTACTGGGCTCACTCTGCCTGCCATGTTTTGTGGCAGAACAAGACAGCTTGAGGGAGGGAAATGAAGTGTGAGAGGTAAGTGACCTGGGGTAAGAGTTCTTGACAAATGTCTCTTTCCCTCTTATCAGAGAGCCTACCTTGCGTGCCACTTGCCAGCTCCTAATGGAAGTTACAGCTGAAGGTGGAAGAGCGAGAGATGATTTCTGAGCTTGTCTTGGTCCCATAGTTGACCCTGCAGCCGCTCTTACCTTACCCCAGCCCAGACTCGCCCAGCTCCTTCCTAAGTGTGTTTGTCCCTTGGCACTCAGGTGGGAAAGGGAGGAAAGGATGCTGATGAGTTTTACTTGTGGAAGTATAAGCTAGAGCCCTGCCAGGTGCAAACAACAGTGCTGTCATTTTTCCCTGTATGAAGGAAAGTGGTATCATCCCCATCTGTGCGATGAGCGAGCAGGCTTAGCAAAGTCGAATAATTCCTTCAGGGTCATGCAGCTGGTTAGTGATTGGGCCAGGATTCAGTTTAGGAATGATGCAGCTTTCTTTGCAGGGCTCCCCATTGAGCAAGTGGCTGAGAGCCTGGGGGAAGGTGGGAAGGGTCTGGTGAGGCTGGGGAGGACCATAAACTGAATCTGTTCACTCCCCAGAGCAGGGGCTGGCAGCATGCACTTTCCTGTATCTCTTATGGTGACTGGCAGCCCCTTAGTTAACAGATGTTTTTGTTTGTTTGTTTGTTTTGTTTTGTTTTTTTTTGAGATGGAGTCTGGCTCTGTTGCCCAGGCTGGAGTGCAATGGCATGATCTCAGCTCGCTACAACCTCCACCTCCTGGGTTCAAGCAGTTCTCCTGCCTCAGCCTCCTGAGTAGCTGGGATTACAGGCACATGCCATCACACCTGGCTAATTTTTGTATTTTTAGTAGAGACAGAGTTTCACTGTGTTAACCAGGCTGGTCTCGAACTCCTGACCTTGTGATCCGTCCACCTTGGCCTCCCAAAGTGCTGGGATTACAGGTGTGACCCACTGCGCCTGGCCGTTTTTTGTTTGTTTGTTTGTTTGTTTTTTGAGACGGAGTCTCACTCTGTCGCCCAGGCTAGAGTCCAGTGGCACAATCTCAGCTCACTGTAAGTTCCACCACCCAGGTTCAAGCGATTCTCCTGCCTCAGCCTCCCAAGTAGCTGAGACTACAGGCATGTGCCACCATGCCTGGCTAATTTTTGTATTTTTAGTGGAGACCGGGTTTCACCATGTTGGACGGGCTGTTCTTGAACTCCTGACCTCAGGTGATCTGCCCGCCTCAGCCTCCCAAAGTGCTGGGATTACAGGCGTGAGCTAATGTGCCTGGCCTGACAGATTTGTTTCTGACACACACAGGCCTTGTTTCTTGCCCAGCTGAGATTCCCAGCCCCTGCTTCGTGATGACCTCTGCAGATATTTCCCATTTTGGAATCCAAGGATGGTTTCCTGTGAATTGGGAATGTGTGGCCAGACACATGAGTTTTATAGTACCAAATTAGGGTATGCGGCTGACACCAGAGGGGTATGGTTTATTCCCCAGAGCAACATGTGTTAGATGCCTGTACATTTTTGCATTTTAGTGTTGCTATATAGGTGGCCCAGTAGCCTCTGCCCTAGTCAGGGAGACCCCTTTAGGCTATCAGCTAAGGTAATCAACTCATCCCAGTTTGCCTGGGACCCTAGGTATGTGTGTTTGTTTGTTTGTTTGTTTTTGAGACAGAGTCTTGCTCTGTTACCCAGGCTGGAGTGCGGTGGCACGATCTCGGCTCGCTGCAACCTCCGCATTCCAGGTTCAAGCAATTCTCCTCCCTCGGCCCCACTAGTAGCAGGCACACACCATCTCGCCCAGCTAATTTTTGTATTTTTAGGAGAGATGGGGTTTTGCTATGTTGGCCAAGCTGGTCTCGAACTCCTGACTTTAGGTGATCCACCCGCCTCAGCCTCCCAAAGTTCTGGGATTACAGGCGTGTGCCACCGTGCCTAGCCAGACCCTAGGTTTTAAAATGGAAAGTCCTGCACCCCAGGAGACCCTGCGGCCCTAGGCAAACCAGGATAGTTGTTACCTCCTATTGGCTTGGACTTGCCCAAATTCTTGCCTTAAGGTAGCTTAAGGCAACATATTAAAATTGTATAGCATAAACTTTGAGGAAAAAATGGTTTCCTCTCTTCAGACACTGAGTTCTTCACCTCCATCCCTTTGGCCCTCATCCCCAAGCCAGACCCTTGGCCAACATTAAATATAGGAAGTATTAATAGCTTATATGGGTCCTCTGATGGGAAGCCAGCTCACATCAAACTCCACAGCCCCAAGCCCCATTTTCCCCTTCCTCCCACAGAGCTTCCTGCTTCTCCCCAGAGCTTTCTCCTTGTCACTTTCTGCTTATCTTCTACCACAGGCGAGTACTACCTCGCTTGATTCCAAGGCATTTTAGAATCATATGGTTACAGTGTGCATTCATTTCTGATTGCTACTGTACAAATTTCCACAAACTTAGTGGCTTGCAATAACATACATTTGTTTTCTTATAGTGCTGGAGGTCTATAATCGGTGACTAAAATGGGTGGGCAGGTCCTTCTGGAAGCTTTAGGGGAGAATCCATTTCTTGCTTTTTCCAGCTTCTTGGGGCTGCCCATGTTCTTGGCCCAAGGCTCACGTGATTCTGAGCACTGCTTCTGTGGTCACCTCTCTCTCTGACTCTAACCCACCTGCTCCCTCTTATTAGGATCCATGTGATTATGTTGGGCCCACCTGGATAATCCAGGATAATCTCCCCATCTCAAGATCCTTAACTTAATCACATCTAGAAAGTCCCTTTTGCCGTAAGATAGTATCGCCACTGGTTCTGGGGATTAGGATGTGGATACCTTTGGGGGCCATTATTTAGCCTATCACACAGCTTTTAGATCAGGAGGGTTCCCCTGCTTCAGCTTCAGTCTTCCAGCACAAAACATTTCCTTCTCTTCCTAACAGCCCTGTCCCTTATAGATGAAAAAGCAGCTGAGATCCAGGGAGGGGTGAAGGGATTTCCCTAAGATTTTGTAGCTACTCTAATGTTGAATAGGGAGTAGAGAAGATTCAAGCTCCCAGGACAGCTGTCCTCCTCACCATGCTAGACCTTCTCTTAGAAAGTTGAGATTTGCCAACAGTCTCCCTAACTGACCTAGTTCCGTCTACCTCTTCCACTTCACCTTGGATCAGTCTATGCTTTGCTCACTATCGCCAGTCACACTGGCCATCTTGGTGAGCTTCAGACCATCAAGCTTGTTCTTGCCTTCAGCCTTCAGACATGTTGTATTCTCTCTTCTGGAATGTTCTCCCACTTCTTTGCCTAGTTTACTTCATATATTCTGTCTCGGTTCATATTCCACCTCCTCAGAGGCACCTTCCCTTATTATAAAAAGCAGTAAATGTGCTGGGCACGGTGGCTCATGCCTGTAATCCCAGCACTTTGGGAGGCAGAGGCAGGTGGATCACTTGAGCCCAGGAGATCAAGACCAGCCTGGGCAGCATGGAGACTCCTTAATCTAAAATGGCCATGTCTGTCCCAACTTCCTACAATTTCAGCTCCCTTTCATTGTTCACTTCATCACTCTCTAAAATTACTTTCATTCATTTATTCTTTGTTGACTGATTGATGATTGGTTGATTTTATGTCTCCCTTACTAGAATGTAAGTACCTTGGCAGCAGGTACTTTATTTGTATCATTTACTGTGGATCACCCTCCTACAACAGTGAGCTAGGCTAAGTAAATATTTATCAAATGAAAAAAAAAGATTGGCATTGAAAAGAAAGAAAAGTAAATCCACGTATGAAAAGGTGCCGATTTTTTTTATTCAGTAAAAGAAAATAAAAAGCAAAGTGCCAAACAGTATATATAACATGATCTTAACAAACAAGAGGTGCTTGTATATGCAGTAAATGTCTGGAAGGATACGCAAGGAACTTGTTATCGCTAGAGAGGGGTATGGAAAGTGAAGGTGCTTTTCATTTTATACCCATCTATACATTTACTGTTTTTGAGCCAGGTTCTCACTCTGTCACACAGGCTGGAGTACAGTGGCCCGATCATGGTTCACTGCCGCCTCAAACTCCTGGCTACCTCAGCCTCTCAAGTAGCTGGGACTACAGGTGTGTGCCACCACACCTGGCTAATTTTTGCATTTTTTTGTAGAGACGAGGTTTCTCCATGTCGCCCAGGCTGGTCTTGATCTCCTGGGCTCAAGCGATCCACCTACCTCTGCCTCCCAAAGTGCTGGGATTACAGGCATGAGCCACCGCACCCAGCACATTTACTGCTTTTTATAATAAGGGAAAAATGAGTACTAGAATGGGAGTCAAGATCAAGAATAAAAGGAGGCCGGGCATGGTGGCTCACTTTGGAAGGCTAAAACGGAAAGATCACTTGAGCCCAGGAGTTGAAGACCAGCCTGGGCAATATAGTGAGACCTCAACTCTCAAAAAAATAAAAATAAAAAAATAAAAATTAGCCAGGCATGATGGTGTGTACCTGTGGTCCCAGCTACTCGGGAGGCTGAGGTGGGAGGATCACTTGAGCCCAGGAGGTTGAGACTGCAAAGAGCTATGATTGCACCACTGCACTCAAGCCTGTGTGACAGAATAAGATCCTGTCTCAAAAAATAAAAAATAAAAAGAGAAAGGGGAAAACAATTCAACTCTAAAGAGTCTTTAACTTGAAATTAAACTGAGGAATAATCTGCAAGACAGGCTCAAACCAGACAGACCAGGAAGGACATGGTGTTCATTTCAGCCAACAGGCACAGCAGCCTCCTGGGGCTGTGTGGGAGCTTTACTCCAATTCCCAGGTCCTTGAGGCAGATGCTAATATTGTTAAGGAACAAAGCAAGTTTATGTCGTTTCTCTGAGTACAAATCTAGACTAAATTTGATAGAAGGATGTATTATCTGATACCATTAACTTTTCTATCTATTCTAAATGTAATTTTTTGAAAAGTTTTATTATTGAATGCTTTATGGCTTAGAGTCTTGGACTATTCTGATTTATGGCTTAGGGAAAAATCTAGGAAAACCAACTTTCTAGATTAGCCTGGAGCAAACATATTCCTTGACTTTTTTCATATTCTAAGAAAATGTGATCTGTGTACCGACGCTTACAGAAGTCGGTTTCTCTACAGTCATCCTCTTCCCTGCTGTTTGGCCACATGCCTCCTGCAGCCATCAGAGGCAGCAGAAAGCTAACCTGCCTTCATTTCCTTTCCCCTTCCTTTCTCTGCATTCACTGTTATACTCGAGCTGGCTAATGCAAGGGTGTTTAGAGTACTTTCCCAATAAACAAATGCTCACTGTGGAAAAATCTAGAAATATAGAAGAAAACAAGTCATTCATAATCTCAATACCTAGAGGTAGCCATTTTTAATATTTTCATGTATTTCATAGCTTATGTTTCCATGTTTGTGTATATATTTATAAGCTTACTAGGGACTGTACTAGATAGAGGATTTGAGCCCAGTTTTAACATTCAGCACAATGGATTGAGTAGCTCCCCATGTCATTTACATTTCTTTTAATGTCATCATTAAAAATTCTTATATGGAACCTTACAGTATTCAATCTTAAAGATGGTCCCATAACTTAATTCTCCAAACTTTTAATTAGGGAATTCAGGGTAGAATTTTTTGTGGCTCATGAATTTTTTTTTTTTTTTTTTTTTTTGGAGATAGAGTCTCACTTTATTGCTCACCTGGAGTCCAGTAGCGTGATCATGGCTCACTGCAACCTCCACCTCCCAGATTGAAGTGCTTCTCTTGCCTCAGCCTCCCAAGTAGCTGGGATTATAGTCGCACACCACCATGCCTGGCTAATTTTTTTTTTATAGTTTAGCCATGTTGTCCAGGCTGGTCTCAAACTCCTGACCTCAGGTGATCTGCCTGCCTCAGCCTCTCAAAGTGCTGGGATTACAGGCATGAGCCACCACGCCCAGCCTCATGAATTTTTTTAAGGCAATTCACAAATCTCTGACAAATACAAGTGAGATAAATGTGACTATTAATGTTTTCCTTCCATACAGGGGTTTGAGAGGGTTTTTTTTTTTTTCTTCAGCTTTTAAGTTCCAGGGTACATGTGCAGGATGTGCAGTTTTGTTACATAGGTAAACATGTGTCATGTGGTTTGCTGCACAGATCAACCCATCACCTAAGTATTAAGCCCAGCATCCATTAGCTATTCTTCCTGATGCTGTCCCTCCTGCTATGCCCCTGACAGGCCCCAGTGTGTGTTGTTCCCCCGATGTGTCCATTTGTTCTCATCGTTCAGCTCCTACTTATAAAGGAGAACATGTGGTGTTTGGTTTTCTGTTTCTGCCTTAGTTTGCTGAGGATAATGGCTTCCATGTCCCTGCAAAGGACATTATTTCATTCCTTTTTATGGCTGCATAGTATTCCATGGTATGTATGTACCACATTTTCTTTATCCAGTCTATCATTGATGACCATTTGGGTTCATTTCACATCTTTGATATTGTAAATAGTGCTGCAATGAACATTCGTGCATGTATCTTTTAATAGATTGGTTTATATTCCTTTGGATATATACCCAGTAATGGGATTGCTGGGTCAAATGGCATTTCTGCTTCTAGATCTTTGAGGAATTGCCACACTGTCTTCCACAGGGTTGAACTAATTTAATTTACATTCCCACCAACAGTGTAGAAGCATTCCTTTTTCTCCGCAACCTCACCAGCATCTGTTACTTCTTGACTTTTTAATAATCACCTTTCTGACTGACATGAGATGGTATCTCATTGTGGTTTTGATATGCATTTCTCTAATGATCAGTGATATTGAGCTTTTTTTCATGTTTGTTGTCTGCATGAGTGTCTTCTTTTGAGAAGTGTCTGTTCATGTCCTTTGCCCACTTTTTAATGGGGTTTTTTTTCTTGTAAATTTGTTTAAGTTCTTGTAGATTCTGGATATCAGACTTTTATCAGATGGATAGATCACAAACATTTTCTCCCTTCTGTAGTTTGTCCCTTCACTCTGATGTAGTTTATTTTGCTATGCAGAGGCCCTTTGTTTTAATTAGATCCCATTTATCAATTTTTGCTTGTGTTGCAATTACTTTCGGCATTTTTGTCATGAAATCTTTGGCCCATGACTATGTCCTGAATGGTATTGCCTAGGTTTTCCTCTTTACCTCTTTTCTTTTCTTTCTTTTCTTTTTTTCTTTTTCTCTTCTCTTCTTTTCTTTTTTTTTTTTTTTTTTTTTTTTTGAGACAGAGTCTCGCTCTTGTCACCCAGGCTGGAGTGCAATGGCGTGATCTCTGCTCACTGCAACCTCCGCCTCCTGGGTTCAGGCTCTTCTCCTGCCTCAGCCTTCTGAATAGCTGGGATTACAGGTGCCCACCACCATGCCCAGCTAATTTTTTGTATTTTTAGTAGAGACGGGGTTTCACCATGTTGGCCAGGCTGGTTTCAAACTCCTGACTTCAGGTGATCTGCCTGCCTCAGTCACCCAGGCTGGAGTGCAGTGGTGCGATCTCGGCTCACTGCAGCCTCCGCCTCCTAGGTTCAAGTGATTCAAGTGCCTCAGCCTCCCAAGTAGCTGGGACTACAAGCATACGCCACCACACCTAATTTTTGTATTTTTAGTAGAGACGGGGTTTCACCATGTTGGCCAGGCTGGTCTCAAACTCCTAACCTCAAGTGATTCGTCCACACTGGCCTCCCAAAATGCTGGGATTACAGGCGTGAGCCCCCACATCCGGCCTGGTATTGCCTAGATTTTCTTCTAGGGTTTTTATAGTTTGGGGTTTTACATTTAAGTCTTTAATCCATCTTGCATTAATTTTTGTATAAGGTGTAAGGAAGGGGTCCAGTTTCAGTCTTCTGCATATGGCTAGCCAGTTCTCCTAACACTATTTATTAAATAGGGAATCCTTTCCCCATTGCTTGTTTTTGTCAGGTTCATCAAAGATCAGATGATTGTAGGTGTGCAATCTTATTTCTGAGCTCTCCATTCGGTTCCATTGGTCTGTGTGTCTGTTTTTGTACCAGTACCCAGCTGTTTTGGTTACTGTAGCCTTGTAGTATATTTTGAAGTTGGGTAGCCTGATGCCTCCAGCTTTGTTCCTTTTGCTGAGGATTATCTTGGCTATATGGGCTCTCTTTTGGTCCCATGTGAATTTTAAAATAGTTTTTTTTCCTATTCTATGAAGAATGTCAATGGTAGTTTAATGGGAATCGCATTGAATCTATAAATTACTTTGGGCAATATGGCCATTTTCACTGTATTGATTCTTCCTATCCATAAGCATGGAATGTTTTTCCATTTGTTTGTGCCCTCTCTGATCTCCTTGAGCAGTGGTTTGTAGTTCTTGAAGAGATCCTTCACTTACCTTGTTAGCTGTATTCCCAGGTATTTGATTCTCTTTGTAGCAATTATGAATGGGAGTTCACTCATGATTTGGCTCTCTAGTGATTTTTGCACATTGATTTTGGATCCTGAGACTTTGCTGAAGTTGCTTATCAGCTTAGGAAACTTTTGGGCTTAGACGATGGGGTTTTCTAGATATAGGATCTTGTCATCTGCAAACAAAGATAATTTGACTTCTCTCTTCCTATTTGAATACCGTTTGTTTCTTTCTCTTGCCTGATTGCCCTGGCCAGAACTTCCAGTACTATATTGAATAGGAGTGGAGAGAGAGGGCATCTTTGTCTTGTGCCAGTCAAGGGGAATGCTTCCAGCTTTTGCCCATTCAGTATGATATTCGGTGTAGGTTTGTCATATATGGCTCTTACTATTTTGAGATATGTTCCTTCAATACCTTGTTTATTGCGAGTTTTTAACATGAAGGGATGTTGAATTTTATTGAAGGCCTTTTCTCTGTCTTATCGAGGTAATCATGTGGTTTTTTTCTTTAGTTTTTTTTATATGATGAATTATATTTACTGATTTGTGTATGTTGAACCAATGTTGCATCCTGGGGATGAATCCAACTTGATAGTGTTGGATAAGTTTTTTGATGTGATGCTGGATTCAGTTTCCCAGTATTGGGAATCATTTATTGATGATTTTTGCACCAATGTTCATCAGGGATATTGGCCTGAAGTTTTCTTTTTTCTTTTCTTTTTTTTTTTGAAATGGAGTCTTGCTCCTGTTGCCCAGTCTGGAGTGCAATGGCATGATCTTGACTCACTGCAACCTCTACCTCCTGCGTTCAGGCGATTCTCCTGCCTCAGCCTCCTGAGTAGCTAAGATTACAGGCGCCTGCCACCACGCCCGGCTAATTTTTTGTATTTTTAGTAGAGACAGAGTTTCACCATGTTGGCCAGGCTGGTCTCAAAGTCCTGACCTCAGGTGATCCACCCGCCTCAGCCTCCCAAAGTGCTGGGATTACAGACGTGGGCCACTGCACTCGGCCAAAGTTTTCTTTTTTTGTTGTGTCTCTGCCAGGTTTTGATATCAGGATGATGCTGACCTGATAAAATGAGTTAGGGAGGAGTCCCTCCTTTTCAATTGTTTAGAATAGTTTCAGAAGAAAGGGTACCAGCCCCTCTTTGTACCTCTGGTAAAATTCAGCTGTAAATCTGTCTGGTCCTGGACTTTTTTTTGTTGGTAGGCTATTTATTACTGCCTTAATTTCAGACCTCATTATTGGCCTATTCAGGGATTCCATTTCTTCCTGGTTCAGTCTTGGGAGGGTGTATGCATTTAGGAATTTATCTATTTCTTCTAGATTTTCTAGTTTATGTGCATAGAGGTATTTGTAGTATTCTCTGATGGTTGTTTGTATTTCTGTGGGGTCAGTGGTGATATCCCCTTTATCATTTCTGATTGTGTCTATTTGATTCTCCTCTCTTTTATTAATCTATCTAGTGGTCTATCTATTTTATTAATTTTTTCAAAAAACCAGCTCCTGGATTCATTGATTTTTTTGAAGGGTTTTTCATGTCTCTATCTCCTTTAGTTCCACTCTGATCTTGGTTATTTCTTGTCTTCTGCTAGCTTTGGGGTTTTTTGCTCTTGGTTCTCTAATTCTTTTAGCTGTGATGTTAGGTTGTTGATTTGAGATCTTTCTAGCTTTCTAATATAGACATTTAGTGCTAAAATTTCCCTCTTAACACTGCTTTAGCTGTGTCCTAGAGATTCTGGTACGTTGTCTCTTAGTTCTCATTAGTTTCAAAGAACTTCTTGATTTCTACCATAATTTCATTATTTACCTAGGAGTCATTCAGGAACAGGTTGTTCAATTTCCATGTAGTCGTGTGGTTTTGAATGAGTTTCTTAATCTTGAGTTCTAATTTGATTTCGCTGTGGTCTGAGAGACTGTTATGATTTCAGTTCTTTTGCATTTACTAAGGAGAGTTTTACTTCCAATTATGTGATCAATTTTAGAGTAATGGCATGTGGTGATGAGAAGAATGTATATTCTGTTTTTGGATGGAGAATTCTGTAGATATCTGTCAGGTCCACTTCATCCAGAGCTGAGTTCAGGTTCTGAATATCCTTGTTAATTTTCTCTCTCAATGATCTGTCTAATGTTGCCAGTGGGGTGTTAAAGTCTCCCACTATTATTGTGTGGGAGTGTAAGTCTCTTTGTAGATCTGTAAGAACTTGCTTTATGAATCTGGGTGCTCCTGTATTGGGTGCATATATATTTAGAATAGTTAGCTCTTCTTGTTGAATTGAACACTTTACCATTATGTAATGCCCTTCTCTGTCTTTTTTTATCTTTGTTGGTTTAAAGTCTGTTTTGTTGGAAACTAGGATTGCAACGCCTGCTTTTTTCTGTTTTCCATTTGCTTGGTAAATTTTCCTCCATCCCTTTATTTTTAGCCTATGTGTGTCTTTGCATGTGAGATGGGGCTCTTGAATATAGCATACCAATGAGTCTGGACTCGATCCAGCTTGCCATTCTGTGTCTTTTAATTGGAGCATTTAGCCCATTTACATTTAAGGTTAATATTGTTATGTGTGAATTTGATCCTGTCATCATGATGCTAGCTAGTTATTTTGCAGACTTGTTTGTGTAGGTGCTTCACAGCGTACTTGTACTTCAGTTTTTTTTTGGTAGTAGCTGGTAACAGTTTTTCCTTTCTATATTTGGTGCTTCCTTCAGGAGCTTTTACAGGGCAGGCCTGGTGGTGATAAATTTCCTCAGCATTTGCTTGTCTGAAAAAGATCTTGTTTCTTCTTTGCTTATGAAGCTTAGCTTGGCCGCATATAAAATTCTGGGTTGGAAATTCTTTTCCTTAAGAATGTTGAATATTGGCCCCACTCTCTTCGGGCTTGTAAGGTTTCCACTGAGAGGTCTGCTGTTAGTCTGGCGGGCTTCCCTTTGCTTTTCTCTCTGGCTGCCCTTAACATTTTTTCTTTCATTTCAGTCTTGGAGAATCTGATGATTATGTGTCTTGGGGTTGATCTTTAAAGGGAGTATCTTACTGGCGTTCTCTGGATTTCCTGAATTTGAACGTTGCCCTGTCTTCTTAGGTTAGGGAAGTTCTCCTGGATGATATCCTGAAGTATGTTTTTTAGCTTGTTCCATTCTCCCCATATCTTTCAGGTACCCTAATCAGTTGTAGGTTCAGTCTTTTTACATAATCCCATATTTACTGGAGGTTTTGTTCATTCCTTTTCATTGTTTTTTCTCTATTCTTGTCTGCTTGCCTTATTTTAGAAAGATAGTCTTCAAGCTCTGAGATTGTTTCCTATGCTTGGTCTGTTCAGCTGTTGTTACTTGTGATTGCATCGTGACATTCTTATGTTGTATCTTTCAGCCCCATCAGGTCATTTATGTTCCTCTCTAAACTGGCTATTTTGGTTATCAGCTCCTGTAATGTTTTATCATGATTCTTAGCTTCTTTGCATTGGGTTAGAACATGCTCCTTTAGCTCAGTGAAGTTCATTATTACCCACCTTCTGAAGCCTACTTCTGTCACTTCCTCTATCTCAGCCTCAACCCAGTTCTGTGCCTTTGCTATAGAGATGCTGTGATCACGTGGAGAAGAGGCACTCTGGCCTTTTGAGTTCTCAGTGTTTTTGTGTTGATTCTTTCTCATCTTGGTGGGCTTATCTATCTTAAGTCTTTGAGGTTGCTGACCTATGAATGGGGTTTTTGTGGAGTCTTTTTGATGATGATGTTGCTTTCTTTCTATTTTATTTTTATTTATTTATTTATTTTGAGATGGAGTCTGGCTCTGTCGCCCAGGCTGGAGTGCAGTGTCGTGCTCTCGGCTCACTGCAAGCTCCGCCTCCCAGGTTGACGCCATTCTCCTGCCTCAGTCTCCTGAGTAACTGGGACTACAGGTGTGTCTGCCACCACGCACAGCTAATTTTTTTTATTTTTATGTTTTCAGTAGAGACGGGGTTTCACCGTGTTAGCCAAGAATGTCTCGATCTCCTGACTTCGTGATCCGCCCGCCTCGGCCTCCCAAAGTGCTGGGATTACAGGCTTGAGCCACCACACCCAGCATTTTTTTTTTTTTTTTTTTTTTTTTTTTAAGACAGAGTCTTGCTGTTGTCTCCCAGGCTGGAGTGCAATGGCACCATCTCGGCTCACTGCAACCTCTGCCTCCCAGGTTCAAGCGATTCTCCTGCCTCAGCCCCCCGAGTAGCTGGGATTACAGGCGCCCGCCATCACACCCAGCTAATTTTTGTATTTTTAGTATTTTGTATATTTGTATCTCACTATGTTGGTCAGGCTGGTCTTGAACTCCTGACCTCGTGATCCTCTTGCCTCGGCCTCCCAAAGTGCTGGAATTATAGGTGTGAGCCACCGTGCCCGGCTGTTTTTCTTTTAACAGTCAGGCCTCTCCTCCACAGGGCTGCTGCGGTTTGCTGGGGGTCCACTCCAGACCCTTATTGCCTGGGTCCCTCCTGCACCTGGAGGTATCACCAGTGAAGGCTGCAAAACAGCAAAGATGGCATCCAGCTCCTTCCTCTGGAGACTCCATCCCAGAGGGGCACCAACCTGATGCCAGCTGGAACGCTCCTGGAGGAGGCATTTGTAGACCCCTGTTGGGAGGTCTCACCCAGTCAAGAGGAATGGGATCAGGGACCCGCTTAAAGAAGCAGTCTGGCTGCCCCCTGGTGGAGCAGATACGCTGTGCTGGGGGAAACCTCCCTCATCCAGACCACCCAGACTCTCCAGAGCATCCAGGTCCCACTGAAAGTAGCAGTCTGGCCATGATCTGCCACAGCAGCTGTGCTGCGCTGTGGGGAATTCCTCCCAGTTTGGACCACCCTGACTCCCAGGAGCTGGCAGGCCAGGATGGCCTACTTGAGCTGCAGAGATAGTGTCTGTCCCTCCTACACGTCCACCCAGCTCGGTCGTCTCAGGCCGTCTCCAACGTCTACCACTGGCTGGCTGGAATTACAAGACAGTGAGTCTTAGCTTGTGAGGTGCTGTGGGAGTGGGGCCCGCTGAACGACGGTGCTTAGCTCCCTGGCATCACCCCACCTTCCTAGGGGAATAGATGGATCTCCTTCCTCACAGGACTTTCTTGGGCCGGAGTTTGCGAAAACTCCTGGGTCTCCGTGTGTGGCCACGCTGCCACTGAGAGTCTGCAGAGCTCTGTGCTTTAGACCCAAGGCCCTCGGCGTCTTGGGCTCACGAGGTGATCTCCCGATCCACAGGTTGCAAAGATCTGTGGGAAAAGCGTGGTTTCCCGGGCGTGGTCTCACAATCACTCACCGCCTCCCTTGGCCGGTGGTCGGGGCTCCCCTGGCTCAGTGTTGCCCCCCGGGTGGGCCATCTCCCCACCCTGCTTTTCCTCGCTCTCTGTGAGTCGCCCCGACTAGCTATTCAGTCCCAGTGCAAGAATCTGAATACCTCAGTTGAAGGTGTAGAATTCACTCGCCATTCCGTTCTCCACGAGCGCTGCGGATTGCAGCTGCTTCTAACCAGCCATCTTGGCCCGCCTTGTGTGGGGTTTTTTTGTTTGTTTGTTTTGTTTTTTAAGGCTAGTCAAGTGAAGCAGTGGGAGTGGAGAAGAAACAAAGAAATCTGTAACTGGTTGTAATCAATTAGTAGTAAACACCATTGCACTCGGATCAGCCTGTTTGAGGGTTTTGTATCCATCCTATCCCATTCTACTTTGGCACAGAATCAGACTACATGAGTTTTTTTAATTAGCATTAAATTTTTTTTCTCCTTGATTCCTTTAATCTACCAAAAGGTGGCCATGAAAAGACTGTATATATTAGTGCAAATTTGAAAGTGATTCCAGATCATTTTTTAAATAGTTTTGTTTTGCTATTTAAGACATTTCGCTTGTCTTCTTTGCAGTCGGTTTCAGAGTATTTATTTTCACGGATATTTTAGAGCTTGTTCATGCTTTGGTTCCTTGTTTTTTCATTGCCTGATGATGTAATGAGAAGGACCCTGTTGTGAATTTTCACTTTATAAATTTACATGGTTTGAATTCTTGTGTATTGAGCTGCACACCATATCTTTTGCTTTCAGTTCATGTATGCACAGATTATAAAATAAATAACAAAAGTATTCCCTGAAAGTTGAGAGTAAGCCACATCGTGATGAAAAGTTAAGTTTTTGCCAGAATTATATTTCCAAGGCCCTGTGAGATACTCTCTAATACCCTCATTTTACAGAGCAGGGTGCAGGCTCCGAGGAGATATGCATTCACCTTTAATTTGTTAACTGTGCTCTTCCCTCAGGCCCCATTTTCCTTTTCTGAGAAGCAAGGGGGCTTGATGTGGCTCACTGGCCTTCACGCTTGCTGTTTGGACTCCAGGGGTAGATGTGATATTTGGAACTTAGGGGTAGACGTGCCTTCCTGTCTGGCCGTCACCCTCCCTCCACTGTTCACCAGCTCAGCTCTGCCTTCATCTGTTTTCCGTATTGGACTTCTGGTAAGATTTTGTCCATGAGCCAAAGCAGAGGCAGTTGGGGGAGACTTCTACAGGTAAAATGGGAGCTTGAAGACTACCGGTCCACATGGTTATCCAACTCTAAGTGCCATCCAGTTGGGACCCGTCCATCATGTTCAGTCTGGCACGCAGCACAGGGCCAGCCTGCGAAAGGTGCTCAGTCCTTGCTTGTTGAGTCATTCAGGTCTCTTCTGGCTGTAACTTTCCATGATTCTTCCAGCCAAGTGGCTGCCAAGCCAAGACCCAGGCAGGTTTCTTCACTCCTGATCTAGGCTCTCTAGCTCTGTGACCCATTGATCTGGCTACCTCGAAGAGGTATGGCTGGGCACGGTGGCTCACACCTGTAATCCCAGCCCTTTGGGAGGCTGAGGTGGGTGGACCACTTGAGGCCAGGACTTCGAGACCAACCTGGGCAACATGGTGGAACCCCATCTCTACTAAAAAAAATACGAAAATTAGCCGGGCGTGGTAGCGCGTGCCTGTAATCCCAGCTGCTTGAGAGGCTGAGGCATGAGAATTGCTTGAACCTGGAAGGTGGAGGTTGCAGTGAGCCAAGATCACGCCACTGCACTCCAGCCTGGGCAACAGAGCGAGACTCTGTCTCAAAAAAAGAAAGAGGCATGGAGGATCCAAAGTTAGGATGTCTCCTGGACTAAGAAGCCATTGTCAGTGCCTCACCTACTCCTTGATTTTCTAAATAATGATAGCTACCCGCCCACAGATTCTCCCATTATTGAAGGTATGTAAATGTTCTTAGGGATCCAAGTATGTGTGCATGAGGTCCTTAGCCTCTCTGAGCTCCAGGCTCCTCATCTGTAGAAATGGAGATAAAGCCTTTGTCCTCAGGCTGTTGTGTAAAGCACTCAGCCCAGTGCCCGTCACCCAGGAGACACACAATCAATGGTGGATATTGGTAACATACATCAAAAGCCTTAAAAAATATGCTTTCCCTTTGACTCAGTAATTCCACGAATTGAAATTTATCTAAGGAGATAATACAGTACAAGGGTATCATGGTAGCCCTGGGACAAAGTAAGTGTCCACCAGTAGGAGATTCAGAGATTATAGTATGTATATACAGTGGAATGTTATGGAGTCATTAAAAATGATAGGCTGGGTGTGGCAGCTCACACCTGTAATCCCATGCCTGTAGTCCCCCAAATTTTATGTGGCATGTTGTCTGCTTATACACATATATATGTGTGTGCACATATGTGGAGGAAAGGCTGGAAGGGTACACACCAAATGATAAGAATGGTCAGGCTAAGCAGAATTGTAAGTGACCATATATTTTTATTTTATGATTATTTTTAATGAATATGCATTTACTTCTATAATTCTATAAAAGGCAATCAAGACAAAACCATCTCTCCATTCACAACCCCTCTTTTCATTCACCCCTTCTCTGCTATTCTAAACATGATCTCTAGTTTTCATGGCTCCTCCATTTCAAAAGCCCCGTTGCTCTCCGGGTCATGTTGTTTCCAGTCTTCTAGTTCGCAGCTCCTAGTACACCAACTCTAGATTTGCCACTCCTGGCCTGCCAGCTGCCTGTTAGGCACTTTAATTTGCCTTCTCAGTTGAACCTCACAACACTCCCATGGATTGGGTCATTGTCTGCCATTTTCCTAAAAAACAGCGACTAAAGTAGACATTAAGAAGCTAATTTCCTGGCCAGGCGCAGTGGCTCATGCCTGTAATCCCAACACTTTGGGAGGCAGAGGCGGGTGGATCTCCTGAGGTCAGGAGTTCGAGACCGGCCTGGCCAACATGGTGCAACCCCATCTCTACTAAAAATACAAAAATTAGCCAGGTGTGGTGGCATGGGCCTGGAATTCCAGCTACTCAGGAGGCTGAGACAGGAGAATCGCTTGAACCCAGGAGGCAGAGGTTACAGTGAGCCAAGATCACACCATTGCACTCCAGCCTAGGCAACAGAGTGAGACTCCATCTCAAAAAAAAAAAAAAGAAGCTAATTTCCCACCTACCCTTTTCCACCCCAACTCCTATGCATCCTTCAAACCAGGCTTCAGTGACATCACCTCTAATGACCACGCCTGCCAGCGGAGTCAACCCTGTTCCCCTCTGGCTCCCTGACCCTGGGTGACAGCCTCTGTCAGCCACCATCGCACTGCACTGTAGTTGTTACCTGGGTGCTGACCTGTCTGCCCCCTCCAGACTGTGAGCTCAGTAAGAGCAGAGACTGTCTTACTCTTTTCTGTACCCAAGCATCTGGCACAGCTCTTGGCACATAGTAGAGATTCTGGAACCATCATTCAAGCAGCAAACATTCACTGGCCTACACTTCCTCTTGAGTTCCAGCCATGACTTTGATTCTGATTCCTTGGTCTGGACTGGCATCCAGAATATTCAGCATCTCAAGCTTCAGAGGACCCAACTGAGCAGGGAGGCCACAGAGGCAAGCGTCCTCTCCCTGGACATGGGAAGGAGAACATCCAGGGACAGGGAGCAGTTTCTAGGCTGTTCCAGTCTGACCTTGGAGGGACCACAAAGAAGCGTGGTGCGGCAGATGGTGTGTCCGCTGGAGAGGGGGCTGCCAAAGAAGAGGAGTCTCTTCCCTGGTTTCCCTCCTCCAGTGTTGTCTCCATCGACGCTGTCCTCCAACGCTGCAGCCACAGATAGTCATGAGAAGGCAGATCCGACCATGCCACTCTTCTGATGACAGCAGGCTGCTGTCACGGTGGGATAAATGAGCTCTGTCATGGGTGTACAGCGCCATTACTTGCCTGCACCTACCCCTTACTCTGCAATCAGGTTGTTTATTCCACCCCTAAAAAATATTGATGTAAAAATTTTACATCAGTATTATTGTTGGGCCTTTGCTTTTGCCATTTCCTCAGCTTAGCGTACCCACCTAGGACCTCCTCTCATCTGACTCACCTTTTTATCCTTTCGACTGAGCTCAGATACCACCCCAAAAGACCCAGTGCAGTGCCCCACCCTCTGGGACAGAAGCTTCTTGTGTCCACACATCTAGCTTAGCAAGTCCCACGTTGTATGGAAATCATCATTATGGCTCCATCTCTTCCCTTGACTCTGAACTACAGTGAGGTCAGGGACTGACTCTCATATACCTGGATGGTCCCAGAGGCTGGCACAGACTGAACTGGAATGAACTAGGAAAGAGTTTGAGCTGTATCTGAATGGCGTAAGGGTTTGTGCGTGGTAAAGACCAAATCCAAGTTGCTCAGGGAACAGGATAGGGCCAGGAGGGGGAAAAGAAAAAAAAGGAACTTTAAAAAAAAAAAAAGGTTGGTGAGCTCCTTGGATCAGAAAGTAGGTCTGAAACCCTGTGTGTGCCTCCCACTCCCAGTGCTAGTGAGCGTGCCCTGTTAAATTGGTGAGTTGCTTGACAGCTGAAGTAGGGATGATGGATTAGGGATAGGGAGAGGTACAGAAAAAGAAGGCAAAGAGGCATTGTTTTGTTCGCCCACCAAAGACTGCTGCTTAGGATTGCTACCGTTGATTGAAGTTTAATCAATACTAAGCATTTCATTTATTCCTTCAGTAAATATTACTGGGTACTCACTGTACGCCATGCTGGAGAATGTCATAGCCAACCCTTATGAAGTGTTCCCTTTATGCCAGGCTTGAATAGTTGTCCCCGCAACCCCACAGGGGAAGAGAGGTGGCGAGAAAGTACATGATTTGCTCGAGGTTGTGCAGCTGGTGTGCGACAGAGCCAGGCTTTGACCCAAGCCCCCAAATCCAGAGCCTGGATTTTTAACTGCTTTGCTCCAGTTTTGCCTCTGAAGAAGATCAAACAAGACAGCACTCCTGTCTTCCTAGAGCTAGTGGAATTTCTTAACAGGTTACCATTATATTCTAGCAAATTCTTATTATAGAAACCAGCTGGTTATATTCACCATTAAAAAAAAAAATTAAATCCTGGAGGAATGGTCCTCCAGAAGGCAAAGGGGAAACTACATGTGTCCTGAACCAAGTTCACACAAATAATACCCAGCACATATTCAGCTCATTTCCAGGTCTTTTTTTTTTTAACTTCCTAATGTTTAATTTTTAAAATTTGTTTTAATTCAGTGGATGCAAAATTTGGCAGATAGAAACAGGATGGAGTGGGTTGGCAGTGATCTACATGTGGGAAGAAAAAATGTAGTGAGAAAAAATAATTAATAGTTGGGATCTATTCAAATTCACATTATGTAAGGAGGGCCCTATTTTGGTTGGGTGAATCATCTTTTTTATTAAAAGGGAAATTATCAAAAAGCTATGGCTATCCTAATGCTGAATTGGGGGAAGCAGCAATAATATTGATGTAAAATTTCTAAGTAAAATACTAAATACAATATGCTCACAACTCTGGGCCGATAGAGCCTTATATAAAAGGCCTATATGGCTGGGCGCGGTGGCTCACTCCTGTAATCCCAGCACTTTGGGAGGTGGAGGTGGGTTGATCACGAGGTCAGATGATCGAGACCATCCTGGCCAACATGGTGAAACCTGTCTTTACTAAAAATACAAAAATTAGCTGGGCATGGTTGTACATGCCTGTAATCCCAACTACTCTGGAGGCTGAGGCAGGAGAATCACTTGAACCCGGGAGGTAGAGGTTGCAGTGAGCCAAGATGGCACCACTGCACTCCAGCCTGGGTGACAGAGTGAGACTCCGACTCAAAAAAAAAAAAAAGGCCTATAAGAATCAGGCCGGGTGCCGTGGCTCACGCCTGTAATCCCAGCACTTTGGGAGGCCGAGGCTGGCGGATCACAAGGTCAGAAGATTGAGACCATCCTGGTCTAACTTGGTGAAACCCCATCTCTACTAAAAATACAAAAAATTAGCCAGGAGTGGTGGCGGGCGCCTGTAGTCCTAGCTACTTGGGAGGCTGAGGCAGGAGAATGGCGTGAACCCGGGAGGCAGAGCTTGCAGTGAGCCGAGATCCCGCCACTGCACTCCAGCCTGGGCGACCGAGCGAGACTCCGTCTCAAAAAAAAAAAAAAAAGAATTTGGAAAATTCAATCTATTTTTAAACTTCATTCGATGTATTTTGTAAAGAACGTATTTGTAAAAGACGAATATGCTGTTTGTGGCAGTAAATAATGCAATGTTTTAGCAGAAGCAATGGCATAATAATTGAACATTCATGTAGCACTTTAGAGTTTAGCAAGGTTTTTGTTTTGTTTGTTTGTATTTTTAGACAAGATCTAGCTCTGTCACCCAGGCTGGAGTGCAGTGGCGCAATCTCAGCTCACTGCGACCTCTGCCCACTGCGACCTTTGCCCCCGGGCTCAAGCAGTTCTCCCACCTCGGCCTCCCAAGTAACTGGGACCACAGATATGTGCCACCACATCCAGCCAAGTTTTTGTATTTTTGGTAGAGACGGTTTCACCATGTTGCCCAGGCTGATCTCAGACTCCTGAGCTCAAGCAGTCCACCTACCTTGGCCTCCCAAAGTGCTGGGATTACAGGCGTGAGCCACTGTGCCTGGCCTAGTTTAGCAAGTATTTTTACAGTTTGAGTTTTCACAAAGACTTTTAGCCCATGTGCAACTTTGCTCTTTTATCACAAGGAAATGAGGCAACTAAAAGGAACTTTTAGTTCCATGGAGAAACAGCTGATTTTAGAGCAAGGACAGGGAAGGAACAACGGAAGCTTGGAATGAGAAGTGCTCAGACTATGAGGGGGACATGTCAGAAGGTCATGGGAACCTGCTTGACGGGGCTCCCCATCACCTGGGACAATTTGAAGATCAAAGTCAATAGTATTAGTAATGGATTACAACCTCTTGAATAAAGTAAGAACCCATGAGTCTCTACTAATGTAAATGAATGAATAAATAAATAACTGGGAGAGGAGGCAGAACTCCTCCTTAGAAAGCTGACTAATGAATGCAGAGGGAAGGATGGAGTGAGAAAGATCACCACTTGCCAGCCATCATCACAATCACTCATTCAGGCCAGAATCATTAGTGGAATTAAAATAAGGCCGTTGAGGTTTGAGGGGTAACATGTTTACATAGCCTCAGAGTACCTCCCTAACAAGACACTTTTCATTACAAAAGATAAAATGGTAACTCTCCAGTGGAGAGACCTGGCAGGTGTCCCCTTAACCAGATGATCCCCGGTGACCCCACCAGCAGTGGGACTCATGTGCCCAGGTGGGATGCAGTGACATTAACTCAGCACCCCATCTCTGTGTCCCTGCCAAATGTGTTTTACCCAAGCTAATCTCAAGGAAGCATTAAACCACATTACAAGAAGCAGCCACATAACTGGAGGCTAAATATAACTGGAGGCTAAATATAACTGGAGGCTAAACATGCAACTGAATGCAATCTATGATCGTGGATTTTCTTTTGCTATGAAGGTTATTATTTGGACAATAGGCAGTATCTCAATAAGTCTGTAGATTAGTGTTGTTTCAGCATTAATTTTCTAATTTTGATGATTACACTTTGGTTATTTAAGAGAGTTCATTGTTTTTAGGACATACACACTGAAGCATTTTGGGGAGGGAAGGATGGGAGGAAGGATTTCCCAGGAAGGGACGCTGCTGTCATAGGACTCAGACCACAGAGTTGGCACCTCTCGGCACAGGCTTCCATTTGAAGGGAAATGGGCCACGGCCCCGTCAAGCCTCAGCAGCTCCCTGGGAAGACATGAGGGGCAGCTGCCTTGCCTCTTCCCACCCTGTTCCTCTGTCTGTTTGCGTAGGCTGTTTCCCCCTGAAAATGCCCTCTTCCCTCCTCACCTACCTGGAGAAAGGCCAGCTGGGAGGTTTCAAGGAAGGAGATGTAGATGGACAGTTCAGAGCCCTGGCTTCTCCTTCTCACATAGCTACCAACAAGAGAGGGAAGTGGAGAGTGGCCATGGGATCCCTGCAGACCTTGGCGTCCTCCCCTGCATGATGAAGGGCCTGGACCAGCTGGTCTTTGTGGCTTTCCAGCCACTTCCTACAAACTTGTCCCTCTCAGACTCATCAGTCTCAGCTTCTCTGCAAGCCCCTAGAAAGCCTGCCCTTGGCCTCAGGAAAGAAGCTGTGGTCCCAGCCCTGAGAGATTGACTTTTGGATCTCCTTTCTGGTGTAGGTGGTGCTGTGAGTGGATCATATATTCAGACTTTTAGGACATTGCATTGATTTCTGTGGACACTAGGTTTTTCAGTAAACTCACAGGTGTGCAGTTTGCAGACAGCTTGCTTGGCAGTTTGCTGGTTCATTCTTTCCTGCGCCATGTGTATGAGGAACCTGCCATGTCCAGGCCAGTGCTAGGCACACAGGGTCAGCTAGACACGGCAAGCTCTAGAGCTGCAGGGTGTACCTTATAGTCCTGTTGGAACAGTTTTGTAAAGTCAGTTTTCGTTGTGATGAGAGAGTGGTAGGCAGGAGAACTAGAAGCCCCAGCCTGGTTCACTGTTGATTGTATGAACTTGTCTTAACCAGATAACCTCTCTGAGTCTCAGTTTCCCCATCTGCTAAATGGGCATAGCGGTCTCACTCTCCTGCCCATCCTGCCCTCCTCTTAGAGCTGTGGCCCTTAAAGGGAATAATTTTATGTAGTGCTTTATGAATATGAGGTGGTCTTGTTGTTAATCCCTCAACATGCATAGATAAAACTGCTTTGAAAAATGTAGGGTCTTAAACACAAAGAGAGAATGGCAGTATTGTCTCTACCCTCTACTGATCTTAAAAGAAGGAGTGCTGCTAGGATGCAATGGTAAGGAATCAGAGAATCAAGCTGTGGCTTGTTATGGAGGAAGCCCATGGGGCCGCCTCCCTCTGCGGAACATATGTCTGTGCTGTGTCAGCCCAAAGCCCAGAACCTGGTCCTTAGCAAGGGGACTGACTATGGCCTTGTCATTCCAGTGCACCAGGTGGCGGAGCGGGTGGAGGCCCTGGGGCAGTTTGTCATGAAGACCAGAAGGACCCTCAAAGGCCACGGGAACAAAGTCCTGTGCATGGACTGGTGCAAAGATAAGAGGAGGATCGTGAGCTCGTCACAGGTATGTCACACCTGCTGCATAACAGGTGAGCGGGTTTTGGATTTTATAGCTAAGGGGGAGGAGAGCTGTCCCTTTCCAAAAGCCCTTTTCTGATCTTTGTGACTTTGCTCATTCTCCAAAGGATGTGATTTAGCATAAAGAACTCTCTTACATATTATAGAACTTCATAATTTGGGTAGATTTAAAGTTGGTAATAGTTGAAACAGTAGACTATATGTAACCAATATGATGAACCATTGAAAATAATTTCAAAGTCTTATTTGTAAATGAAACCAGTTTTTAAATAGTTTCTTTTTTTTCCAAATTGAGGGCGTAAGATTCTGTCAATGACTTTCTTTCAATTTAAGGAGCTTAGCAATTCTTATGTCATAAAGAACAATGTTAAGATACAGATCTTGTAAAATACAATTTTAAAAATCATATCATTTACAGTTTATTTTATATATTATTTATTAGTTATCTATTCCTCCAAAAAATTACCCCCAAATTTAGCAGCTTAATTATCTCGCATGGTTTCTGAGAGTCAGGCATCTGGGAGTGGCTCCATTGGGTGGTTCGGGCTCAGGTGGTTTGTGAGGTTGTGTGAAGATGTTGGTCGGGGCTGTGGTTGCCGACAGCTGGACTAAGGTGGAGACTCACTTCCAGGGTGCCCTGTTCACGTGGCTCTTGGCTGGAGGCCTCAGTTCCTCACCATTGGACCTGCTCACAACATGGTAGCTGGCCTCTCCCAGAGCGAGTGATCCACAAGAAGGGGCAGAGGCAGGGCCATGCCATATTTCATGACCTGGCCTCAGAGGTGACAGTCCATTGCTCCTGTTGTATTCTGTTGGTCACACAGAACAACCCTGATACACAGAGGAAAGAGACTATAGAAAAGTGTGACTATCAAGAGGCTGGAATGATTTGGGACTCACTTGGAGTCTGGCTCCCACAGCTTAGTACTTTTGATGTCTATTTTTATGTAACATGTATTGAACATAAAGCTATAAACTGAAGTCACATGACATATTCTACAGGCTGGTTATAGTGGCTCATGCCTATAATCCTAGCACTTTGGGAGGCCAAGGCAGGAGGATCACTTGAATCCAGGAGTTCGAGACCAAATGGTGAGACCTCGTCTTTATAAAAATAGAAATACAGAATCAGCTGGGCATGGTGGTGCGTGCCTGTAGTGCCAGCTACTTGGGACGCTGAGGTGGGAGTATCGTTTGGGTGTAGGAGGTCAAGGCTGCAGTGAGCTGAGATTATGCCATTGCACTCCAGCCTGGGCAACACAGTGAGACCCTGTCTCAAAAAAAAAAAAAGAGAGATATTCAGCCAGGCATGGTGGCTCACGCCTGTAATCCCAGCACTTTGGGAGGCCGAGGCGGATGGATCACCTGAGGTCAGGAGTTCAAGACTAACCTGGCCAACATGGTGAAACCTCGTGTCTACTAAAAAATACAAAAATTAGCTGGGCATGGTGGTGGGAGCCTGTAATCCCAGCTACTCGGAAGGCTGAGGCAGGAGAATCGCTTGAACCTAGGAGGCGGAGGTTGCAGTGAGCTGAGACCATGCCACTGCACTCCAGCCTAGGCAACAGGGCGAGACTGTTTTTTTTTCTCCAAAAAAAAAAAGATATTATATAAATCCTATTTTTATGATCAGCATAGGTTTCTCCCAACCCCTGCCTTGTGCTCAGTTTTTCCAAAAGCAGGTTGGTTTGCTTTTTTTTATAACCCTTGTGAAACTGGATATACTCTAGATAATCCACAAACTGTAACGTCTGTGTCAGTTTTGCGTTTGATAGGACAAATGTTATTACTCTCCTAGATTACCTACAAATCTAGTATGTCACATTGCACTTGCTTTTTTTTTAAGATCAAAATAAATTTATCACTTATGTATTCTACCACATTAAAGAAACAAACAAATAAAAACCTTTTACTCCCACCATCCTGTCACAACCATTATTATTTTTTTCTTTTTCTTTTTTCTTTTCTTGAGATGGGGTCTCACTCTGTTACCCAGGCTGGAGTGCAGCTCACTTCAGCCTTGACTTCCTGGGCTCGAGTGATCCTCCTGCCTCAGCCTCTGAAAGCACTGAGATTATAGATGTGAGCCACCTTGCCCTGCCCATTATTATTATTTTAGAGCACTTCTTTCTAGTCTTTTTCAAGAGCTTATTCTTATAAGGTGCTTATCAGGATATCCATGTCGCTCTCTAGCCTTTTGACTTCTTAAATCCAGACAAGGTAGGCTTTGTGTTGGGTTTTCTGTCACTCACATACTGCTGTTGGGAGGGAGGACCTTCAGCAGGGCTGGGCACACACTGTCCATCCCTCTCTGCTCCAGAGCAGGAAGAGGTGGATGTGGGTGTGGGGAGGAGGCTGGAAAGCAGGAAGCCTCTGGAACAGACTTGGACTCATCAACAGCCTTCCTGCTTAGATGCAGGAGAGTAGTCACCCCAGCCATGTGGGATTAAGGCTTGGGGATAGAGGCACATTCTCTCTGGGTACGTAGGCCCCTGCACATAAATCTGTGCTCACCGAGGAGACCACACTTAGTTTAATGAGACGCCAGAGCACACAGTGGGTGGCACACACAGGGACTCCAGAGCACACATGGGGGACAGGCAGGCAGTGAGGTGGAAGAAGCCCCTAACGTGGTCGCTGATGTGGGCAATGCTAGGAACCAGTCCCCAGCCATCAGGGGCTCCAGGTGTGGAGGACCCCACGATACAGGTGTGTGGCCCCACTCCAGTTTCTGCGCTAAAGGCTTACTGAATCCACCCCACACACTGTGTGTGGCCATTTAGGCAGAATTAGACCAGAAGAACCAATGTGCTTTGGAATCTCAGAAGGCCCCCAAACCACCAAATTTGACCTTGCTTCAGGGTCCATCTGCCATGCATGGCATTAACACAGAAATGTTCCGTCAGCTCATGCAAAGCAAGCAGCTATGTCACTGCAGATCCGATCTTGCTTCTGCCCTTAAGTGATGTTTTCCATCCATATCTCTGCCACCTCATTCACCAAAGTTTGGCCCCAGATGGCTTGAGTGATTAAAAAATTGAGCCTGCCATAGAGGCTGTAGATTTCCGATCCCTGAGGATCTGATCCTCTTCCACTGCCTGCCCAGCAACCTGCATGCCATGGTCTGGGCAGAGGACTGCTTTGCAGGGACCAGGGCTCACATGGATTTACCTCTAATGGGTTTTCATTACAAATAGATGATGCTGTAGTCACAACCCACACCCATGGGAGGCCACAGCTGGGTTACAGTGAAAGTGGCAGCATTCTCTGTGGCAGGGCCAGCTCTGCGTTCACCCTGGCAGGGAGTGCTGTTTGCTTACTGATTGGCTGCCCACAGGGGTTCCCACCACGATGGGTGCATATCGCATGTTGTTCTCAGTGTAGGTGTGAAATGTCAGAGCTGGAGCTGTGACATCTGTGAGCACCTGGAGGAATTAGACTGATCTCAGGCCCATACAGCCCCCTCCGCAGCTGTCCCTGGCAGAGAAATGGACAGAGAATGGGGAGGGGGGTTCCTGGATGGTGCCGCAGGGACCATGGACTCCAAAGCAAATCGGGGAAAGGACAAAGCAGTGGAGATGTTGTGGGAGAAAAAGATTTATTATTTACCTGTCAGGTGCCTAAAGGTAATGTCAGCTTTATCTTTCCCCTGTATAATTTGTTGACATTTAGGGTATGGCAGGTGACGATAGTGTACCAACAATTTGTGCGTGGTTTGCAAATGGTATGAAAGAAGTGTCTGCGTGTTGTTTCCTGTAGTTGTATCTTTCCAAGGAATGTAAGGTTGAGAACTGATCCTTTGGCTCTGCTGGAACATCCAGCCCCTCCTGCACTCACCCCACTTTTTTTCATGGATAGATTAGGGGGTCTTGATTATCCAGATCCTCATTCTGGCTTTCTACTTCACACTGCCCTGCTGGACACAGCTTTTATGAGGAATTCTCAGCAGTAATCTGTAAGAACTTGACAACCCCTAAACTGTTTGCTCTTCTCCCTCCAGGATGGGAAGGTGATCGTGTGGGATTCCTTCACCACAAACAAGGTGAGGCATTGTTCCCAGCCACGTTATAGAGGCTTCAGAATCCCAGCCTACTTAAAGGTGCTCTGGTCCAGCTGCCCGGCCCTGTCCTGATTTCTCTCCATGTATCCCTGCAAGCAGTTGCCTCTACGGATGGAAACCCCAAGAAGGCCTATCCGTGTTTGAACAGCTCAGCCAGCCCATTGCAGCATTTATTCCCCTCTCGCCCCAAGAGGACAATTAGAGCCACCATAGGGGCTGCCAATACCAACATGGAAATGGGCAAAGCATGGAAAACTTGCAACCACATGTGCAACTGCATGTACTATTTGTCTTCTGAGTGATAAGAGGCACCAAAATTCTCCATTCTCTCTCCCCTCTCTTTGACCAGACTCCATAGCCCTGTGGGAATGAACACGTGGAGGGTGGGGAAGATGAGGCTGCAGTGGGACTGGGCAGAGCTACCCTGTGATGCAGTCTGATCCCCTTGCAAGTCTGGCTTGGGCATGCACAGCTCAACTTAGATTTAAATTTTAGCTCTTAATGAAAATAAGACCAAAACCTATGTGCAGGTATGCTGGAACACCTGCATTGCATTGGCATTTACAATAAAGAGTATTGTGTATTAAATAAGAATTCCTATATTTATTTAGAAAGCCTTCCTTTATGCTATGAAAAACATGAGACCTGTCTCTGTCTCATAGTGAACAGCAGCCATATTCTGCATTGTTGAATGTGTTTAGTCAGTGTCATGGGAAGCAGCCGGTACATGACCTGGTCAAGTGAGGGGCCGAAACCATTTTGTAGAGTCGAGTCCCTAATGGTCAGTCCCCTGAGGAATAAAAATGACAGCAATCTGCACAGGGCTTTGCTATACAGCGCCTAGCTCCTTGGAAGCCTTCATCTCTCTCAGCACCTTCTGGACTATGCAGGGGTGTAGTTGCTTCTGTTTCCACCTTATCCTGGCATAGAGCACAGACTGATTTCTGGGGAGCCGAGGGTGCCACTTGTGGCCCGTGGCAGGGAATATAGCCATTACTTGTGAGGAAAGGGGCCTGGGATACCCTGTGCTGAGAGTGGCTACCTCAGCTCGTTCTCTGGAGAGCAGTAGATTATTCTTGGCCTCTGAAAGCCTACCAGGCTGCTATCGACAATAGTATTTGGGCAGACAGTATTGGGGCCTGTGTTTCCCCACAAAAACACATGTAATTATAACAGAAAAGAAGACCAGCACTTGAATGTACATTGGAAGCATTAAGAACTAAGTGCGCCCATCCCTGGCTGCTGGCTGGCTGAGTCACCCCTATCCTCCTGCATGCAGATATGCAAACAACAGAGCCATGTTTCCAACACATCTGAGCCTGAGGTTTTATTCCCATGGGAGACGTGGACCCTGGTCCTGGTTCTACCACCACCAAGATGTGCAACCGCACACAGGCCAGCCATGTGTGCCACGGTGGTTCTCATTCTTCCTCTGTGAAGCCAGAAGCCAGGGACTGTTGTGCTTAGTTCTTAATGTTTCCATTTTACCAGTTCTCATTATCCGTGAGCACAACCCAAGATCACCCTCCCCTCCCCTGACCCATTCATACCTTCCCTGGGATGGTTTAGGGCTCATAGTGGACACAGGCTCTTGCAGATTCACAAGTAAACAGACTTAAAATACAAATATAAAAAGTCATTCCAGAGTATATTTTGAAAATGGAAATCAGAGTAAATAAGGAAAAGTATATATCTGAAAGGAGATTTGGGCATACCTTCCAAAGAAAAGGGGCCCTGATAGGCAGAGGAACAAAGGGAGTATGACATTAAGGAGGAAGTAAAACATGAAAGGTTTTTTTTTTTTTGCTTTTGCTAGTTGAGCTTTTTAACTTTTCGAATATGTGACATCAAGTTGATTATAAGAGTCCCCTCATAAGTCTTGAGCCCATCTTTACCCCGTACCACTTCCTTTTGAAACTATAATGTAATTCAGTAGGCATCTGGTGATTTTATTTTCTAAAATTTAAACATTAAGATTTTTGTGGCTGGGCATGGGGGCTCACACCCGTAATCCCAGCACTTTGGGAGGCCACGGTGAGCAGATCACTTGAAGTCAGGAGTTCGAGACCAGCCTGGCCAACATGGCGAAACCCCATCTTTACTAAAAATACAAAAATTAGCCTGGCATGGTGGCGCATGCCTGTAATCCCAGTTAGGAAGCTGAGATAGGAGAATTGCTTGAACCCCGGAGGCAGATGTTGGAGTGAGCTGAGATTGTGCCACTGCACTCCAGCCTGGGCAACAGAGTGAGACTCCATCTCAAAAAAAAAGAAAAAAAAAAAAGATTTTTGTGTGGAAGTGCTAGTTGTTCACTCTGTGCTGTGTTTCAGGAGCACGCGGTCACCATGCCCTGCACGTGGGTGATGGCATGTGCTTATGCCCCATCGGGATGTGCCATTGCTTGTGGGTAAGTTGGAGCTACAGCAGCTTTTCAGAATTTGTGTTAACCATAGAATACTGTTCTCTTGGCAAAAACAAACAAACAAGAACTCACAGTTTTTGTTGTTTAATTGTTTAGCAGTATGCTAAATCCTTCCCTGAACTTGATCAAAGAAGAAACCATAAGCCAGCACAGTGGTGCCTGCTTGTAATCCCAGCCACCTGGGAGGCTGAGGTGGGAGGATCACTTGAGCCCAGGAGTTCAAGTCCACCCTGGCAACATAGCAAGACCCCATCTCTTTAAAAAAAAAAAAAAAAAACAAAACCATAAAACTCTCTTTCATAATTATTTTCATTACAAACTGACAGTAGTTACATTTCAAACCTATCTCCTGCTCTCTCAAATGCTTTTGGCAGAACCATAAACGTTGCAAACATTTTGGAAAGCAACTTGGTAATGTCTGTCAGAAGCCTTGAAAAATGGATAGCCTTTGATCTGGTGACTCCACATCCAGGAACTCATTTGAAAGGAATGATCCAAAACATAGAAAAGCCATATGGACAATGACATTAATTGTAGTATTTTTAAAAATGAAGCAAAAAGTACCAGGCGTGGTGACTCTTGCCTGTAATCCCAGTACTTTGGGAGGCAGAGGCAGGAGGATCACTTGAGCCCAGGAGTTCGAGACCAGCTTGGGCAATGTGATAATAATACCTTGTCTCTACAGAAAAAAAAAAAAAAAAAAAAAATCTAATTAGCTGGGTGTGGTGGTATACAACTGTAGACCCAGCTATTCTGGAAGCTGAGGTGGGAGGACTGCTTGAGCCTGGGAGATTAAGGCTACAGTAAGCTGTGATCATGCCACTGCAGTCCAGCCTGGGTGAGAGTAAGACCCTGTCTCAAAAATAAAATAAAGCAGAAAAGGAAAGGAAAAAGGAACCAACATACCCATCCAAGAAAACTTAAGTGAATTGTGGTACACGAATTGAATGGAATATCATACAGCCATTAAAAAGGAAAATTCTCAATTACACTGTGTGAAAAGGGCATCAAGATTACTAGGAAGAGTGTGCCTTATTCCCTATTCTCCTGGAGCTCAGTTTAACAGGGTTAACAATGAGAACTGAAACCGACATAATTCCCAGTCCCTGTGTTGAACAACTCTGAGACCATTCAAAATATTTCTGCCACAGTATCTCAGCCATGTTTTTAAAAAGAGGCATATTAGGCCGGGCAAGTGGTGGCTCACGCCTGTAATCCCAGCACTTTGGGAGGCTGAGACTGGCAGATCACGAGGTCAGGAGATCGAGACCATTCTGGCTAACATGGTGAAACCCCGTCTCTACTAAAAATAAAAAAAAATTAGCCGGGCACGGTGGCGGGTGCCTGTAGTCCCAGCTACTCGGGAGGCTGAGGCAGGAGAATGGCGTGAACCCAGGAGGCGGAGCTTGCAGTGAGCCAAGATCGCGCCACTGCACTCCAGCCTGGGGGAGAGAGCGAGACTCCATCTCAAAAAAAAAAAAAAAAAAAAAGTCATATTATAAAGGCTGGGAGGAACTATACCAAATAAAATAGTAGTTCTTTCTGGATGATGGGACTATGGGGATTTTTCTTCTTATAATCAGGAAGAAAGAATTTTATTTTAAAGAGGAAAAGCCCGAGTCCCCAGGCAAATGCTTTGGAGCCCTCTCCAGCCAGTCACACCAACCATCTTCTCCAGTGTCCCTTCCCTTAGGGTGGCTGCTTTGGGGACATAGTCTCACTCTCCTTCCAGTGGCCAAGACCACTTGTCCCTTTGGAGCCCATGTTCACATACATGTATTTCACTCTTTTTATTTTTTGAGATGGAGTCTGGCTCTGTCACCCAGGCTGGAGTGCAGTGGCATGATCTCGGCTCTCTGCAACCTCCGCTCCCTGGGTTCAAGCAATTCTTCTGCCTCAGCCTCCCAAGTAGCTGGGACTACAGGCGTGCACCACCACGTCTGGCTAATTTTTGTATTTTTTTTTTTGCAGAGATGGGGTTTTACCATGTTGGCCAGGGTGGTCTCGAACTCCTGACATCAAGTGATCTGCCTGCCTCAGCCTCCCAAAGTGTTGAGATTGCAGGTGTGAGCCACTGCACCCGGCCCATATTTTTTAATTTTTAAAATAGCTCAAAAGTGGATTGTGTCTCCACTTTATAGATGGATGCCAGTATTTATATAAAATTTATTACCATCTACTTCCTAAAAGGATAAGAGGTGCTATAATAAAAGATATATATGTAAATATATATATATTTGTACTACATGTGTAACACATCTATTAGAGAAAGCAAGCAAGAGAGAAATAGGCCACAATTATAAGGTTGGTGCAAAGGAGTTTAGCCAACTCCAGTTAGAAGGCACAGTTCCAAGACTGCCCCTTGCTTCAGATACTGGCTGCAAATTTGAGGGTCCCCACAACCCCAGGAATTCACTAAAACAACTCGCCAAACTCATGAAAGTGCTGTACTTACTACCACAGTTTTATTACAGTGTAAGGGTACAAATTAGAACCAACCAAAGGAGGAGACCCCTGGGGCAGAAGCCAGGAGGCATCCAGACATGGAGCTGCGAGTCATCGTCTCCCTGGTGTGGTCACTGACGGCGTTGTTTCCTCTTGGCCACGGTGTATGGTAATACATGCAGAGTATTGCCAGCTGGGGAAGCTCCTCTGAGCCTTAGGTGTCCAGAGGTTTTATTGGGGGCTTGACCACACACTGCCTGTGTGGTTTACCTTTATAAAGTCTTCAGTCTCTAGAAGTTCGGGCAGATACCTTTAGTCTCAAGTTCCTCTGGAGATCAGACCTGATATGATGCATCCAAAAGCCCCCATCATAAATCACATTATTAAACTGGTGGCCAGAGCCCCCAAGCAAACCAAGCCACTCTTACCAGGCAGGACATTCCAGGGGCCCAGAGATCACTTCCAAGTAGCTGAGGGCAAAAGCCAGACCTCTGCTGCAGTGTCAGTTCTTCACTACTCAGTAGGAATCGTAAGTTCTCCACATTTTTTTATATCCTAGGGTAATATGTTTCTAGTTGGACATGAATTTTAGCAGATGCATAGAGCTGGATGTGTTACATAATCTGTCAATATCCAATATTGAAATATTAGATATGCAGTTCTAAATTACAGAAAGAATATATTGGGTAGGCCCTTCTGCAATGTGTAGTGAATATGATAACAGTGAACAATGTCTTCAACAGTAGTTTAGGAAATGATGCTGTGGCTGTTTCTTAATTTTACCCTCACTAAATGGAATGCAGCGGAAGAATTCCCATGGGGGTAGCGGGA
Source organism: Homo sapiens (assembly GCF_000001405.40). Taxonomy (NCBI): domain Eukaryota; kingdom Metazoa; phylum Chordata; class Mammalia; order Primates; family Hominidae; genus Homo; species Homo sapiens. Next base: position 52,144,167 of record NC_000015.10, on the reverse strand, counting down.
CGGAAGGAAGAGAGCAGCCTTACCAGGCCCGGATAGATAGCTTTCTGGTGACTCAGCGTGGTGCAGAACAGAATTCAGAGTGGAGGGATGGCTGGCGCCCTGATCTTTGTCATCTCTGTTTCCCCACCCTGGCATGTGGGAGGTGCTAGCACCTTTCCTGGCTGCCTCACTGGCTGTTACGAGGGCCAAACAGAGGAAGTTCAAGGCATGAACATTTGTGAAGGCATTTTTCAAAATGTGGCGGTCTAGTGGATGAGAGAGCGTCAAAGACGAAACTAATACTGACTCCTTATCGCAGGTAAAAGTACCATCTCCCCTTCCCAGACCTTTCCCAAAACTGCTAAGAGCAGCTGTGATTCATTTGAGTTTCTAGTGGTAAGTCTGACATAATGTTTCCCAACCATGACTGTGTGACATCCCTGTGACTCTGTTATCTGTAATAGACCCACACCGATGCCACATTCTCTAAAAGTCATTGTAGGTAATAATGGGGATATTTTTTATCTCAATTTACCTGGCTCCTGGGTCTCCCTCTCAGTTGTTTCCAAACTTGAAAGCTAAAACCCAAATGGTATTGCCACAATCCCCTTTCCCCCAAAAATGTGTCAATTGGTTATATATACAAGTATTTCTTATTTAGGAGCCATATCCCCAAGAAGCTTTCATTCAGGTATTGTACACTTACTATGATCTCATGTGTGCAAGGCACTGGGCCAGGTGTCATACTGGAATTCAAAGATGAATACGTAACCAAGATCACAACATTAGTTAGGTACTAAAGCAGAGATTCGACACTGGATGCATCACCCTGCAAAACCTTCCTGCTTCTCATAGCAATGCGAATAACCCTAAGTAATAAGTATCTCAACAGAGAAATTACTCAGGATGGGGAGGATGTATCCCAGCTCAGGGGTCAGGGAGGACCATAGTCCACAGCATGCTTGTCCCCTTACCATAGCCTAAGTGCAAATCATTCTCTACACATTCTGTTTTTTTTTTTTCTCTTTTTTTTAGTCAAAGAATCTCACTCTGTTGCCCAGGCTGGAGTGCGGTGGTGTGGTCTCAACTCACTGCAACCTCCACCTCCCAGGTTCAAGCAATTCTCCTGCCTCAGCCTCCCAAGTAGCTGGGATTACAGGCACCTGCCACCTTGCCCAGCTAATTTTTGTATTTTTAGTAGAGATGGGGTTTCTCCATGTTGGCCAGGCTGGTCTTGAACTCCTGACCTCAGGTGATTGGCCTGCCTGGGCCTCCCAAAGTGCTAGGATTACAGATGTGAGCCACCGTGCCCAGCCTCCTCCGCACATTGTATAAACAAGTTTGCCAAAGCTAATTACTGATAAGAAACTACCCAAGAATACACCTGTGTACCTCCCAAGCAGCTGGAAAAGCAGAAGGGACCCTTGGCTTTCCCAGTGCCTCAGAAAAAAGTGACCCCATTTTAAATATTGTTCCCTACAAAAAGAAAGCAGGGCACCTTAGGGTAAGGCTGAGGTTAGGTCTTTGGGAGGAAAAGAATAAAGTGAGGCTAGGATATTTTCTTGTTCTAGAAAGTAAAGGAACGTTCAAGGACCAATAGGGGTCATACATATATTAAAAAAAAAAACACAGCTGGCTTGAAGAGGCCCCAAATTTGGGGTAATTTGAGCATCAAATGTAGTAATGATAATAATGGATCATGATACAATTAAGAAAAAAAAACAAATTTATGGGTGTACAGTGATACTGGGAAGGAGGATTTTTCATTACAGAAAAACACCAGCTAATAAATACGGAAGACATTATCAAAATAAATCACCCTTTTGCACCCCTAAAGTAATATCTGATTCAAGCAAGGATAATCATGTAAAGCCTTTGTATGAAAGGTGGTTGGAGAAAATGATATTTTTATGGTCTCAAAATATCACACCACAGATTATTACTGATTACAAACAAATTACCTTTACCCTGGAGATATCTAGTGGTCCACCTTAACCAAGTAATCAAAGTTGGCTTTACCAATCTTGGAAGAGACATTACAAGCCTTGTGACATGAAGCAATAAGAAAGAAGTACACAGTAGCACCTTGATACTCTTATTGGCAAAATGTTCTACAGTACTTTAACCATTAAGAAACCATCTGACAAATCCACCATATGCGACATTCTATAAACAGCCAATCTAAGATTTCCTGTCATGAACAACAAACAGTAGGTAGTGTCTGTTCTAGGTTAAAAGATCTTAAAAAGACATAACAAATGAATGCAATATGTGAGCCTTGGTTGGTCCCTGGATCCTGGCGACAATCAGGGAAGATTGAATATGGCTGGCTTATTAAATGGTGTTATGGAGGTTTTGTTGATTTTCTCAAATGTGATAAGGATGTGGTAGATAGACAGGAGAATGTTCTTATTTTTAGGAGATGTAAATTTGCAAGTGGAAGTGTTTAGAAGGAAAATGTCATATCTGCAGTTTGCAGTCAAATGGTTCAGAATTTGCTCCTGTAGATATGACAAAATGTTAAGTCTGTGAATCTAAGGGAAGGGATCTGGGTGTTCAGTATACTATTTTTTTTTTCAGTTTTACAGTAGGTTTGAAAATCTTCAAACTGGCCAGGCACAGTGGCTTACACCTGTAATCCTAGCACTTTGGGAGGCCAAAGGAGGATTGCTTGAGGCCACGAGTTCGAGGCCAAGAGTTCAAGACCAACCTGGCCAACAGAGCAAGACCCTGTCTCTATTTAAAAAAAAAAAAAGAAAGAAAGAAAAGAAAATCTTCAAAGTAAAAGTTGGAGGAAAGGGTACAATATATGATACTGCTAAAGAGAATATGTTGAAAAGTTCATGTGATTGGAAAAGTAGACACATATTCTGTGACTCTGCATTAATCTTTGGTACTTCTTTCTTTCCATCCTAGTGGTTTGGATAATAAGTGTTCTGTGTACCCCTTGACGTTTGACAAAAATGAAAACATGGCTGCCAAAAAGAAGTCTGTTGCTATGCACACCAACTACCTGTCGGCCTGCAGCTTCACCAACTCTGACATGCAGGTAAATAGGCAGCCCCCGGTGTCAGGTTGACCTGCCAAGGAGCACTAAAGAGGAGCTGAGAGGAGAGGAAGCTTTCGGCGTCTCTCTGAACAAGATGGCTGTGCTCCAGTAGTTTGCTCTAAGAGGAAGCTCCTATTGTTTCTCATTAGTTATTATTATTTTAATAACATGAGAAGGTTGGGGCTAGTGATTGTTGGTAGTGTTGAGATAAAACTGCATGGCATATTGAAAATCCTCCTCTGATTGACTTGGCGAGGGTGGGAGTGGAGCAGGGAACCCCCTGGGGTGCAGGCAGTTACTGTGCCCTGGTCTGCGTGCTAACGTGTGTAAAGCTTCACTGAGCTGTCGGGCTTCAGAGCTGTGCACTGCATGCATCTCACTTTACAGTCCTGTTTTAACCAATGCAAAAAGAAAATGCTTCACCATATTAAATCTTTGCTCTACTTTAAATACACTACAGTGAAAACAACACAACCTTTATCACTTTAAGTTTTCTTTAGCAAGTGGTGAAAGCACCGCATCGTTTATTTATTCACACTTATTCAGCAAACCTTCTCAGTACCTACTACCCATATTGCCAGATACCACGTGGCTCTGGGGCCAAAAGCTCAGTCTTGGCCCTCAGGGACCTTCATGAAAACCAATAATGGTTGGACAGTGGGGGAACTGGGGAGCTCCGAGCAGGAGGGGTTGGTCACAGACTTGCTGCTGCCAGTGAAGAGGGACCGCTGCCACTCCAGGCGGCCACAGAGTGTGAGGGAGCACAGTGGGAGGCAGGCAGCCGAGAGGTGGGTGGGGCCAGATCCCAGGGCTCCCTGAGTGCCTGGGCTGGACCCTGTAGGTGACGGGAGCCCTTGCAGGGGTGAGTCAGATTTTGGTTTGTTTAAAAGAGAAAAGTGTCTGAGTTAGATTAAAGCCTTCCATAGTTTACTCTGGCTTCAGTGAATTGATGTCAGGAGGGATGGGGAGGTTAGAGGCAGGGAGGTCAGGTGGCTGGGTAATTGTTCAATTGCTGACTGGAGGGATGTTGGGACTTGCAGTGTCACCATTGTGCCCCTGTTGTTTACACCTATTATTTGAGCCTAACCAGGAATCTTGCAGACTTGTTCACCAGGGGGCGCTGTGGCCACTGACTGGTGCAGTGGCCAAAATGAGATGTCTTTGGGCCTGAGGCAAACCAAAGCAACAGAGGACATTTAGGCTGGATGAAGGCAGGCTCAGGGGGCTACCACGACCATCAGGCATCTGAAGCCCCTCTGTGGAGACCCATCAGACTCGCTCTGTGTTGCCCCGGGGCAGGGTTGGGGATGAAAGGGGGCACCAGTAGGTGAGAAAGTGCTTTCTTTTCCAACAAGCAGCTTAGCCGGAGATAAAGGGAAGTCACAGCTGGCTACCTCGGCGGGGACGCGGCCTGGGAGGCAGGGTAGGTCAAGGGTGGCTCTGGAGGCAGACAGCAGGATTGGATCTTGGCTCCGCTGTGTTCTAGCTGGTGATCCTAGACAGCGTTTGAATTTCTGCGTGCTTCATTTTTCTCACCTGCACATGAGGATAGTAAAGTAGTAAATCTGTCCTGCATAAGGTTTTCTGAGGCTTAAATTAGATGATTCATGTACATAGTGTAGTCCCTGGTAAATATCAGTAAGCGTTAACTCTTATTATTTGTTTGTTTGTTTGTTTGTTTTTTGAGACAGGGTCTCACTCTAGTACCCAGGCTGGAGTACAGTGGCACAGTCTGGGCTCACTGAAGCCTCCACCACCCAGGCTCAAGTGATTCTCCTGCCTCAGCCTCCCAAGTAGCTGGTAGGCCTGTAGTGGGTCTGCAAGCACACGCCACCATGCCTGGCTAATTTTTGTATTTTTTGTAGTGATGGGGTCTTGGTGTGTTGCCCTGGCTGATCTTGAACTCCAGAGCTCAAGCAATCCACTTGCCTTTGCCTCCCAAAGTGCTGGGATTATAGGCGTGAGCCACTGCACCCAGCCAATTTTATTATTATTAACACAAAGCTTCATGGATGATGCTGATACATGGCCTAGTTTGGGTACTACTGAACTCATGAACCTCCAGCTTTCTTCAATCCCTGGGATCTAGGTTGATAAAAGAGAAACTCAAGCGGCTGGTATGAGACTATGGTATTAAACTTACAAATTCTCTGCATTCCAGAACAAATGAGTGACAATGAGTTAGGGGTTCTGTTTAATGCATTTATATGAATAAATGTTTGGTCTTTAAACTTTATTTTTACTTATATTATAATGAAGATCAGAAACACAAAATTGAAAAGTATTAGAAATCTACTTTTAACTTTTAAAAACTATTCATTTCTTTGATCAAACAGTATGGTATGAAAATTTCCTAAATTAAAGAGCAAGACTGGGGTAGTTGCTTAAAGAAAATTGTTTGGACCTGGTGTCTCAAAATAAACTGTAAGTTACTGCAAGTGTTATTAGGAAAGCAGTGAGTTGGAACAGCCACTAGTGGGTGTGGGCCAGGAGAGATTGAGGGAATTTGAGCATCCAACAAAATATGAGTACCCAAATTTCAGCCTCGGTTCAGGTTTTGTGTGTCCATAAGCTACTTTGCTAGCTTAAGTCATCTTGTTGGATGTATGCAGGCCTCCTGAGGGAAGTCAAGGCTGGAGGGGGTCCTGTGGACAGCCAGTGGGTGCAACACCAGGGCGGGAGCAGATTCCCCTCCTTGTAATTTGTTCCTTCCCTGCAAAAAAAGAAAAAAAAATGAGTTTTTTTTTTTTTTTTTTTGAGACCAAGTCTCACTCTGTTGCCCAGGCTGGAGTACAGTGGCGTGATCTCAGCTCACTGCAACCTCCGCCTCCCAGGTTCAAGCGATTCTAGTGCCTCAGCCTTCCAAGTAGCTGGGACAACAGGCGTGAGCCACTACAACTGGCTAATTTTTGTATTTTTAGTAGAGTTGGAGTTTTACCATGTTGGCCAGGCTGGTCTTGAACTCCTGACCTTGGGTGATCCGCCCACCTCAGCCTCCCAAAGTGCTGGGAAAAAAATGAGATTCTTTATGTTCAAGGCCTAACATATAAGAGAGAGGGGAAGAAAAAGGGAAAGGGGGCAAAGGGTGAGGAGGAGAGATCCCATCAGCAGCTGGAAATTGAAGGTGTGGTGTGGTCAGTGGTTGCATTGCATGCTAGCGGTGCATAAGGCCTGATTCCTCTTTTCTTTCCTCAGCCATCAGTAATCATCCGCAAAGGGCTCTCTTGTGGACACTTATGCTGCAAGAGCCACTTCCTCCACGGTCTTATCACCTCACCCAGGCCCTGTGGAGCAGCCAGAAGGCAGGGAGAGCTTCTCCCTTGCAGGTCCCCTCCATTGCTGTCAGTACCCAGCTGGCTCCAGGGCTCTGTGATGCCGCCAGCTGGGCCTATGAGGGCCCCGAACCCTGAGTCCTCACTGCCTTTCTCCCAATCCCAGGAAGGTATGCTCAGCCAGAGCCCAGGCCTCATACACACTGGCAGTGACAAAAAGTAAAATTCCAGCCCTGTCCCCATGTCTTTCCCTGGGCACCCCTGTGTGCCTTTACTCTATGGCTGACCTTTGTACTTGTAAGCTATCCAGAGGCTCTTTGGGCCTCTGCCAGAGTTTCCTAAAACATACGTTTGCTTTTCTCATTCTCCTGCCCAGAAGCTTCCAGAGTGCTCTCTTGGCTTCAGACTGAGTCCCCACCTGTGAACGGGCTCACCTTTCATTTAGTGCAGACATAGGCCCCCCTGGAGTTTGTCTCTCCCCTTCCCTTCTTTCACCTGGCCAGCTCTCACTCTTCCTTGAAGACCAACTCAGATATCACCACACTGGGTTTGGGACCCTCCTGTGTGCACACCTGGATCCCAGCACTTCTCATGCTGTTGTCATTGATCCTTGTCTACTGGTGATGTCAACTCCCCAAGCGAACATCAGAAATACTTGCAACCAAGCAAAGCTAAGGTTATCTGACCTGCCACAGTAAGGGAGAACCTCCACTTGGCAGAATCTTAGTAGGTTCTGAAAATGGAGGAATTAGGGAAGGGTACTTAGAGGATTTCAGGGTCCAGGCTTGGTGATTTTAAGGTGGGTCTTGCAAGGCCGTTTTAGCTTTGGATTGGTGAGCCCAGCAAGCGAACAGTCTTTGAGTCTGGATGAGCAAGCTGTTAATCTTGGTAAGTTGTCTAATCGATTCACAGTCTTTTCTCCCAGGAGCAGGTATTTTCTGCAGCAAGCAGTTAAGTTATTTTTACTTGGTCTCAATATGGTTTAACATAGTAACAGGAAAGTTGGCCTGGTCCCAGAATTGTTTAACACAGGGATGGGGAATTATGTTGGTTTCATTCTTACTGGCAATCCTATTAAACTGAGTTCTGGGAGAACAGAAACTGAGACACAATCTTTCTGCAAACCCTCATGCATTAGCAGAGTGCCTGGCAGACACTGTCAGCACACAGCAGATGTTTCTTGAACCTGTGTATGCGTGAATATCCTCTGGCACCCGTCAGTGGTCCTGGGAAGCCTCTGGGCAGCACTGTGCTCGGGAAAAGCAGCAACAGAGAATGTCCAACAAGATGCTGCCTAGACCCCTGCTGCTCCCAGTGTGCCCCGTGACCAGCCTCAGCATTCCCTGGGAGCCTGTGAGAAGTGTAGACGCTCAGGCCCCACCCCAGACTCTATTAGCAAGCAGCCCAGTGATGTGTATGCATCAGTATCCAAGAAGCACTTTAAGTTTTTGGCCTGCACAGCAGTGGGAGGCATCGAAGGTTTTAAACACTCAGTAGAGACTCACGGAACACTTCCTACGAGCCAGGCATGTGTAGAGCCCTGTAGGTACCACCATGAGGCCGCCAGGATTTCAGCTCTGCTGGGAGGCAGGCATATAAACACAACTCAAGGACTGTGAGGGTAGGAAATGCACTCTTTCCTTCTTTGTATAGAAGAGAGATTTCTGTGCATGAACCCAGATACAGCAGGTAGGGTGTGTGTGTGTGTGTGTGTGTGTGTGTGTGTGTGTGTGTGTGTGTGTGTGTGTGTGTGTTTTCTGCTTTTCCCTGTGTGTGTGTGTGTGTGTGTGTGTGTGTGTGTGTTCTGCTTTTCCCTGCAAAACGTTAAGCCTCTGATTGACTGCCCCCGGCATAAGCAATAACCACAACCATATAAACACAACTCAAGGACTGTGAGGGTGTAGGAAATGCACTCTTTCCTTCTTTGTATAGGAGAGAGATTTCTGTGCATGAACCCAGATACAGCAGGTAGGGTGTGTGTGTGTGTGTGTGTGTGTGTGTGTGTGTGTGTGTGTTCTGCTTTTCCCTGCGGAACGTTAAGCCTCTGATTGACTGCCCCCGGCATAAGCAATAACCACAACCACCCACTTCCTGTCCTTTTCTGCGGGCAGATCCTGACAGCGAGCGGCGATGGCACATGTGCCCTGTGGGACGTGGAGAGCGGGCAGCTGCTGCAGAGCTTCCACGGACATGGGGCTGACGTCCTCTGCTTGGACCTGGCCCCCTCAGAAACTGGAAACACCTTCGTGTCTGGGGTAAAGACCCAGTGGAAATTCCCTAGGGCTCCTGTGTCCACTAAGGAGGCTTATGGTGGCAGTTCTTGTCCATTCATGGGATTAGCCTAGGCACTTCCCTAGAAGGGGCTGCAGGAATTGTTCTCAACTCCCCACTAAACCCCCAGCTCCTGCAGTGACCGCACTGGCTCCAGGCCCCTCTCGGGGGCTTGGTGGGCAGCTACAGGGCTAAGCTGTGAGGGCCTCCTTCTGTTCTGCCACTGATGTTAGCAGTCTATAGAGTAATCTGGAATGTTCTCCTGTATGAGTGCTGCAACTCAAGGTGCATATCTGCCACATTTTAAAATGTCATTCCTCAAGTAAATAGCAGAGAGTTAGCATCTGAGAGCATCAGAGATGCGCACAAGGGCATGGCAGGTCAGATGGCTACTGAGCTGAGGCAACGCTGTGATGCCACCAGGACTTTGAGGCCTGTGGGGCACTCTCCTACCCTACCCCTGCCAGCCACCATCCTCCCTCCCATCACAGGGTGCAAGAAACAGAGGCTTTGAAAGCTCAGAATTGGCAGACAGGGCCACAGAGACTCAGAGAAGCACTAGACTAGGAGTCAGGGTGCCTGGGTCAGGGCTTTGCTACCTGACTGTAAGTCGCATCCGCTATAAGTTGGCCATAGTGCATAGTGGTATTTGCACTTCCCCTCCCCAGGATGGTACAAGCAGTAGATGGAAGAGTTTGCAGTGTGTATGCAAATGGGAGGGGCAAGTCTTTCTGGGGCCAGCCTGAGAATAAGGACAGAGAGCTGGGCCAGCTGACCTTACCATGGGTCCTGTCTCACCTCCGTCAGGAGGCAGTGGTGAGACAGGACAGTGACGCACACACTGTCAGGTGACTTCTGCAGCTGGGACACATAAGGGACCTTTGCTCCAGGCTGCCCACATATCGATCCTGGGAGCCAGGCCAGGGCTGTATGAGCTGTAGTTAGCAGGGACCCTGATTTTCTTCCTGGGTATTTGGCCATGTGTAGATGTTTCAACCCTGTGCCTTGGTATCACTGTATTTATCTCTCCTCAACTCTACTGTGTTTTTAAAAAATTACTGCTATTACTGTAGATCATATTGTCTCTTTCAGAGCACTAAACTGCATCCAATTGAGTGTCCTCTAAAGATGTGAAGGCCTTTCTGGTTTCTTTGCCCACATTTTCAGTAAAGACACTCGGGATGCTGAACTCCCACAGCGGGCCTTCCTCAGATGTGTGATGGTGCTTCATTACACACCTCCCTCTGCTCCAAGTTGAAACCAACAACTTAGACACCAGTTTTAAGCTGTTACTTTTTAGCTGTTTGATCATATAAGCTATTTGACTATTGAGAGTCCACATTCTACTACTTAAGCTTGATAACATGACCACTCTGCAGGAACTTATCAAACTACTCCCAGAGCCTTGATAGGATAATGGAAAAACCCTCATGTCTGTGACCTTCTGGGTCATGTTAGCAACCTGAAGAGAGCATTGACTTTATAGGTGTTGAGGCAGACGCCCAGGGAGGTGACTTGCCTAAGCCACCCTGCGCGTCGATGGCAGCACCCTTATGGGCCCCTGGTTTGCAGATTCCCAGCCCAGCATGCTGCTGAGGGTGCAGATGGCCCGGGGCACCTGGCTCTCCAGCTTTGCTGAGGGCTGCCCCATACACCAAAACAAAGCTGGGACTCTCGGCTGCTCCATTTGGGCACTGCCAACCCATTTATTAATGTCACAACTAGAGAGGTCCCACCACACACCACTGCCTGCCTGCCTTGCCCTCTGGGCTTAGGGAGGCAAGTATAAAGAGAAGAGAGAAAAGAAGGAAAAATGAAAGGAAGGGAGATGCCCGGGGGAGGGTAAGGAGGGTTTGCCTCCATTCAGAAATGTGCAAAAGAAGAAAACAAGCTAAAAGAGGAAGCCGAGTGCCTTCCCTCCTGCCTCCCATCCCAAGACCTAGTTCTAGGCGTCTAAGGGCTTTCTGACTAAGGAAAGTGCCCTCAGGTAAAGCTAGTCTCAGAAAAGTGTGTTGTCAACCATTTGCTAATGGGAAATAAATGGTCTGTGTTATATAACTGGGACTCGTGCCTTGTCTATAGACATTCCTTAAAGTGGCCATAACTCTGGCTAATTTTCATTTGTAGGGATGTGACAAGAAAGCCATGGTGTGGGACATGCGCTCCGGCCAGTGCGTGCAGGCCTTTGAAACACATGAATCTGACATCAACAGTGTCCGGTCAGTGAGTAGAATGTTCATGCCACCTCTCTGTTCTGCCGGCATTGCCTGGCTTGGGTAATCCTTAGCCCAGGAACCGCCTCCAGACTCAGTTTACTTGGCTGAGAGAGGCCTCCCCGGGAAGAAAGGCTGATTGTGGTGGAACTGAACAGTGCTCCAGAACTCATGGAGAATTTTAATTTAATTACATTAGGAGCAATTAATATCCTCCCTAAGTTGAATCAGCATTTTTCATCCATTCATTCAATAAATATTTATTAAGTATTTATATGCTAGATATTATTCTAGGAACTGGGAATATATCAGTGAACAAGATGGACAAGGTCTCTATTCTCTTACAGGAGACAAACTAGACCAAACACAAATATACAATTTCAGATACTGATAACTACTATGATAAAAGTAAAACAGGGAGATGGGATGGGTCATTTCTTAGAGGTCAAAGACAGCCTCACTGAGAAGGTGATCTTTACATTGAGGCCAGGATCATGAAAGAGCCAGGCAAGCAAAGAGCTGGGGGAAGAGCACAGAGATGAGAGGTTAAGGGACCTAACAAAAGGCCAGGTGGTCACTGGAGAGTTTTGAGTTGGGAGGGGTAGGGGTGGCTAACCTGATCATGTTTTGCCTTTAAAAGATCGCTCTGTTGGGAAGCTGAGGCGGGCAGATTGCTTGAGCCCAGGAGTTCGAGACAAGGCTAGGCAACATGGCTCAACCCTGTCTCTACCAAAAAAAAAAAAAAAATTAGCAGGGCATGGTGATGTGTGGAGGAGGCTGAAGTGGGAGGATCGATTGAACCCAGGAGATTGAGGCTACAGTGAGCCGAGATGGTGCCATTGCACTCCAGCCTAGGCAACAGAGCAAGACCGTGTCTCAAAAAAAAAAAAAAAAACCCAAACAAACAAAAAAGATCACTGGCTGTATGGAGAATACATTGTAGGGAACAAGAATGGAAATATGATGACCAGTTAGAGGTGGTTGTGTGAGTTCAAGAAAGAAATGATGGTGACTGGAACTAAGGAAGACATGGTGGAGACAGAGAAATGTCAAGAATTATGAAATATCTGAGATTTTATCTACCTACAAGTTAACAAGTTGGGCTGTCATAGCTCATGGATGCTGGTAGAAGACACAAGACTCCTGGGTCAGAGATGAAGGACAGTTTATTACTCACAGCAATGGCAGTAGCCAGGCTATCAGCCTGTTTGTGCATACTTGAGCCCTAGTTCCACAGGGAGACATGAAAAGGGCCAAATGACACTGGCAGATGCAAGGGATGCACTATAGAAGAACCCTGAGCTTAGGGAACCCACATCTTTTATCGAGGGCAGCAAGCAGCAGTCCATTTACTAAGACAGGGAAGACTGGAGGGATAGCGGGAGGAGGTGGGCTTTGCACATGGATTTAGGAGTTCTTTTGGGGGCTAATTAGGTTTGAGATGCCTGTTAAACATTCAAGATGTCAAGTAAGTGGCAGGATCCATGAATTAGATCCCAAGAGAGAGGTCAGGACTTGCCACGTATGAAAGATGGTACTGTTGAGACAGTTTATAAAGTATTTTCATTATACTCAGAACTCCCAAGAATCTTCATTATACTTAGTGGGAAAACACGAGAATTATTTCTCTTAAAAACAAGAACAAAAAAGAATACTTGCTTACTTTAGTACTTCTTGCCCTCAAATGTGGGATAAGGAAAAAAGAAAAAAAGACTCACTTATTGTAACTGTGCAGTAATTACCTAGAAAATCAAAAGAAATCAATCTGAAAATTACTACAGATAGTAATTGAAGTTAGTAAAATGCAAGATAGAAGATAAAGCCACAAAAATAAGCCCCTGTGTATTAATAAAGTACAGTCATTCCTTGGTATCTGTGGGAGATTGGTTCCAGGACCTCCCTCAGATACCAGAATCCTACATAAAATGATGTAGTATTTTCTCAGGGTATGCTGAAGTTATAAAAATAAATAAATAATAAAATTAAAGTGGTATAGTATTTGCATATAGCCTATGCACATTCTCCCGTGTACTTTAAATCATCTCTCAATTACTTACAATATCTAGTAAGTGTAAATGCGATGTAAATAGTTATTAGACTGTATTGTTTGGAGAATAATGACAAGAAAAAAGGTTCAGTACAGATGCAACATTCCTTTTTCTTTTTTAGAATATTTTTAATCTGCAGTTGATTTTATCCATGAGTGTGGAATCCATGGCTATGGAGGGCCAATGTACAGCTTTAAAATGCACACACTCAGCTGGGCACCGTGGCTCACGCCTGTAATCCCAGCACTTTGGGAGGCCGAGGTGGGCGGATCACTTTAGGTCAGGAGTTTGAGACTAGCCTGGCCAACATGGTGAAACCCCGTCTCTACCAAAAATACAAAAATTAGCCAAATGTGGTGGCACATGACTGTAATACCAGCTACTTGGGAGGCTAAGGCACAAGAATCGCTTGAACCCAGCAGGCAGAGGTTGCAGTGAGCTGAGATCGTGCCACTGCACTCCAGCCTGGGCAGTAGAGCGAGACCCCTTCTCAAAAATAATAAAATAAAATGCACACTCTCTCACCTGAGCTGTTTCATCTCCCCTGAACCCTTTGCTTCTAACCTCCTTTGACCATCAGTTTTCAACTTAGGCTTCCCTCTGTCCAGAAAGCCCCCCTGGTTTCCAGGGCTGAGTTAGGTGCCCTCCTGTGTGAGGGAGACCACACTGCATGGCCAGTTTACTCATCGATCTCCTGCACTGAGGAAGTCAGAGAGAGAGACAGAGAGAAAATGTTATGGTGGTAACCAAACTTTTTAAAGTATTTATGAATTCTTAATGGCAGAAATAAAAGAAGATGTTGATAAATGGAGACATAAACCCAATTCTTGATTGATAGGGAACACTGTAACTTAAAATTTTAAATGGCCATTTTTCTATATACAGTGAATGCAGTTTCAATTAAGTTATTTTATGGAATGGTGTAAACTGACGCTGAGACTTCTGTGACGGATGCTACAGGGACTGATTCAGTGGGCCATGTTCAGGGTGCCTTTTGATTTTCTTCCAGGGCGAACACTGGCTACCATGTCCACCCAAGGCTGAGGTTATACTGAGCGTTGTCATTATTCTCTTAGCATGCCCTTGGTTATACACTGAATTAATTAGGACATGGGCTTGTATGAGAGAAGCCCAAATCACAGTGACTTAAACCAGATGGGAGTTTGTTCTCACCTTAAAATCTGAGCTGCTACGATAGCTCATTCTGTCTTCGCAACCCATTTCCTAGGATGGTGCTCAGTCTCCTGCCCCCACTGGCCTACCACCATGCCTTCTTTCCAGCTGGTTGGTAGAGGAGAGTTGCGCTTATCACTTCTGCCTGCATCCCATTAGCCAGAACATGATCACATGGCCACATCTGGCTACAGGAAGACTAGAAATATAGTTTTCATTCTGCCACCTGCCCAGGAAAAACAAAACAAAACGAACTAGTGTTTCTCAATGGGGTTCAGTATTAGCATTTTGGGAAGGACATTTCTTCATTGTAAGGGAATGTTCCATGTAAGACATTTACCATCCCTATGGCCTAGCCACTGAATTCCAGTAGCACCCCCTGGGTTTAGTGCCATTCAAAAAATCCTGCTTTTATTTAACCATAGCTATAGGAGACAGAGAGAGGGGACACTGGGGGCACAAAAGGTCTCTTCCAGATAATCTATGTATTACCTGGAAGATAATACACTTGGTCCCTGAACTTCCTACCAGCAGAAGGAAATCATAGCCCATGTGGCCCCAAATGGTATTTAATCTAGAAATCATTTTGACATTGGAATATGGATGCGTCAGATACTCCATGAATTCATAATGCTTTCAAAAATATAATGTGCCCACACTGTGATGGACTGACTGGGGCAGAGCTGAAAATGGTTAACATCTGTCATCCAGCTTTTCAATTCTCCATCCCCGTCTTTCAGGCCAATGTAAGTTAGTCACACAAAGTCAAGCTTCCCTCTCCTTTGCCAAATGTTTTGACTCTCACCTCCCGCTGGTAGGAGGAATAAATAATGTTTTAAAAGGACTCCTCCTCCTGCGGCTTTTGTGGAACTATAGGGTAGGTCACTGGTACGAGAAAGGAGAAACAGCGTGGGTGCGGTGACTCACGCCTGTAATCCCAGCACTTTGGGAGGCCTAGGAAGGTGGATCACTTGAGGTCAGGAGTTCAAGACTAGCCTGACCAACATGGTGAAACCCCGTCTCTACTAAAAATACAAAAATTAGCCAGGCATAGTGGCATACACCTGTAATCCCAGCTACTTGGGAGGCTGAGGCATGAGAATCGCTTGAACCTAGGAGGTGGAGGTTGTAGTGAGCCAAGTTCACGCCATTGCACTCCAGCCTGGGCAACAGAATGAGACTCAGTCTCAAAAAAAAAAAAAAAAAAAGGAGAAACAATGGAAGGTGTGGGGAACACAGCTGGGTGAGGCAGAGCGGAGGGGTTTAAAGACATTTGCTCTCATTCTGCCTCTGGCTTATAATTTAGGGCCCATATTTCTCACTAATCATTGAGAAGACAATGACTATAGCAGTAATAATTATCATTTATTGAATGTGATTTAATTGGCACCATGCCAGATTCTTTGCATGGACTGTCTTATGTAATCTTCACAGCAGAAAATATGCATTATTACTCTCACTTTTCAGATGAGGAAACTGAGGCTGGGCAAGAGGAAGTCATTTGCCAAAAGTATCGCAGGTAGTAAATGGTCAGTGCAGACATCCAATGTGGCTTTGTGCGTCTGATTCAGTGTCTGTGCTCATAACCACTTTCTTATCCCTGAGCTCTGGGCCAAGTCTTAGGAATTAGATATGTGATTGAGGGAAACTATATTTATAGGGGGTCTACTCTGTGTTCTGTGCCTGATATCAACACATATTATCTCACTCTGCAAGGCCAGTGTCACTGTCCCCCACTAACAGGGAAGAAAACTAGAGATCAGTGGGCCTGACATAGGAGCTTCCTCTTCCGTCTTCTGCTGCAAATGTTCCTTGAGTCCCTAGAAATAGAGATTCTGATTCCAAGGGCCTAGCATGGTTCTGATGGGCATCCAGGGTCAGGAGTCACAACCGTAGATAAAGTACTTTCTCTCTGCAGGTACTACCCCAGTGGAGATGCCTTTGCTTCAGGGTCAGATGACGCTACGGTATGTTTCTAAGTTTTTGAGAGCTTTTCCTAGTCAATAGAGGGATCTGCTAACTTATTTTAAGAAAATAACTATTTTTCTGGTTACAGAAGTAACGAGTATTCAATAAAGAAAATTTAGGGGAATATTAAATTACCTTGATCTCCTTACCCAAGAAAAATCATAGTTGGATGAATTCCTTTCTGTCTTTTTTTCTTTTTAACAAACAAAATGCTTTATAATTTGGCATTTTCACTTAACAGAATGTGAACATTTTCCCAGGCTGGTAAATATTTCTCTCCATTATATTTTCTTAGTGATTGAGTAGTATTCCATGTTATGAACGTGACATTCGTCTTCAATTTTTGGACATTTGGCTTTTCTCAAGGTTTTTTTTTTTTTCTGTTAAAAACACTACTATAAGTGTTTTTGTACCTCTCATCATTTCCTTAGCATTCTCAGACATAACTTGCTGAGCCATAAATAGACCCAGTTTTAAGGCTTTTGATACTGATTGCCAAATTATTTTCAAGAGAAAAAAATATTTTCTTGTTGCCTTCAAAATATCAAATATCTTATGAAGTAATGGTTTTCATTCTAATTTTCTGCTAAACAAATTACAAAAGAATAGATTGAGAGTTTTGAAATAATGAAAATTTAAAACTTCTGTATATCAAAGATACATAACAAAATATATATGGAAATATATTGTAACAAAATTATAACAAAATATAATTATAACAAATATATATGGAAAAATTCTTGCCACATACAGTACAGACCAAGTTGAAATCCTGTAGATACGAATGGAGTTACATAAACAATAAAATGAACACTCCAATTAAAGAAGAGGGTAAAATGCAGGTCATTTACAAAGCAGTGAATCCACAATGGCAAGTAAACACCTGAAAATATTTTCAAAGTCACCTATAATCAAAGAATTGCATGTTTTAAGTTTTAAGTCATCGGATGCCCATTTTGCCACTAGGATTAGCAAAGAAATGCCCAGAGGTTGGGTTGATGGGGAGCCTGGATCAACCCTGGGGTCAGGATAGTTGGCACCACCCTCCTAGAGGGCAGATTTGCCATATGAATCAAGAGCTTGAAAACATCTCTACTTGGCCAGGCACGGTGGTTCATGCCTGTAATCCCAGCACTGTGGGAGGCCAAGGTGGGTGGATCACCTGAGGTCAGGAGTTCAAGACCAGCCTGGCCAATGTGGTGAAACCCCATCTCTACTAAAAATACAAAAATTAGCCAGGCGTGGTGGCGGTCACCTGTAATCCCAGCTACTCAGGAGGCTTAGGCAGGAGAATCGTTTGAACCCTGGGGAGGCAGAGGTTGCAGTGAGCCAAGATAGCGCCATTGCACTCCAGCCTGGGTGACGAGCGAAATTCCATTTCAAAATAAAATATACAATAAAACATCTCTACTTCTGATCTGGTCATGCTATTTCCTGATAACTCTTCTAAGGATTCTATTTCTTAACCTAGTCTAAGGAAACCTAGTCTAAGGAAACCAGAAACACATGTAAAGATTTTTATATAAGAATAGTCATCATAATATTATTTATAAAAAAGAAAAATTAAACACAACCAAAACAACAGGGTTTGGCTAAATAGATTCTGATATATTCAATAACTATGTACATAATGTTTTTTGAAGTTCTCTTTTAATGATATGAGAAAGGACGTATAACCTAATGTTAATAAAAGCAATAATGAAACATCCAACCCATTCAGATACACACATAAAATACAAATAAGACTGAAGGAAACAGCTGAGAATTAGTAAATACCTCTAGGATTTAGGGTGACCTTCATTTCCTTCTGTTTACATTTTTGAATATTTCCAAATTTTCTACAGTGAACATGTGTCCTTTATCAGAAAAAAAAGTGGGGTCTCATTTTGTTTTTATACCTGAAGAAATTTGCTGTATTTGCCGTTTCTTTACTGACTCATAGAGATTAATAGGAATCAGGACTCTTTACTGACTCATAGAAATTAACAGGAGTCGGGACTAAAGGATGAAATAACAGTAGGGAAAACTAAGAAGTTTTTCCTTCATCTTTTAAACTACGCAAGTCACTAGCACCTACCTGTAGCTCTGTGGTCATCACGTCACCAAACTGAAGCCAGAAGTAAGTGCTTCTTTATTTATTTGCTCCCCAGTGTCGCCTCTATGACCTGCGGGCAGATAGGGAGGTTGCCATCTATTCCAAAGAAAGCATCATATTTGGAGCATCCAGCGTGGACTTCTCCCTCAGTGGTAAGATTTTATTTCAGAAACTTTTCCCAGGACTGTAAGACAGGACCAGAATGAAACTAGCGCTCCATCATCGCTCAGTTCCTTTTCATCAACTGAGCTTCCTGTGGACCAGTATGCGAAATCATCCATATTTGCACCAGTTTTCCTCCTCTGAGCTTCTGACCTCCCACTTTGTCCTGCCCCAGGCAACTTCACTCCAGGGGGAAATGAAGGCTGTGTACCCACCTAATGCTGTCCTTCAAGGCAATGAAGTGTCAGAAATTCACTTCCACAATGCTCTCAGGCATTTTCTCCCCAGCCTTTGCTTCTCTTCATGCCCCAAAGGGAACTTTTCTGTAAGGTGGAGGTGAAGCAAGAGTCCCTTCTTGGTGGGATACTGTGGCTCACGCCTGTAATCCCAGCACTTTGGGAGGCCGAGACAGGCGATCACTTGAGGTCAGGAGTTCAAAACCAGCCTGGCCAACATGGTGAAACCTTGTCTCTAATAAAAATACAAAAATTGGTTGGGCATGGTGGCGCATGCCTGTAATCCCAGCTACTCAGGAGGCTGAGGCAGGAGAATCGCTTGAACCTGGAAAATGGAGCTTGCAGTGAGCTGAGATCGTGCCACTGCACTCCACCCTGGGCAACAGAGCGAGACTCTGACTCAAAGGGAAAAAAAAAATGAGTCCCTTCTCAGTGCCTTGAAGCTCATGGCTCCTTTGTGGGAAGCTGCTGGTGAAAAAGCATAGCTCCAGAAGGATCATGTCAAAAAAAGAAAGAAAAATAGAAAGTTAAAGCAGAGGTAACAGGCTGGCTACCTGGACCACTCCATTTCCCCAGACACATCCCTAGACTAACTGCACGTGAAGTTCCTGCTACTGCCTGGAACATCTTTTCCCTGCCTTCTCTGCATGACAGACTCCGATTCAACCCTCAAGAGCCAACTCAAATGTCACTTTAACTTTCTCTCTTTAAACAAGTTTTACAAGTTGTTAACTAGCAAATGACTAAAAATAATTTACTTGTGTCTGCAGTGCCCTCCTTAATCCCCCTTCCTCTCTGGTCCCATAGCACTTTACGTGTGTAAAGCACTTGCATTATGGCTGTTACCATGGGATGCTACAGTGATCTGTTCCTTTCAGCCCCACATCCTCCAACAGGGACAGGGACTGTGCTTTCTCCCCTTTGAATCCTTGAGGCAAAGCACAGTGCCTAGGACTCAGTGCGCCTGAATCACTGCTTACTGAATGAGTGAGTAACAGTCATGTAATGAGAAACAGGAAGCAAGGAACTGGCTTAACAGCTATCATCTCACCCTGCTTCAAGGTCGCCTGCTGTTTGCTGGATACAATGATTACACTATCAACGTCTGGGATGTTCTCAAAGGGTCCCGGGTCTCCATCCTGTTTGGACATGAAAACCGCGTTAGCACTCTACGAGTTTCCCCCGATGGGACTGCTTTCTGCTCTGGATCATGGGATCATACCCTCAGAGTAAGAGGGATGGTTTTCTGTTTTCCTGTGTGTGAGAGGAGAGAGGACTGGTGACAGGCCTTCTGAAGCAGAGGGAAGGCTATCAGAGTAAGCTCAGGTGGGCCTGGTCAGCCTCGCCGAGCTCTCATTTCCACTCTGCCCACAGCCACAGAGGGAATGGGTTGCCTGGAGAGGTAGCGAGTGCTGCATCAGTGCAGGTATTCTCGCACAGATTCGACAACTGCGTATCAGCCTGTAGGTGAGGGAATAGTTAGGCTTGATCATCCAGAAAGTTCCTTTTGACCCTAAAAGTCTGATTCTTGTGATTCTAGCCTTTGGCAAACCACAGATAACCAGTCTCTCCTCCTATAGTATAGGGTTCTTATTACGATTATTGACCTTGTGATGACAAGGGTCACAAATCCAGGAGGCTGTGAAGCCCCTGAAATTATTACTTTTTTCTTCCTTTTTTTTTTTTTTTTTTTTTTGGTTTTTCTATAGCTTAATCTTGGAAATGAAGCCCCTGAAATTATATGCCAAATTTGGGGTGTATGCCTTTTGTCCTCGTGGCTTTCATTAAATTCTCAAAGAGAGCTCCATAACCTTGTTGAGTGTTGGCTCACCCAAAATACTACCAAAATAGCCTGTTTAAGCTGGGCATGGTGGCTTATGCCTGTAATTGTAGCACTTTGGGAGGCCAAGTCAGGCGGATCACTTGAGGTCAGGAGTTCCAGACCAGCCTGGGCAACATGGTGAAACCCTGTCTCTACTAAAAATACAAAAATCAGCCAGGCGTGGTGGCATGCACCTGTAGTCCCGGCTACTCGGGAGGCTGAGGCTGGAGAATCGCTTGAACCCAGGAGGCAGAGGTTGCAGTGAGCCAAGATCATCCCACTGCACTCCAGGCTGGGCAACAGAGCAAGACTCTGTCTCAAAAAAAAAAAAAAAAAGTAGCCCATTCATAGAGCAAAGCTAAATTTATTGCTTACCTCAGTGTGGAACATCAAGAATTGGTAGAGGTGTAGTGGCATCTCAGAAGAGGATGACAAAGGCATGCATGAGGTTTTTTTGGTCTGGTTTAAGGCAGGTCTTTGTTGGGGGGCACTTAATTAGGATTGGACAACTTTGTGGCATAATAGTTTTAGGATTGCTGGATGCAGGGGTGGGGGAGGGTTTCGAACAAACCCTTTAAAACTAAATAGTCATTTGATGCTCTATATTGTCCTGAGACATGGGTGTGTTTTCTAAAGAGGGTAAGTTGAGTAGTCTAGTGTTAGGATAGAGAAAAGGATTTTTGCAAAATTCCTGAAACAAATAAAAAAGTTATCTGTGAGTTCATCTTCCTGGGTAAGAGTGTCCTAAGTGAGTAGTCATGTTAATGTATATGGTGAGCTGTATGGGTTCAAATGGTTTTGGTTGTCAATCTGGAAGAGTAGCTAGGCCCGTAAGGAGGCTGCAGATGCCCCACAGACAATTAACTAAGGGAGGAGAAGATCAGGTCCAAAGAAGCACCTTTGCATTGCTAGGAGTACAGTGTTATCCTTCTAAGGCACATGAGCACCCTATTTTGGATGGAGTGTGTATGTTTGTGTGTGTGTGTGTGTACACACACATATATGTATGCCCATGCATGTGTGTGAATAGACTAATTTTATCTCTTTAAGCTCAAGTTTTATAAGTTGTTAACTACAAAGGTCTAAAAACTATCTGTTTGTGTCTTCACAGGTCTGGGCCTAATCATCTTCTGACAGTGCACTCATGTATACCTGAGAATTTGAAATCTTCACATGTAAATAGATATTACTTCTAGAGGAGCTTAGAGTTTATTGCAGTGTAGCTTAGGGGAGCAACCCATGGCTCACAGGTCACTAAGCGTCTCCAATATGACTATTAAAACTGTCACCTCTGGAAATACACTAGTGTGAGCCTTCAGCACTGCGAGAATACCTTCAAGTACAGTATTTTTCTTTTGGAACACTTTTTAAAATGTATCTGTTTTTAAGGTTATTCTAAATTATAGTAGCCTCAACTCATTCTGTCACCAGTAGAATTCAGCAGTTAATATATTCCATATTATTTCTTTGAATCAATTCATTTTCAGAGCACTTTAAAGTCTGATATTTCTCGATGTGCACTGTGATGCCTGGAACCTTCCTCTGGAAGTGCTGATTTTATGGACTGAGGACTGGTGACTGGTCTGTGATAGAAGCAAATTCCAATTCCAAATGTAATTAGACAAAAATCATTTTTTTAGAATGTGTTTTTATTGTAAAAGTATCTTTTTCAGCTTCCTGTTCTATTGTCTTTTTTCAGATACAACATTTTTGTCTATGGTGAACTGCTGTAAATGACGCAGAGAAATGCCTAAAAAGGACAGGTGGTTTGACTCATGGATGATGATGATGTCACTGTGCCACTTGGACAGGGCGTTTTCTCTGAATTGAAGGGAAAGCCAATGGTGTTTGTAAACAAATGCTTCTGAGAGCAAAGAAAAGTCTTCTGTGTGGGAACACAAGATAGTAAACTTATTTAAAAACCTATTAGTAGAATTAGTGGAAACACTTAGGTTAAAGTGAATCTTGTCCATATAAATTATATTCATGGCCGGGCGCGGTGGCTCACGCTTGTAATCCCAGCACTTTGGGAGGCCGAGGCGGGCGGATCACGAGGTCAGGAGTTCGAGACCACGGTGAAACCCTGTCTCTACTAAAAAATACAAAAAATTAGCCGGGCGTGGTGGCGGGCGCCTGTAGTCCCAGCTACTCGGAGAGGCTGAGGCAGGAGAATGGCGTGAACCCGGGAGGTGGAGCTTGCAGTGAGCCGAGGTCGAGCCACTGCAGCCTGGGTGACAAAGCGAGACTCCGTCTCAAAAAAAAAAAAAAATTATATTCATATGTATTGCATTGCAATTATAATTACATATGCAGATTGATTGATAGTCATGAATAATAACGTCTGCTCCTCTTACATAGAAAAACGATATTAAAAGAAGATCTTCTCTTTATTTGAGACTCAGAATTCCTTCTAGAAGAAGGAAGTGCTTTTTGTTATAGGATCCCTTCTTTTCCTTTTTTTGTTTTTTTGTAAGATGTAGATGCTTATTCTTTGCTTTAGAAAACTTCTCACTTAAAAAGATGGCATGCACCTAGGGGAATAAAAGGTCACCTCAGACACCAGGTGTCATTCCTGGTGAGGCCTGCCTCGTCGGTGGCCTGGGGTCTGCCGGCAGGTTCTGGCTGCACCTGAAGGCTGCGTGCACCTTGTCCCCTGGACAGGTCTCCTTTCCTGGCCCTGCTCCAGCCCAGCCCTTCTTCTAGTGGTAGCTCTGGCTTTGCAGGCCCAGCTCCAGGCCCTGCTCCTCAGAGAGACTCTTCCAGAGCTGGAGCTGGGCACAGCCATAAGACAGGACTGGACCAGATGCTCCTGTAAACATCCAGGGGTGTGCCAGGCCCACCCTCACAACTGCTTGTTCAGGTATCGTGATGGGCCACTCGGTCCAAAATCAGCCAGGCCATCTTTTCCATCATCTCACTTCAAATAAACATAATAATTATATTTGATCATTTGCAGAGCAGTTACTGGTGGTTTTATTGTACACTGGGGTCTGGGGTAGAGAGAGAAAAATGAAGGGCCTCTGCCTTCCTCCAGGGAGCCCAGAGAGAGTGCTTTTTAGTCCCAGTAGATTCCAGTCTGGGCAGGGGCTCAGGAAATGGGCCCAGTGTCTGGCCAGCTCCTGCCAGGTGCTGAAGGGGTCAGGGCACCATGGGATTCCTGAGCTCTGCTCCAGAATGTCCCACAGTGGCCCCTGGTGCAGCTGGCCTCCTTGTGGTGGCATCCCCAACCCTCTCTCCCACAGCCATTTTTTTTTTTGTCTCTGCACTGTGCCTTCCGGCTCCCAGAAGTGCAGGAAGGCACGAGAAAGGAAGGAAAGGTGGCCCAGGGAAGCACATTCCAGGTTCCATGTTTGGAGAGGTGGAGAGCATCTTCAGGATATGTGCAAAGTAGACTGTGACTTTCCAATCCAAAAAGCCACTTTAAGGGCCCAGGGAAAGTATTCCAGAGAATGCTTCCACTCCCCGCATGGGCAGGAAGCCTCCTTCGCTGTGAGCATGCGCTCTCGCAGTGGGTGCTGTCGGGATTTGCTGATGAGATACTTGATTTGGACTATGTGACAGCATGTGGAGACTCAGGGGTAAGCTCCATGGGATAGATTGTATTTTGCAGATTGAAAATAATGCTGAGTGCATTTTATAATCAGCTTTTCTTTTTTCCAGAGGACTTGGGGATAAACCTACCAAACCAATTGTGGTGAAGGGGCCAAACAGATGGGCCCCCAGGGGTGTAGAGCCTTGGGCAGCCCCCTCCTGGGCCAGAAAAAAGAAAGTTCAGGCAGAAAGGTGTGGGTGATGGGTATTTATGGGAAATATCTGTGACATGAAGCCAAGTCCAGTGCTTTAGAATGCGCGGTCAGCCTCTCACCGGTGGGGCCCTGGCAGCCGTCCCTCTTCTCCCAGGCGAGCCAGAGGTGGGCATCCCGTTGCCACTGCCCTCTTCCCGCTCTTCTACCTCCTTTGCACCCTTCTCTAGGTTATAAGTGGCTTAAAACAGCACAGGGTTGTAAGGGCCTTTGTGTCCCGGGCTCTCATAGTTGCCAGGCCAGCTGGCTGAAAGGTGGCACCACCGATACTGGGACTCCTCTGTGAGTTAGAGGGATGCCTTGGTGACATAAGAGGGCTGGCCTTCATTCACACCCACCTCTGTCACGGTCACAGAATATATGATAATATCTGAGTTTTTCTCAGCCTCAGTTTCCCCATTTGTAACATGGGATGGGACTAAAATATGTAAAGTGCCTACCTCAGCCTTTAGCACATCTTCAGGAAGGGTTAGTTCCCAGCTTCTCCCTGTGTCCTCCTCAGTCCCCTTCCTATTTGCCCCCCTCCCTTCTCCCTCCACCTATCTTCCCTCTTTCTCTTCCCTTCCCCTCCTCCTCCCTCTCTCCTCCCTCTCTCCCATTTCCCCCTCCCTCCCTCCCATCTCCTCCTCCCTCCCTCCCATCTCCTCCTCCTCCCTCCCATCTCCTCCCTCCCATCTCCTCCTCCCTCCCATCTCCTCCTCCCTCCCATCTCCTCCTCCCTCCCATCTCCTCCTCCCTTCCTCCTGTCACCCCTCCTCCCTCCCTCTCATCACCTCCTCCCTCCCTCCCATCGCCTCCTCTCTCCTTCCTATCTCCTCTTTCCTCTTCTCTGCCCCCTCCCCCTCTCCTCATTCATCCGGACTCCTTTTTCTAACCCTTCTCAATCTTCCCCCATTCCTCATCTCCTCTTCCTCTGTCTCCCTGTTCCACCTCTCTCCTGGTCTCCTTCCTTCCCCTTCTGCTGTTTCTCCCTCCCTCCTCCTCCCTTCCCATTCCCCTTCCCCCAGCACTTCCTTTTCTCCCCATCTCCTCCCCATTCCCCTTCCCCCAGCTCTTTCTTTTCTCCCCATCTCCTCCCCATCCATAGGCAGCCCCCACTCATATAGCAAATTAGTAATTCTCATCAGTTAGAGCTTCGTCTGGGCTAGTGGTTCTCAAACTTTTTGGTCTTAGGATCTCTGTACACTTTTTTTTTTTTTTTTTTTTTACGTGGAGTTTTGCTCTTGTTGCCCAGGCTGGAGTGCAGTGGCGCGATCTCGGGCTCACTTCAACCTCCGCCTCCTGGGTTCAAGCGATTCTCCTGCCTCAGCCTCCCGAGTAGCTGGGATTACAAGGCATGCACCACCACGCCCGGCTAATTTTGTATTTTTAGTAGAGACCAGGTTTCTCCATGTTGGTCACACTGGTCTCGAACTCCCAACCTCAGGTGATCCTCCCACCTTGGCCTCCCAAAGTGCTGGGATTACAGGTGTAAGCCACCGTGCCCAGCCTACACCCTTAAAAGTTATTGAGGACCCCAAATAACTTGCTCATTGTGGATTGTATCTATCCATATTTATTGTATTAGAAATTAAGACTGAGAAAAAGTTATAAAACACAAGAATACAGATGCACACGTTCCATTAGCCATCAAGGTGATCTTTCTCCCATGCCAGTAGTCTCTGGAAAATTCCTGAGAGGATGAAAATAAAAAAATCACCCATACAAAAAAAAAAAGTGTCAATATTATTATGAAAATAGTTTTGACCGTGAGGACCCCCTGAAAGGGTCTCAGGGACCCTCGGGGGCCCTGGATCTTGCTTTGAGAACAGCTGATCTGGGCTAATGAGCCCTTTTCCAGCCCCTCTGTGTGAGACCTCCCAGAAACCACTAAGGGCCTTGGAAGAGCTTGGCAAAGAAAGAGGTGACAGGATGATTGAGGAGAGCCACCCTAGGGAAAGCCTTCAGAGGAGGCTTTGGGACAGCCCCGGTCGGTGGAGGAAGTCCCAGAGAGGCAGTCGGAAGGGCTAGGGACCAGCTGAGGCCTGTGACCTGAAAATCCTTTCAAAAGAGGACGCCTGGAAGCCTGGGGAAGGCACAGTGGGTGGGGTAGAAGACTGGGGCTGAGGCCCAGGCCATTCCCAAGCCTGGAAGAGCTGATTGAGTGGGGATTTGTAGATCTTCATTTCCCAAACTTGCCTGCTGAGAAGAATCGTCCCACCCATGGCAGGTTCCTGCACTGCGCCTTCAGGGCCCTGCCCTGAGATCTGGACTGGGCGGGCCTGAGGTGGGCCAGGAAATCTGAGCCGGAGGCCCACTGGGGAGGCCGCGAGTGAATCTTGTCTCTGTGGATCCTTTGTAAGGATTGCCATGCTAAACCACTTGCCCTCTCATCCGTGACCGGAGAGAATTGGGTCACTCTTCCAGACATACCACAGACTCCTGCTTCTAGACAGCACTTGGCTGGAGCCAGGCTGGCCTTCAGGGTTGGTCAGTCTCCACAGGGGACTCTGGCCTCCCGTGGGCTGCCACAGGGCCAACCCCAGTGAAAGAAATGAAATGACTGAATATGTTCATGTCATTAGAAAAAGGATGCAGCAGGGGGTGGGGAGGAGTTGGTTAATGGAATCAAATTTGCAGCAAGATAGGAGTCTAGTGTTTGGCGGCACTGTAGGGTGACTATCGCTAACAATAATTTACTGTGTATTTTCAAGTAGCTAGAAGAGAGAATTTTGAATGTTCCTGTCAACCTAAATAACAAAGACAGGCTCGCTAAAGATATTTAATCAAAAGTAGGGCATTGCAACAGGAATATGTGTGCTGTAGTAAACTGTGTGCATATTCCAGGAGGTAAAGAAAAACAAAGGTGACTGGGCGCGGTGGCTCACGCCTGTAATCCCAGCACTTTGGGAGGCCGAGGCGGGTGGATCACGAGGTCAGGAGATCGAGACCATCCTGGCTAACACGGTGAAACCCTGTCTGTACTAAAAAAAAATATATATATATATTAGCTGGGCGTGGTGGCAGGTGCCTGTAGTCCCAGCTGCTCGGGAGGCTGGGGCAGGAGAATGGCATGAACCCAGGAGGTAGAGCTTGCAGTGAGCCGAGATGGCACCACTGCACTCCAGCCTGGGCGACAGAGCGAGACTCTGACTCAAAAAAACAAAGAAAAAAAAAAAGAAAAACAAAGGTTTTTAAAGGAAAAAATGAGGAGGATTACATAATGGTTTTGAAATAATTATCCTTGGCTACAAATATCAATAACAAAGGTCACACCAGTCCGAGGTTGGACAGGCAGTTGCTAGGCAGATGTCTTTGCAGAAGTAATTTTTGTGTGAGGTTGCAGCAGCCTATGTGCAAGGTTGTAATTTTTGCAGAATCTTTTGTGATCATTTTTGGTATTAGGCATACAAGCATGAGAATCCCCTCTTCATGGCCTCCCCAGCTCTATTTGTCATGGTTTGTTTTTTTAAAACACTAGTGACTCTATTTGAATTCTAACAACTTTCACATTCCCAACACAAATGATAGACATTTAAGGGATTAATATGCTAATTACCCTGATCATTACACATTGTATACATGTATCAAAATAACACACTGTACCCCATAAATACATACAATTATGTGTCAATTAAAGATCATTATTTTTAAAAATAGGACCAGAAAAAAAGATGCAGACCCTCTAGTAAGGAGATGGGATCAGGAGTGATTCCATGGTTAATTTAACCCACATAAACAACTAATCGTAAGTATGGTATGAGCGTTTATGTAAAGACTGTGACAACAGGAAATGTCTGTCTTTGAACCCAAGGTTATCTAACCAGCACACCAATGGTGAAAGATTAACTTTGTCAGAAACCAGGAACCATGAAGCAGAGGTCACTGTTTCCAACCTGTGTGTTTTCCACGGTAATTGGCAGCCTCCCCAAGGGAAATTAAAACATATGTCCACACAGAAATTTGAATGCAAATGTTCATAGCAGCATTACTCATAATAGCCCAAAGCTGAAACAGCCCCAATGTTCCACAGTGGATGAATCGATGAACAAAATATGGCGCATCCACAGAATGGAATACAAAGAAAGAAAGCGTGGACACATGCTGCAACATGGATGAACCTTGAAAATATTGTGCCAGGGGAAAGAAACCAGAGACAAAGAGCCACATGTTGTAGGATTCCATGTATATGAAAGGTCCTAATAAGCAAACTCATAAAGACAAAAAGCAGATTGGTGGTCACTTAGGGCTAGGGTGAGGAGTGACGGTTAGTGGGCACTGAGTTTCTCCGGGGGGAACTGAATTAGATGGTGGTGATTGCACAATTCTGTGAATAGACTAAAAACCACTGGACTGTAAGAGGGTGAATTTTTTGGTATATGAATTACATCTCAATAAAGCTGTTACTTAAAACGTGGAAAAAATAATAAGCAGTCACTAGCTATTCTCAATAAAACAGAAACCACATAGGTAAGACCAATATTGTCACATTTTGGTTTTGGCTGATAATGGGGCAAGTGAGCATAGTCACCGTTGCCAGAGGATTTACCATTTACAAATAAAAGTTTCTGTGGAGTGACAACCTTTTACTGTGTGCCAGGTACTGTGCTAAGCACTTTGTATATACCGATTCATGTAATCCTTGTGACAGCCCCGTGATGCCCCATTTTTAGATGGGGAGATTGAGGTTAGGAGAGTTGAATAACTTGCCCATAGCTGCACAGCTTCCAAGTTGCAGAGACAGGATTTTCACCGAGTCTTATTACAAACTGCCTCATATTGTGTGGACTGGAAATTCTATGTTGAGGTTAATTTATTCATTTGTTGTTTAGTTCTTTTCATCATTGTTGAGTTACCAATGGCAGTTCCAGAGGATTTATCATTTACCCCAAAGCTACTGCAAATCTAAGAGAAAACAATGTTCTTGCTGCTAAAGTTTAATGTACAAAAAGGTAAAATCATGACTGTCTTGCAAATAAAACATGAACATGTATCCAAGCTTTTAACTCACTGATTAATAAGGAAACCAGTAAGACGTCAAAACCAGTTCAAATGGGAATTTGATGTACAGAAATTTATATTCTAACAACACTTATTTAGTTCACTGTAAGAAATCATTTGCTTTGGCAGATTAGGCACTCAGCAGAAGCACCAGCCAGCTCAGCCTTTGGAGGGAGAATTCCATGTTGTTGGACCCATACATATCCTCTGTCCCTGCTGCCAAGAGCTCTTTGTTCATCGGCCCGTTGAGCAGACACCACAGCAGCTGCATAGAGAGGCTGGCTGACAGCCACAGAGCATGTAATTCTGTCCATCTGATTCAGGGTCTTCTCTGCAGTGGATGCCCTTTGGTGGGCATTCAGGTGAGATGCAGATATCTTCAGTCTGCCCATTCGGAGGGATTCAGCCACATATCTCTTTCCAAGATTTTCTTGTCACCAATCTTCCAGTCCTGTTCTTTTTAAGGCCCTGACCATCCAGCTAAACCATCAGCGACTGTCCATGAATCAATTTAGGTCTGTATTCTGGCCATCTCTCACTCCAGACATAGTGGACAGCCTTGAGTTTCTGCTCACTGGAAGGATTCTCCTTCACCACTGCCCTTCACAGTCACCCCTGAGTGAGTGTGAGTGAATACTGCAGCTGTTCTCTTTCATGTGGTACCAGCACATCATACAGACCCATCTATAATCCAGGCTGGAGGTTTTTCTCCCTCAGTCAACTGGACATAGGCAGCATCCCAAGAAGCCATAGTTGTAGAATGAGGGAGAGGAGGCAAAGCAACAGGAGTTGATGTTGGAAGAGTCTGAGCCGCCTGCTCATACAATTTACTTATACCTTCTGAACCTGCCTGGGCTGTTTCTAATACACCATTTCCATTTGATGATAGGTGGCTGCTGTATACATCCAATTTTATGGCTACGTAGGTCAGATGACATCCAGTTCATGATGGGAGCTCAAGCTTCATGGTCAGGCATTCTGCCTCTATCAAGGCCTAGTAGCAAGGCAGAACCTGCTTCTCAGAAGGAGAGTAGTTATCTTCAGAAGAGGTTCTAGATTTACTTTAGAATTCTAGAGGTCTGTACTCTCTCCTGTCAGTGCTTGCCAGAGGCTCCATACAGCATCCCTGTTGGACAAAGTCCCACTGGATCTGTTGGATCACAAGACCCAAGTGGTAGGGCAGCTTTACTGCAGCCTGAACCTTCTGCAGAGTCTTCTCTTATTCTGCTCCTCAATCCACCAGCCTGTCAATTGGGTTGAAATAGCACAAACACAGTATATGTTGCCTTCAAAGTCCAAAATGGCTTACTGTTCCAGGCTGTGTCCCCCAAAATTCATATGTTGAAATCCTAACCCCCAGTGTGATGGTATTCAGAGATGGGGCCTTTGGGAGGTATTAGATCACAAAGGTGGAGCCCTCACGAATGAGATTATTGTCCTTATAAAAGAGACCCCGGAAAGCTACTCCACACCTACTGCAATGTGAGGACACAGCAAGAAGCCTGTTGTCTATGAACCAGGAAGCAGGTCCTTACAAGACACAGAACCTGCCAGGGCCTCAACCTTGGACTTTTTAGCCAACAAAACTGTGAGAAATAAATGCCTTTATTTATAAGTCACCCAGTCTATGGCATTCTGCTATAGCCGCCTGGACAGACTAAGACAGCTGCCAAGTGCCGTGCCTCTTTTGTAGTGATGCAAGATGCAGCAACTCATCTTTCACCCTGGGAGGGCTATTTCAACATGCTCCAGACCCCTGAACCCCCAGAAATACCACTGCTAGTATCCATTCTGCATCAGTCTGGATCCAATCAGGAGAAAGAAGCCACGGAGTAATATGAACTGAGAAAGTTTAATATAAATATTAGATGGCCGGGCGCGGTGGCTCACGCCTATAATCCCAGCACTTTGGGAGGCAGAGGCGGGCGGATCACGAGGTCAGGAGATCGAGACCATCCCGGCTAACACGGTGAAACCCCGTTTCCACTAAACAATCCAAAAAAATTAGCCAGGTATGGTGGCGGGCGCCTGTAGTCCCAGCTACTCGGGAGGCTGAGGCAGGAGAACGGTGTGAACCTGGGAGGCGGAGCTTGCAGTGAACCAAGATCGCGCCACTGGAGCTAAATAACCCGAGTCTCACAGTGCATCTGATTGCTACGCGAACACGTGCGCACCACCAGGCCTTGCCTTGGGGACTGGAACAGGTGCAGGTGGGATTCCCATCAAAGGCTCTTCTCTCAGTCCTGAAAAACAATATACCGGGGGCCGGGGGCCGGGGGCCGGGGCGGGGCACGGCAGCCCTACCCTGGGGGAGGCGCGGCCGGGCCAAGAAAACCAGCGAAGGCCCGGCCCCCCAGCAGAGGCCGGACCATGGTTGACCAGTTGCGGGAGCGCACCACCATGGCCGACCCGCTGCGGGAGCGCACCGAGCTGTTGCTGGCCGACTACCTGGGGTACTGCGCCCGGGAACCCGGCACCCCCGAGCCGGCGCCATCCACGCCCGAGGCCGCCGTGCTGCGCTCCGCGGCCGCCAGGTTACGGCAGATTCACCGGTCCTTTTTCTCCGCCTACCTCGGCTACCCCGGGAACCGCTTCGAGCTGGTGGCGCTGATGGCGGATTCCGTGCTCTCCGACAGCCCCGGCCCCACCTGGGGCAGAGTGGTGACGCTCGTGACCTTCGCAGGGACGCTGCTGGAGAGAGGGCCGCTGGTGACCGCCCGGTGGAAGAAGTGGGGCTTCCAGCCGCGGCTAAAGGAGCAGGAGGGCGACGTCGCCCGGGACTGCCAGCGCCTGGTGGCCTTGCTGAGCTCGCGGCTCATGGGGCAGCACCGCGCCTGGCTGCAGGCTCAGGGCGGCTGGGTGAGCACGCGGCGGACACCGGGACACGGGGCGGGACGGGCAGCCGGGAAGCGCCCACGAGGCTGGCACGGTGAGGAACCCACCGCGCCAGGCCCCTGGAACGAGGTTTCGTGAAAGCAGAAAGGCTCGTTTCAGCGGGCCTGGAACGTTCGCTGTGAAGTCTGGGGTTTCTCCTCCCCTGGCAGAAAGGCCGGCAGAAATCGGCCTTCTTAGACGGCCGTGAACCGTTCCGAAGCAGCTGCGCAGGCTTAGGTCTGCTCACTTGGACCTTGCCCTGGCCTTAGCCGTCGGGGACTTTTAGGGGGGCACCCACGTTAGGTCTGAACGTTTTGCTCCTATAGAAATCCCCAACCAATGAAGTCAGCAATGGCGGGGCCCCAGCCAGGTGGGGTGTTTTTCTCCTTCGCCTATTAAATGCGCCTTTGGAGAGACTCAGACCCATTGATCACAACCCCCTACGCCTCTCAGCCTGGCCAGAGAGGTTGTGGAGTGTGGTGGTCGCCCAGTGGTGGCGCTGACCCAAGGTTCCTTAATTTCTAGTCCTCTGCACCCAGTCCTCGGTGAGAACGTTCTAGGCCCCTGGCTTTCAGCTGCAAGCCTTCATCTCTGTGGTCAAGGTTAGAGGGACAGGCCCTTGCCCTGCAGCTGATGATCAAGGAAAGCCACCTGGTGATGAGCCCACTGCATGCCTCTGGGGGCTCTGAGCTAGACCCCATTTCTTTCCCCACCACCTTATTGGCGTTGATTCAATGACTGAAGTGGCCCATGTTATCGGATACCTATAGCCAAACTATTAAAACCAGCAAGTTTTTTGATCCGAAATGTAGCCTCCTGGGGGCAGTTTCCATTTAGACCTTTTTCTTTTTTTCTTTGAGGCGGAGTCTCGCTCTGTGGCCAGGCTGGAGTGCGGTGGTGGATCCCAGCTCACTGCAACCTCTGCCTCCCGGGTTCAAGGATTCTCCTGTCTCAGCCTCCGGAGTAGCTGGGACTACAGGCGCGCCCCACCAAGCCTGGCTAACTGTGTGTGTGTGTGTGTGTGTGTGTGTGTGTGTGTGTGTGTGTGTTTTCAGTAGAGATGGGCTTTCACCATGTTGGCCAAGATCTCGATCTCTTGATCTCGTGATCTGTCTACCTCAGCCTCCCAAAGTTCTGGGATTACAGACGTGAGCCACCTCACCTGGCCCCCATTTAGACTTTCTATAGTGACAAGTTGGGTTCTATCTGAGAAGGGAAAGGGAGTGGGAGGTGTGTTAGCAGGAACTCCTGCCTTGTTCATAATGTTAGTGTTGGTCTTCAACCCTCTGGGCCGGTGAACTCCCTTCAGCTGCGTGCCTAAGAGCCTCACCTGAGCCCTGTCTCAATA
Organism: Homo sapiens; assembly: GCF_000001405.40. Classification (NCBI taxonomy): domain Eukaryota; kingdom Metazoa; phylum Chordata; class Mammalia; order Primates; family Hominidae; genus Homo; species Homo sapiens. Next base: position 52,110,874 of record NC_000015.10, on the reverse strand, counting down.
CGGCATCTGGCCCCTCCGGGCTCTCTGTACCTGAAGAAGAGATTAGAATTGGAAAGGGGCCGTTGAAGCCTTTTTTTGTTGTTTTTGGCTAATCACTGTTGATGAAAGAATAATCTCTTAACACCAAGGAGCTGAAATTCTTGGCTGGGTGCAGTGGCTCGCACCTGTAATCCCAGCACTTTGGGAGGCCAAGGCAGGTGGATCACCTGAGGCCAGGAGTTCAAGACTAGCCTGACCAACATGGTGAAACCCCCTCTCTACTAAAAATACAAAATTAGCCAAGCACGGTGGCAGGTGCATGTAATCCCAGCTACTAGGGAGGCTGAGCCAGGAGAATCGCTTGAACCCAGGAGGTGGAGATTGCAGTGAGTTGAGATCTTGCCATTGCACTCCAGCCTGGGCACCAAGAGCGAAACTCTGTCTCAAAAAAAAAAGCTGAAATTCTCAAATTGGGTAAACATAGTTCACCCTTGTCTCTGCCCATTGCAGTTAAAATGCCACAGCCTGGAGTTCAATTCCCTTCCTAAATGGGGTTGGTGCTTGCTGTAGTGTCAGGTGATAACTTTTCAATCTAGTGACTTGACAGTTTCCCAAAAGGCATCTCTTCTTTGCTCAGAAAAGAGCATAATAAGCTACCTTCCTCTTGGTTTTGAGTCAAGATATGAGTGTTCCTGCACCAAGTGACAAAGTTAAATGCTTGCTTCTGTTCACTCTGTTAGACTTACCAATCCTCACTCCTCAGGGGCTCCTCATTACTGGATGTGTATTGGTCAGAATTTCCTTTCCTTTTACTTTTTAAATCCAAACTTTACTTTGCTGTTTAATCTGGAAGTTCCTGCGTGTTTTGAGTGAGGTTCTCAGCATCATGAGGCAATCTAACTTTTCTCTCTCCCCCCTGTAGGATGGCTTTTGTCACTTCTTCAGGACCCCCTTTCCACTGGCTTTTTGGAGAAAACAGCTGGTCCAGGCTTTTCTGTCATGCTTGTTAACAACAGCCTTCATTTATCTCTGGACACGATTATTATGAGTTTTAAAACTTTTAACCCGCTTCTACCTGCCCAACTGTGACCAACTAAATGACAGATGTGTGAGAACAAGAACTGAGGGAAAGCACCTTCCCCCACCCCAGACGTTTTTATCTGAATGCATACAAGGAGTCCTGAGGTGGTGATTTGGCCAGTGTTTTAACTTGTGACAAGTACTCAGGTGTGAGGACAAGAATGCAAATGGCTCTTCCTTGAGTGAAAGAAATGGGGAGTCTAGAGCCTCTTTATGCCAAAGAACCGCAGAAGAAACTGCATTCCATTAAATGGGAAATACAGTGCTATTTGCTAAAACTTGGATAAGAGTGCGAACCTCTCATCTCTCCACAACTTCATGTGCTGCTGACTAATTTTAAACATGGCCACAGCTGGGGCAAAATAATCCCCAAAGTAGAAAAAGTCCCAGTTTAACAAAGAATGTAATGTTAAAATCACTTATAAGGAATTCTTTGAAACCAAATCCTTTGAAATCTAATTCCTGGGACTTCTAGGTTTTTATAGTTAACATACTAATTTCTTCAATAATTGTTAACTGCAAAGTTTTAATAAATTTGTACCTTTAAAAAAAACTTAGTTGTCTTTCCTAATTCAATAAGCGTTCATTCTTAGGAGTAAGTAGAATTGATGACAATTTGTTTTTATTGTCTCCTTAAATATACATGTAACGGTGCTTGACTTTTTTTTTCCCCAACACTTAATGCACAAGCTCAAAGTCCCTCCTTCCTCTCCCCCTTCCATTCTGCAAACTGTCACCCACCTGCAAGGTGGTTGACAGCATGATTCCCTGCAGGCCTTCCCACTCATTATTATACTTGCATTTTATAAAACTTAACTGGACCTGCTCTTTTGGCTTAATCTTATGAGGTCTTTCTCTCCAGAACATGCAGCTCTGCCTTACTGTTTGGACTGTTGCAGTGCATTCTTATCACAGGATATGCTAATTTAATTACCTTTTCACCGCTGTGTATTTCAGGGTGTTTCTCCTTTGGGGGCTACTAGAAACATTGCATGGAATTTTTTGTGCATAGCCTTGCACACATATGATTACATTGGTAAAAGAATCCTAGAATGAGAATATAGAGAATCTAGTCCCAATGGATGTGTATTAAAATTTGGCTACTCCCAAGTTATTACTCAAAATAGGCTCGACCAGTCCAAACTTACATCAGGGCATGAGAGTGCTTAGTTCTTCACTCTTGGCAGTGTTGGAATTTTTTTTTTTTTTTAACTTGCTCTGTTGCCCAGGCTGGAGTGCAGTGGCAAGATCTCAGCTCACTGCAACCTCTGCCTCCCGGGTTCAAGTGATTCTTGTGCCTCAGTCTCCGGAGTAGTTGGGATTACAGATGCCGGCCGCCATGCCCAGCTAATTTTTGCATCTTTAGTAGAGATGGGGTTTCACCACGTTGGCCAAGCTGGTCTCAAACTCCTGACCTCAAGTGATCTGACCCCCTCAGCTTCCCAAAGAGCTGGAATTACAGGCGTGAGCCACCGTGCCTGGCTAGATCGTTCTAAATGTTTGCCTTTATGGCTTCAGGGTTTGGGGCCTTCTTGAGGAAGTTCCTTATTCCAAGAGTATAAAAAGTATACTATGTCCTTTGTCATGAATCCATTCTAAATTTCTTTTAGTGTAATATGAAGTAGGGCTCATTTCTTGAAGAGCTGGGGTAGATATTTCAGCATTATTCATTGACAGTCCTTTTTTCCCCTGCTGATTTGAGTACATGCTCTATTCTGTTCTATTATCTTTTCATCTACTAATAGCACTGTCTCAACTGCTATGTGTTCCCAGTACATTTGAATATCTGATGGGATAAGTATAATCCCTTTCCCTCTTGTTCAGAAAAATCCTTGGCTCTTTTAGTAGTGTAAGGTGAATTTTTAAAAAATCAGCTTATAAAAAATCCCTTCAGGGGCCCAGCTCAGTGGCCTGGAATCCCAGCACTTTGAGGGGCTGAGGCGGGCGGATCACTTGAGGTCAAGAGTTCAAGACCAGCCTGGCCAAAATGGCAGAACCCCATCTCTACTAAAAATACAAAAATTAGCCAGGCGTGATGGCATGCGCCTGTGATCCCAGCTACTCCAGAGGCTGAGGAAGGAGAATTGCTTGAACCTGGGAGGTGGAGGTTGCAGTGAGCCAAGATTGCACCACTGCACCCCAGCCTGGGCGACAGAGCAAGATTCCATCTCAAAGAATCCATTCAGGCCATGTGTGGTGGTTCACACCTATAATCCTAGCACTTTCGGAGTCCAAGGCAGTGGGATCACTTGAGCCCAGGAATTTGAGACCAGACTGGGCAACACAGTGAAACTGTCTTTAGAAAAAAAATTTTTTAATTAGCCAGTCTGGTCTGAAGAAAAAAACAGAATAAAGGAGGAACAAAAACCCAAAAGTTAGCCAGGCGCGGTGCACGCCTGTAGTCTCAGCTACTGAGGAGGCTAAGGCGGGAGAATTGTTTGAGGCCAGGAGTCTGAGGTTGCAGTGAGCCGAGATCACACCATGGCACTCCAGACTAGGTGACAGAATGAAAGTGGATCAATTTGGAAATATATAGTATCTTTACAGTATTGTGTTCCCTATTTTTGTTGTGTTGTTGTGTTTTGTTTTTTGAGACGGAGTTTCACCATGTTGCCCAGGCTGGTCTTGAGCTCCTGAGCTCAAGCGATCCACCTGCCTTGGCCTCCCAAAGTGCTGGAATTATAGGCATGAGCCACCACACCCGGCCTAATATTGCCTACCCTTCTAAGAACATAAACTCTTGCTCCATTTATTCAGGTCTCTTACGGTTTTCTCTGTATAGGTTCTATTTAGATGTTTTCCAGCTCTTTGGCTTCTGTCGTTATTGGGAATGGACTCTGTAGAGGATGTCTGCCTTCCCCAAAGCCATGTCCTCTTGTGATGACAGCTCAGTTTTCCTGTGGGAACCTACCCATCCTCTGTTCTTAGACCATGTGGCTCTGGTGGGGTTGACTCACTTCATTCCACCCAAGATAGGGACTATGACCCAGATCTGGCCTAGAGAGCCGACCCCTAAGCCAAGCTGGCAGGAGTCGATGTTAGAGTTCCTGTAAACACTATCAGGTGACACTTCTTTTCCACTGGAGTATGGAGGGAACCTGCCTGGGGGAGAACACCGCACAGGAGAGAGTCTAAAATTCGGAGGCGGGATGGGGTGTGGAGAAACAGTTCTGGTGACATTACTTAAATCTCACAATTTGGCTGTGCCTAAAGCTACTTGGGACTCAGATTTCCTTTTCTGCTTTGTTGTTGAAAGTGAAACTCAATTCAGTCCCAAATCCGATTATCAATTTTTCCCTATTACATTTATTATTCGGTTATGGATGCCATAAAAAGAAACTTAATGTAGATTCTAAACTGGCTATTTTGAATTACCATTAGTTCTGTTTCTTTTTCAACACAAACTTTCTTTTTCTTAGATAATTGCATAGGTTCATGAAGGGTAGTGATAACGTTCTCTATCTACCAGGAATTCCCTCAGTTGCTGGTCTATTGATGGCCACCTTTTCTTCTGGCATTCTTTTTTACTTTAGCATTTGAAGAGGAAGAAGACATGGAAGCCTGGCCCAGACCACAGTTCAACCTAGACTCCCTCTAGACATACATGGGTTTATCCTGCAGCAAGAACCCATCTCCTAACAGTGTGCTGAGCTGATGGCACAGTGGTGAGGCCTGCCAGGGTCAGGGAATGGTTTTGACTAGAATGGCTGCAAGAGGGAGTTATTTTTCTGATGTGATAATCACGTCATTGTTTTCTGGCGTGTGGATGCTTGTTCCACAAGCTAAATATTCTTGGCTCATAAGAGGAAGGATGATTAGCATGATGCAATGCTGATTGCTAGGACAATTTCAATTCTCTCAAGATACAGATTCTTACACCCTGAGATACCATTACCCATCAGCCTGGAAATCACAGGTCTGCCCACTTCAATAGCAGTTCTCAAGGGGTGGCAGTTGTGAAGTCTTGGAGACTTTTGGCCTGATACACGACCATTTGTCTACTTTGAAAACTTATCTTCTCTCAAGTTTTTCCTGCATTCCTGGCTTCTAGCACTTCCAGGTAAATGCTGTTTGCTTCACTCATTGTTTTTTTCCAGTTATACTTTCCCTATAACTTTGGAGTCCTTCTGGACCTGCCTCCCTCATCTCCCTGCTGTTTTTCCCCACCAGCACCTGATCATTCCCAGGACATATTCTTTTTCTTTGTTAATCAAAATGTCTTCCATCCTCCCTCTAGTATCCTCGGTGTTCAAATACTTACTAATGATCTTAGTAACGACCTTCGTTATCGTTAATGGCCCACAGGTGCACAAAATCACATTGATCATTAGTTCATAACATTCCTAATTGCTTTATGCATGCATGCTTTTTTAAAATTTTTATTTATTTATTTATTGAAATGGAGTCTCGCTCTGTCTCCCAAGCTGGCGTGCAGTGGCGCCATCTCAGCTCACTGCAACCTCCACCTCTCAGGTTCAAGTGATTCTCTCGCCTCAGCCTCCCGAGTAGCTGGGATTACAGGTGTGCACCCCCACGCCTGGCTCACTTTTTGTATTTTTAGTAGAGACAGGGTTTCACCATGTTGGCCAGGCTGGTCTCGAACTCCTGACCTCAGGTGATCCACCCACCTTGGCCTCCCAAAGTGCTGGGATTACAGGTGTGAGCCACCGTGCCCGGCTCAAGCTTCCCAATTTTAAGTCCTGTAATGGTGACCCCCAACTTTCAGATATAGTTCAAATTGCTGAAATTAATTCACCAGGGCCTATGTGATCAGCATTTTATTCAATTGTTTTTTCTTTATTCTAAAAAAAAAAAAAAAGGGTTACATGTGCAGACTGTGCAGGCTTGTTACATAGGTATACGTGTGCATGGTGGTTTGCTGCCCCTATTGACCCATCCTCTAAGTTTCCTCCCCTCAACTCTCACCCTTATTCAAATTTCTGGTCTTACATCCTGCTATGCACAAACCACCCCACCACACGCTGTGCCTTCTCCACCTCCAGGCTGGGAGGTGGAGGTTGCAGTGAGCCAAGATTGCACGACTGCACTCCAGCCTGGGCGACAGAGCAAGATTCCGTCTCTTCCCTGCTTCCATCTGCCCTTCTACCTACTGCATTAGTTTTGCAGCTGAATCCTGCTTGCTATTCAAGTCTTCTCTTCTAGAAGTCCCCTTGGGAGGACCCTGTCCTGCACAACATCCTGTACTGTGTGCTCATTCATGGCTCAGACTGTGGCTCTTGACTTGTCTCACCCTGTGTGAACCATAATGTCCTTGAGGGCAGGACTGTGTCCTACTTACAGCATTTGTATACCCAGTGCCTAGCAGTGTCTGGTATGGGATGGAGGAAGGGACCTATGGAAGGAATCTGAGCACCAGTACTGATTATACACTCCCAGGCTGGGTGAGGTGGCTTATGCCTGTAATCCTAGCACTTTGGGAGGCCGAGGCAGGAGGATCATTTGAGCCCCAGGGGTTTGATTGAGACTACCCTGGGCAACATAGTGAAACCCCATCTCTACCAAAAAAAAAGAAAAAGAAAAATTAGCTGGGTGGCCAGGCGTGGTGGTTCATGCCTATAATCCTAGCACTTTGGGAGGCCGAGCAAGATGGATCACTTGTGCTCAGGAATTTGAGACCAGCCTGGGCAACATGGTAAAACCCTATCTTTACAAAAATTCAAAAATTAGCTGGGCATGGTGGTGCATGACTGTGGTCCCAGCTACTTGGGAGGCTGAGGTGGGAGGATTGCTAGAGCTCAGGGAGTTGAGGCTGCACTGAGCTGAGATCGTGCCACCGCCCTCCAGCCTGGGTGACAGAGGAGATCCTGTCTCAAAAAAAAGAATTCAGCTGGGTGTGGTGGCACATACCTGTAGTCCCAGCTACTCAGGGGGCTGTAGGTTGAAGGATCACTTGAGCCCAAGGAGGTTGAGGCTGCAGTGAGCCATGAGCACACTACAGCACTGCAGCCTGGGCAGCAGAGTGAGACTCTGTCTCAAAAAAAAAAAAACAAAACATACACCCCCGTTTCAGCTTCTAAGCAAGTAGCTCTCTTGGGGCTGCTGTGGGCCCCTGTTCAGATGGTCACAGGAACATCCTTTCCTACTGATCATGCAGACCTGTCATGAGCTGGCCCTGATTTCTGAGCTGTCTTACTAATGGTTATGACTCAGCCTCACTCCTGTGACCCACTGCCAACATTTGCATTCTGCCTGGGAACACATCCTTTCTTTGTACAAAACTAACACCAGGATGGGAATCAAATCTACAGTCTGGGTTTCAGAATTAATTATTTAATTGATGGAGTTAAGGAGGTAAGAAAAACATTAATACTGTTGACAACTACAAGTTCCCTGCTAGGCTGCAGTCCTGGAAGTGAGGTGAAGAAAGTGTTTAGGGTGGAAGGAATGATAACTATCCAGTTTAGTTGAGGGTCATGTAAGATAAGGACTGAGAAATAACCACTGGATTTAACAATGTGGAGGTCATTCATGATCTTAAGAAAAGCAATTTTGCTGGAATGGTAGCGGGGGAAAGCCTGAATGAAGTGGGTTCAAGAGAGTATGGGAGGAGAAAAATCAGTCAGCATGTAGAGAAACGATTTCAAGGATCATTATTATAAAAGGAAAGAAGGAATGTAATCATTGGAGAGGAAGTAAAATTGAGATGATTTTTAAAACCTTTTTTCATGTACATTTTCCAACATACAAAAGAATAGAGAGAAAAATAAAATGAACCTACATGTACTCATTATGCAGTTTTTTGTTTGTTTGTTTTTTGAGACAGGGTCTCATTCTATTGCCCAGGCTGGAGTGCAGTGGCGCGATGTCAGCTCACTGCAACCTCCGCCTCCCAGGCTCAAGGGATTCTCGTGCCTCAGCATCCCGAGTAGCTGGGATTACAGGCTCCCACCACCATGCCCAGCTAATTTTTGTATTTTTTTGTAGAGACAAGGGTCTCATTTTGTTGCCCAGGCTGGCCTCAAACTCCTGGGCTCAAGTGATCCACCTGCCTTGGCCTCCCAAAGGGCTGGGATTACAGACGTAAGACACTGCACCCAGCCAAGAGGGTTTTTTGTTTTGTTTTGTTTTCAGGGAGAATTAATAGCATGCATGAATGCAGATGGAAGTGATGCAAGAGATGGAGCATTTGATGATGCAGGCAGGAGAGGAGAGGAGATCTAGTGCTGTGAGGAGGAGGAGCCTTGAAGGTTCATCCACAATAAGATGACAGAGGCCAAGTACAGTTGACCCTTGAGCAACACAGGTTTGAATTGCATGGATCCACTTACAGGCAGATTTTTTCAACCAATTGCTGATGGAAAATATGGTATTCGAGGGATGTAAAACCTGAAAGGCTGATCTTTCATCTACACTGGTTTCTGTGGGGCCCAGTTCTGTAGAACTCAAGTTCTGTGGAACTTGAGTATGTCTGGTTGGGGTATTGTGGGGGGTCCTGGAACCCATCCCCTGCAAATACAGAGGGATAACTGCATATGGATACAGATGCAAGGTATTAGGAGATGTAGAAGAGAGAGGGTGTGGACGTTCTGTTCAGATGGTTTTCATTTTCTCTGTGAAATAAGAAGCAAAGTTCTCATCTGAGAGCCAGGCATTAGAGGTCTGAGGAGAAAAGAGGAACTGAGAGAGCAGGGGCTGAGTGCTAATTATCCACCACGCCATCCTTAAGATGAGGAAGAGGAGGGCAAGTCCATCAGCTTGGCCGCCATTAAAACACAGTACACAGGGAACATCTGGGGCATGTGGCGTGGAAGTGAAATCTCATCATCTCAGGGTTCGGGAATTTATCTTAACTTTGGACGTGATCCGAATGCCAAGTCACTGGAAATTTTATTTTTAAAGAATCAGCATTAATTAATGAGCCATTTCAAGGCCTAATGAGCTAGTTATTGCAAAGTTCTTTCCGGTGAGCATGAAAGGGGAGAAACTGCCTTTGCTCCTGTTTTATTCCTTGAGGTTCTGTTTTCTGATTTGAAAATTTTCAAAATCAGGTTGGGTGTGGTGGCTCATACCTGTAATCCCAGCACTTTCGGAGGCCGGGGCGGGCGCATCACGAGGTCAGGAGTTCGAGACCAGCCTGGCCAACGTGGCAAAACCCCGTCTCTACTAAAAATACAAAAGAAAAAAAATTTTTGCAAAATCAACATGGAATTTTTCTGAACTGTTTGTTTCATAGTTAATTGGAAATAAAAGATTATTCAAAGTATACATGATTTTTCCTTTCTGTTTCCCTCCTTTACCTTTATCTCTCCTCTGTATATTCCTGCCTCCTTTCATGAGAATCAGTAACTTATGATGGTTAATTAATATTTATTCATCATTGACTCTATGCTGAGTTCTACTCATTTGAGGAAACTGAGACCCAGAGGTTGAGTAACTTGCCAGAAGACATGTAGTTGTCAAGAGGACAGTTCTTGAACCAAAATCATCTGATTTCCAAGACAATTGTTTTAGCCATGACACTGTTTTTTGCTTTTGTTTTTGTTTTTGAGACAGGATCTTGCTCTGTCACCTGGGCTGGAGTGCAATGGTAGGATCACGGCTCAATGCAGCCTCGACCTCCTGGGCTTAAGGAATCCTCCTGCTTTGGCCTCCTGAGTAGCTGGGACCACAGGCACAGCCACACCCAGCTAATTTTTTAATTTTTCTTTTGTAGAGACGAGGTCTCACTATATTGCCCAGGCTGGTTTGGAACCCCTGGGCTCAAGCAATCCTCCTGCCTCAGCTTCTCAAGATGCTGGGATTACAGGCATGAGTCACCGCCTGGCCCTCAGCCATGACTCTGCGTCTGCCTGGTTCTTACCCAGAGGTTCCCCTCTGGGTTCCAGTCACGAGATGACATGCTGAAAGCAAACTAAGAAGACATGGCTGGCCTGCTGACCCTGCCTGCTCTCATCTCAGCCCTGATACTTTTTAACTGAATGACATTGGCCAAGTGTCATAAATTGTTTAATACAGTGGCTGCCTCAGCATCCATTTTCAGGCCTGACCTAAGTTGTCTGAAGCCCAGTCTCACTGTATCACCTCTGGTCTGGGTAACACTTCCCCTCCCTGAGTGGTTGTTTGTAATGCGGCCCATTTGCTCTTCATCGCACTGACCCAGAACCCACACATCACACAGCTGCTGACCACGATCAAACCTAACGGCCAACACCAGACTCCTGTGAATAAGCCCCGCTTTGCACGTGTTCTTCTTGAATCAGCCAAGCCACACCCCCACGGGAAAGCCCCAGGACAAAGCTCCAGGCCCTCCCTCTCCTCTCTGGCTTCCCGTGGCCCCTGAACTCCCCCTCGGGCTCCCTCTGCTCGCCGGACCTCTCTGGGATGTGTAAGTAAGAGATTTCTTCTGTTCCTGCGTTTTGGTTTCGCCTCCTCCTTATGCCTCACCTGACTGACACCCTAGAACCTACCCTTCCCCCTGGCCACGGCTCTCCTGGAGAGTGGCTGGTTTCTGACCCCCTCCAAAGAGAGACCTCAAAACCAAATTAGAGAGACAGCTACATATACAAATCACAATACCACGTTATTTAACCTTCCTTAACTTCTGTAACCTCATCGGGAAAATAAATGCCTATTAATATTTATCCCAGCACTTTGGGAGGCTGAGGCAGGCAGATCACGAGACCAAGAGATGGAGACCATCCTGGGCAACATGGTGAAACCCCATCCCTACAAAAAATACAAAAATTAGCTGGCGTGGTGGCGGGCACCTCTAGTCTCGGCTGCTCTGGAGGCTGAGGCAGAAGAATCGCTTGAACCCGGGCGGTGGAGGTTGCAGTGAGCCGAGATTGGGCCATTGCACTCCAGCCTGTAGACAGAGCAAGACTCCGTCTCAAAAAACAAAACAAAAACAAAAATTTATAACATAAGTTTGTCTTGAAATCCACAGCCAGGCCTATAACAAGTGCTAAATAAGTGTTACCTGAGACCATTGTTGTTCTTATCGCTCATCAGTTTTGGGCAAGAGACTTCCCGTCTCTGAATATCGCCTGCCTTGTTTGTAGAACGAGCCTCTAATACTCCCTTGATTCACCTGACAGAGTTTTGGGAATCGCTGTACAATGTAAGGTATGACCAGGGTGATCATGAGCCCTGGTTTTGCCCTGTTAGAATGATAAACTATAAGGACACCCAAATTTCCCTTTTTCTGGTGGTCCTATGAACTCATATCTTCTTCTCTTACAATGATCACGTTTGTCCTGGTGAGCTGTTATAAGCTATCTGCCTGTTTATTTGTGGGTACAGTACAGAGACTTTTTACTTCTTGTCAGTGTTGCTTTCCTACAGAAAAAGATTAATTCTAAGAAATAAGCCATGCAAGAGTTAAAAACAAAAAGATGCTTTTTAGGGAGAGAGGTGCATAATATTCAGGCCACCAGAGATGAAAAATGTAGCACACGAGCTCAGCGGTGCCCAGTTCCATACAGTAATCAGATAGGTAGAAATAGGCAAAAAGCGAGGACAAAGGAAAGGCTTTGGGTTGGGTTTTTTTTTGTTTTTTTTTTTTGTTTTGTTTTGTTTTGAGACGGAGTCTCGCTCTGTCACCCAGGCTGGAGTGCAGTGGCGGGATCTCGGCTCACTGCAAGCTCCGCCTCCCGGGCTCACGCCTTTCTCCTGCCTCAGCCTCCCAAATAGCTGGGACCACAGGCGCCTGCCACCACGCCCGGCTAATTTTTTTGTATTTTTAGTAGAGACGGGGTTTCACCGTGTTAGCCAGGATGGTCTCGATTTCCTGACCTCGTGATCCGCCCGCCTCGGCCTCCCAAAGTGCTGGGATTACAGGCGTGAGCCACCGCGCCAGGCCCCGGCTTTGGGGTTTTGAGGGGAGGGGCTTGGTCTAAAGTCCTCGGCTCTTATTCCACCCAGAGGTTCACCTGGGCTTGGGCAGCAGAGCAGATGGGCGCCCCTCTGCGTCTTCGTTTGAAAGGTCCACCTGGCAACAAATGGTCTTTACAGCACCAGGAAACCATTTTCTTGCTTTGTCTTCAAAGCTCATTTTGGAATTAACTGTTACCGATAGAAGAATGACTCAGGCTTTAATAGTTGACTTTGGAAGAGGAGGGTATCTGCGTCTTTAGACACCTTGCACACAAGACTTTTGGTCTTTAAAAATGCTCAGATTTTTGTACTTTGAGAGGTAAGACCCCTTCATTTCAATATGGTTGAAAGTTACATTTCTTTTTAAATCAAAATCATAAAGTTATCTGATTCCTCTGGGGAAAATGTACAAAGAGATCTGATAGTGTTCGGTAGTTGCGCAACCACTTACTTGGGTCTTTGGTCTTGAAGGTTTAAATTATCTGGACTTTAGCTTCCTCACAGTGGTTGTAAAGTTGAAATGCACTCATATGAAAACTACCAGCTGTCATTAGTATTTCAAAATGGGAAGAGACTGGATTTTATTTTAAGACACTTTAGGAAACAAGTGTTGGCCATTTCTATATTTGTGCTGTAACAAATACACCCAAATTCCCTAAAAAAAAAATGGTTCTTCCTCACTCAAGTATCATTAAGTACATCTAATAATGTATTAGGCAGCATGGTTATTAGCAGTTTAAAAAAATGAGTTGTCCTTTTATTCCTTATGTATTATTTATTGGATATTTTATTTAGATTTCTAAACATGGAGGATGATATGTTTAAAGGTGGTGTTCTTGTAACCAGTTGTAAAGCTACTTAGTTGAATGAAATTTGAATTTCATGGTTGTGTTTTATCTTTACCCACTTTTCTGTAAGAGGCCTCCACTGGCCAAATTTGGGACAATGTGAGCATCAAATAGATAATAGGAAAGGATTAGAACCCACTGATAGCATTGGCTCATGGTTTTGTTTTTTTAACTAATATAAATAAGTGAAAGAGGAAACCCTTTCTCCAAGGAGTCCTGGTTCCTTTTAGTGGCCAGTGGTATTAACATCTGAGCTGCATTTTACTTTTATACATCTGTATTCATTTGACCTTAACATTTTTATTTTGTTAGCAAGATTACATTTAATGAGATAAAACTTAGTGTTTTATCTTTATTATCATTTTTATCAGAAAATTACTTGTATCAAATTTGATAATAGGAAATCAACTATTCTTTTTTTTAATGTATTTGCAAATAATTGAATATGTGTTTTAAAGCTTTAGTTTAAAGCATAAGTAGTGCTCATTTTTTTCAGTTGGATTATATCTTGTCCTCCCTGTTTTCAAATTCTATTGAAAAGATCTATTACAGCTCAATAATCAATAGTAGCATTAACACACTGGAGGTGGGGGGGGGTCCCATCAGCAATGTGGAATTTCCAGATTTAATGTCAATGGGAGTAAACTGACAATAGAACCCAGCTAGAGGGATCTCTAGCCCACTTCAGGCAATAAAAAGCACCTCTCAAAAAAGTGAAAGTTTTCTCTTACAAAATGATGGAACAATGCCAAGATGGGAAGCAGCAGTCCCCAGCAGTTGGCTGGGCCAATCTTCCACCCCACACATCTTAGCTCTAGCTATTAACTGACCCCAAGGATCACCAGATATTGAAAGAAAACTAATTGCATGGGAGAAGTAACAGACTCAGCACAAAGAATACTCTCAAGGATGCATAATCAAAGAAGAAACTAGAATAAAACTCTAAAGGAAACATGGATATCTCAGATTTGGAAGAATCTCCAGCCATTTTTTTTTTTAATTTCTGTCATTACAGTTCTTGGAAATCAAAAGTATTGCTGAAATAAATTTGCTGGGCATTATTTTTCTTCTTCTTTTTTTCTTTTCTTTTCTTTTTTTTTTTTTTGAGACAGTCCTGCTCTGTCACCCAGGCTGGAGTGCAGAGGCACGATCTCAGCTCACCGCAACCCTCACCTCCCGGGTTCAAGTGATTCTCCTGCGTGCCACCATACCCAGCTAATTTTTGTATTTTTGGTAGAGATGGGGTTTCACTATGTTGGCTAGGCTGGTCTCAAACTCCTGATCTCAGGTGATCTACCCACTTCGGCCTCCCAAAGGGCTGGGATTACAGGCGTGAGCCACCACACCCAGCCTGGGCATTACTTTTATAACAACTTTTTATTAAAGTATATTTTGGCCAGGCGTGGTGGCTCACCCTTGCAATCCCAGCACTTTGGCGGGGCTGAGGCGGGTGGATCACCTGAGGTCAGGAGTTTGAGGGCAGCCCGGCCAACATGGTGAAACCCCACCTCTACTAAAAACACAAAAATTAGCTGGGCGTGGTGGCACGTACCTGTAATCCCAGCTACTCAGAAAGCTGAGGCAGGAGAATTGCTTGGATCTGGGAGGTAGAGGTTGCAGTGAGCCGAGATCATGCCACTGCACTCCATCCTGGGTGATAGAGCGAGACTCTGTCTCAAAAAGTAAAAATAAATAAAGTATCTTTTAAGGTGGTTTTTTCTTCCATGGTTTTTGCAATTTAAAAATTTAGATAAAATTTATATAACATAAAACCATTTTAAATTATACAACTCAATGATTTCTAATATATTAACAATGTTATCCAACCATCATCTTTAATTCCAGACACTTCTGTCATCTCATAAAGAAACCTCATACCCATTAGGAGTCACTCCCAATTTCTCCCTTCCCTCACCTTCTGGCAACCATTAACCTACTTTTTATCTCTATGGATTTGCCTATTCTGGACATTGCATATCAATAGAATCAGACAACACATGGCTTTTTGTGTCTGACTTTTTTCATTTAACATAGTGTTTTTATGGTTTGTCCACATTGTGGCATATGTCTGTACTTGATTCTTTTTTTATGGCTGAGTAATACTCCGCTATTTGAACATACCAAACTTTGTTTATCCATTCATCAGTTGATGAACATTTGGGTTGTTGCACTTTTTGGCTATTATGAATAATGCTGATATGAACTTTAGGCTTTTGTGTGGACATGTTTTTAATTCCATCTAGCAGTGGAATTGCTGAGTCACATGGTAACTCTGTTTAATGTTTTGAGAAACTACTAACCTGTTTTTCACAGTGGCTACGTTATTGGGTTTTTTTGTTGTTGTTAAGCAATCATTTTATTGCTTGAGTACATAGACAAATTTATGCTACCAGGGCAGAGGCTGTAGATGATTCATATTTCCAATTGGGAGGGAGGACTCGCTTGGTCTTGTAATATCGAGCCAAGTGGTGAATCCAGCTCTCTATCAGAATCAGATGGAATTTAGCATTCTTATCCTTTCTGTTCCTCTCAAGATGCTTTTGAACAGCAACTGCTTTCTTAATTAAATGGTAGAGATCTTCAGGGAGATCAGGAGCAAGTCCCTTAGACTTAAGATTTCTTAAGATTTTATTGCCTGTCACAAAACGTACTTGTGCAACACTATGTCAGTCTCTCAGGATCACACCAATTTGTGAAGGAGTCAGGCCCTTCTTGGCCACTTAGTAAATCTGCTCCTTCACGTCATCAGATGTCAACTTCAGCCAAGTGGGGATGCTGTGGCGATAGGGCAAAGCCAACCGGGACGGGCCCTTCCCAGGAGCATGCATGCGACCCATGATGGCGGCAGTCAGGCAGTGAAGTGTGGCCACGTTATTAAATGTTCCCACCTGCAATGTAGGAGGGTTTCACCTCCTCCCATGTTGAAACCTCAGGATTCTCAAGGAGAAAGGGAAAGGACTCACCAGGCAAGACCTGGAGAAGAAACACCTGTGCCTTTAAAATAGAGAGGACGGGTGACTTCTGGCCACTTGGCTTTCCTGACACCACACGGCCACCCACCCTCTCTTGCCAACACCACAGCTGAAGGGCAGGGCAGCCATCCTAGACTAGGTCAGAGGTCAGCTGCGCTCCATCCTCCCTCTGCCTCTTACACAGCCAAATGGTGCTGCTTCTAACCCTCATCACTCAGCTGCTTCTCACCCTAAGGCCTCCATCTGGCACTGTTTGCCATCCAGCTGCTGTTCCAAGTTCTGCTCAGGTAGCTAACAGTGTCACGTTTCTAAACCATGCCTTTTGTAATATTTGAAACTCAAAGGAATTGAAAATGTGGGTGACGGTAGTCAGTAAGAACCCAGAGCCAAAGCACTACAGTCCCCATGTAATTAAGCATTCCCTTGGGGGCTGGGTTCGTCCATCAACCCCCTTGAGCATGGCTTGTGGAAGGACTATGCTTATGATGTACGGGCTGTAACTCTCCAAGTCTGGCCAATTGAGGAAGGCATCCCTGAGTCAGAACAGCTAGATCTGGATGGTACCTTCCTCTGCAGTACTAACTTCACAGAACTGCATTTTAGCAATCTTCGGAAACTTGTCCAGAGGGGCAAGGCTGTGCAAAGCAGCCACATTGCATTGCGATCCTTACGTAAGTGCTTCCAGCTGCAAGGCAGGCCACCTCTGTCAGCCAGACTGTCCTCTCCAGTCTGCTGGCTCCATAGACCTTGGCACCAGGGTGGAAGCCACTTGCCTCCTGCTGCACATTGACACAGCCATACACATCAGGCCAGAGGGGTGTGGCTGATGCTGGAGTATTCCAGGCCCCAACAGCTGGGATGTTTTTCCAAGGAAAGGATGAGAGGGCAAGCAGCTGAGATGAGCTGGGACAGGCAGATGGGGAGGAGAGGAGCCAGGAGTGGGCAACCCGGCAGCACCATCACCTCCGCCTCCTATGGCCTCCCAGCCTCCCTCCTGACCTATTTCCTAGCTTTCCTTTTTCTCCATGGATATTTAACCTAGTACTGTCCCAGCATGAGCCTTATACTGTGAATTCTGGTTCTTATTTGACCATGATGTGGCATTTGGCAAGTTAGCAAGTGTGGTTCACCCAAATACCTCAGGGGTGAGGAATGCACAAAGCACTTAGAACACCGCCTGGCACATGGCGCCTGCGAAATGTTAGCCATCCTGGGTCCTGGGGCTACCATCAGGCAGGTCTCATCATGCCAGAAGGGAGAAGTAGACTCCTTTGGGGAGGTGGGATACTCCATTTTGCTTAAAAGCCAGTTTCCATCCTGTGCCTCAGGTAAGGACATTCCCTGAGAATTGAGACCATATAGAGGCCATCGCTCTTGACTTGGAATGTAATGATAGTGACCTTGACTTCCTGACACAGCCCTGAATATCCGGCATGGGCTTGCCTCCAAGTGTTTTCTGCGTCTGATTTATGAAATATGCCAAGTGGGAAGGAAGTTTCTGCTGACCTAATGCTTGCCCATAAAATGTGTTTTTAAAAATCAAGCGCAGATCTGATGAATCATAAAGTCATTCTGCCTCCGAGACTAATACAGGGTGGTTCCAGCAGCCCAAAGAGAGGGAAGGGATTGTGAAGGGACCATTGGTTTGCACTTATCATCTGCTAAACACAATTGTTTTGAAGGTTTGGTTTTATGTGTTTGTTTTTAAGAGTCACAGGCTAACTTGTGCTCTGAACACATGATAAAGAGGAATTCTTCCAGCATTTTGTTTTCTTCAGGAGGAAGAAAATAAATCCGTGCCCTGCATTGCCACTCTTCGCCCTATGCTAAGGCCACGAAGTCTACTGCTCTCATGACTTAAGGATTATATTTAGTAGCAACACTGAAATTGACTTCCTCGTATAGCCTGGATTCTCTGTTGTGTTCCTACCTCCAAAGTGGGGTCTTCATCTTCCACCTAGCCTCCCTCTCTTGGAAGTGGGACCAAAACTTAGATTCCATGCTGTTGAGTAAGTATCCTATGAGTTGCATTTAAAGGCAACTTAGGAGTGAATTTAAAAACATTTCCTCAGGTCATCATTAGAACTGTGGTTCTTAATCTTGATACACGTTAGAATTTTTTTCTTTTTTCTTTTTCTTTTTCTTTTTTTTATTTTTTTCAGATGGTGTCTCGCTCTATTGCCCAGGCTGGAATGCAGTGGCGGCAACCTCTGCTCACTGCAACCTCCACCTCCTGGGTTCAAGCGATTCTCTTGCCTCGGCCTCCAGAGCAGCTGGGACTACAGGCGCAGGCCACTACAACTAATATTTTTATTGTTAGTAGAGGCTAATTTTTGTATTTTTAGTAGAGGTGGGGTTTCACCATATTGGCCAGACTGGTCTCGAGCTCCTGACCTCA
Organism: Homo sapiens; assembly: GCF_000001405.40. NCBI lineage: Eukaryota > Metazoa > Chordata > Mammalia > Primates > Hominidae > Homo > Homo sapiens. The sequence continues at coordinate 52,092,761 of NC_000015.10, read as the reverse complement.
AGTGATCCATCTGCCTCGGCCTCCCAGAGTACTGGGATTACAGGTGTAAGCCACCAGGCCCAGCCACCTGAAGGACTTTTAAAACTAGGAATGGGCCACGTGTAGCCAACTGAAGGACTTTTAAAACTAGGGATGGGCGGCCGCGTGTGGTGGCTCATGCCTGTAATCCAGCACTTTGGGAGGCCGAGGTGGGCAGATCACGAGGTCAGAAGATCAAGACCATCCTGGCTAACATGGTGAAACCCCATCTCTACTAAAAATACAAAAAAAAAAAAAAAAAAAAAAAAAGCCAGGCGTGGTGGCACATGCCTGTAGACCCAGCTACTCAGGAGGCTGAGGCAGGAGAATGGCGTGAACCCGGGAGGCAGAGCTTGCAGTGAGCCGAGATCGCACCACTGCACTCCAGCCTGGGCGACAGAGTGAGACTCTGCCTCAAAAAAAAACAAAAACAAAAACTAGGCAGATCACAAGGTCAGGAGATCAAGACCATCCTGGCTAACACGGTGAAACCCCGTCTTTACTAAAAATAGAAAAAATTAGCCAGGTGTGGTGGCGGGCGCCTGTAGTCCCAGCTACTCGAGAGGCTGAGGCAGGAGAATGGCTTGAACCCGGGAGGCAGAGCTTGCAGTGAGCCGAGATCGCACCACTGCACTCCAGTCTGGGCAACAGAGCAAGACTCCGTCTCAAAAAAAAATAATAAATAAATAAAAAACTAGGGATGGGCTGGGTGTGGCGGCTCATGCCTGTAATCCCAGCACTTTGGGAGGCTGAGGTGGGCGGATCACTTGAGGTCAGGAGTTTGAGACAAGCCTGGCCAACATGGTAAAACCCCATCTCTACTAAAAATACAAAAATTAGCCAGACATGGTGCCGTGCACCTGTACTGCCAGCTATTTGGGAGGCTGAGGTAGGAGAATAGCTTGAACCCAGGAGGCGGAGATTGCTGTGAGCCAAGATTGCACCACTGCACTCCAGCCTGGGTGACAGAGTGAGACTCTGTCTCAAAAATAAAATAAATAAAAATAAAACTACGGATGCCCCTGTGAGCCCTAGAGGCTCAATTTGAGTGGCTTGGATGGGGCATGGCATGAGTAGGCTCTAAAAATTCCCCTGGTGGTTCAATTGTGCAACCAGGGTTGTGCATCTGGGGTTGTGAACCATTGCATCAAACGAATATCTAATACTCAACCTTTTTATAATACTGCTCCATTTGAGCTCAGTCAAGCTAATTGACCCAGTTAAGATTTCTCTTAACTTTTAAGATACTTAAAATAAGGACACCCACTTGAATTAGATGAGTATCAACTTTTTATTTTTCAAAATTATTCATAGTCATAATTTAAAGAGCCAAATGGTTTAATAAGGTCTCTTAGGAAAAACAGCAGTGCCTAGTCTCCCTCCCCCAACTTCCTAGCCCCAGAGGTAACTACTTTTAATTATTATTTTTTTGTTGTTGTTTTGTTTTTTGTTTTTTTTTTTGAGGTGGAGTCTTGCTCTGTTGCCCCAGCTGGAGTGCTGTGGCATGATCTTGGCTTACTGCAAGCTCTGCCTCCCAGGTTCATGCCATTCTCCTGCCTCAGCCTCCCAAGTAGCTGGGACTACAGGCGCCTGCCACCAAGCCCAGCTAATTTTTTCTATTTTTAGTAGAGATGGGGTTTCACCATGTTAGGCAGGATGGTCTCGATCTCCTGACCTCGTGATCTGCCTGCCTCAGCCTCCTAAAGTACTTTTAATAATTTTAACTGATCTTTTTAGTATTTATCTCTATATCTTTAAATAGAATGCTTGGATGACTATGTCTTGATTTTCAGTTTGGGACAGTATCAATTGTCTTTGCACTGTGATAAGTAGGGATTTAACTCTTTCATCTCCTCCTGCCCCATATTATCTGCGACACACACACAATTTCTATTTCCCAACCTCACCCAATATAATTATATCATAATTTGGGTTAAATCAGTATCATTATTTACATTGACTTTGTATGCTATTCAGAGCTGAGCCATGTAATTAACTATGATTACTTTTCTTGCACCATTTTTTTCCTTGAGTTAATTGTCTTAATTTTTTTTACTTGACTTTTGACTAGCTTTCTGTAAACTTTCAGGAAACTACCTTTAAATTCTCTAACAGTTACTTAAATCTCTTCTCAAGACATTTATCTACCTCAGGTATTTTGCATATTTTATCTTCCTGAAGAACTGTCTCCCATAGCCTTCTAATCTTCTCAAATCTGGACTGATTGTCCTCTGTGACTGCTATACAATTGTTATCCTGCAACATCCCTTCAGTATCATTATCCTGGGATTTCTTTTGCTTTCCCCTGTGTTGGATCTCTTGTTTCTGTATCCCTGGCCTTTCTCTTTCTTGGTTTGCTCCCTAATTTTGATGGAGCATATCCTCTAATATCTTTCTCAGAATAGGTAGGAGGTAAATATTTGAAACCTTGTACCTCTGAAATGTTCTTTATTCCACCTTCACAGTTGAATAATACTTTGTCTGGTTATAATATTCTATTTTAAAATTTTTTTTAATTTTTTATTTCCATAGGTTTTGGGGGAACAGGTAATGTTTGGTTACATGAGATCTTTAGTGGTGATTTCTGAGATTTTGGTGCACCCATCATATCTGGGTATAAAACTCTAGATCTCAGATTATTTCCCTTCAGAATTTTCGAGGCATTTCTCCATTTTAGTTTATCTTCCAATATTAATAACATTCTTCCATGTTATTTAGCTTCCAGTGTTGATTCCTGATTGTGTGTGTGGTCTGTTTTCTCCTGTCCAGAAGCCTGTAGGTTCTCTCTTTGAACTCAGAATTCTGAAATTTCCTGATGATATATGGGTATAATTTTGTCCATTGTGCTGGGCACTAGGTGAAGCTTTTCAATCTGGAAACCCATGTTCTTCCATTCTGGGAGATTATCTTGGTTCATTACATTGACTTTCTTCTTACTGCTTTGCTGTTTTCTTCCTACTGCTGTTAATATTTGGATGAACTTCGTTGATGGTATCTAATTTTCTTATCCTTGTACTACTATTTTCCATTCCTTTGTTTGGCTTTTTTGTTTTGTTTTGTTTCAGCTAGATTTATCTTCCAGTTATTCTTTTGAATTTCTTATTTGTTTACATTCTTTGTTTCCTAGAGTTATTTTTTGTTCTCTGAATGTTTTTCATAATATATTCCTTTTCTTTTGTTCCATGGATGCATAATATTATCTTTCTGCAGATATTAAATATACTCTCCTTGTAGTCTTCATTTATTCCAAATACTTCAAACCCCACCCCCAATTTATTATTATTTTTTTTGTGTGCTTCGTTTCTTTAGTGTTAGAGGTTTTCCTTGGACGTTTTGTTATCTTAGATTCTTGGCCTGTATCTAAGAGCAGGGCCTGAAATAAAATGCTGATTGAAAGCTTTGAAGGTATTTATTAGCATGCTTCACTGTAGGGTGATCTGGTTGGTCTATGTGTTGGGGGATCTCAAAAGTTGTTATCCCAAGGTCCTTGGGAGGGTCAGAGTCCCTGAAGAAGACATTCTCAATCTCCTATGATCTGAGATCAAAACAGACAAAGAGCCAGGTTTGGTGGTATACCTGTACTCAGGAGGCTGAGGCAGGAAGATCATTTGAGCCCAGGAGTTTGAGGCTGTAGTATACTATAATCACACTGGTGAATAGCTGCTGCACTCCAGCCTGGGCAACATAATGAGACCCCATCTCTTTAAAAAATAATAATAATAATAATAAATAAAAGTCCTGGCCAGGCGCGGTGGCTCACACCTGTAATCTCAGCACTTTGGGAGGCTGAGGCAGGTGGATCATAAGGTCAGGAGATTGAGACCATCCTGGCTAACGCAGTGAAACCCCATTAGTATCTCTACTAAAAATACAAAAAATTAGCCGGGCGTGGTGGTGGTTGCCTGTAGCCCCAGTTACTCAGGAAGCCAAGGCAGGAGAATGGCGTAAACCTGGGAGGCGGAGCTTGCAGTAAGCCGAGATCATACCACTGCACTCCAGCCTGGGAGACAGAGCAAGACACCGTCATGGAAAAAAAAAAAAAAAAGTCCTTGACCTCATGAAACCTATGTTGTAACTGGAAAAGACAGACAATGAATGAAATTAATAAATACAGTATGTCAGAAAGCAGTGTGTGCTATCAGAGGGAGGGGAAGAGAAGTGGAGTAAAGGGGATCAAGAGTAGGTAGGAAGGGGTTATCCTCATTGAAAAGATGAGATTTTTATAAACAGTTGAATGGAGTTAGCCAAGCAGATATCTGGGAGAAGAATATTCCAGGCAGATAGAAGAAAGAAGCATGCATGGTGTGTTGAGTGGTATAACGGCTAGTGTGGTCAGGAGCAGAATGAGCCAAAGGTACATGGCAGTCACTGAGGTGAGACAGGCAAGGGGCAGATCATGTATAGCCCTCAGGACTGTGGTGAGGACTTTGGCTCTCATTCTAGGAGGAAGGGAGAACTAATGCAGAGTTTGGAGCAGAGTGGTGATCTGATGTGACTTAAATTTTAAGTACTGTCCTTTGAGAATAGAGGGTGATGGGCAAGGGCAGAAACAGATTAGTAAGGAGGGGCTATTGTAATAACACAGGTAGTGAATGATCATGGCCGTCATCACAGCAGTGACACGTGTTCAAATTCTAGATATATTTAGAGGTTGGAAGTGATAGGATTTTCTGATGAATAAGAGACCGGAGTCAAAATGACAAGGATTTTGGCCAAGACAGCTGGAGGAACATAGTTGCCATTATGAGATGGAAAACACTAGGGAAGCAGAGGTGTCGGGGTAGGGAGAGGACATCAAGTTCAGATTTGGATTAACATAAAAGATTTGTGATTTAGGCCCAGTGCAGTGGCTCACGCCTGTAATCTCAGAACTTTGGGAGGCCGAGGTGGGTGAATCATTTGAGGTCAGGAGTTCGAGACCAGCCTGGCCAACATGGTGAAACCCCGCCTCTACTAAAATTACAAAAATTACCTGGGCATGGTGGTGGTCGCCTGTAGTCCCAGCTACTCTGAAGGCTGAGAATCGCTTGAACCCAGGCTGTGGAGATTGCAGGGAGCCAAGATTGTACCACTGCACTCCAGCCTGGGCAACAGAGCAAGACTCTGTCTCAAAAAAAAAAAAAAAAAAGATTTGTGATTTAAAGAATCATCTTGGGCTGAGGGACCGAGTACTAATGGGGAGACTTGTTGGGAGGCTGTGCAATATCAGTAGATCAGAGAAAAGAAGAGTCCAGCAAAGAAGACGAGGAAGAAGCAAGCAACTGAGGTAAGAGGAAAATCAAGAGTGTGATGTCCTAGGGAGCCCAAAAAGAGAAGGGCATCCATGCCATTCATTCCAAGATGGCCAGCTGCACTGTTTAGGTTCAGTAAATTACAATTGTACTTTCTTGAATAAACATATATATGTACAGTCATTAAACAACTTGGGTTTGAACTCTGTGGGTTCACTTATGTGCAGATTTTTTTCAACCAAATAGGAATAGAGGCCAGGTATGGTTTAAACCTTCACTGGAATTAAAGTTTGACTTAAAATGCCAGGCATACACATCTTATTCAATGCAGTTCTTCCCCATCACATACACTGAGTCCCTTAATTGCCCTTCAAAGAGAGTTTGGCCTTTCTAGTTCATCACTTGTCTTGAGCAGATAATCTCCCATAAGCCCCTGTTCTTCTCTGTCACTGTATCTGTCATCTATTGTCTGTAAGTCTATGCCCCCATCCAACACACGAACACATGTTAAGAAACTGGTGATAGTGGTGACTGAGAAAGGGAATATCATAGCTACAGACAGCCTCAGAGTTACATCATTCCAAAAAACCAAAGGCCAAAGAAAACATTTCTCAGCATATACAAGTAAAGATTTTTAGAGAGAGTCTCTGATTGGCCTTACTGGTCACATGCAAGTCACTGTAGCCAAGGAGATGGGGCAATGTGATTGGTCAGTAGAGTCATGTTCAGTCTTTGGCCAGGGGGTGGTAAGTACTGTGATTGGGAGGCCTTTTGAAGACCACAAGATGTCAGAGGATTCTCTAAGAGAAAGAGGTGATGTTACCAGAAGTGGGTAAGGAATGCTGGCATCCCAAACCAATAGATGTATACTGTTACAGGACCAACAGTTTTGTATGCCCACTGTGAAGTGACATACCAATATACCAAGACAGCAAGGTTTGCAGCAGAGAAAGCCTTTAATGATTGTAGGGTGGCTGAGCAAGGAGATGGAAGGAGACCCTCGAATCCATCTCTGAGGGGTTCTGGGCTGGGGTTTTTAAGAGAATTATGAAGGGCAAGGGGCTAGAAAATTGTGGTTGTTGATTGATCGAGGAAGGGGTATGAAAATCAGAACTTGGAAACTTTGTTCTTTGAGTCAACTGCTTGTGGGGTCCTTTAGACCAGCCGATGTCACTAGTTTCACTGGTATGCAAAACCTGAAAGAATATATCAAAGGGAAAACTTAATATTTCATAATGTTCAAGTTGTTATCTATAGAGCAGTTAAGGGGAACTATAGGGCTTATGTGATTATAGTATAAGAGGTACCAAACAACTATGAGGAAGTGGGTCAGAGAGCAAGCTGACTGAATGATTAATGCTGAATGTGCTGCAAGCATAGTTTATTTTTGTTTCTTTCTCCCCTTATTCCCAGATTAATTTTATAAAGTTTTGTTTGTTTGTTTGTTTGTTTGTTTGAGACGAAGTCTCACTCTGTAGCCCAGGCTGGAGTGCAGTGGCGCAATCTTGGCTCACTGCAAGCTCTGTCTCCCGGGTTCACACCATTCTCCTGCCTCAGCCTCCCAAGTAGCTGGGACTACAGGCGCCCACCACCACGCTTGGCTTATTTTTTGTATTTTTAGTAGACACGGGGTTTCACCGTGTTCGCCAGGGTGGTCTCAATCTCCTGACCCTGTGATCCGCCCACCTTGGCCTCCCAAAGTGCTGGGATTACAGGTGTGAGCCACTGCGCCTGGCCAATTTTATAAAGTTTATAGGGACAGTTTCATTAACAGAGTCCCATTCATTTATGCAACAAACATCCATGGAGAGCCTATATGGACCAGGTGCTTTACCAGGACATTTCATGTATGCCTATTTCAGCTAATTCTCTCAACAGCCCTGTGCAGTAAGAAATATTAAGAAATATGTTACAGGTGAAAAAATCAAGGCTCAAACTATATGCCACCCAAGATTGCAAAGCAAGCCATCTTTGGAGTTTTGACACAATGACTTATTTTCTGGCTTTAAGCCAAGATTCCTCCTGCTCTATTAATCAAGATTAGTCTATAGTTGTTAACTCTTCAGCAGGAGGCAGGAAAGGGCTAGCTAATAGGTGGTAGGAAGCTAGGAAGAGAAGATGAGTTGGAGGGTAAGGAAATCTGAGCTTGACCTCACCAGACCATCTCTAAAGCACATGTTAAATTCCAATAAGAAACTCAAAACACAGTTGGAAGGATCTCACTCTGCAGATCTCATGGTTTGGCTGCCCCATACCCATTCCCAACTTCTTTCTTTCTTTGACTCTACATTTGGAATTGGAAAAGCCAAACATTTGCATTCTCAGCCACCTTTGCAACTAAATGTGGCTCTGTGACACATTCTGGCCAATTATATATTAGCAAAAGTCTGTTGGGAGGTTCTGAGAAATCTTTTGCTTTTTTAATATAAAGGGATGAACAATACCAGCATGATCCTTTCTTCTCCTTGCCTTGAATATGGATTCATATGGATGAATATGTAATAGTAACAGATAATGTAGTATGAATATGTAACTGTAATAGTTGCCTTGAACTCATAAGGGAAAGGCAAAATAATCACAGATATTATCCCTGATATATATTTTTTATCCCTGATAATTTTTAGCCACTGAACCAACATCAGAAGCTGCATGTCTCCTGAATTTTTGCTACATAAGAAAAATGAATCTCTTCTTTTAATGGAGTTTTTTTTTTTTTTTTTTTGAGACAGAGTTTCCCTCTTGTTGCTCAGGCTGGGGTGCAATGGCGTGATCTTGGCTCACCGCAATGTCCACCTCCCGGGTTCAAGTGATTCTTCTGCCTCAGCCTCCCAACTAACTGGGATTACAGGCCACCATGCCTGGCTAATTTTGTATTTTTAGTAGAGATGGGGTTTCTCCATGTTGGTAAGGCTGGTCTTGAACTCCCAACCTCAGGTGATCCGCCCACCTTGGCCTCCCAAAGTGCTGGATTACGGGCGTGAGCCACCGTGCCTGGCCCAAGATTCTTTTTTTTTGAGACGGAGTTTTGCTCTTGTTGCCCAGGCTGGAGTGCAATGGCACAATCTCGGCTCACTGCAGCCTCCACCTCCCAGGTTCAAGAGATTCTCCTGCCTCAGCCTCCTGAGTAGCTGGGATTACAGGCATGCGCCAGCATGCCTGGCTGATTTTTTGTATTTTTAGTAGAGACAGGGTTTCTCCATGTTGGTCAGGCTGGTCTCAAACTCCCAACCTCAGGTGATACGCCCACCTTGGCCTCCCAAAATGCTGGGATTATTAGGCCTGAGCCACCGTGCTCTGCCCAAGATTCATTTTTAATAAGGCTCTAGACAGAATGATTTTTTTTTTCTGTTACTTGCAGCCAAATATCCTCCTAACATACATGTCTGCTGGCAGTAGGTGCTTGACCAATGTTTGGCTGAATTCAATGTTTATTTGGAGATGAGAGCTTTGAGCTCATGGATGTCATGTCTGCAATCATGTCATCTCTGAGTGGGGAAAAACTGAATATCTTCTTGGTGTCTTCAGAATATCTGTAGAAAGGGATTAGGAAAACCAAGAAGAGCTTTTCTTGAAGGGAAGCAAATGAAGATACCAGAGGAGCTTGGGGAGAACAAGAAAATATCAGCGTCATGGCAATGAAAGAACACCTGAAACCTCACCACACTCAATGCCACGTTTTCTCTTTACAAGCTCAGAGTTTTATAGTATTTGGACAACAAGGGGAGGCATCTGTTAAAGCGGCAGGAGAGAAAAAGACCCAAGAGGTCTGGCAGAGGTTGTCTCTAAAGCACAGTTGTATCCATGTGTGCTACTTCCTTGTTATATATGTTGAACCAAAATAATAATCACCCTGTAATCTGTGCTCCCGAGGTAGATCATCCTGGAATGAAGGTTTTAACAGAGAGCAAAAGAATGAGTAAAAAATAAAGCTTATTTTATTCTAAAAATCAAACATTGAAGCTTTCTAAAAACAAATGCAGTTCAGCATGATTGTAATTATATGTTTCCATTGCCCCAAAAAATCAAGCAGCTAGAGCAAGAGTAAATTTGATTTAAAAGATATGTATTTAGCACCAATTACACATTCAGAACAGACCCCATCTGGCTAAGAAGTTGGTTTCCTACTGAAAAATCAGGTCAGATAAAGAGAGAGGAGGGCTATCACCCACTCACAGGATTGTGTCATTCAGGTACCTTTAGAAACTGGAGTTTTCCCCAGTGGAGATAGACCAGCTATTCAAGGGGAGAAGAGCATTTCTCAGAATCAGTTGTCAGGGCTGGGTGTGGTGGCTCACACCTATAATCCCAGCACTTTGGGAGGCTGAGGTGGGCAGACCACCTGAGGTCAGGAGTTCAAGACCAGCCTGGCCAACATGGTGAAACACTGTCTCTACAAAAATAGAAAAAGTAGCTGGGCATGATGGCAGGTGCCTGTAATCCCAGCTACTCAGGAGGCTAAGGCGGGAGAATTGCTTGAACCTGGGAGGCAGAGGTTGCAGTGAGCAGAGACTGCGCCATTGCACTCTGGCCTGGGGGACATGGTGAGACCCAATCTCAAAAAAAAAAAAAAAAAGGAAATCAGTTGTCAGGAGGGAGAAGTTGGGTATTCTGTGGTTTGACAACTCTCACAAGTGCAGTCTTTACCACAGCTATTTATATTTTTAAAGCTGCTTTCCAGTAACTGAGCAAACCCTCAAGGTTGGCAATTGTCCTGGGAGGCCTGCAACTACCAAGACCCTTCTGCCGAGGCTCACAGCTGGCTCCACCAGGAGGTGGGAGGTGTGGTGAGCTGGATTTTTAAAAGGGGCCAAAAGATAGTAAAAAGCAATGTAGTGAGGGAGGGAGGGAGTACCCCATAGGCTGAATACAGCCTGGTTACCTGACACAGTCTGGGCCACAGCCTGGGACATGCCAGGCATCTGTGCTGCCTGATGAGGGGCACTCAGACACAGCCCTGCTCTCCCAACACAACCTGCTGCTGGGAGCTGCAGAGATGAGAAGCAGCTCTCAAACAAATTCTAAGTAACTCTGGCTCTCTTTTTGTGTGGGATAGGTAATGCACCCTAGGCTGTTGCTTGCAGTGAGGTAGAGCGCTAAGCAGTCCCCAGGAGCCCTGGATATGCAGCGGCAGAAAGGCTGCCTTTGCCTCTAGACTCACAGTGTTGGTCTTCTGGGAACCCAGCATGCTTGGCTTGCTGCTTTTCTGCTCCTAAAGGAGAGAACAATGGAGAACAGAGGCACCTGGGCATCTCAAGATGGCCGGTATGTTTCCTCCTTTGAGCAGAATTTAAATTCTCTCTCAACCTGAACTCTTCATCTGTTGAAGCCAGAGATTCCAATTACTTATTCATTTATACTTATGTAGAATTGGGTCCCTGTAATTTTTTTTTTTTTTTTTTTTTTACAACTCAGTCTTTTTTTTTTGAGATGGAGTTTTGCTCTTGTTGCCCAGGCTGGAGTGCAATGGCTCAATCTCGGCTCACCGCATCCTCCGCTTCCCAGGTTCAAGCGATTCTCCTGCCTCAGCTTCCAGAGTAGCTGGGATTACAGGCATGTACCACCATGCCTGGCTAATTTTGTATTTTTATTAGAGATGGGGTTTCTTCATGTTGTTCAGGCTGGTCTCGAACTCCAGCCTCAGGTGATCCACCCGCCTCGGCTTCCCAAAGTGCTGGGATTACAGGCATGAGCCACCGCGCGCAGCCAACTCAGTCTTCTTTATATCCAAGTTTCTCAAATTCCCAGCTTATATAACAGCATATCTTTAAAATATATTTAAAATACAGGCCGGGGGCAGTGGCTCATGCCTGTAATTCCAGCACCTGGGGTGGCCAAGGTGGGCGGATCACTTGAGGTCAGGAGTTCGAGACCAGCCTGGGCAAAATGGCAAAATCCCATCTCTACTAAAAATACAAAAAGTAGCCGGGCATGGTGGTGGATGCCTGTAATCCCAGCTACTCTGGAGGCTGAGGCAGGAGAATTGCTTGAACCTGGCAGGCAGAGGTTGCAGTGAGCCAGATTGTACCACTGCACTCCAGCCTGGGTGACAGAGCAAGACTCTGTCTAAATTTAAATATATATATGTATATATATTTAAATATTTATAATAGGCTGTATAAATGACTCAATACTTCATGTCGCCATCTAAAATTACCATTATGATTCTACACCTCTGCTGGAGGGAATGGAAATTGGTATAGTCACTTTTTCTTTTAATATTTTTAGACTTTTTTTATGAACAATTTCAAAAATGCAAATTTAGAGAAAATAACATAGTGACTCCCTCACATACCCATCACCCAGCTTAAATCATCATCAACTAACAGCCAATCTTGTTACATGTCTACCCACACTCACTCCCCATCTCTTCCTATGAGCAAAGCTCAGCCTCTCCAGGCAAGTGCCTGAGTCCTCTGATATGAGCACAGTGGTCTTCAATATGTTCCTCGCTTTCTGGTATGACAGGATGTTCCAGGTTCATCCCGTACCTTTGCTGCCCCAGACTAGAATGAGCTGTTTCCTTTCCGTGGAGAATAGTACTTACAGAACATAATCTGGGTTCCTGGGGTGCTATTCTTCCTAGGATGGTCACTGTTGCTAGGTTACGATGCCCACTTTGGAGTTCTTCTCAGGGTCTGTTAGACACTTAGACTCGCATGACTACAGCATGACATGCTTGGCACTAACTATTTATTTTGAGATGGAGTTTTGTTCTTGTTGCCCAGGCTGGAGTGCAATGGTGAATCTCGGCTCACTGCAAACTTCACCTCCCGTATTTGAGAGATTCTCTTGCCTCAGCCTCCCGAACATCTGGGATTACAGGAGTCCGCCACCACACCCGGCTGATTTTTTGTATTTTTAGTAGAGACAGGGTTTCATCATGTTGGCCAGGCTGATCTCGAACTCCTGATCTCAGGTGATCTACCCGCCTCAGCCTCCCAAAATGCTGGGATTATAGGCGTGAGCCACCGTGCCTGGTCTAACTTAATTTAGAATAAGGATGCAAAGGCATGAAACAGCACTCCAACTGCATGATGGCAGGTGTCTCTCTAGCTCCTTTTCCTCAAGTAGGGTTGCCAGATAAAATACAGGATACCCAGGTAAACTGAAATGTCACATACATAGCAAATTAAAGCCTTATTCCAATGAGAAACTGATATTTCTAGTAAGAGTCTCATGGGAATAGCTTCCTTGTCTCCTCAAGGGGCGTGCCGAGCTCCAAGAGTCAAGATTCAGAACTCCAGAGCCACAGCTTCCCACCAGGTACTTATGATTCATTCACGGCCCTCGCTGTCCAGATGAAGTGGATCATTTTTACCACAAGCATTGTTGCTTGGTAACACAGCCAACGTTCCACCTTTATCAGGTTTCCAGGAGAACAGAGCTAGAAAGAAAATGCCAAGAGAATGAGAAATGAAGTTTTAAGATTAATTATTAGAGGGACTATTTTTTTAATGAGAAATGAGGATTTTTTTTTTTTGCCCTCTACATATATAGGCCTTTTTACTGGTCAGAGCTAGGAATGTAGAGAGATAGTTGGTAGGTAGGTAGATAAATGATGGATATTGAGATTAATAATATGCAAAATTATAATCAGCCTAGATGACTTACAAGAGGTGAATGGTAAAATAAATCATGATATAACAAAAGGGTGGAATATTATATGCTCTTGTTGATTACATAGGTTTACAAATAATTTTTAAAGATGAAAAACAGCAGATTTATATAATCTTAAGTCATCTTCTCACAAATGCTTATTTAGTACCTACTGTGTGCTTCGAGCTATTCTAGGCATTTGGGGTGCATCATTGAACAAAACTGACAAGGATTCTGCCTTCTTGGTGCTTATATTGAGGGGCGATTGAGAGATGCACAGTAAACATGATACATAAGGAAACTGTATAGAGGGGAAAGGTGGTAAGTGTTGAAGAAAACAAAAGTAGAACAGGATAGGGAAGCTGGGGTGCCAAGGTGTTGGGGGAGGGCAGGCTTCAAGGCTTCAGGCTGAGTAAGGCGGGGGGTGTTCAAGGCCAGAGGGCTCAGCCACGGTCTGGAGGAGGCATGGCCTCAGCCGCCAAATTTATATTTTAACTTCTATGTTATGTATACCCATACGTAGATTTTTTACATATTTCATATATTTTCATAGAAAAGGGACTAGATAAAACACCAAAATGTCAACAGTGGCTGTCTGTGGAAGGTAGGGTTGTGGTAATTTTTTTTAATGGGATCTTTTTTATAATTTGCCTCACTTGCTAAATTTTATGACATGAATAGGCACAGTTTTATTATCAGTAATAAAGCACATGCATTATTACGTGTTTTTAAAAGCAGAGCGAATCTACTCTCTAATCTTAGGAAGAGTTTTCTGTCAGGGGCAACGTGTGGTTTGCAGGCAAGGAGCGGCACTTGACCTCTCTGAGGAGAAGGCGTTCTTCCACAAGGGGGCGCCTGGCTTTAGGGCAAGGAGGAGACTGAGCTCTGATTTTGGGAGTGGGGTTTTAGGGGAGGAGTGTGCCATGGGTACATCTTGGGTGTAGCTCCACCAGTGCGCCTAAGAACCACACTCAAAGTGGTTTGAAAGCTTTTGGCCCTCTAATGCCTGCCTCTTTGGTCACTGATAACATACAAGTCGATGTTCCCTGAACTCAGCCGGTAGAGTATAGGAGGTTTGCACTCCGTAAATGCAAGGAGGAAGAGTGTTCTCCTCGTCCTTGCAGGGAGTTCACATCCAACCAGAGAGACCAGACTCAGGGTTACCCATGTACGGTGCAAAGACCTGTGGGGCAAGGGAAGACCCCAGGGAGACCAATACATGCAGAAGCAAATGTGAGTCGGTGAGAGGTCCTCAGATGCTTGGAAGATGAGTGCATGCAGAGGGAAGGGACCTGGGGCAGGAGAGCAGATAGAGGTGGAGAGATGCCAAGGCCGGTTGTGTGGGGAGACATAGATAGTGCTGGGAAAAGCAATCAACCTGATGACACTGGGGATTTTGCAACCTAATGACCCCAAGGACTAAATTGCCAGGAATTGCACTCCTGGCCCAGGTCTCTTAGCAAACCTGACCTATGTGAACCCAAAGAGGAGTCCGTGGCTCACAGCCAGTTTGGCTTGCAAGTTTTCTGGTCTGAGGGAAGCTGGATGCATCCCCCACCTCCACTAACAAGGCTTGCTTCACTGCGTGCCTGGGAAAACCGGGGGACAGGCCCTGGCCAGAGGACTGCGAAACAAAGCTGGATAAGACATACCCCCAAGGGAAAATGTACCTTGTACCAACACAAGGTGCTATGGGGAGAGAGAAGAGAACCACCCAACCCAATCTGAGAGGTCAGGGAGGGCTTCCTGGAGGACATGGCACTTGAGCTAATCAGGAAGGACATTTGAGAGTTTTCAGAGAGGAAAGGGTTCCATGCAGAGGGGACACTACGGTAGCAAGAGAGAATGGGCCATCTATCCATGCAAGTAGCTCAGTATGTCTGGAGCCTGGGGTGAGTGTGTGGAAGTGATAAGAGATGATGCCGGGTCAGGCGCGGTGGCTCACACCTGTAATCTCAGCACTTTGGGAGGCCGAGGTGGGTGGATCACAAGGTCAGGAGATGGAGACCATCCTGGCTAACATGGTGAAACCCTGTCTCTACTAAAAATGGAAAAAATTAGCCGGGCGTGATGGCAGGTGCCTATAGTCCCAGCTACTCAGGAGTCTGAGGCAGGAGAATGGCGTGAACCCGGGAGGCGGAGCTGGCAGTGAGCTGAGACGGCGCCACTGCACTCCAGCCTGGGTGACAGAGCAAGACTCTGTCTCAAAAAAAAAAAGAAAAAAAAAAGATGATGCCAGAACGAAGGATACTCTATCTGAAAGGCACTGGGGAGTCTTAAAGGATGTTAAATAGTGGAGTTACCTGATCATGGACACGGAAGTTTGCTAAAGTCACCAATGATCTTTCTGTTGCCAAGTCCATTGTGTATCTTTTAGTCAGCTTCATATGTGAATTCTCTCAGCAGCATTTGATCCTGCTGGCCTCCCCCTCCAGGCTGAAGCACTTTTGTCTCTTGACTTCTGAGTCCTGTTCTCCTGATTTTCTGTCTACTTCTTTCATCACTTCTTCTTGGCTTCCCTTGCTGACTGTGCCTCCTGTCTCTGGCCTCTGACTGTTAGTGTCCTACAGGGGTCAGTCCTGGTTCCTTCTCACCATTCACTCTTGTTCTCAACCACCTCATTTCTTCCCATAGCTTCACATGCATCTATTACATGTGATCGTATCAGGGGAAGGGGAATACAGAATCAAGCTTGAAGGCCCTGTCTCCTGGGTGTCATGGCTGAGTGAGACATGTTCAGACTGAATCGTGAGCAGTTGTGGGATGAGTCAGGATGAGTTGTTCAGGGATAAGCAGAAACATGTATTAGAGGCTGACAAGTTGCTGATTAGTATAGTTGGTGCCCTGGATCTGAAAGAAAGCAGCATCCAGGACTCGCTGTTCCCAAGGGTAGAGGGGAGGGGTGGACACTGTAATATACATTAAAAAGCCAAGTCCAAGGTCTGAGAAGAACACGAAAGCAGGGAGGGGCAGGGAAGATGGGCAGGCGTGGCAGGGCAAGCGGACTCCAAAGTCCAGAGAGACACCAGAGTCAGGGACCCAGGACCACTGGATCCAGGGGATAGATTGAGGAGTGACTGCTAGTGGGGACAGGGTTTCTTTTAGGGGATATGAAAGTTTTCTGAGATCAGAGTGTGGTGATGGTTGCACAATCTTGTTAATATAGTAAAAAGCATGTCACTGTATACTTTAAGGGCAAATTGTATGGTATATGCATTATATCAAAATTAAGCTGCTAAATACATTTGAGGTGGGCCAGGCACAGTGGCTCATGCCTGTAATCCTAGCACTTTGGGAGGCCAAGGTGGGTGGATCACTTGAGGCCAGGAGTTTGAGACTAGGCTGGCCAACATGGTGAAACCGCATCTCTACCACGAATACAAAAATTAACCAGGTATGGTGGCACATGCCTGTAATCCCAGCTACTTGGAAGGCTGAGGCAGAAGAATCACTTGAACCCGGGAGGCAGAGGTTGCCATGAGCTGAGATCGTGGCACTGTACTCCAGCCTGGGTGACAGAGCCAGCCTCTGTCTCAAAAATAAATAATCTGAAGTGGATTACAGATATAAATCTACAACATTAAATATAGAAGACTAGTTCAATAATTTTGGTATGGGGAAGGCCATCCCAAGTATGGCTATATAAAAGACAATATTAACAGATTGAGCTACATTGAAACAAACAAAAAAAACTTTGTGAAAGACACAAGAAAAAATATTTATCATGGACTTTTGCAACCTGTGTGACATATTTAGAGAGGGTTCTTTAGAATCATTATGAGGCCGGGTGCGGTGGTTCAGCCTGTAATCCCAGCACTTTGGGAGGCCGAGGTGGGCAGATCACGAGGTCAGGAGTTCGAGACCAGCCTGGCCAACTAACATGGTGAAACCGTGTCTCTACTAAAACTACAAAAATTAGCCAGGCGTGGTGGTGTGTGCCTGCAGTCCCAGCTACTCGGGAGGCTGAGGCAGGAGAATCGCTTGCAGTGAGTCAAGATCGCGCCACTGCACTCCAGCCTGGGCGATAGAGTGAGACTCCATCTGGGGGGAAAATACATATATAAATATATATATATAATATAAATATATGTATATATAAAAATATATATATAATATAAATATATGTATATATAAAAAATATATATATATATTTAAAATATGAACTCCCTGATAATATGCAGCACTGGCCAGAGTGGGGAAAAGTGGGTACTTGGGTGGAGAAACAGACTGTGGATATAAATTGGTCCAGCCATTTAGAGGACAATTTGGTATCCAGGAGTGAAATGCACAACATTTCCGACGGGTGTGACACAGCCTGGGTCAGAAGCACCAGCTGACAATAACCCATCTGCTGCACTGGGGCAGACAGGCTAAAAGCCTGTGGGAGATCCACTGAAATGTTCAGCATAAACCAACTCTGTTCCAGAGTTTCTGCTTCTAAAAGCATATCCTCAGAAATGGCTCAAAGACACACAAAGAATGTTTATTACAGTGTTGCTTGTGATAGTAAACAATGTCCGCTCATAGGAAATTGGTTCTACAAATGATGATGCATCCTCATAATTACATACTCTACAGGCATTAGAAACAACAAAGTCAATTACTACCAACATAGAAAGATGCTTGAAATGTATTGTGAGAAAAGAAAGTTGCAGAACAGTAAGCAGAATAACCCAATTATAAGTACATATATGTTTGTATATACATTTGAAAAATTCTGGATAAATGTATAATAAACTATTAACGTTGGTTACCTGTGGAGATAGGGATATTTGGAGGGGAGAGAATATAGAGGGAGGGAAAAGAGGAAATTATTTTATGCATCTTTGAATGATTTTTACCTTTTGTATATGAAAAAATAAAGCAATTAGCTTGGAAGGAGTGGAGGGGAAGAGGAAAGACCCAAAATATTAATAGTAATTAACAGTGATCATACCCAGGTAATGGGATTCTGGGGAATTTTTCCCACTTCCTTACCTGCATTTTCTAGTTTCTCAACAATGAGCTTTTATTTCTTTTTCTTTTTTTTTCTTTTTTTTTTTTCTTTTGGAGACAGAATTTCACTGTAGTTGCCCAGGCTGGAATGCAGTGGCAAGATCTTGGCTCACTGCAACCTTCACCTCCCAGGTTCACACAATTCTCCTGCCTCAGCCTGCTGAGTAGCTGGAATTACAGGCACCCACCACCATGCCCGGCTAATTTTTATATTTTTTAGTAAAGACGGGTTTGCCATGTTCTCCAGGCTGGTCTCAAATTCCTGACCTCAGGTGATCCGCCTGCCTCGGCCTCCCAAAGTGCTGGGATTATAGGCATGAGCCACCACGCCCGGCCCACTTTCTTAAAAGTTAGAAATAAAACAATGTCCTCATGCTTTTCTGCTCAGCAGCTGGACAGATAAGGAAAGCCCTGGTGATGCAGGGGTGCAGGAGACAGATTCTAAATAGTGAAGCCATTTAGAAGATAGTGCTAAGGGAGTTGGTGATGGAAATATTTATAAAAATGAAACACCCTAAGTCACATATTTAGTATCATGTTAGTGTCCTTGTTAAGTCCTCTCTGAGACATCATAACATCAAACTTTAATGTATATTTTGTGAAACATGGACTTGAACCTCTATAGTTCTTTTATGCTAATTGGTCATTATGAACAATAGAACCCAAATGACATCTGAATGCAGATGGTACATAAATTAACATTTGTTAGAAGTCTTAGAACCCCGTTGTCTTTTCTCCTGTTGAGCATGATGGTAGCTAAATCAAGGACTCAGGCAGGTTCTTTGTCTTAAAGCAGTATGTACAAGAATGTTGATTCCAACATTCTCATTTTTGAAAAACAATCCTTTAATATCTGCAAAGTGTATATGTGTGTGCATGTGTGTATATACATACACATATGTATAAAATAGGAGCACTGTGTTAGGATAAATATGATTACCTGGCATGTATGGTGGGGTTTTCTGATAGTGAGGGAAGTAGTAGGCCGGTCATGATAGCTCATGCCTGTAATCTCAGCACTGTGGGAGGTCATGGCCAAGGTGGATCACCTGAGGTCAGGAGTTCAAGACCAACCTGACCAACATGGCGAAACTCCATCTCTACTAAAACTACAAAAATTAGCCAGATGTGGTGGCAGGCACCTGTGGTCCCAGCTACTTGGGAGGCTGAGGTGGGAGGATGACTTGAGCCTGGGAGGCGGAGGTTGCAATGAGCCAAGATTGTGCCACTGCACTCCAGCCTGGGCAACAAAGTGAGACTCCATCTCAAAAAAAAAAAAAAAAAATAGATTTAGCACATCTTTGAGGTTTTATGTTATGATTTGCAGGTCTTGTTCTAGGTGTTGAGGTCCATCAGTGAACAACTCTGACAAAGATTCCTACCCTCATGGAGCTTACGTTCTAGAAGATAATAAACCATGAACAGAATATAGTTGGTAAATCATAAATTACCCAACTGTGATGTATAAAGAAATTAGCCAGGCACAGTGGCTCACGCCTGTAATCCCAGCACTTTGGGAGGCCGAAGCGGGCGAATCACATGGTCAGGAGATCAAGACCATCCTGGCTAAACGGTGAAACCCCGTTTCTACTAAAACTACAAAAACTTAGCCGGGCGTGGTGGCGGGTGCCTGTAGTCCCAACTACTCAGGAGGCTAAGGCAGGAGAATGGCGTGAACCCGTGAGGGAACCCGGGAGTGCAGTGAGCCAAGATCACACCACTACTGCACTCCAGCCTGGGTGACAGAGCGAGACTCCGTCTCAAAAAAAAATAAGTAGTGCCAGGCACAGTGGCTCATATCTGTAATCCCAGCACTTGGAGGAATGCTTAAGACTAGGAGTTTGAGACTAGCCTGAGCAATATGGTGAGACCCTGATGCTACCAAAAAAAAAAAAAAAAAAAAAAGGGACACCTGTTTTAGAAGATTACCTGGGAGTAGTGGCACACACCTGTAGTCCCAGCTACTCGGGAGGCTGAAGCAGCCAATATCACTTGAGCCCAGGAGTTCAAGGTTGCAGTGAGCTATGATCGTGCCATTATATTCCAACCTGGGTGACAGAGTGAGACCCTGATTCTAAAAAAATTAAAATTTTAAAATCAGTAAGCTGGGTGCAGTGGCTCACACCTGTAATCCCAGCACTTTGGGAGGCTGAGGTAGGCTGATCACTTGAGGTCAGGAGTTGGAGACTAGCCTGGCAAACATGGTGAAACCCCGTCTCTACTAAAAATATAAAAATTAGCCAGGCGTGATGGCACGACCCTGTAATCCCAGCTACTTGGGAGGCTGAGGCAGGAGAATCACTTAAACCCAGGAGGCAGAGGTTGCAGTGAGCTGAGATTGCTCCATTGCACTCCATCCTGGCTGACAGACTCTGTCTCAAAAAAAAGACAAGTTGGTAACATCAATGCCTGGAGGACCCCAGTAGGTCTGGCTGGAGAAGCAGTGCCCTACAGAATAATATGTCTGACAACTGACTATAAGAAAAATAAGCAGGAAGAGATAATTTATTGCCATGTGTTGCAGGTACATTTGGAGACAGCCAGCTAAAAATGATTCTCCTACCTGCCTTCCATTCCCTATCAACAAGGGTTGACTCCCAATAGCAGCAGCAATCCCTCAACATAACCCTGCCACCTGGCCATAGCTAACTAGACTAGTGGGAGGGCCAATATGATTTGCTTTCAGAGAAACCTTGAATTGGGAGAGAGAAATAGGCAGAGGGATGGACAGACAGAAGAACTCTATATAGCTGGAGGGTTACCATTTGAAGTTGAAGCTGTAAGTAACCGTCTTCTAGCCACTGTTGGGATCAGAAGCCCAGCTGGCTGAAAAAGAACAGAGCAGAGATGAGATGCAGAGTCCTGCTTGGGCTGCTGGTGCTCCCCCACCCCTGGCCTGGTTCTGGTTCTTCCTGAGATCCAGTTCTTGGGCTCCACAAATCACACTTGAATCCTGAGAAATTTACTGTTTTTGCAAAGGCTACCGTGAGGTGGTTTCTTTTGCCGCAGATCCTGAGTTAGATGTATAATCTAGGCTTGGTTCAGCTGGCAGGGCTACGAATAGCAATAGCGCAGAGGCAGTTGAAAACCAAACTGCATGGCGCTGTCTTAACTGGGTCACGAGTATGTTGTGCAATCCTAACAGGTACAGTCAACCCAGCAAGGAGAACAGGGAAGCAGTTGAGCAGCTGACTCAGGAGCAGTACAATCGTTCACCTAAACTGCACCTACACGCGACAATGCAATTAAGGATAATAAACCAGCCCAACCAGCCTTACATATTCCGAGAATTTCTAACTGCTCTTGGGATTGCAACTTGGAGCTTGCTGGTTCAGGAGAGTGACATCTAAGGAATCCCAAAGTTAGATAACCCTTTGCAAATTACACAAAGTTGGAGAACTACGAATACTATAACCCAAAAACTAATAAGCAAACCCCAGCCCTATCTACAGAGCTTCACTGTTCCAGAGCACCATCATTCCAGAGGGAATTTACAAACGAGACAGTCAGCATTAGTTTCCTTCATGCCTTCATTCAGTAAACACAGTGTGCTCACCATGTCCCACACCCTGTGTCAGGGGCTGGGGATAGAGCCAAAGTTCCTGCTTCAAGAAGCTTATATTCTAACAGGGGAAGACAATCTGTAAATAAAGATATATCACATCAGTGGTTATGTGCTGGAAGGCAAAATCAAGCGGGGCAGGGGCATATGAGTGATGGGATG
This sequence comes from Homo sapiens, assembly GCF_000001405.40. Lineage (NCBI taxonomy): Eukaryota > Metazoa > Chordata > Mammalia > Primates > Hominidae > Homo > Homo sapiens. Next base: position 52,071,197 of record NC_000015.10, on the reverse strand, counting down.
CATGCTATTTTATATGCGCTGGTCAGGCACAGCCTCTGTGATAAAGTGACATTTGAGCAAAAACTTTTTTTTTTTTTTTTTTTTTTTGAGATGGAGTCTCACTCTATCGCCCAGGCTGGAGTGCAATGGCGCTATCTCTGCTCACTGCAAGCTCTGCCTCCTGGGTTCACGCCATTCTCCTGCCTCAGCATCCCGAGCAGCTGGGACTACAGGCGCCCGCCACCACGCCCAGCTAACTTTTTGGTAGAGATGGGGTTTCACCGTGTTAGCCAGGATGGTCTCGATCTCCTGACCTTGAACAAAAACTTCTAATGAGGGAGGGAGGGAGTGATGCAGCTCTCTGGGCCAAGAGCTTTCGAGGCAGCCAGAAGAACATGTAAGAAACCCTAAGGTGGGAGCAACTGTGGCCCAGTGCTGTTGAAGCCATGCAAGCGCAGGAGGGGGCAGTGGAGAGGTGCCTGTGAGCCTCGGTAAAGACATTGATATTTACCCTCAGGAGGGGGAGTCATTCAAATTTTGAGAAACTAGAGGAGTGATGTGGTTTGACTTAGGACTTACAAGGATGACTCTGCTGTACTGACCATAAACTGCATGGTGGCCAGTTAGGAGGCTATTGGCATGGTCCAGCAGACTGGGATGGTGGACTGGATCACAAGGCAGCGATAGAGATGGTGAAAAGTGGTCAGATTCTGGATATGGCCATGGGATTCACTGATGGATTGGATGTGAGTTTTCAGAGAAAGGAGTCTAAGATGACTCCAAGGCTTTTGGCTTCTAAATGAAGATGCTTGTTCTGGGGGGTGGGGTGGGGGAAGCAATTGCAGACTCATGGGCTCAGTCTAGTCTTTTGGAGTCTGAGAGCTGCTACACTTAATTTGTTTGGGCAATGGTTTGACTGGTGAGAAAGGACCAGAAGCTGGAGCCAAAAGTTGGATAGAGCTGGTGGGCACTATGGCTAGAGCAAGAAGCCATCTGTAGGTCAAGGCCAGAAGTTTAGATTGATAGGAGAATGCAATACTGAAGGCAGCGTCAAGGTCAGAATCCAGTGTTCAGTACAATTTGGGTGGCATGGGCAGTAATTCAAACAGGACAAGGGCAATGGTGATTTATTAAGTACCAGGCATCATGCTAAAAAGGCTTTGTGTACAGTATCTCATTAAATTCTTACAACTCTACGAATTAGGTATCATTAGCTCTACTTGACAAATGAGGAAAATCAAAAGGTTGAATAACCTCTACAAGGCCACAAGGCTTGTAAGCAGAAGAACAGTTTTAAGCTTTGATTTGATCTGACTCCGAAGCATGTGTGCCTAAACACTATGCAATGCTGCATGCAAGGTTCAATGTCCCAGCTGGCAGCTGAGGTTGCCTCAGAGGTTCAAGTCAGGAGGGTGTGGGATTGGTAAGTCCGGGTGGAAGCAGAGTCTAAATGTACAGACGTGGATCCAAGTTTGTGGTTTACATTGGGCATGAAGAAACAGGCTTGGACTGGACTTTGAACCAGGAGACTGGGAGCAGCATCTCAAATCTGGCACCGGCGTTCCCACTCACCCAGCTACAACAGCACTAAGACCTAATTAAGCAAGATGATGCAGAGGCTGACAATTGTAATGGAAAGTCAGTATTCTGCTTAGCTAGGTTTGTAACACTACCACTGTATTATACTAAGATAAACATGCGAATCCAGTGGAGTTTCTTTGTTAGAGCTCTGCATTATAACTGAAACAGTGCTCTAACGTGGATGATCAAACACCCTTCCCTTCTGTAAGATATTTGTTACATAGATGTTGGAATCTATGTTGAAAGAGCTCACAAAGATCCTTCTCTTCACCTGGCTTAATTAAGGAGACTGCCCTAGATCCTACAGGAAAGAGCTTAGTGAGTTTACACTGCTCTTTCAAAGGCAAACAACCCTGGAGTTCTAATACTTTTGCCTTTTCCTCTACCTGTCAACTGGTAAACGTGCACTGAACACAAAATTTCATTCTCAATCTGCTTAAAAGGCACATTTAATGCAGCCAGTTCAATAAAGATATTATAGAAATAAGATCTATAAGCAAGCACATCCTGGCAAGAGCTAATCGCTGTGCTATTATAATGGGTTAGAATTGAGTAAGACAGTGTCTGGTTCAGAAGTTGTTCCAGGTCAGTATCGAGTAATACGCATTTCTAGTTGAATAAGGAACTTAGGCTCACCAAGATCGTGACACCCAAATGACAGAGAGTCAGTGGTAAAACTGGGTCCAGAACTCAGATCTCCTGATTTCCGGTTCAATCTTCTTTCTTCTCTACTCAGAAGGTACTAGGATCTGAATGATAAACAATGCTCACATGGAGAGGCATCAGGTAAAACTGCAATTGATTAATATGCCATACATGATGAACCTACTTAGGGTAGAGCTTCTATTGATTTTTAATTCAATAGTAAACAGGTACTGAAAAGGCTGGGAGCAGGTCAGCGGTTCAGACAACGGTCCACTTGCTGACTAGATCACTAACTAAATGTGCTCTATATAAAACACACCAAAGTATCAAATGGAAAACAGTGCTTGCAAATAATTTCATAACCAATACTATGCAGGTGTCTTAACTGAGAAGCAAAGGTGATGTTTGCTTGGATTTTATTTGAAAACCCGATTTGATTCATGATCTACTTCTCCTTAGGTATGGACCCCAGTGTAATGACATAATTGGCTCAGCCTTTAAGATTTAAAGCCTCTGTTCCCAAGCTGCAGTGGCTGGAGCAATAGGAAATGAGAAACAAGGCAATCTCACATTGAAGTGGCTACTTAAGGATCCCTAAGGTGTAGTCATGATTTCCAGCCATGCAGTTGTTTGGAATTAGAAATCCTGATTCCTACTGTAAACTGAACATTGCAAAGCTGGTAGGATTAATTCAATGGAAGAAACTTGGTTTCTTGCTTGGAGGCATGTGGATGAATAAGAACTCTTGTGCATTGCTGGCAGGAATGTGAGTCAGTACAATCACTTTTGGACAGGGACATGGCATCTTCATAGACTTGAAGATATGTAGCAACTCTACTCCTATGTATCTGCCCTAAAGACACTCTTACACATGTTCACAAGAATTCTCACTGCAAAGATGTTGGTAGAAGCAAAATTTTGGAAGATGTCATTTAAGAAATACGTTGTGGTGTAGCAATTAAAACTAAAGCTATCAGGCAAATGATAAAATAGAGCAGGGGTGGCCATACTCATGTCAGAAAAAAATGCTTTACCGCCAGGCACAATGGCTCACACCTGTAATTCCAGCACATTGGGAGGCTGAGGAAGATTGCTTGAGCCCAGGGGTTCAAGACCAGCCTGGGTGACATGGGGGAGACCCTGTCTCTATAAACAAATTTTAAAAGTACTATAAAAAATGTAAAAACTAGCTGGGCATGTTGATTCATGCCTGTGGCTCCAGCTACTCAGGAGGCTGAGGCAGGATTGCCTGAGCCTGGGAAGTCAAGGTTGCAGTGAGCTATGATCATGTCACTGTACTGCAGCCTGGGCCAGAGAGTAAGACCCTGTCTCAAAGGAAAAAAACAGTCAAAAACTGTGACAAGAGACAGAGTAGAGAACCCAGAAATAAATTCTCATCTATATGGTCAAATGATCTTTAACAAAGGTGCCAGCTACTCCTAGGTACTCAAGAGGTTGAGGTGGGAGGATCACTTGAGCCTAGGTTCAAGGTTGCAGTGAGCTGTGATCACACCACTGCACTTCAGCCTGGGTGGCAGAGAAAGAAAGACTTTGCCTCTTGGAGTATTTCATCTTCATTACCCTATAAAGATACTTTGATTGCAAGTGGAGACAAAGTAATTGGCACATAAAATTTTTATTGGAAATTGACTTTACAACTTAGTACTCAGCCTGGGTCACCCTAAAGCAAGCATATTTTATATAAGGGGTTTCAGTTTTACTTTCTTCTTCCTTTGATGACTATGTTTGGACTTTTTAATGCCAACAAGTCAGATCATTGTGTAGATGGCCACTAAACTGCCAAGGTGACAGTTTAACGAATGTGGATTAAGTCCAGGAGCCAAGTTTCCCAGTAAGAAAAATCCTAGGTCTCCTTCAGGGAAGACAGCATTTTAGAGTCAAAGCTAATTATTCTCAAAATCAACATACGTTTGCAAAAAATTGGTTATAATGGAGGATCAGGGACCAATGTCTGCTGCCCGTTGCTTCCTTTACATCCTGTCTGATGCTCTCATGACACTCAAAGCCTCTGCACTTGTCACCCCACCCAGCTCCAACTAAAAGTGTCCCATTTTTTTTTTCCCCACAAATCAATTCTCATGACTGCACTTCAGAGCTTGTCCTCTTAAGGTAATTTGAGTATGTTTAAATTAATAACGTGACAGTATTCAACCAGAAAATAAATAAATGAATATATATACACACACACACACACACACACACACACACGTGTATATATATGGCTTTGTGAATCCAGATGAAGTCAGTTGTTGAGAAGGTAGGTGGGCAGATATTAATAGAATTGGTGTTGTACAAAACAAGGATGAAAGAAAAGTGAGGTGAAGAGGATGGAGTTGTTGAGAAGGTAGGTGGGCAGATATTAATAGAATTGGTGTTGTACAAAACAAGGATGAAAGAAAAGTGAGGTGAAGAGGATGGTTTTGTAGCTGGATAGGTAAAAGGGTAAGTTCTTACGCAAAGATGTATTACAGAGCAAATCTCAAGTTTTCTGACTGCACAGTTCAAAGTTTCAACTACACATTTTACCTAACAGTTTTGAAATATTATAAAGCTTTATTCCATTCTAATATGTGATGGTTTAAGTCAAAAGACTTGAACCTTCTCAGCCTTTCAGACTAGCAATTTATGGCCATAATTCAAAGTGATTCTGGTAGTAATTTTCATTCTAGCAGAAAATTTTCATTAACCCAAGAGTGAAACAGGAGCTGTATTTGCTGGCCATGTTTTATTTGTCCTTTTTCTTCAAACAGGATAACCAAAGATACAGACAGTATTCAATAAAATAAAATAGATGAAACAAATTCTAAGAGACTGCGATGCCACATGCTACGTTTAACCTAATTTTATTCATGCTTGCCTTGGGATGGGGAATAGATCATTCAGTAAAAACATACAGTAAAAACAAAATGTCTTATCATGTACAACTTTCAAACTACAATAATGATGTACCTTAATTACTTCCATGCACACAAGTCTAACATTTGTTTTTTTAAAAAATAAACACAATTAAGACTTCTAGGAGCATTTTATAATAAAGTAATTCCTAATTAATTTTTCTTTGTAGATAGATCAAGCACCTCCAAAATACAAATTCCTATACACAGTGAGCACGTTACTTAAAATGAACACTTAAGTAAATTAAGTACGTGGACAGCCTTAGGATAAGCTGACATTATAGATGCAGCTAGGTAGGCAACAAACCATAGTGCCAAATGGAAAAAGTAAAGTATATTTGCAAATAAATTTTAAAAACTAAGTTAATTTTTTATAATTAAATACAGAAAATATACTGATTTGCTAAAATAAATAAGATGTGATGTATTAACACTTCACTATAAAGAATGCATACCAGAACATTTATAAACAGTGAGTGAGTTTTATTAAGAATAGTTTACTACAATAAACGCTGGCTAAATAGAAGTGCATTTTGTGAAGCACTATGGGTGGTATATGTTTTGCCACATACTCTTGTTACCTTGAGGTAGATAACACATGTGTACCAAATTCGGCATTCATTTTCAGTTGCTGCTGGTATCATGTGTTTTAAGAAATGTGTACAGTATGAAAAACTTGAAAATATTCATGAATGAAAAATGTCTTAGGAAAAAAATAGCTATTTTCATGCAATTATGTACAGTCTCACTGTGTAAATTTCAAGGCAAGGTTTGTTTCCTGTAAAACAGATCAATGTTCTATGAGAGAATGTTCTTGTCTTAGTGCATTTCTTTTCTCCTCCTGCGTTGCATTATTTTGCTCTAGTCTTTATTTTTGTGTGCAAATGACATGCCAGTTAAAATGAAAACTATCTCACATGTAGAAAAAGAAAGTCTGGATTTTAAAAAACAAGAACTCATAAAATCCTTACTAAATGACACCATCTGATTCAAGTAAAAAATGACTTAAACACTAGTAATAAAAAAAGACAAAACACATTTCATGAAGAATACAAAGATAAATGTCTGCTGAGTGTTTTAGTTCAGATGTTTCAGAATGCTGCTGTATGTTTGATGAGGAATTTGAGGGGAAGATTTCATAGCAGAAGGTGTTAATGTGGCCTGTATTGACTTAAGTGGTGACCCAACTGGACTGTGAAACTGTGGGATGCCTATGGACTCGAGCTGCTTGTTAAAGAGGAACTCCCCACTGTTGTTCAGAAATCCTTCCTCATGTCCTCTCTCCCCAAGCTTCCCATCCTCTACTGGCTCAGTTTCTAGCATTTCAGTATCTTCTTTCCTGCTAAAGAACTTGTCCAAGTAACTAGTGTAAGTGTTTTCCTTCTCAACTTGTTCATCCTTCCTTACCTCACAAAACTGATTTATGAAAAAACAGTCCTCCCCACCACTCACAAACTGGCTGTCCCAAGAAGACTGGTACAAGGCTTCTAATTGAGCCAGATTTGCCATTCCTTTTTCCTGTTTTTCTTGGCTTACTGACTTTGATATCAAACTTTTCAATTCTAGTTGGGACACTGAGCTATTCAAGTCATTTAATTTATCAACAACATCAGTAGGCTCATGCTGGGAACTAAGCTGAATAGTTCCTGCAATAAAGGAATCAAAATCAAATCCCTGATTCTTTTCCCTTTCTTTTCCAGCCAGTTGCTGTGATGCTTCCTCTAGCGCTATCTGGGCTTTAACCAATCCATTCCTTTCACATTTTGATTTGCCTTTCTTATCAGATTTTTCTTTGCTTTGTTCTTTCCAATTGGAAAGATCTATAATAAGCTTGGGTTCATAGTAATGGTTAACTTCACTCTCTCTCCAAACTAAGTTATCTAAATATGATGATGACCTCGTTTTGTAGTTACAAGTATGGCTACACTCCAGATCACAATATTTGTTTTCATGATGATCTGAGTATTGCCAACAAGGCTCAGTAGAGTAATTGGTATCAAAAGCAGGATCCTCCAGATACTTTTCCCGATCTCCATCCAAATATTTTCGGGGATCAACTTGTACTTCTTCTTCATCAGTGACATCGGACAGAGCTCTTGGATCAAGCTGAACTTCATCAATATCAAAGTTGTTATGTACAGGCCAATCATGCTCTGAAAACTGACAATCATGATACCTGAAAAAAATCAATACACTAGCGTTATTCTACGTATATGATTTCATTTTCAAATTCACCGAGTACCTTCTATGTGACAGCACTGTGCTAGGTCTATGAGGGGATAATTATAGGAGAGTAAATATGCCTGCCTTGCCCTACCAGAACTTAGTCTTGATAGGAAAGCTCTGTTAATATATTTGGTAATTGCCAATGCAGTATGTAACTTCATTTCCAATTTGTTTTTTGTCCACCAGTTCCATGCAAACAAAAGACTTCATAGCCACAAAATGCAGATCTCAAATCTCAATCAGGTACCTTACAAATGTTTACTCTACAGTAAGGGCAACTAGAAGAGGAGGAGGTTTGCTAAATGTTTACTCTACAGTAAGGGCAACTAGAAGAGGAGGAGGTTTGCTGGAAAACTCATCACCATGAATAGCAAAAATCTCCCTGTGTATACGTGCTGCTGAATGCGCTATCCTATTACTGACATGTATAATCATTGAGGGAAAAGAAAAGAGATTAGATAACTTAGCTAGGTAAAATAGAAAATGCAGGTCAGGTGCAGTGGCTCAGGCCTGCAATGCTAGCACTTCAAGAAGGCCAAGGTGGATGGATCACTTGAGGTCAGGAGTTTGAAACCAGCCTGGCCAACATGGTGAAACCCCCACTACTAAAAATACAAAAATTAGCTGAACATGGTGGCGGGTGCCTATAGTCCCAGCTAGTAGGGAGGCTGAGGCAGGAGAACTGCTTGAACTCAGGAGGTTGCAGTGAGCAGAGAGATGGGCACCATTGCACTCCAGCCTGGCAACAGAGTGAGACTCCGTCTCAAAAAAGAAAAGAACCATTATTTAGGGGGTAGAAATGGACACATGGAGAAAAAAAGTAGTTTGCAGATTTGTGTAAACATACCATACCAATACATCAACATTTGAGGAGGGGGAAAAAAATTTCTTCTTAAAATCTTAAGATTAAAAAGATTGGCATTAGTGGTTCCCAAACTTGGCCATACATCAAAATCACCTGATGACTCTATAAGCTACCATCCTACTCTGAAGCATCAAAATCACCTGATGACTCTATAAGCTACCATCCTACTCTGAAGCAGAATTATATCTAAACTTCCCCAGAAATGTATTTATTTATTTATTTGAAACGGAGTCTTGCTCTGTCGCCCAGGCTGGAGTGCAGTGGTGCAATCTCGGCTCACTGCAACTGCTGCCTCCCAGGTTCAAGTGATTCTCCTGCCTCAGCCTCCTGAGTAGCTGGGACTACAAGAGCCCGCCATCAAGCCTGGCTTATGTTTGTATTTTTAGTAGAGACCGGGTTTCACCACGTTAGCCAGGCTGGTCTCGAACTCCTGACCACAGGTAATTGGCCTGCCTCAGCCTCGCAAAGTGCTGGGATTACAGGCATGAGCCACCGCGCCCAGCCAAACTTTCCTAGAAATCCAATTATTTCACTTTATGAAACATCAAAATATGGATAACATTATACACTAATGTTTAGACCTAAAAAAGTCTCTTTTACTGAACCTATGTTAAGTGTCCCCAAATTAATTGTGTCATTAGGAAAACAGATTCAAATACTGGCTGAGTACGGTGGTTCACGCCTATAATTTCAGCACTGTGGGAGGCCAAGGCAGGCAGATCACCTGAGGTCAGGAGTTCGAGACCAGCCTGGCCAACATAAAATCCCACCTCTACTAAAAATTAGCTGGGTACCTGTAATCCCAGCTACTCGGGAGGCTGAGGCAGGACAGTGAGCTGAGCTTGCATCACTGCACTCCAGCCTGCACTCTAGCCTGGGTGACAGAGTGAGATTCCATCTCAAAAAAAAAAAAAAAAAATCCTGCATCTAATATGAATCAAATACTTTTTATGTTAAGATATAACTACCACTGAGACACTGGAGATACTTTATTGGATATGACTGAGTCTTGTCATCTAACATCTTAAATTTTTGACATTCATAAAATCACAGTTAAAGGACTTTATAAATATGCCTTAATGACTTTGAAAATGTTTCAAAGTAGCATTTAACTTTTCCCATATATCATCTAACCAGTAATTACTTTATTAAATGTTTTAATTAACGGCTATTTATAGATATAAATATTAAGGACCATTACTAAATTTTTCTTTGAGATGGAGTCTTGCTCTATTGCCCAGACTGGAATGCAGTGGCATAATCTCGGCAGCCTCGGCCACTTGGGTTCAAGTGATTTTCCTGCCTCAGCCTCCAAGTAGCTAGGACTACAGGCGCCTGCCACCACACCTGACTAATTTTTGTATCTTTACATTACTAAATTTTTAAGACTTCTACAATGTCTTATACATAATTTTAAAAAAACTCACTACATATGGTCCACTGAAAGTTCAGTAAATATTATTTTTCTAATTTAGGATCAATTTACCTTTCCCAGTTATAAATGTGACTGTGAGTTTCATCCATAAGCAAAATATCATCAACTTCATCTTCAATATGAAAAGGATGGCTTGAAATTGGCTCATCCATTGGAAAAGAATATATGCTCATGTAAGGATGGGAGAGTGCTTCTTCTGCTGTTAACCGATCCATGGGGCTAAATGTCAAAATTTGTTCCAGGAAATCCAGTGCTGCAGAGGAAAAGGTAAAAGTTTTTCAGAAAAGAATTGCTTACCTTTAGAAAAACAGTAAATGTTGATCTCATTTATTTCAATGACTAGCTAAGTGATTACCTTAGCACTACATACTACACAACAGGAAATGAGCATCTTAATTGTACTAATAGGTCCCCATCTTATAAAAGGGAAAAATGGACTACACAATTAAAAAGTTAATTTGTCAGAAATAAAACTTACCTGATTTACAACTTAAAAACGATTTTCTGGCTGAGTGTGGTGGCTCACGCCTGTAATCCCGGCCTAATATATAGGTTTTAATCCTAGCTCTGCAAGTCACTGGCTTAACTCAATTACTAGCACTGTAGTGCTGGATAGGCTACTAAAACTTGATGAACATCAGTTTCTTCATGCATAAAGTAGACATAGATATTTCATAAGGTACAAAAATGAGATGTAATCATAGTGTCTGGTATGTAATAAAAGCCCTTTCCCATCCTTCACTGATGGGAAGTACAACAGTAAAACATCTCTGTTGTACTAATTTCTTGATCTCTGCTTCACATCACACTCCAGCATAGTTCACACACTGACCTTGCACATCTTAGGACTCTGGTTAACCACAAATCCAGTTCTTCCCATAAAATAGTCTAGTAGGCCTTCCTTAGTTCCTCACGCAGCCTGAAAGCTATATTTACACCAGCCACACACTTCTATGCCTTATGATATCAACCTTCAACCCTGGATCACCACCACCATCTACTCTCTCTGCTCCCTGGCCACACAAAACTGATGAAAACTAGCTGCAATATCCCATATCTGGCTCATTACAAATTCATACTAAACAATTTCATTGTGACCTTTGCTATCTGGCCTTCTCTTTATGCTCTCGGTCTTCTTTATCATTCTCAACAGATAAACCCACTTCACATTTGTCTCAATCCCTACCTCTTCACTATGGTCACTCACACATCCTCTTATCCTTGCCTTCTAAGTGAGAAAGATGGCCTTTCTCTCTCAAGCCAACCTGTACTCTAGAAAGAACCCTTTTCTTTTCTTTAGAAAGATAATTTTAAGACACAGCATCTTTGCGGTTGCCCAGGCTGGAGTGCAATAGCATGATCATAGCTCATTGTAGCCTTGAACTCCTGGGCTCAAGGAATCTTCCTGCCTCAGCCTCCTGAACAGCTAGGACTACAGGAATGCTACAATGGTGCTGAACCATGCTTAGAGAAATATATGGTATACTACAGAAAGGATGAGAGGTAAGTATAGAGGGAAATTAACCAGAGTAGGGCTCCTAGGAGTCTTATACGTTCACTCAGATGTACTTAATCCTGTTTGCTTTTTTCCTTCAAAGATCATAAAGAATGTGGGGTGAGAACATGTATTCTTTTTACCAAGTTGCCACTGCCTCAGAATGTGCTCTGTCCCAAAATAAAACTCCACTGTTAAGAAGAAAGTAGTATGGAGCATACAATTGATAAATCTTTAGTCTCAGAAACTCCATCCACTCTGCATTCACTTGCTTGCAAGCACAGTGCTGCCACATGTGACCACCAAGGATCTTTGCTCAATGGTTAATAAACCCCAGTCAGTGGCCAAATATTCAGTTTAATTCAAAGATTAAAACATGGTCCCCACCCTAATGAGGGTACGAAAAAGATTCAAATAGCATTATACAGCAAGGTTACAAATGCTTCAACAGCACCGTCCTCTTGATTAGTGACAACTACTCTGAAGTGGATCCAGGTTATCACTGCACACAGTGTCTTCACCTGGCTGAGCAGAGTCACACCTTAGAGAGGGTATGCAGACACCCACCCTGTTCCCCACTCCACCTCCCAATTCAGAATTACTAGTTCAGCATTTTAAAAGTGCTCCTTGGCCAGGTGTGGTGGCTTACACCTGTAATACTACCACTGTGGGAGGCTGAGGCAGAAAGGCTGCTTGAGCTCAGGAGTTCAAGACCAGCCCAGGGAAGACTCTGTCTCTATTTTTCAATAAAAAATAAAAATAAAGTGTTCCCACAGAGGACTCATTTAGATATGAACAGGGATGTTGTGACAGTGGCTACAGGGTTACGAGCAAGGGAGCTAGCAATGGAATTTGTGCAGACAGACTCAAAGACTGATTAAGAATGTGGAACTACTGAAAAGCCTGCAAAACCGGCTGAAATTAAATACAGCAGCTTTCTTTTTATCCAGGCATTTACAGGAGTTCCAAGTATATCTGAGGGAAAAAATGCCATCATGATTTTGTCCCCAGTGCCTATATTCAAAATACTTGCTACTTGCTCTGGAAAGTGATTCAGAGGAACCAAAAAAACAGATCGTAGCCCAAGTAACAGGACAAAAAAAGGGAAAATGAGAGTTGAAGTTTTACGTACACCTTAAGTGTCTAAAGACTATTTTGGAGAAAGCCCCATATCTAAGGATAAAAAGCTCCAGCTTCCCTACACAGATTCTGCCTCACACACAGGCATTAACGTGAGGGTTACTCTCGAGTCACAATACCTTCTCGACTAATTCCTGGAAGCAGCTGAGTTAAAGGTTTGTGTGGCTCAGTCATGTCATTTCTAATGTAAACTGGAATTACGCTGAGAAGCTCCTGACGATCTTCCTCATGTACAACAGGAATAGATTCTAAAATCAGCTGCATCTGTTCAAGTTCATGTGCACCTGAGGTTAAAAAACAAACAAAAAAACACATTCCTCAATGTTTACTTATTTCACAATAAACATACTAAACTAATTTAAATATTATAATGACCAGTGGGGGGAAAAGTTTGAATTGTATCATCAGCAGGTTTCATTGCTTTGACTATCACCAATCTACTTATCTATTTCAATTTCTGCTTACTGATGTATTTAGTTTTTGCTGCTTTGTTTCCATAGGGAACTGACTCTTTAAGTTTGGTCTCATATTAAGGTTATCACAAACTAGTGAAAAAAAAAGCAACTGAGATTCAAGAGATCTGGATTCTGGTCTTAACTGTACCACTAATTTACTGGCTATAACTTCAGAGACAATAGCTAACATCTCTTAGGACTTTATTTCAACATCAATGAAATGAAGGGTTGGACTAGACTTGTAAAACAGGAAGTTTTATAGTTCTATGTTAGGGCTCAGTTAGCATTTCTAGGTTGTTAGGCAATGAAAGAAATAAAGGGGGAAACTTTAGGCTAAATAGGTGGTGACTTTTAAAAATTCCATTTGCTGTACTCCAGCATGGATGACAGAGTGAGACCCTGTCTCAAAAACAAAAAATAAAAATTCCACTTGCCTTTCCTTTAATGTCTATAAATTCATTGAACATTCAAAATTCCTTTTAGTTCCTACTATGCGCAGGACACTTGAGAATACAGTTATGAAACAAAACAGACCAAGTGCCTGCCTTCATGGATCTTACAATCTTGTGGATAAAGACAGATAATTCTGTAAAGTAGGTCTTATGGTGACATATGCTATAAAGAAAAAGAGAGTAAGCTAAGGGTGATGGCACTGTTGGGAAGAATAGGGTTGTTAATACTTTTTTAAAGTCAAGAGTTCGAGACCAGCCTGGCCAACATGGTAAAACCCCATCTCTACCAAAAATACAAAAATTAGCCAGGCAAGGCGCATGCCTATAGTTCCAGCTACTTGGGAGGCTGAAGCACAAGAATTGCTTGGACCCTGGAGGAGGAGGTTGCAGTAAGCCAAGATCATGTCACTGCACTCTAGCCTGGGCAACAATAAGACATTTTTTTTTTTTTGAGACAAAGGAAGGCCTCACTAAGAAGTGGAAAATTAAGGAAGTCAGGAATACACCAAACATTCATATGGAAGAAAGAAAGGAGTTCTAGGAAGATGGAGAGAAGCCCAGAAGACAGAGGCAGGTTGGTATGTCAAAGAAACAACAATTAGACAAGTGTAGCAAAAGGAGAGTAGCTTGGGGCAGATAATGGGAGATAAGTCAGAGTGGTACTAGAACAAAGGGTTTGCTTTACCCTGAGTTTGATGGAAAGCCATCATGCAGTTTGAGCAGAGATGACATGATCTACCTTGTCTTTCAACAGGACCACCCTGGCTGCGATGTGGTAACTAAAGACAGCAAATACTGAAGCAGGAAAGAGAAGGTCCTTCTAACAGGAGAGACATAATGGCTGACTGGACCGGGGGAGGGATAGTAAGAGTGACAGTAACAAGCCGTTAAGAGTCTGGATATAGTTTGAAGAAAGAGCCCACAGGATCTGTGCTAACAGAAATGAAGGACAATGACAAGATTTTTGTCTAAGCAACTGAAAAATGGAGGTACTGGTTTGCTAACATGAGTAAAAACAACGTATGAGGAAGAAATATCAGGGGCCCAGTTCTGGGTAGGTTAACTTTGTTATTAGACATCTGAGTGGAGATATTGAGTTAAGGAACCTGGAATTCAGACGAGAGGTCAGGGCTGAAGATATAAATTCAGGAGTCATCATAAATTCAGGAGTCATCATCAGATATAGATAATTCTTAAAGGAATGAAAAAGAATGAGACTACCCAGGGACTAAGTGAAGCTAGAGAAGCAGGGAGCCCAAGGACTGAATCTGGGATACTTCCAACACGAGGAGAAAGAGAACTGGCAAGGGTGACTGGAAAGAGGCCAGGGAAGAATTCAAGAGTGGCGTGCCCAAAGACAGGTGAAAAAGCACCTGAAGAGGTGAAGATCAATTGCAACAAATGCTGGAGATGGCTCAAAATGAGGACTTAGAATTGACAAGGGATTTAGCATTATGGAGATCACTGGTGACCTGTGGAGAGTGGTTTCTGGTGGAGGACAAAGCCTGACTGGACAGGGTGAAAGACAGAATGTAAGCAGAGGAATTAAGAGCAGCAAGGATGCACGCATCTTTTGAGAAGTTTTACATCCAACGAGTACAGTAGTATGTGGCAGTAGCTGAGGGACTGTGGGGTCAGGACAGATTATTTTGTAAGACTGGAAAAATTCTATCAATGTTTGAATGAATACTGATAAAAGTGATCTAGCAGAAGAGGTAAAGTGAAGATGCAAGAGATAGAAGTGCTACAGCAGGAAAGAGGGAAAATATCTACTGCCCAAGTACAAGTGTTAACCTGGGACAGGAACACCTATAGAGAGACAATCTGGACACACAAGAGAAATGCACCAAAAAATAAGACACACAGGCTAAAAACACACTGATTTCCAATGAGTGCTTGGTCCTTACCTTTTGTTGCTCTGTTCATTTGCAACTTATACCTAATTAATAACCACTCAGATTTCCCTTCGTGTTTTTATTGAATGGGTCACTGACAAAAATCAATAAAGCACCTGGCAACTAGAAACAAACTACAATCTAGATCTTTCCAATCATTTCATTGCAAACTATTCCTATTAAATGTAAAACTATGCTACTTAAGAGTTTTAAAACAAATCCAATTATTTTTATTCCTATATTTAATGTCCGAATGTGCATTGAACATTTAAAAACAAACATTTAAAAATACACAAATACAGCCGAGAGCAGTGGCTCACACCTGTAATCCCAGCACTTTGGAAGGCTGAGGCAGGTAATGACCTGAGGTCAGGAGTTCAACACCAACCTGACCAATATGGTGAAATCCTGTCTCTACTAAAATTTCAAAAATTAGCCGGGCATGGAGGCATGCACCTATAGTCCCAGCTACTCGGGAGGCTGAGGCAGGAGAATCGCTTGAACCCGGGAGGAGGAGGTTTCAGTTAGCTGAGCTCATGCAACTGCACTCCAGCCTAGGCGACAGAGCGAGACTCCTCCAAAACAAACAAACAAACAAAAAAACCCTTTGTATAATCCATGCAGCAGCAGTAGGTACTGACTCACTTCTATGACTTGGAGCATGACCAAATGATTTTTCATTATATAGACTTAAATTTGTTTTTGTTCTAAGACAAAGTCTTGCTCTGTTGCTCAGGCTGGAGTAAGTGGCATGATCACAGCTCACTGTAGCCTTGACCTGCCGGGCTCAAGCAATCCTCCCACCTGAGCCCCTTGAATAGCTGGGACCACAGGTGTGTGCCACCACACCCAGCTACATTTTTGTTTTTTGTCGAGACAGGGTCTCACTATGCTGCCCAGGCTGGTCTCTAACTCCTGGGCTCAAGTGATCCTCTGGTCTCAGCCTCCAAAAGTGCTGGGATTACATGTATTAGCCACCACACCTGGCTTGTTTTTCTGACTCGTTACTGTGGTGGCTTTAAAATGTGTCCACTTGGCCGGACACGGTGGCTCTTGCCTGTAATCCCAGCACTGTGGGAGGCCAAGGCACACAGATCACCTGAGGTCAGGAATTTGAGACCGGCCTGGCCAAAAGGGTGAAACTACTAAAAATACAAAAGTTAGCTGGGTGTGGTGGCAGATGCCTGTAATCCCAGCTACTTGAGAGGCTGAGGCAGGAGAGTCGCTTGAACCTGGGAGGCGGAGGTTGCAGTGAGCCAAGATCGCACCATTGTACGATTGTTGGCTAGGCAACAAGAGGAAGACTCAGTCTCGGAAAAAAAAAATTATATATATATGTATGTGTGTATCTATGTATGTGTATATGTGTGTGTGTGTGTGTGTGTATAGATATATGTATGTACACTTTACCCTTGTTCATTCGAGAAGGTAAAAAATGAAAAAAAAAGGTCCAAAAATTCTTTTGATACTCCTCCCTTTAAAGGGTGGAACTGAACTCCGCTCCCATTGACCATGAAGCGTACTTAGTGACTCACTTCTAACACATAAAGCTAAAGTTGACAGTATGTAACTTTTGAGACTTGGTCACAAAAAGATATTTTACATGTGTGGTCAACTGATTCTTTATGAAAGTGTCAAGATAATTCAGTGGGGAAAGAATCTTTTCAACAAATGGTGCCAGGACAAGAGGATGTCCACATGCAAAAGAATGTGTAAAAGTTAATCCCTTCCCGTCCCACCCACCCCCAATACAGAGTCTCGCTCTGTTGGCCAGGCTGGAGTGCAGTGGCAAGATCTCGGCTCACTGCAACCTCCACCTCCCAGGTTCAAGCAATTCTCCTGCCTCAGCCTCCCGAGTAGCTGGGATTGTAGGTGCGCGCCACCATGCCCAGCTAATTTTTGTATTTTTAGTAGAGACAGGGTTTCACCATGTTGGCCAGGCTGTTCTCAAACTCCTGATCTCAGGTGATCCACTTGCCTCCGCATCCCAAAGCGCTGGGATTACAGGTGTGAGCCACCGCGCCCAGCTGTATAAGAATCCTATAAAACTCTCAGAAGACAACACAGGAGAAAACATCCATGACCTTGGGTCAGGCAATTATTCCTCAGACATGACACCAAAAACAAAAGAGACAAAAGAAAAAGGTAACTGGACTTCAGAATTAAAATCTTGTTTCAGGCCTGGCATAGTGGCTCACACCTGTAATCCCAGCACTTTGGGAGGCTGAGGCGAGTGGATCATGAGGTCAGGAGTTCGAGATCAGCCTGACCAACGTGGTGAACCCCGTCTCTACTAAAAATACAAAAATCAGCTGGGCATAGTGGTATGTGCCTGTAATCCCAGCTACTCAGGAGGCTGAGGGAGGAGAATTGCTTGAACCCAGGAGGGAGAGACTGCAGTGAGCCGAGATCATGCCACTGTACTCCAGCCCAGGCAAGAGAGCAAGACTCTGTCTTAAAAAATCAATCAATCAATCAATCAATCAACCAATCAATCAATCAATCAATCAACCAATCAATCAATCTTGTTTCAAAAGACACTATAAAGAAAGGGAAAAAAAACTGCAGAATAGGAGAAAATACATGTAAATCACAAAATATTTGTATTCAGAATTATGTAAAGAATTCTTACAACTCAATAATAAAAAGACAACCCAATTTAAAAAATGGGCAATAGATCTGGACAGACATTCAATCATCCATTAGTTATTAGGGAAATGCAAATCAAAACCACAATGAGGCCGGGTGCAATGGCTCCCACCTGTAATCCTTGCACTTTGGGAGGCCAAGGCGGGCAGATCACTTCAGGTTAGGAGTTCGAGACCAGCCTGGCCAACATGGTGAAACCCCGTCTCTACTAAAAACACAAAAATTAGCTGGGCGTGGTGGCACAAGCCTTTGTAATCCCAGCTACTCGGGAGGCTGAGAGCAGGAGAACTGTTTGAACCTGGGTGGCAGTGGTTGCAGTGAGCCAAGATCACACCACTGCATTCCAGCCTGGATGACAAAGCAAGACTCTGTCTCAAAAAAAAAAAAAAAAAAAACCACAATGAGATACTACTTCATACCCGATAGGATGGCTATACTCAAAAAGACAAAATTTAACTCTCATGCATTGGTGGTGGGAATGTAAAATGGTACAGCTGCGCTGGGAAACTGTTCTTCAAAAAGTTAAACAGTTACCACACAGCTCAGCAATTCCACTCCTAGGTATATATACCCAAGAGAACTGAAAACATATTTTCACACAAAAACTTGTACGCAAATATTTACAACAGCATAATTCATAACCAAGAAGTGGAAACCCAAATGTCCATCAACTGAGGAATGGATAAACAGCATGTGGTATATCCATATAGCAGAATACTATTTGCCCGTAAAAAGGAAAAAAGTACTAACATATGCCACAACATGGGTAAACCTCCAAAATATTGCTACATGAAAGAAGCCTGTCACAAAGTCCAAATGTTATCTGAAACAACCAGAGTAGGCAAATCCATAGAGACATAAAGTAGATTAGTGGATGCCAGGGGCTGGGGGAAAGAGGAAATGAGAAGTGACTGCTAATGGTTTGCAGGATCTTTCAGGAGCCAAGACAGTGTTCCAAAATTAGATTGTGGTAATGGTTACACAACTCTGTAAATATACTAAAAAATATGGAACTATATTATTTAAATAAATTGTATGATATGTGAATTATATAACAATACAACTTTTTAAAGAAAGATATACTGGCTTTCTCCTTGCTGTCTTTTGGATCACTGGTTCTAGAGGAAGCCAGCCACCATATTATGAAGACACTCAAGCAGTCCTATGGAGAAGCCCACATGGTGAGGAACCGAAGCCTCTTGGTAACTGTCATGTAAGTAAGCTATCTAGAAGTGGATCCTCCTGCCTTGGTCAAGACTTCAGGGTAACTGCTGCCCTTACCAACATCTTGACTGAGAAAACATAAGCTAGAACCACCCAGCTAAACCACTCCCATATTTTGACACACAGAAACTGTAAAACGTTAATAAATGTTTGTTGTTTAAGCTACTAAGTTTTGGAGTAATTTGTCACACCGCAACAAACAGAATTGTTTATATATGCTGGAAGGCACTTGATATCAGGAACATAACCTCTAATCACAGTATTGTTCCTAAGCAAAAATCAATCCATTTAATAATTTAGTTTCCAGGAATCCCTCCGAATTCCAATTTAGAAAACTATCATACATCTTAGAAATTTTTTTTTTTTTTTTTTGAGACAGAGTCTCTGTCGCCCAGGCTGGAGTGCAATGGCGCGATCCCAGCTCACTGCAACCTCTGCCTCCCAGGTTCAAGCGATTATCGTGCCTCAGCCTCCCCAGTAGCTGGGATTACAGGCGTGCGCCACCATGCCCAGCTAATTTTTGTATTTTTAGTAGAGACAGGGTTTCACCATGTTGGCAAGCCTGGTCTCAAACTCCTGACCTCAAGTGATCTGCCCGCTGCAGCCTCCCAAAGTGCTGGGATTACAGGCGTGAGACACTGAGCCCAGACAGAAATTTTAGATAAATATTAGAAAAAAATTATAAAGAGCTGGCTTGCTGTTATATAAACTAAGTACTGGCATTAACATACTTAAAAGACATTTATGCACGCTGTCCTTTCTTCACCAGTGCTCTCCTATGTACACTAATCTTTCTTATGTAAATAGACTCTGGCCTATTCCTTTCCTTCTGCTCTTAGCACCGTCTGGGGGTTGGGGGGAACCACTCTAAAAATGGGTATGGAGGGCCTGGTGGGGTGGCTCACGCCTGTAATCCCAGTACTTTGGGAGGCCGAGGCGGGTGGATCACGAGGTCAGGAGATCGAGACCATCCTGGCTAACATGGTAAAACCCTATCTCCACTAAAAATACAAAAAATTAGCCGGGCGACGGGGCGGGCGCCTGTAGTCCCAGCTACTCGGGAGGCTGAGGCAGGAGAATGGTGTGAACCTGGGAGGCGGAGCTTGCAGTGAGCAGAAATCGCACCACTGCACTCCAGCCTGGGTGACAGAGCAAGACTCCGTCTCAGAAAAAAAAAATGGGTATAGAGGGGGAAAAAGTTATGTCAAAAGACAGAAAAAGGCCTTAATCACTATCACACCACTTCCCCAACTAAAAAATCTTCAGTACCCCTACTATTCCTTACTTTTCCATATGGAAAGTCCTCTGCCTACTTTCTAAATACTTTCTAGTATTCCGACCCCATCTTAACTAGTCATAAATATGTTTATTATTATTTGACAACTTGCACAAATCTCAGATTCATGAATGCACCAGGCTTATACTCTTATTTATATGGGTACCCTTAAATAACACATTTTCTCTCTTCCCCAATTAAAATTCTTCGCTACTTCTAAATAGTGAAAAATCTGTTTGACTCCATAATGCCTTCCATTCCAGCAATCACTGATGCATAGCTTCTCTAAGTTTACAGCTCTAGTCTATACTAAATAATTTTATACAGACCTATGCTTTGCTTTATGACACAAGACATTTTTCATGGATTACTCATCTCATCTTGACAAAGTCCTCTCTCACACACTTCTTTAGACTTCTAAATAGCACCAAACTTAACAAAAAATTACTTGTTTGGTTGTTTATAGGGGGAGGGGACCAAGAAAAATTTGTTGGATTTTCAACAATGGCTTAAAATTTTCACCAGGAAGTGATGATACTGACAGAATTATGCAACTTAAGTATCAACACAAATTACCAACAAGTATTATGGGTCCACAAAATATGAAATTATATTTAAACAGGAGTTCTGATAATTTATGAAGTGACCAATTTAGTGAATATGTGAATAAGTTTTCTCAATTTTTTTATTAAAAACGCCAATTTATCTGTTCATTTTAGTATTACAGATCATAACAAATTATTTTAAATCTTATATGAATCTTGCTTCAGAGATAAAATGCAAAATTACTTCTCTTTGGGAAAATTTTTCCCCCCACAAAATACTAACCTGCAAAAAGGGTTTTACCAGTCAGCATTTCAGCAAAGATGCAGCCTGCAGCCCACATGTCAATGGCTTTAGTATAATTATTAGGAGAAAGTAAAAGACGTGGAGATCTGTACCATTTAGTAACCAATCCTTCAGAAAGATGACCCTATAAAAGAAACAAAAAACATACTTTTTTTACTTTAGCTGAAGAACAGTACTTACAACTTGATTAAAGAATCCTTAATTTGCCAGGCGTGGTGGCTCATGCCTGTAATCCCAGCATTTTGGGAAACCAAGGTGGGCGGATCACCCAAGGTCGGGAGTTCGAGACCAGTCTGACCAACCGGAGAAACCCCATCTCTACTAAAAATACAAAATTAGCCAGGTGTGGTGGTGCATGCCTGTAAACCCAGCTACTTGGGAGGCTGAGCCAGGAGAATCGCTCGAACCCGGGAGGTAGAGGTTGCGGTGAGCCGAGATTGTGCCACTGCACTCCGCCCTGGGCAACAAGAGCTAAACTCCATCTCAAAAAAAAAAAAAAAAAAATCCTAATCTTTAACCCCAGCACTTTGGGAGGCCGAGGTAGGTGGATCACTTGAGGTCAGGAATTTGAGACCAGCCTGGGCAACATGGTAAAACTCTGCCTCTACTAAAAATACAAGAATTAGCCTGGCATGGTGGCACACGCCTGTAGTCCCAGTTACTTGGGAGGCTGAGGTGGGAGGATCACTTAAGCGCAGGAGACAGAGGTTGCAGTGAGCAAAGAGCAAGACCCTGTCTTTAAAAAAAAAAAAAAAAAAAAAAAAATTATATAACTCTAGGCCACACATTCAAAGCATTTTTCAGAAGACGAGCTGGTTTACACTCAGTCTTGAGATAATCAAAGAGCAAGTATGCTTCAAGTCAGAACAGTAGGGAAGAGCACCAGAGGTGCTACTTATAAACCAATGTCTACCTCCTTAATGACCTCTACTATAAATCCTATTCATCACCTAT
The DNA here is from genome assembly GCF_000001405.40 of Homo sapiens. NCBI lineage: Eukaryota > Metazoa > Chordata > Mammalia > Primates > Hominidae > Homo > Homo sapiens. Next base: position 52,049,162 of record NC_000015.10, on the reverse strand, counting down.
TCAACTACTTTACAATTACAAAGCACCTTACAAAACCTTACACATATATTGCCTTATTTCATCCTCAAAACTACCCTGAGAGATTGTGATGGTAGATATTAACTCCATTTTATAGGTGTGATGACTGAGAGAGTGAGATCTGCTTCAAGTCATATAGCTAGTTGGATGTAGAAATGGAGTCAATTTTATATAGTATAAGTCTTATTAGTTCAGTGCTCTATCCACAATACTTCACTGTGGATACAGTGCTCTACCCACAATATTTCACTGTGGACGTCGTCAGTGTAATACTCATCTCTTTTTCTTTTTCTCTAGGAAAAAAAAGTTGTCTGTGTTGCCCAGGTTGGTCTCAAACTCCTGGCCTCAAGTGATCCTCCTGCCCCGGCCTCCTAAAGTGCTGAGATTACAGGCAGGAGCCACTGCGCAGGTTGGTCTCAAACTCCTGGCCTCAAGTGATCCTCCTGCCCCGGCCTCCTAAAGTGCTGAGATTACAGGCAGGGGCCACCGCGCTTCCAGCCTAGAACTCATTTTCTACAAAATATCTTTTTTGTTTGGAAATGGAGTTTTGCTCCTGTTGCCCAGGCTGGAGTGCATTGGCGCAATCTCAGCTCTTTGCAACCTCCACCTCCTGGATTCTCCTGCTTCAGCCTCCCGAGTAGCTGGAATTACAGACATGCACCACCAGGCACAGCTAATTTTGTATTTTTAGGAGAGACAGGGTTTCACCATGTTGTCAGGCTGGTCTCAAACTCCTGACCTCAGGTGATCCGCCTGCCTCAGCCTCCCAAAGTGCTGAGATTACAGGTGTGAGCCACTGTACCTGGCCCAAGTAAAAATACCTTAATGTGGGCTGGGCGTGGTGGCGGGCGCCTGTAATCCCAGCTACTTGGGAGGCTGAGGCAGGAGAACTGCTTGAACCCAGGAGGCGGAGGTTGCAATGAGCTGAGATCACACTATTGCACTCCAGCCTTGGTGACAAGAGCACAACTCAGTCTCAAAAAAATAAATAAATAAAAATAAAAATAATCTTAACGTGAAACAACATGTATGAAGATTTGTCTTAGGCATGTACTGTGGAAAGCTAACAAAGCAGGGCTCCCAGGGGTTCTTTACAACCAAAGCAGCTCCACCTCTCTAATTTAAACATCAGGGTCCCACATAAGATTTCATTTCCAAACTAAAAGACCAAGGTTCAGCTTGAAAAATATTAAATTCTTGTATGAAGGCAATTTGCTATCTAAGACGAAGTTGCTGTGAGATCTTTTTGGCTATACTTATTACCAATTGTTTATGTGAATTTAGATTTCAAGCTAAATTTAGTTTAAACAAAGCAGAACTGAATAGTACAGGCTCAAAGAGACAAAAGAAGACATAAGCTTGGGTGTGCTGGCATGCACCTTTAGCCTCAGCTATTCAGGAGGCTGAGGCCAGAGGATCACTTGAGCCCAGAAGTTTGACACCAGCCTGAGCAACACAGCAAGATCTTGTCACTAAAAACTTAAAAAAAAAAAAAAAAAGGCTGGGCATGGGGGCTCACACCTGTAATCCTAGCATTTTGGGAGGCTGACGCAGGCAGATCACTGGAGGCTAGGAGTTCAAGACCAGCCTGGCCAACACGGTGAAACCCTGTCTACTAAAAATACAAAAAAATTAGCTGGGCATGATGGCACGCACCTGTAATCCCAGCTACTTGGGAGGCTGAGGTACAAGAATCGCTTGAATCCAGGGGATGAAGGTTGCAGTGAGCCGAGATGGCGCCACAGCACTCTACCCTTTGTGACAGAGTGAGACTCTGTCTCAAAAACAAAAGACCTAAAGTTGAAATAGCATCCCCTCTTACCACAATTCTGTCCCAAAGAAAGAAGAGTATATTCCACTTTTAAATAACTAAGGGAGAATTTCATTTATAATAAATAACCATACACTTTAAAATTTCATTATAATAACCATGTATTTTTAGAAATTTGTATTTAATTATCCCACTCCACCTTCATTTCAAACAGAGAGACTTGTTTCAGAAAAAAGGCACTATGTAAAGTTTAATAAGATTAAAAATTCTGCCACAATATACAAAGAAAATATAAGTACCTATTCCTGATTAGGTGTATCAGTTTAAAGATCTGTCTCAGCTGGCTTTCTATACATACCTTATGGGAATAATGAGGATCCATGATCCGTGCAAGACCAAAGTCACCTATCTTCAGCACCAAGTCTTCCGTATTAATGAAAAGATTAGCTGGTTTGAGATCTCTGTGCAGTACATTTGCAGAGTGAATATACTTGAGCCCCCGTAGCAGCTGATACATGAAAAGCCTGGCATGCTCTTCCAGTAAAGGGCCCTGCTCCAGCACATTAGCCAAGTCTGTCTCCATGTACTCCTGAACAATGTAAACACTGTTCAGTTCCGTAAGAGAGCCCACATCGTCTGTTAATTGGCTTCCACTGGGACCAAGAATCTCAAACACTTTCACAATGTTATCATGGTCAAGTCTTCTAATAATTTTGATTTCACGTAGAGCATGTTTGACACTCTGGGGATCAGTAAGGACAATTTTCTTGATGGCTACTCTTTTGTCACAGTCATTGTCTACAGCAGAAAAAACCAAGCCATTGCCTCCACAACCCAATGGTTTTAAGTCCATATACCTAGAACCCAGATCAAAACCATGAATGTTCATGAGACTTTCAAATTTCTCTGCCATTTTGAAACCCTTACTATTGCCTTTTCCTTTCAAATTGAACTTGTGTAAACAAGGAAGAAAACTGGCATCAAAAGGAAAGATCTTTCAAAAAGGGAGAAGAAAAATAATTATGCTTCCACAGCAAGATGGTTTCTTGATGTTCATTGCATATGCCAAACAGGCCTGTCGAGTTCCCCTTAGATTTAAAGCTCAAAAAGCTCTATTCATATTGAGAATTAAAAAGATTGCAGTACTCATAGTTCAAGAAAGGGGCAGCAACTCTGCAGACATTTAACGAAAACAAGAAACTCAAACGGAATGAAATGACATACTGTGCACTCAGATTACCGTGCTAAACGATTTAACATTTAACAAAAATGTGAATAAATATGCACACAACAGGCTTCTATGAACATTCTCCTCACAGTGCAGATACATTCAGTGTTGGACTGGTCCTGAGCAGCATCATTCTAAGGTGCTGGTAAGCACTATTTCCGTTTTGCTTCTTTTTTTCCTTTGTTGCTATATATTTATTTCAACAGGAAGCCCTGGCGGCTGTTGGTTAACAGAAGATGTCTTTTGTTAGTGATCAGGTGGCTCCAGCTCACCACAATCACAATCAAAGCTACCGTCCATCTTACTCTGATACAACCTGGGGGGATGAGAAAAAGAAGAGAGTCACCATTGCAGGAAATACTCTTTTCTTCAAATTTGTAGTATGACACAAAGTAGGCATTTAGCAATAAACTACTACTGGTACATTAAACTTAATTATGGTCATTAAGTGACAAATTACCCTTAATCAAAAATAGCTTACAAAAATGTTATCAGCAATTCACACACGTTGGCCCGGGCTCCAGATTTCACTACACTAGATTCTTGGTAACAGGCTCATTAGGTTGTACCATTTCTGAAATGCCAACAAGTATGGGAAGGTTCATAATATTTTTATAGAACTTGAGTTTTGTGAGGGGTAAAACGTTAGTAACATCTATCTAAATATCTAAAAGAATATAGAAGAAGCCTGCAATGTGTTAGTTTGTTAAAAAGCATGTTTACTTATTAACTATGCCTATCAATATCCAATGAACAAAAATCTAACAGCACAAATATGCAAATAATGTTCTTCAACTTATAAGAGTAAACTTGAACAATGAATAATACCTATGAAAAGGTATTTAATGTGACTGATAGGAAAAGATTACCTTAAGAGAACATTTCAGATTGAAAAAACATGCATCTCTGTTAATGTCAAGTCTGAGGAGTGTAGAAAAACAAACTTTCACACAATAGTGGTTGGAGTTTAAATTAGTAAAAACTTCAGAGCAATTTGGCATAAACATATAAATGAATAAATAAATAGCGTACTCTATGACCCGGCCATTTTTCTTCACAGTAAACTCCCTAGAGAAATGCTCATTTTTTTTTGGTAAAGAAAATTAGAAACAACCTCAACTTCATAAAATAGGAGAACAGATAAGTAGTTATATGCATGCAAAATAGTTTTTTTTGGTAAGTACATATGTATATTGCAAAACTAAAAAAAAAAAAAAAAGGAAAAAAAAATGAGACAAATACCAAATTCATAATGATTACCCGGAGATTAAGGAAAGAGACCAGAATCATTTATCTGCGTTTTAATGTGTTATTTATTTTAAAATAACAAACATGGCAGATTACTAGAATCTTATAGAGCTGGGTGGTATGTATATGAAGGTTCATTATATTGATCTCTGTACACTTAAAATATTTCATACTTTAAAAAATATCCTATAAAAGGGCAGGAAAAAATAGCCTCAACTCCAGTAGATGGTTCCCTAGCCAGCCTGGAAAAAAAAAAATGCAACTTGGTTCTTTCAGTTTCTTAATGGCCTAATTGCAGAGTACCCAGAATACCAGATATGAGGCATTATGGAAAATCAGGTGGTCAGAATTCCTAACAAATAAGACCAGACAATATTTTAGGCAGAAAGAATAAAGCCACCAATTTATTCGTTTAATATATAAACATATATTGAGCAACTACTATATGCTAGGCAGGAGCAAACCTGATATGAGCAAAAGGATTCTGGCCCTCAGTAAACGCAACTCATTGTCCAATAGGAGAAAGACAGCTTTAATAAAAACTGATACTTACTATATCCCTCAGTTCTTTTAATAAATAAGAACGGGTCTTGTATCTGCTTAATATCATGAAGGATACTAATAGTATAATAGCTTTATTTTACTGTAACAGAAACGGCTTCTCCTGTCTACAAGTTTTTCTCTGCTTCTCAGAAATCAGCCCTCCTAGCCCGCCCCCCCAAAAAAAAAGTCCTAAAAATTCTGTAGCTTACCAGTCTATCTGTAATAAAACACTTAAAAGTTGAAGTTTGTGAATAAACTTTTGAATTAAAAAAATATCTCAAGGCCGGACACGGTGGCTCACGCCTGTAATCCCAACACTTTGGGAAGCCGAGGCAGGCAGATCACGAAGTCAGGAGTTCAAGACCAGCCTGGCCAATATGGTGAAACCCCGTCTCTACTAAAAATACAAAAAGTAGCCAGGCGTGGTGGCGCATGCCTGTAGTCCCAGCTACTCAGGAGGGTAAGGCTGGATAATCGCTTGAACCAGGTAGGTAGAGGTTGCAGGGAGGTAGAGGTTGCAGTGAGCCGAGATCCTGCCATTGCACTCCAGCCTGGGGGACACAGCGAGACTCTGCCTCAAAAAAAAAAAAAAAAAAAAAAAAAAAAAAAAAATCAAACAACTTAAGTCCAACATATCATTTGCTATTATCTAGCTGAGCCATTAGTCTGTCTTTGGTCTTTAGCCAGTGGATTTTCAATGTTGTTATATGATCTAGCTCATGTGATAGTGGAAATAAGTAATAAAAATAAATTTTTGTGGCCAGGCGCGGTGGCTCACGCCTGTAATCCCAGCACTTTGGGAGGCCAAGGCAGGTGGATCTCCTCAGGTCGTGAGTTCGAGATCAGCCTACCAACATGGAGAAACCCCGTCTCTACTAAAAATACAAAAATCAGCCCAGCGTGGTGATAGGTGCCTGTAATCCCAGCTACTCGGGAGGCTGAGGCAAGAGAATCGCTTGGACCTGGGAGGTGGAGGTTGCAGTGAGGTGAGATCACGCCACTGCACTCCAGCCTGGGCAAAAGAGCAAGATTCCGTCTCAAAAAAAATGAATAAATAAAAAATAAAAATAATTTTTGTATTGGTAAAAAAGTTTCAGATTTTTAAAAAGGGCTTTAATACTGCATGTCTCCCTCCCACCAAGTTTTTTCTGTTTGTACACATCTTGATTCTTCCTGCTCGCTCCCCACTAAATACCCTAGGAAAACCAGTTTGTTTGTTTTTTGAGACAGGGTATTGCTCTGTCATCCAGGCCAGAGTGTAGTGGCGTGATCACCACTCACTGCAACCTCTGCATTCTGGGCTCAAGCAATCCTCCCACCTCAGCCCCTCAGCCCCCCAAGTAGCTGGGACTACAGGCAGGAGTCACCACACCTGGCTAATTTTTGTATTTTTTGAAGAGACGGGGTTTCACTATGTTTCCCAGGCTGGTCAAGAAAACCAGTATTTCTCAAAGGCTCCATTATTTCCTAAATTTTACATCTCTAGTCTCTACCTGAAATAGAATGCTTGTTCACGCTTACCTTCTTGCCTTAACGTAGACAATTCCTTAAAGCTCAGTCATGTTTTACATTTCTGATAAATGTACACTGTAAAGTCAGTTCTATAGACAAATGAAATGAGAACAGTAAGATCTCCAAGTTCTCTCTCAAACTTCTAGTTCACAGCAATCTAGTCAAGCACAAATAATGCTTTGTCAAAAATTACACCACTGTTATCTGACAGAATAGCACTATAGTAGGAGTTGTAGCCAGATTAGGAAAGCCATGAAAATGAGAGATCCTTACTCAAGACCCCCATCCACATCTGCCCCCCTTAAATTTTATTGAGACCAAGCCTCACAAACTAGAAACTTCAAGGATGCGAGTGCCTTTTCAGAATTCTCAGTGACTGGTCAGCACTTAACGAGGTAAGAGTGGGTAAAAAGTGATACTAGGGAAGGTAGGAGCTTTGCCTACACTGAGAACTGCAGAGTCATCACTATGTGCTCAGATGATGAAGACTATACATTGTAACAAGAGAAGGTAGTATTTATAAAACAAACTGTAATTCCACTAGACAATGAGGATTATACCAGTTAAACATCTGGGGGAGAAAAAGATTTACAATGGCAGTGCTTGTTCAGTGATTCTGCGTCACTGCTCTGTGAGTAGTAGTCTTCAAGATCCTTCACTATCCATTAGACCAAATGCTGCTAGAGTGCCTTTTCAGCCAGGATCTTGGAAAGCAGACCCACCTTAATTAGTAAGCTGCGAGTAATGCTGTACCTCTATATCATACAGTGGATCCAATAAGTGTTTCCAATTCAGTCACGTTCCATTATTTGGTATTTGATAAGTATTTGTGTCAGTCAATCTCTTGGCAATGGGGATAAAATGGTGAGTAAAGAGAGACTTGGGCTCTGCCCTCATGGAGTTTATCATGTGACTAGAGACAAACAATTTTTTTAAAAAGAAAAGTAAACAAAGAAATGAAGAAAGGACAAGTGGTACCAAGGAATGCTACAAGATACTACTGAGAATCTGCACACTGGGGGTCTGACCTAATTAAGAAAGTCAAGATGTGTGTGCCTGGTAGCCATAAAAAAGGCAGAGGCCTCTCATGCTCTCCTAGTGACCTTAGAAAGAAAACTGTTCCCTCCTTATCACCTTAACTCTTAGGGCAGGTATATTCCAAATTCTGATCTCTCTAACTACCTCCAACTTTCACATCAATCACGGAGCTCCTTGGCCTGACTAAAGCATATATAAAACTCAGTTGGACCAGCAGATGGTCACTGCATCCTCTATCCACATCAGTGTACTATTAATTGCCATTATCTCCACCATCTTTCATGCTTAATTTCATAAAGGCAAAGTTAAGGCCGGGCGCGGTGGCTCACGCCTGTAATCCCAGCATTTTGGGAGGCTGAGGCGGGCAGATCACCTGAGGTCCAGAGTTCGAGACCAGCCTGATCAACGTGGAGAAACCCCATCTCTACTAAAAATACAAAATTAGCTGGGCGTGGTGGCGCATGTCTGTAATCCCAGCTACTCCAGAGGCTGAGGCAGGAGAATGGCTTGAACCCAGGAGGTGGAGGTCGCTGTGAGCCGAGATCGCGCCATTGCACTCTAGCCTGAGCAACAAGAGCAAAATTCCATCTCAAAACAAAAAAACAAAAAAACAAAAAAACAAAGTTTAAAGCTTAGACCCAGGAAAAAACTGGGGCTCCATATTCTTTTTACACGTTCTACACACTTCAACAAGGCAGTAAAAAGGAAGGTAACATAAAGGGACCCTTTCCAGCATCTTTCCAATTTCTCTGCTTCCAAATAAATGTTACCCATTCCTACCAACCATTGCTGATTCTGGGTTGTTTGGGGAGTGATCATTAAGTTTAATTAGCTGGTTCGATATTGTTTTGTTTTTAAAAATTTGGTGAATAAAATGAAGTAAAGAGAATAATTTATAAGAATAAAAGTTGGCTTTTTGCTTTTTCTTTGGCTTTCTTTCAGTGATCTACCATGTCATGGAATTAAAAGCTCTTTATAATGCAGGCTGGATACCAGCTTCCTAAGTTTATAAGGCAGTTCCCTGAAACTGCATTAGCCACAACTGTCTGCTCAAGCACTGCTCTCTTTGCTACATTACCTCCTGCTCCCTGTCAGCTGGTCTACCCCCACACCAAGAGTAATGCTGGTACTGGGAGTCAAGCCTAAGTGTATAAAGTAATGAAATGCAAACAAAAGAAGTAACTTTACTTTGTCCTATCTCGCCAGAATTTTCTTTTTTTCTTATCAAGGAGCAACTTGGCCTACTTATGTCAAAAAGGAAGTCTAGATGTGCAAAGAAAGTTTGAAGTAAGGGCCATAAACATAAAGGTTACTTTTTCTGGTTTTCTCCTCAACCTTCTGCTCTGCTGCTTCTCAGGATAAATGCTGACATGGGTCATCTGGCCTGTTCACATTCACTGACAGCACAGCACTTCCCCCATCCCCTCTCCACAAAGGCTCTTATTTTGCTCTTCTCCATAGTCAAGTGAGTAATTTGAGTTAACAGGAACCTAGCCAGCCTCACATCTCCTCAGCCAAAACCCAGTTGCTTTTGGACAGAAGGGAAAGGTTGAGCTTTTCTTATATTCACCTAGGGCTATCTCCTAACCCTGGCACAGATAAATGTAGCTGTAGCAAATTCACCCTTCCCTGAGATCATGTCTCAAGCTCTCATCAAAGCTACTAAGATTTTCGGGCAGAGAAGGCCAAGTGCTACAGCTTAGCTGCTTGCTCACTGCATTTTTGACAAAGCCCTTGCTCCTAATGTATGGTGGGCGGCCATAAGAGTTATCAGGGGCCCTTTCAGGATTTGGACATCAAGGAGGCTGGGAGTATAAACTATTAACAACAAATAATCTTAGGAACCTGGGAAAAGACATGGGACCTTAAATCTAAAATGCCAAAGTCTGAAAGGCTTTGGGTAGTATCAGTAACTATGCTTATCTACAGAGACAAACTTTCAAAGTCAGAGAAGACAGTAACAAAGTATCCAATTTAAAGACAAAACAGGCTGGGCGTGGTGGCTCACACTTGTAATCCTAGCACTTTGGGAGTCCAAGGTGGGCAGAACACCTGAGGCCAGGAGTTGGAGACCAGCCTGGCCAACATGGTAAAACCCCTGTCTCTACTAACAATACAAAAACTAGCCAGGTGTCGTGGCTCACACCTGTAATCCCAGCTACTCAGGAGGCTGAGGTTGGAGAATCGCTTGAACCTGGGAGGCGGACGCTGCAGTGAGCTGAGATCACACCACTGCACTCCAGCTTGGGCAACAGAGTGAGACCCTGTCTTCAAAAAAAAAAAAAAAAAAAAAAAGACAAAACACTCACCTACTACTACCAATTTGTGTTCTTAAATTGTTTAAGCCCTTGCCTACATGCATTTTAACATTAGGGGCTTTCATTTGCCTTTGGCCATTTAAAAAGCCATTGTAAAGCACATGCCATTATGTTTATTTTGTTGCTTATCTCTAGTTGTTATTTTCCAGTATGGATGACTTACAGTAAATCTGTAACCAGATTACAACTAGTAAGTCTAGTTACAGCCAGGCGTGGTGGCTCATGCACTTTGGGAGGCCAAGGCGGGTGGATCACCTGCGACCAGCCTGACCAACATGGTCAAACTCCATCTCTACTAAAAATACAAAAATTAGCTTGGCATGGTGGTGCACTGCTGTAATCAGCTACTCAGGAGCTGAGGCAGGAGAATCGCTTGAACCTGGGAGGTGGAGGTTGCAGTGAGCCAAGATCGTGCCACTGCACTTCAGCCTGAGGGACAGAGGGAGACTCCATCTCCTAGTTACAGATTTACTGTAACCCATTCATATTAGAAATTCAAAAATTCATAGACCAGATAAACTAGTAATAACATCCCTATAGACTCTTCCAATTCTAAGTCTATGATTTACAAGTCTTATATTTCTTTAGTTTTATTCCCAAGCCCTGTGGTGGTATGCTCAGAATGGGAGAGATGTTATTCAAATTGCTGTATACTAAACAAATATAATCCCTTCTACAAACTTACGGCTGGAAATTTTTAAATAATTATAATAACGCTTGATCCCATTTCTTATCTTCCTCCCGGCAGGAGGCTTTATTCTAAGATTCCTAACCTAACTAACATTAAAGAAATATTGGAGCAAATATAGGACAGGAGACATGTGCACAGCCTCTTTCTTCAAGCACCTTTGGACACCTGAGGATTCTAACTAGATGAAAATATAAATTTTCAAAGCAGTCAGGATAATAGATGGCCCCCAAAAATCTAAGTCTTGCTCATGCCACAAGTTCAACGTAGCTGTCAGCCAAGCTGCTAAAGTACCCACCATCTCTACCAATTACATGCAATGTAGCAGAGAAAAGTAAGACTATCTCACTGGCAAAAAAGCTTCCATCCAAAAGTGACACCATTCACTTCTCACATTTTACTGACTAAAGTAGGTCACATGGTCATACGTATACCCAAGGGAGTGGGTAAATGCAATCCCAACATGGGCCCAGAAGCAGAATGAACCAAGATGTTTTTAAAACATCTTTTAAACAGACTAAACAGATTCAACCCTCCCATCCATCCATTACGTTTCATTCAACATTTTACTGAATGCTTACCATGTGCCAGGCATTGTTTTAGGCATTAAGCTATAGCAGAGGTCAATTTTTTTTTTTTTTTCAATCTTGAGCTCAAAGGAACACATTATTACTCCTGGAGCACAGGGGCATGTAGTGGATTCCTCCCTATCTAACATTTCACTTTTCTTTCTCCTCTTTCTAATAACATTTTCACTCCCTTTTCTTTTGCCATCCTCCCCCAACCTAATCTAATGTGATTCTTCAGAACCTCTACTCTTCATTTTCCAGGGCACCATTCCCCTCCTTTTTTCTGTGGCTTTGTCTATGATAAAAGGTTTGGGACTAAGTAGCTTTGGGGACATTTCCTAAGCATAGTACCTGGTAATTAGTAGGTACCCTAAAATATGTACTGAATGAATCAATGTAAATAGCATATTCTACGTGAGTAGAAAGCTTTGGAGAAGGGAAGTCCTATCCTCGAATTTTTCAGAATCTGATCACATTCTGATCTACCACTAGAAAACATCAGTGAAGATTCCCAGATATGGTATTTTCCTTTCCAGGCATTCCACCAGGACCCTCACTCTATGCGAATGCACAGGTCTGCCAACAACATGAAGAAGGCAGCTGGTTTCAACCCACTCAGAATGAAGAAATGAAACACTTCAGCTTTGTTACAGCTCTCATCTTATCTTGTTGAGGTGATGGGGAGGGACTGTGCCACTGAAATAGCATCCTATATAATCAGTCAAGCAGGACTCTAAAAAGTCCTATCAGCCCATGTAATACCAAAGAAGGTATAATGAAGATATGCAAGACCTTGACACTATTCTTCAGTCCATCCTAGCAGGGTTTAGCACCACAGCTTTTCAGACTACAGATCAAACGTGACTGCTGTTGTTTTTGAGCTAACTCTGGTGAGGGTCTGAAGAAGGTCACATTATGCAAGGCCATATAAAACATCTCTGGACTCTCAAATGGAGAGAACCATATGCTTACTTGGAGATTCTCTTTAAGAGACAGGGTCTCACTCTGTTGCCTCAAACAATTCTCCCACTAAGCCTCCTGAGTAGCTGGGACTATAGGCACACACCACGTTCAACTTTTTTTTCTTTTTCTTTTTGTAGAAATGGGGTCTCACTATGTTACCCAGGCTGGTCTTGAACTCCCGGCCTCAAGTGATCCTCCCACCTAAGTCTTCCAAAGTGCTGGAATTACAGATCAGCCCCGCATCTGGCCAATTCCCTAATTTTTAAAAACAATTCAGAATGGCATGTTATTTTTTTGGAATATCCTTCCTCTTTATTTCTCATTTTCTCCAAACTGAAGAAGGCTTACAAGATTTGGCTGCCCTGCCTATGGAGTAGCCATTCTTTTATTCCTTTACTTTCTTAATAAACCTGCTTTCACAAAAAAAGGGGAGGGGAGGGGAGAGGAGGGGAGGGAAAGAAAGGAAAGAAAAAGGAAGGAAGGAAAGAAAGGAAGAAAAAAAGAAAGCTTGCGAGATTTAAAAACAAAATTTTAAGTTGGTTTGCTATCAGATCCATACAAGAATTTGGCCCTACTGAAAGAGTCCAGTCTTTCACTAGGCCCGTGCCATGCTTTGAATGTGTCCCCCAAAGTTCATGGGTTGGAAGCTTAATCCTCAATGCAAGTGTTAGGAGGTGGGGCCTAATAAGTGGTGATTATTAATCACTAGTAAGAAGCAGATGGGTTAATGTCATTATTGTGGGAGTGGGCCTATTATAAAAGCAAATTTGGCCCTCTCTTTCTCTTATACCATGGGCTGATGCAGAAAGGAGACCCTCACCAGATGCCGGCACCATGGTATCAGACTGCCAAGCCTCCAGAACTGTAAGAAATAAATTTCTCTTCTTTATAAATTACCCAGTCTCAGGTGTTGTTTTAGCAACATGAAACCAAGAGGGACAGCTTATATTAAAGGAAATAAACCATAAGTTTAAAGATCTGGGGTCTACTCCAGGATCTGTGGCTACATCAGCTGTGTAGTCAAAGAATTTCACATTTTTATGTCTCAGTTCCTCATCAGGAAAACAAAGTGGCTAAGCTACAGGATTTCTTCTTTTTTAAGAGACAAGGTCTTGCCCTGTCACCCAGGCAGAGCCAGGTAGTAGTTAGGAGTACAGGCGCACACCACCCCACCTGGCTTAAACTACTTGATTTCTATGGTCTCTTCCAGCTCTCAAATTTTGTAATTCTAACAAAAGGCTCAGGATTTCCACTTCTGACTAGAATGCTCAAAGTTGCAAGATACCAAGCCTCACTCTATAAACTGCAACAAGCTGGATAAGCTACAAAAATCATAGTTTAAGGAAAAAAAAAATCAGAGAGCTAAGCATGTAAAGAAATCTAAATAATAAATAAGCTAAATCAGAGAAAAAGTCAAACCCTTTAGAAGGGAAGAGACCATGGCTATTCTCATTCCTGGCAAAGTGGCAGAACCAGGAATCCACTGACAGGATTAAGGAGAAACCAGCCAAATAACGAACTTAATTTTAATGGTTGCATGTGGACTCAGATAAAATATTAGAGAATCTGGAGGAGGCCCAACTATAAGCCCCAACTGCCAACTCTTCCCTATGGATTTTTTCTTTTCTTTTTTTTTTTTTTTTAAGATGGTGTCTCGCTCTGTCACCCAGGCTGGAGTGCAGTGGTGTGACCTCGGCTCTCTGCAACCTCCGCTTCCCGGGTTCAAGCGATTCTTCTGCCTCAGCCTCCAAAGTAGCTGGGACTACAGGCGTGTACCGCCACACCTGGCTAATTTTTGTATTTTTAGTTTCACCATATTGGCCAGGCTGGTCTCAAACTCCTGACCTCACGAGATCCACCCGCCTCGGCCTCCCAAAGCGGTGGGATTACAGGCGTGAGCCACTGCCCGGCCCCCTATGGGTTTTGAATGTGTCCAAGTCTGAGGGCAAGGCAGAAAAGCAGAGAGAATCCCATGAAGAAAAGAGCCTCTACCATGTTCAAGGCAGCGGCCCTCTCTGTAGAAGGGGATCAAGACAGGAAGCATGGAATAAACACCTCTGAGACATTCTGAGTCTTCAAAGAATGTAAGACAGATATTCCTCCTAAGGCCGAGTCAAAGAATTAGGGCAAAATCAAGAGATAAGGAAAATCTTGGATGAGACTAGAAAGCAAAGAGAATTTCCCAGCAGTCCAAAGAACCAGAATCTAGACTAAAAAGCAGAGCTCAAAGGTTCAGTAAAGCAGGAGCATATGAAGAGATAACAAGGCCAGGCGCAGTGGCTCATGCCTGCAATTCCAGCACTTTGGGAGGCTGAGGCCAGCAAGCAGATCACTTGAGTCTGGGAGTTCAAGACCAGCCTGACCAACATGGTGAAACCGCGTTTCTACTAAAAACACAAACATTAGCCGGGCGTGGTGGTGCACACCTGTACTCCCAGGTACTTGGGAGGCTGAAGCAGGAGAATCACTTGAACCCGGGAGGAGGAGGTTGTAGTGAGCTGAGATCACACCACTGCACTCCAGCCTGGGCAACAGAGGAAGATTCCATCTCAATAAACAAACAGACAAACAAACAAAAATACCTACGCACAGAGTGAAATTGTTGAAAACAAAAAGAAAAGTGAAGAAAAGTGAAGGAAGGAAGAGAAAGAACAACTCTTCGCCAGGGCACAGTGGCTCATGCCTGTAATCCTAGCACTTTGGGGGGCCGAGGCAGGCAGCCTGAGCTCAAGAGTTTGAGACCAGCCTGGGCAACATGGTGAAACCCCGTCTCTACAAAAAACACAAAAATGAGCCAGGCATGGTGGCATGCGCCTGTCCCAGCTACTTGGGGGGTTGAGGTGGGAGGACTGCTTGAACCCGGGAGGCAGAGGTTGCCATGAGCCGAGATCAGCCATCGTGCTCCAGTATGGGTAACAGAGCGAGACTGTCTCAAAAAAAAAACGAACGACAAAAAAGAATGATTCTTAAAAGCAACCAGGAGTCCGGGCATGGTGGCTCACGCCTATAATCCCAGCACTTTGGGAGGCTGAGGCGGGCGGATCACCTGAGGTGAGGAGTTTGAAACCAGCCTGGCGAACATGGTGAAACTCTGTCTCTACCAAAAATACAAAATTAGTTGGGCGTGGTGGTGCATGCCTTTAATCCCAGCTACTCAGGAGGCTGAGGCGGGAGAATCGCTTGAACCCGGGAGGCAGAGGTTGCAGTGAGCCGAGATCACACCACTGTACTCTAGCCTGGGCAACAAGAGCAAAACTCAATATCCAAAAAAAAAGCAACCAGGAAAAAAAGAAACAAAAAACAAAAAAGCAACCAGGGAAAAGAGATAAAGTATATACTGGAGAAGAATAATAAGAATGATAGCTGATTTATCACTAGAAACAATGAAAAACAGAAGACAATAGAATATGTTTTAAGTACCAAAAGAAAAAAAAAACTATCAACCCAAAAAGAAAATAAGGAAAAAATAAAATAAAAAACAAAGCCTATTAACCCAGATGTATTAGTCACACTTCTCCACAGGGACAGAAATAATAAGTTTTATGTATATATGAAAGGGAGCTTATTAGGGAGAACTGGCTCACACAATAACAAGGCGAAGAAGTCCCACGTCAAGCCGTCTGCAAGCTGGGGAAGAAATAAGCCAGTAGTGGCTCAATCTGAGTCCAAAAGTCTCAAAAGCAGGGAGGCTAACAGTGCAGCCTTCAATCTGTGGCTGAAGGCTGGAGAACCCCCGACAGACCACTGGTCTAAGTCAAGAGTCCAAAGCCCAAACAATCTGGAGTCTGATGTTCAAGGGCAGGAGGAACAGAAGGAAGCATCCAGGACGGATGAAAAATGAAAGCCAAAAGACTTAGCAAGCCAGCTTATCCCATCTTCTTCCACCTGCTTTGTTCTAGCCTCGGTGGCAGCCAATTGGATGGTGCCCACCCACACTGATGAGGGTGGGTTTTCCTCTCCCAGTCCACTGACTCAAAGGTCAGTCTCCTCTGGCAACACCCTGACAGACACACCCAAAAACAATACTTTACCAGCTACCTAGGCATCCTTCAATCCAATCAAGTTGACACTTAATACTAACCATCACACCAGAATTCTGTATCTAAGAGAAATAACCTTCAAAAGACCTTTTCAAAGAAAAGACAAAAGTAGAAAGATGCCAGGTGCCGTGGCTTATGCCTGTAATCCCAGTTACTTCTCAGGAAGTGAGGTGGGATAATCACTTGAGTTCAAGACCAGCCTGACCAACATAGTGAGACCCTGTCTCCATTAAAAAAAAGGAGGCCGGGCGCGGTGGCTCACGCCTGTAACCCCAGCACTTTGGGAGGCTGAAGCGGGCAGATCACCTGAAGTCAGGAGTTTGAGACCAGCCTGACCAACATGGAGAAACCCCTATCTCTACTAAAAATACAGAATTAGCTGGGTGTGGTGGCGCATGCCTGTAATCCCAGCTGCTAGGGAGGTTGAGGCAGGAGAATCACTTGAACTTGGGAGGCGGAGGTTGCAGTGAGCCGAGATTGTGCCACTGCACTCCAGCCTGGGCAACAAGAGCGAAAGTCCGTGTCAAAAACAAAAAAAGAAAAAAAGTATTTAAAAAAACTGGATAGAAATCTGTCTCCAGCAGACTTTCACTTCAAGAAATGCTAAAAGAAGTCTTTTAGGATGAAAGAAAAATACACCAAATGTAACTAACCCCAGATCTACAGAGAGGAATAAAAAACTCAGAAAGGGTAAATATCTCGAAAATATAAAAAGTCTATTAAAAATATCTATCCACGGCCAGGCACAGTGGCTCACGCCTGTAATCCCAGCACTTTGGGAGGCCAAGGCAGATGGATCACCTGAGGCTGGGAGTTCAAGACCAGCCTGGCCAAAATGGAGAAACCCCATCTCTATGAAAAATACAAAATTAGCTGAGCATGGTGGCACATGACTGTAATCCCAGCTATTCGGGAGGCTGAGGCAGGAGAATCGCTTAAACCAGGGAGTCGGAGGTTGCAGTGAGCCGAGATTGCACCACTGCACTCCAGCCTGGCAACAGAGCAAGACTCTGTCTCAAAAAAAAAAAAAAAAAAAAAAATTAAAAATTGTTGGGCTGGGCACGGTGGCTCACGCCTGTAATCCCAGCACTTTGGGAGGCCGAGGCAGGCGGATCATGAGGTCAGGAGATCGAGACCATCCTGGCTAACATGGTGAAACCCTATCTCTACTAAAAATACAAAAAAAATTAGCCAGACGTGGTGGTGGGCGCTGCAGAAGAATGGCATGAACCCGGGAGGCAGGGCTTGCAGTGAGCCGAGATCGTGTCACTGTACTCCAACCTGGGCAACAGAGCGAGACTCCGCCTCAAAAAAAAAAAATTATTTGTTCATATTATAAAGAAAGTCACAGCACTGAACATGAAAATAAAATGGTGAAATTTTTATTTTATTTATCTTGAGACAGGATCTCGCTTGCCCAAGCTGAAGTGCAGTGGCATGAACATGACTCATTGCAACCTCCACCTCCATTGCTCAAGGTGGGTGGACCATCTCAGCCTTCTGAGTAGCTATGACCACCGTGCAAGGTGCCACACCCGGCTCAATTTTTTATTATCTTGGTAGAGACAAGGTTTCCCAATGTTGCCTATGCTAGTCTTGAACTCCTGGGCTCCAGCGATCCTCCCACCTTGGCCACCCAAAGTGCTGGGATTACAGGTGTGAGCCACCACGCCTGGTCAACATTTTACAAGAATATAAGCAAGGTTTTATTGAGACTGTATTATGTGTGAAGCATTGTGTTGGACATATACCCTTACACTAAATCCTCCCAATAGGCAAAATAGGCAAAATATAATCTTTATTTTAGAGAACTTAAAAAACACATTCAAGATCACACATGAATGAGAGAGCCAGGATTTGAACCAGGTTTGTAAACCAAATTCCATTATCTCTCACTGTAACTTATTTTTTTATTGACAAGTATAGTACATATCTCCCTTCACTCCCCAACCTTTTGAGTAGAGTATATTTCCTATAGACAAAGACCTTCTTCTGGCTGGGGGCAGTGGCTCACACCTGTAGTCCCGGCACATTGGGAGGACAAGGTGGGCGGATCACTTCAAGTGAGGAGTTTGAGACCAGCCTGGCCAACAGGGGGAAACCCTGTCTCTCTACTAAAAATACAAAAATTAAGGCCAGGCATGGTGGCTCACACCTGTAATCCCAGCACTTTGGGAGGCCAAGGCGGGTGGATCCTTTGAGGTCAAGAGTTTAAGACCAAACTGACCAACATGGTGAAACCCTGTCTCTACTAAAAATACAAAAAAATGAGCCAGGCATGGTGGCACATGCCTGTAATCCCAGCCACTCAGGAGGCTGAGGCACGAGAATTGCTTGAACCCAGGAGGCAGAGACTGCAGTCAGCCGAGATCACGCCACTGCATTCCAGCCTGGGTAACAGACTGAGAGCCTGTCTCAAAAAAAAAAAAAAAATTAGCTGGGCATGGTGGCACACGCCTGTAGTCCCAGCTACTCGGGAGGCTGAGGCAGGAGAATCCCTTGAACCTGGGAAGCGCAGGTTGCACTGAGCCAAGATTGCACCGCTGTACTCCTTCATCCTGGGCAACAGAGTGAGACTCTGCCTCAAAAAAAAAAAAAAAAAAAAAAAAAAAAAAGCCTTCTTCTGCATAACTAAAACACAACCATCAAAATCAAGAAATTAACGCTGGTATAGTACTACCATCTGATAATCAGGCCCCATTTAAGTTTCTGCAATTATCTCAATCATGTACTTGGGAGGTAAAGGACCCAGTCCAGAATCACGTTACACTGGGTACAATGCAATTATTATGCAGTTTTTCCCTTCTGAGATTTAAAGGAATCAAACATTTTATACAGTCCACAAAAATTTACTGAGCACTTAGCATGTGCCAGGCACTGTTTGACAATATAGTAGAGAATAAGACAGACAAGGTTCTTCTGCTTCCGAAGAGCTCGCATTCTAGTAAGGAAAGACCAACAAACATGTTAGCTAATTAACAAATTCAGATTTGGCCTAGTAGCTGGGAAATGGCCCTCTGAGGAGCTGAAACCTGAATAAGAAGCTACCAGCACTGCTAAGAGATGGGAGAAGGGCATTCCTAACAGAGGAAACAACAAATTGAACAAACCTAAGGCAGGATAAAACTTGGCATTTTGGAGCAAAAGAAATGCCAGTGTAGCCACAGCATCCACAGCAAAGGGCAAAGGAAAGGAGGTAGCAATGAGGAAGGAAGGAACACATGAGGCAGGATTCTGAATCTCATAACTAAGACCAAAGAAAAACTATGAAACCATTTTAAGCAGGCAATCTACATTATTTCATTTACATTTCTGAAAGAAGATTCTTGTTACTGGGAGAAGAATGTCTGAAGAAGGTAGCTGAGTAAAAGCAAAGACCAGTTAAGAGCTATTTCAGTAAGCCAGGTGACATAATGGTGGCTGAGACTAAGGTGGCAGAAATAAAGATGTAAAACAGATAATTGAATAAACAGATTTAAGTGATATTTTGGAGACCAAAAGAACTTGATGATGGATTAGCTATGGGGATAAGGGAAAAACAGGATTCAAGGATAAATCCTAGGTGCCAGTTACAGAAGAGAGAAAGACTGGAAGAATATTATGGAAGAGAGTTCTATTTTGGACATGTTAGGTATATTTAGACAACTGCCTACTAGGTTACTAAGTGGTAATGTCTAGCAAGGCAGTTGGATAATATGTCTGGAGCTCAGGCAAGAAGTCTAAACCAGAAACATAAATATGAGAATTATTCACATACAGATGGCATTTAAAACAATGAGTTGAATGAGACCATCTAGGGAAGAATTTAGAAAAAGAGGGTGAAAAAAAAACCCAGGAGTTTTATCCTGTCTTAGGTATGCCAATACTTAGAGGCAGGTAAAGGAGAGAAGCCTGTTTAATAATTAAAAAAAAACAAAGCTAGGTGCAGTGGCTTATGCCTGTAATAAGGAGGCTGAGGTCAGGAGTTCCGAGACCAGCCTGACCAACATGGTGAAACCCCATCTCTACTAAAAATACAAAAATTAGCCAGGCGTGGTGGTGTGCGCCTGTAATCCCAGCTACTGGGGAGGCTGAGGCAGGATAATCACTTGAACCCAGTAGATGGAGGTTGCAGTGAGCCAATATTGCGCCACTGCACTCCAACCTGGACGACAGCGAGACTCCGTCTCAGAAACAAAAAAAAGCATACAGTATAACAAGGTGTAAAGTAGAAGGAAAACAAGAACATATGTCTCATAAAATGAGAAGTAGATGAATAGGCCGAAAACAGTGGTCAACTATATTGAATGCTCCTACAAGAGCCTGTAAGACTAATTTAGTAAATAGAAACCACTGGCAACCTTGACTAGAGTAGTTTTAGTGGTAAGAATGGAGGCCAATCTGTAGTAGGCTGAGAAGCAAAGGGAAGTGGAGAGAGCACAAAAAGACAACTTTTGAAAACTGGCTTGGAAGAGAATCAGAGAAATGAGGCTGTAGCTAGAGAATAATGTGGAATGGCGAGAGGGCTTATAAACAAGGAAGCCACACTTAGTGCTGTCCAATAGTGTTGTCTGCAATGATAGGGATGTTCTATATCTGCACTGTCCAATAGAGCAGCCATTAGCACCATATATGGCTACTGAACAACTGAAATATGACTAGCATCACTGAGGACCTAAATTTTTTAAATTTTTCTTTTAACAGCCACACATTTCATTGCAGAAAGCACTATTGATTAGTAGCTACCATACTGGACAGTACAGCCCTAAAGCACATCTGCATATTAATAAAGATAATCCAGAAAGGGAAAAATTCATGATGTAGGCAAGAACGAGGTAAGTCCTTAAGAAGTCAACAGGCTGGCAGGGTGCGATGGCTCACTCCTGTAATCCCAGCACTTTGGGAGGCCAAGGCAGATGAATCACTTGAGGTCAGTAGTTCAAGACCAGCCTGGTCAACACAGAGACGAATCCGTCTCTACTAAAAATACAAAAATTGCCGGGCGCGGTGGTTCACACCTGTAATCCCAGCACTTTGGGAGGCCGAGGCGGGCGGATCACAAGGTCAGGAGATCGAGACCATCCTGGCTAACACGGTGAAACCCTGTCTCTACTAAAAATACAAAAAATTAGCCGGGCGTGGTGGCAGGCGCCTGTAGTCCCAGCTACTCGGAAAGCTGAGGCAGAAGAATGGCGTGAACCTGGGAGGCAGAGCTTGCAGTGAGCTGAGATCGCACCACTGCACTCCGCCTGGGCAACAGAGCGAGACTCCGTCTCAAAAAAAAAAAAAAAAAAAAAAAATACAAAAATTAGCCGGGCGTGGTGGTGGGCACCTGCAGTCCCAACTACTCAAGAGGCTGAGGCAGAAGAATCACCTGAATCTGGGACGCAGAGGCTGCAGTGAGCCAAGATCGTGCCACTGCACTCCAACCTGGCCAACAGAGTGAGACTCCATCTCAAAAAACAGTAAATAAATAAATAAATAAATAAATAAATAAAGAGAAATCAACAGGCTGAGCAGAGTGGCTCATGCCTGTAATCCCAGCACTTTTTGAGGCCGAGTCAGGATGATTGCTTGAGCCCAGCCTGGGCAACACAGGGAGACCCCGCCTATAAAAAAAAAAAAAAAAATTAAGATTAAAAAAAAAGTCAAGAGAAGACATCCAGAGCACAAATGGCACAATCTACATGGGATACAACATGAACAAAGCAAGGCATGAAATTACAGTAACGGGTAGAGATGAAGACTCAGAATATGTATTAAGCCTGATTGGAATCTTAAGCATAAAACTCAATTACAGAGGGCTATAAAATCCAAGCAGGAGGGGGAGGGTAGGTAACTTACATCTACTAAGGACCTATTATGTGACAGGCATTTTCTTTTTTTTTTTTTTTTTTTGAGAGGGAGTCTCGCTCTGTCACCCAGCCTGGAGTACAGTGGCACGATCTCGGCTCACTGCAAGCTCCGCCTGCTGGGTTCAAGCAATTTTTCTGTCTCAGCCTCCCGAGTAGCTGGGATTACAGGCATACGCTACCATGGCCAGTTTTTTCGTATTTTTAGTAGAGATGGGGTTTCACCACGCTGGCCAGGCTGGTCTTGAACTCCTGACCTTGTGATCCGCCCGCCTCGGCCTCCCAAAGTCCTGGGATTACAGGCATTAGCCACCGCGCCCGGCTGTGACAGGCATTTTCTTTTTTCAAGACAGAGTATTGCTCTGTCGCCCAGGCTGGAGTGCAATGGTGTGATCTCGGCTCACTGCAACCTCCGCCTCCTGGGTTCAAGCGATTCTCCTGCCTGGGCCTTCAGAGTAGCTGGGAGTACAGGTATGCACCACCATACTCAGCTAATTTTTTGTATTTTAGTAAAGACGGGT